>NC_000006.12:57162520-57808204 GCF_000001405.40 Homo sapiens | reverse complement strand
GTTTTCTTCACCTCTATGTTGCAAATACCCTATTAAAGATTTTATTCCCGTAATTTCATTTAGTCCAATTTCTTTATTTATTTATTTGCCATAAATCTATACATCATTATCCCCATCTTACTGATGAAACTGAGGCTCAGCAGAACTAAATCCACAGCTGATAAGGGGCAAAACCAGATCTTGAAAGCAGACTTTGTTTTCCAAAAAGTGTGCTGCCCTCTTTCTCCCTCTAGATCATGTAATCTCCCCTTTTCCTCTCCACACTACCACACTCATTTGTTAAGCAAATAGCTATAGAATTTTAGATTCGTTGGTCCATTCAACAAACTGTAATTCACCACCTGCCATGTACCCGGCATTTATGTTCTAGATTTCCAAGGCATCCTTGGCCCTTTATCCCTCACATCCCTACAAACACCTTAAATCATTAGTTCTCAAAGTGCGGTGCCCAGACCCACCACATAATTCTTGAGGACACATTCCATTTCAGGCACTGTGCTACCTGAAGGCTTTGAGGATTCAGAGGAAATTGAGCCATCCCTGACCTCAGGAGCTGACAGGACAAACTGTCCTATCCGGTCCGGTTCCTGTACTCTCAAACTTCCGGATTCTTATAAATGCATCTTCCTAAATATTTTATTTTGATACTGTAACTCCCACTCTGCACTAGTTTGCTAGGGCTGCCATAATAAATATCACAGACTGAGTGGCTTAACCAACAGAAAATTTTCTCAGTTCTGGAGGCTAGAAGGGTTGTTAGCTTTGGTTTCTCCTGAGGCCTCTCTCCTTGGCTCGCAGATGGTCACTTACCTTCTTGCTATATTCTCCCACGGTCTCTCTCTCTACACATATTTCCATCTTTTCTTATAAGAACTCCTATTGGGAGTTAGGGTTTCGACATGAATTTGATGACAGGTGGGGCGGGACAAAATTCCACCATGACAGGCTCAAAGTTGTTTACATTTTCACCTTCATATTTGCAGTAGACTTTGTTACTGGAAAGCACTACTTGCTTTTTTTTTTTTTTTTTAACACGTATTTTAAAGCCCCTTAATTAAACAGACCATATACCTTTCCTTATCTAGGAATTGCCACTCCAGTGCCTCGTCCACACATCCATTATTTCTCCTCATCTCCATTCTTCAAGGCCCATTCTTGATTCTTTCATTCTTATTTGAAAGAATGTAGCATGGAGGAATGTAGCATACTAGTTTTTCCCTCGGAATTGCATGACTCATTGTCATGCAAATTACCCAGTCTCAGGTGTTCCTTTTAGCAACACAAAATAGACTAAGGTGTGTACATTTTTGTACTTGTCAAATGTGGTTAGAATACCAAATGAGGTACTGCCTCACAGATCCCTGAGATGTCATTACTTGGCATAACAAAATCATAATATAGATATCATAATAATACATAAGCAGACAGGGAAAAATCATAGTAATAACAAAGCTCATTAAGGGATAGCCACATAAGTTTATCAGTTAGTTCTCTCTAAACTCTGTAATATGAATGTGGCCAATCTCTGGGATTTAATAATACAAAAAATATGTTTTGGTCTCCCAGTGTCATTTTAATCTTATTCAGTAGGATACATTCTTTCCCTACCTCCATATGAAGACATACACAGTTTTATGCCTCATCCCAGGCAATACAGTCTCAGTCTCAAAGTTAAGATGCTGAGCTCCATGTAACACTCTAAAATTTAAACTTGACGTAAAGATCAGATCTCTTCCTTTACCTGCTGGGGCTGTTGAGTCATGACTATTTGGATAGTTTTCTAGGGAAAACATTTCATTTCTCTTTTCTTAGCCTAACATTCTACCATTTGTTAGCCACTGTTCTGAGACTTCTGTGCTTCAATTGTGGTGGAAGATGAGTTAAAGCCAGGGAGGGGTGGTGGGGAGAATAATAAAGTTCTTACTTTTAAATGGTGTTGTCATTGGTCAGTGTCATGCTTTCCATTCAGCTGTTTGAATACGAATAATTTTTTTAATACGATCCATGATTGTGGATTCTCATGTGCATTTCCCTTGATGATGATGTACTCTCCTGTACCCCCTTCTTTATGACTGCTTTTCCAGCCACTGCAAAACTCAAAGCTTCCTTTTGCTTCTTTTTCCTTAGCTACATTCATCCTTCCACATAGCCCACTGGGACTGGCTCAAAGTTGACCTCATGCTAGTGCTCCCTCTCTCCTGATTCCCACACCTGTCTTGTGGGAAAGGCCTACATCTGGTTGTCCCTGAAAAGCCCTGGGACTACAGGCCAATCCCAATATAGAAGGAACTTCAGGCAGTCAATCTGCCCATTTCTCCCCTTTACATTTCTCATGCATCTAACTACCGTATCTCCCATATTTTGGTGCCAGTGATTGAACTTGTTGGCACCTGTATTAGTCCATTGTCACACTGCTATAAAGAACTACTGGAGACTGGGTAATTTATGAAGAAAAGAGGTTTCATTGACCCACAGTGCCACAGGCTGTACAGGAAGCATGGCTGGGAGGCCTCAAGAAACTTACAATCATGGCGGAAGGCGAAGGAGAAGCAAGCATGCCTTACCATGGCAGAGTCCGAGAGAAAGAGCAAAGGGGAAAGTGTTACACACTTTTCAACAACCAGATCTCAGGAGAACTCACTCATTGCCATGAGAACAGCATGAGGGAAATCTGTCTGGAACAGGTTTGTGAACCCATTGAGGTGTTCATCCAGTGCTGTTTCAGAGAAATCTCTATTTCAATCTATTCCTATACATTAGTTACTGAAAAAGAACAGACAGTCACAAAAACAAGTTGACCTTTTTGTGATCCTTGAGCTCAGTTGCGAAGGGCCCTCGTGACCGGGCCTCATGCCAAACAACTCGTTACAAAAAGAACTAGGGTTCCAGACTGGGCTGAAGCTTCATGAGACTTCTCCTCGTCTGTGGGCAGACAGGTGGCCAACTCTGGAGCCCAGGCTGTTGCTTCCCGGTCTGTTGGTGAATCCTCCATAGTCTGGTGAGTGTACATATATATGTATATGTATATGTATATATATATATATATATATATATATATATATATATATATATATATGTCTTTTTCCTTCCCATTGCAATTTGCTTATTATATCAGTCTGCTTATTATTTCAATTTGCTTACTATATCATTTGCTTATTATATCTGCATTGACATTTACGTGGGATAAACGTTGTTTACCCTCATATTGTGTGTGTGTCTTTTCTTCTCCCTTTACATGTCTTCCACACAGAACATGTACACATGTATCTACAGGTGCATGTGTGTATGTAGATGTGATTGCACCCGTGTTTATGTATACATGTCTGTGTACACCACATGCATGTGTAAATGTATGTGGGTACACGTGCAAGCATGTGTATGCATACATGCATGTAAACATATGCACAAAGGTATCTACACATACATGTGTATACATGCACGCACGCATGTTTACGTATACATGCATGTACACCATATGTATGTGTGTATGCATGTGTGTATTTGCAGATGCATATGCATATGCATACATGCGTGTACATGCATGTGCACACGTAGCTGCACATTCACGTGTGTATGTATACATGTATATACACGTGTGTGCATGTGTGAGTGTGTAAAGATATGTAAACATGAATGTGCAAATGCATGTGGGTGTGTGTGCATGGATGTATGTGTATCCATGTATTGTGTACAGAGTATGCATGCATGTATGTGTGTAGATATATGTGCAGATAGACATGTGCTCACAAGCAAGTCTGCATGTATGTGTGTACATGTGTATGTGTTTACCCATGTACGTGTGTATGCACGTGTGTACGCATGCATGTACATGCATATGCATTTGTGTATGCATGCATGCACACAAGTATGCATACATGTATGCATTGTGCACATGTATGCACATGTTTGTATGAATGATGTATATATACATACACGTATACACCATGTATACCAGCCTACAAATGCATCTGTGCACACACACGTGAAAGCGTGTGTATGCCTGAATAGAAGTGTCCATACATACATGTGCATATCCACACATACATGTCTACAACACGCATGCGTGCACACATGCATGTGCACACACAAAAATTTGTGTGCAAACACATGCATGCATGACATATATGTGTACATGGATATGTGGGTATACATGCATGTGCATACACATGTGCATTTGCATGCACACATGCACACATAATACATGTATATATACATACATGTTTGCGCAAAAAAGCACGATGCATACATGTACACAAACATATATGTTCATACACACGTACTTGTGCATACAAATGCACATGTGTACCCACACATGCATTCAGACGTCTGTGTACATGTATACATACACCTATACGTACAAACATACACACATATACACTCATACATGTGTGCACACACGCATATGTACACACATGCACGTGTACAAATACATGTGTGAGTCTGCATGCATTTGTGCATATTCATTGATTGTGTACACAGTATGTATGTGTGCATGTATGTGTGTATACGTGTATGTGTAGATGCATACGCATATGTTAACATGCATGTACACTCATGTAAACGTGCATCAACACATTTGTACACGTATTTATTTGTGTATCAGGTTTGTATACACGTACCTACACATGCATGCGAGCATTCGTGCATGTATGTACACGAGAATGCATATGTGTATGCATACCTGTATGTACACATATAAGCACAGGCATCTACACGTGTGCGTGCGCACCTATGTGCACACTTATGTATACATGTATGTGCACGTGCATAAATGAATTAAGAAAGAAACAATTCACCCAAACAAGGAGGAAAAGATGAACATCTCAAGTACCTATGAGCATTTTTACATGCAGACCCCTTACTGACATTGGCCAAGACAGATGACAAGAGATCATCAAGGAGAGAGTTCATTAGAAAAAGATACTGCTAACATTAGAGAAACATAGCATCAATCACCCATGGCATGGATGCTGTTGAGCTTCCACCTGAAAAACAAACAACAACAACAACAAACCTGGTGGGTAGAAATAGGAACAGGTTTAGCATTACATCCCTCCCTCCTTTTCCCGGGACCTGCATTGGGCCCCATAAGCTTGGCATGAACCTAAGTGAATAAGACACCAAAGGACTGAAGATTAACACTACCTTCAGAATTAGGACTCAGAGCCAGGAATTTCTTTAGACTACATAACCAGTCTATGCATATGTGAGGTTTTGGACTGTAGTTCACACTGGCTGCGCTTCCTTATGGAAACAGTGACTACTAGATGGAGGATATTAATGAAAGATAGCACACATCCATACTAAATGTCACAACAGCAAAAACCATAAGATAGTTACTGACAATGAGTCGTGCAATTCCGAGGGAAAAACTAGTTTGCTACATTCCTCCATGTTACATTCTTTCAAATAAGAATGAAAGAACCAAGAATGGGCCTTGAAGAATGAAGATGAGCAGAAATAATGGGTGTGTGGACCGCGCATTGGAGTGGGAATTCCTAGATAAGGAAAGGTATATGGTCTGTTTATTTAAGGGACTCTAAAATACTTGTTAAAAAACAACAAAAAAAAGCAAGTAGTGCTTTCCAGTAACAAAGTCTACTGCAAATTTCTTTCTGTACATGGGAAATAAGGACTGTGGGATTCTTTGGGTGGATCCCAGCACCTAGAGTTGGATCTGATCAAAAAGAAGTAAGTGCTCAGTAAACATTACCTACTGCTTTGGTTGCCTTCCCCCTGTGGAGTGCTGGCCTCCTGGATTGAGCTTGCATCATAGGCCTTCAGTAGGAACTTACTTAGTGGATTTACAGGTTGAGGTTAGAACCCATCAGGATTCTTTTCCTGGAAAGAACAGGCATGTGTTCTTCCCTTCCCTCTAAGTTTTCACATAGACACTGGGTGAGGAAAGAGCCCTAAATTGCTTGAAAAATTGATTGCTCTTTGAGCAAAGCAAGAAACCCTCCTATGGAAGGGCATCATTTGGGCATATATCGGGGTCTCAGTACGAAGATGACTGCTCAAGAGGTCAAGATGCTTAAGCAGAGAATCTGACCAGAATGTTCGTGGTACAGAGAAACAATCTTTCTGGGAGAAAGAAGACAATTGAGGCTTTCGAATATAAGCTAAATAAGCTTCAAAGGGTATATAAAAAAGAATCAGGTACAAATCCTTTACTACATTCTTTTGTACAAATCAATTTTTGTCTAGAAAATCATACCTTACTATGCATCCCTATTGTGTTCCTCCACCATCTATTTTGTTTTTTTAAGCGTTATTTCATTTTCATGTTCACAGAAGCTTGTTGCTACAACTGCATGAGCAAAACAGCCAGTAGCAACAGAAATGCATTAATATCTCTCCTCAGACCTTGAAAGCATTTTCCTTAAAGGTGAACAATATTCCGCATACAAGGACTTTTTCAGGACTATGTGCCAGAAATTATACTGAATGTTTCTTAATTTTTACGTAAATCGGACAATATCGTTTTTCAGCTTCCCCAAGTATTATTACCCCAGTGTTATAAATGACACTGAAGTAAAGGGTATATCACTCTCTTTATTCTGTGTAGGTGTATCTGCTTACAGCTAAGGATTTCCTAAATTATAGTTTTGTAAACATTAGTTCTAAATCATTCTGATCACTTGAATTTTGAAAATGTCAAAACCAATCACATTTATGTAGTAGAAAATACAGGTTTGAGGTGCATTGGCTCACTGTTTTATTTACTATGGATCAGTGGAGTAGAAATTCCCATCGCGGAAGAGGGTTCATTCCTGTCTCTCAGCCTCAGCAAAGTTAAACATTTCAGACCTTTCCTGACTTTGGATCTATTGCGCATGCTCTGTCGTTTACCACTATCCAATCCTGGGGGGCATATAGAGCCACTCAGAGCCTTAGAGGTACCTTCAGTGAAATGGAACCAATCACCATATAGTGTAGCCTATTGTTCGTCTGACCAAAATGCACTATGTTGCGATAGCATGGATTCTACAGGCCCGTGAAGCCCATTTGGACCACAAGACACTCTTTCCATCATGCCTGCACACATATCCCTCACTCTTCATTGATTCATGCAGACTTTTAAAAGTATTCAGCAATAAGCATCCTACCCCCAAGAAGCTTATGATCTCATGGAGAAGATGGCCAAGCAACAGACAATCCCAACATGGTGAATGCCGCTAAAACAAATGCGTACCTGGATCTCCGTGAGTGCTAGGAGGAAAGCAACCCAAACTCAGAAAAGTAGGAGAGGTGTCAGGGAAGACATTTTCCAGAAGATGGTTTCATGTCTAACAAAGCCGTGAGACAAGCAAAGAGGAGGTGAAAGGCTCAGCGCTCTATGGGACATTTCCTTAAGTCCAGTATCTCTCGAGTTGAGTGTGGGAAGCTAAAAGGGAGGAAATAGAAATGAAAAATGGGAGTTCTTGAGAGGCTTTACTTACCCTGCACAAGCCAAGGACAGGTCTGCAGGAAGTAAGCAGATGCACAGTTAGGAAAGCCCACATCAGGAGTTAGTCACGACAGAGAAAGATTTGTACACTTTGGAAATCGTAAAAGGATGAAAAGCCCAGGTCCTTATTTCCGTGTTTTCGCCTGTTTTTCACGTTCCTCCCGGATTTCAATTTCTTTCTGGAATCTCAGCTCTCTGCATCATCTGCTCTTGCAGGAACACTAAACTGGAAACGCAACCCTACGATTCAGCGAACTACGTCCCATCAAGATTACTGGGTACAAATACATTTACTTTCGTGTTCTCTTGTGACTGTCTGTATCACTGCACACGGTTGTTACTGTGAAACAAGCATTAAAGTCTGTGTAGATTACTGAGTACATATACATTTCTTTTCTTGTTCTCCCGTGACTTTTGATATCACTGCACACAACTGTTGCTGTAAGATGAACATTAAAAAAAGCCGCTTCTGACCGGCACGGGGATCGAACCCGCGACCTTGGCGTTATTAGCACCACGCTCTAACCGACTGAGCTAACCGGCCCCGCATACTAAAACCCACCCTAAATCTCTTGAGAAGTTTAAAGGCGAACGTTATTCCAATCACCGAAGAAACTTTTCTGAACTTCTCGGAACTGGAAAGAACCTGCGATCTTTGCTAACTTGGTTACGATCCTCGGCAAATTTCTCCGAACCCTGACATTTCAGTTAAAATACAATTCTGAGGAAGGAAAGTTCAAATGTCACCTGCTTCAGTGTTTCATGACAAGGGGTTTCAGTGACCACCCTTTTAAACGCAACGCCATCACCGTCCGCCGGTACTGTGGCCTGCCCTTATCACTCCTTTCTACTTTGCTTCCGTAGCTTCCGAGCAACCCGTGAAGAAATTGACGGAAAACGGAAGGAATTACCGCCAGTTTCTTTCCACGGGCCGTCAAGGCCAATATAAGTCCCCACCCAGGCTCCTCTGCTCGTAACTTCCAGCACGACTCCCACTGTATTCGCCCATGTTTCCCAAAAGTGAGTATTTGATCCCTACCCCACCCCATTTTTAGAAAACTCAGGAAAACGCTCTCGTATTTCTATCTGAAAAGGACACTGTAGAGAAATACGTTCCATTACAGTCTTTGTGTTCGCATTGTATTCCTTCTCGATGAAACAGGTGTAAGTCCATTGGTATTTTACGCACGACAAGACAACTTTGAAGCCCGACTCATGACCTTTAGATTAAGAAACACTCTCCGGGAGCTCTGCTGATCGCTGGGTCTTACGAGGTTGATGCCTTCTGTCCCAAACAGAACTATTTCCCTGCGTGTTTCCGCCTGGCTGCCCACTTCTCCGGTAGAGAAACAGCTGTTCCTCGGGATTCATTTTTGGAAGTTCTTTGGGTCCTGGGTAATGGGGCCGCATCCTGCAGCGTCGACAAGGTGGTTGAATACGCAGGAACACCCACAGCACCCAGGGACTAATAAATAGCTCAATAGATACATTTCGAATAACTGAATAAAGGAAATCTCAACCAACCCCCTTGCCGTATTACAGATGGTCCAGCTCTCTGCCTAGACTACTGTGCTAATGTCCTGTTCCTTCTCCCGGCTTTTGAACTAGATTCTCACCTCTCTCCAATCCATCTTTCGCAGGGCTGGCCTGTCTTTCCGCCTCACTTCTGAGATTCTATCCATTGCAGCCTCTATGCAAACCGACTCTGGTTAAGATTTCAGTCGGTATGGCTCCCCTCTTCCGCACTTTGCACTGCGAGAAATGCCCTTCCTTGAGGCAGCTGGAGGCCTCCTCCCCCTGAGAGCTTAATTGTGGACACAGCCTTGAGTAGAGGCGAAAAGGAAAGAAGGCTGGGAGATAATGGGGGAAAGCACACCTTTGGTCTGGTTTGAAAGCTGGCGCCCGAAAAGGGGAGCGAAAGGACAAGAAAAAAAAAAACACGCTCCGAAAGTGTCTGAGATTGCTGCGGCCATAAAGCAGAGCACTAACCGCGGTACTGATAAGGGAGGGGAGCAGGGCTCCGCCGCCGGGCCTGTGCCCATGGACCTAGGTGAGGACGGGCACTCCTTCCTCCGCGGCCAAACGTTGCATTTCCCAAGACCACCCTGACCCGCCACGCCCCCATCCTGTGCCTATAAAAACTCCCGAGACCCTAGCGGGCACAGACACAAGCGGCTGGACATGAAGAGGAACACACCGGCGGGAGAACACAGAACACGCACCCTTTCTTTTAGTCACCCTGGAGGCCTCGGAGAAGGCGGTTTCAGTGATCCGTGAAGAGACCCCGAGTCTTTTACATCCCGGAGAATGACAAGAGAGCGAGTACCTGGGCGACGTTTACGTTCTGGGATTTCGGGAGATGCGGTTTTCTGCACGCCAGGGGCCAAGCCTGAGACGTAGATGGACGGCAGGGATAGGAGCTCTCTCCGCGCCACAAACGCCCCTGCTCATACCTGGGTTCCTTGATTTTCCTGCCTATATAACCCAGCCTCCCATGGCCGGGCTCTGAGCTCTCATTCTGCGGACTGGGACAAAGGGGTTAACTGTGATGCGCTTTGTATAACCCCAGGATTCTGCACTTGCCCAAGGGCGAGGTGCAAATCAAAAACTACGCACAACTGAACACCGAGATCAGGTGAGTCCTGAGTGTCTCACGACATAAAATCCTTACGATTTTAACAAGAGTTGTATTTGTGCTAGCACTGTTAACTGACAAACGCATGCCAGATCCTATCTGTCTTTAGCTCAATGTGTGACGTTAGACACGTCGTTTTGCTCTTCAACTTTCTTATTTGGAAAAAAAACAAGTGTTCTAGATTTGCAGAGGACATTTTCGGAGCTAAGTTCCAGTAGCTATACTGTAAGTTGATTTCTTGGGCAGTTCTGTTGGTGAGGAAAGAGGGCAAATTGAGAAATGAACAAACACAGAAGTTGCAAAAGCCCTGTGACTTACAGCACAGGACAAGTCTACAAACCCTGCCATGCTACACTAAGCTCTAATTGTTTTAACACCAGCTTACTCAGACCCGATGATCCAAGATAAGACCAAAGCCAAACGGATCCAGCAACTCTGCGCAGATCTTCATGTTCCAGCAGCTAAGTTCCACTGAATAAACCTATGATTCGCCTAGTTTAGAAATTGTCTAGTCCCTCCTGAGAAGGACCTTACTAACTTTCCCCCTAAAAGTGTCCTATGAATAGCTCCAGTCCCCAAACCCTTTAAATTCTGGTCTCTGACTCACCCTTGTTTTAGGCAGTACTGGGACTCCACAGAGGTACGGCTCTTTGCTCAGCAAGTTTAATAAATCCAAGGTAGTAGAATCAATTTGTTTTCTTGGTCGTCTTGTTTTGAGGGAGTAGGTCTTCTAAATGTTGATTCTGATCCCTGCCTATGGATATTTATGAATAAATAGATATTTGCACTCCATCATTATGTGGAGCTACAAGTGTTAAATTTAACCATCTAATTACCTCTAAAATAACCACTAAATTCAACAATCTGAAACTTATCTAATTAGTTCCACATCCTGGAATGAAGGGATTTAATAGGTAATAACAGATCTCAGTCTCTAATGGAGACATAATCACACAGACACCAGACGAAAGATGAGTAAAGTGGAAAGCAATAGGTAGAACAATAATTTGCTTTATGCTATGATTTTTGGAGTGAAGCAAGAAAATTAATCAAGGAAACAAAGAAGAAATCCAAGACGTAGTAGTGTTGGATTTGCATTTTTGTCATATGACACTACTTCTATTCTACAGGATTCACTTGGTCTCCATCTGACCTCCTCAGAGTAGACTGCTCTTTCCCAATCACTCCTGCAATTACCCTAGGAGTTGTGTGATCCTAAAGTAAGGGGGAATTTTAAATTTACTTCTAAGTACACCTGCATGATGCCATTAGTCAGGGCAGGGTAGCTGAACAAACTCAGCTCTGAATCCTTTAAGCAGAGGTAATAATTACTGACACTATTTAATCGGATTCTGAACATGATGTGCCACTTTTCCTTTTGCGTCTGAAGTGACACCAGCCATTTTCACAGTTTCTTCCACTAGGAGGTCCTGGGAGAAAAGTGATAAAGGTAGATTGAAGAATGGTTAGTTTGATAAGAGAAATATAAAGGCAAGTATTTTTTTCACTCAGTTCACCTTGGTTCTAAGAGTGGGTTTATATAAAGAAATGGAACGTGCTTCTGCTAATTAATATTCAGGCAGAAAAAGTCATGAATTCCACTACAAACCCATGTCCCTTCTTCCGAAGACATGAGAAATTGATGAGGGTATTCTTTCTTCTGTCGGTAAAACGAAGTCTGGGATATAGATTGCAACATTAGCAGTGCCATAGTGCAGAATTTCTCATAATTAACACTTTTTACTTAAAATAGAATTAAGAAAATAGAATTGGAATGTAAAGTTAATAAATTAATCATGTTACAAACAATATGAACATAGAAGCAAAAATTGCATGGTCTTTGGCATGCAGTCTTTGATTTGGGGAATGCATTCTTTTCTATTGCTATCAGGAAGGAGGAACAGAAATAGTTCATATTCACATGGACTAGACGAAAGTATGCATTTATGTTCCTACTCCAGAGGTATATCAAGTCCCCCAATTTTTCCTAATCTAGTCCAAAGAGAATTGAACTGTCTGGACCATCAGCAAAACATTGGTACACTGTATTGATAGTATCATTTAAATCTTCAATGAGCAAGAAGTGTCAAGTAAGTTATAGATTTTGTTAAGCCCTGCATGCTCCAGAGGGTGGGAGAGAAACACAGAAACCATTCATCGACCTGGTTCGTGAATGAAAGTTTTTAGGATCTGTGAAATTCTGAGACATTTCCTCCAAAAGACTCATTGTTGCACCTCAAAGCTCCCATCACTTAGAAGGGAGCACTATGCTCACCATGTTTCTTTGGGCTGCGAAAGCAGCGCGTTCCACGCTTGGAGACCCTTCTCTGACACATTTACCAACAGATATTGAATTAAAATATTAACAAATTGAATCCAGCATTATCTATAAAGCATAATGCACCAAGAGTTAGGGGAGATTGCCTTGGGAATAAAAAACTAGTTAAGCATTGAAAAGTCAATTAAATGTAATATACTACATTAACAAAACAAAAAATACATGTCATCATCTCACTAGATGCAGAAGAAATATTGGACCAAATTTGCCATTCATTCGTGGTGTTTAAAAATATCTCAGTAAACTAAGAATAGAAGAAAAATTCCTTAGATGAATAATGGGCATTTAAGAAACTCCTACAACTAGCAACATGGTTAATAGTGGAAGAATAAATATGTACCCTTTAATATTGGAGAAAAATGCAAAATATCTGTTCTTACTACTTCTACATTTTACTGAAAGTCCTAGCTAGTGCCAGAAAGTAAGGAACGCATGAATGAAAAATAAATGACATACTCACTTTAGAAAAGAAAAATATATTCATTTGCAAACAACATGATCAGATACACAAAAAATCCTAATGCATCTACAAAAATAAGCATTATAAGTAAATGCAGCTATGTCTCAGATTACAATATAAAAAAATTAATTGTATTTCTATGTACTAGCATCAACAAAAATGGAAAATTAAATTACCATTTTCAATAGGTTTAAAACAAATGAAATATTTAGAGATAAACTTGTCAATGTGCACAAGACTTGTGCCTAGAAATCTACAAAAGATGGCTGAGAAAAACTCAGGAAAACCTGAATAATTGGTGTTGTTTGCCATATTTACAGATTGAGAAATTTAATATTATTTAGATAACTTTTTTTACTCTGAGTTGATCTATAGATTTACTACAATCCCAACAAATATCCCAGCAGGAGTTTTTGTTTTGTTTTGTTTGTTTGTTTTTACAGAAATTGACAAGCTTATTCTGAAGGACCTAGAGTAACCTAAATAATTAGGAAAAGAAAAACAAAGTTAGAGGACTTACACCAAGTAATTTCAAGACTTATTATAAAGCTAAGGTAATCAAAATAATGTGGTATTTTCTCAAGGATACTTACCCAGATTGATGGAATAGAATAGATAGTCCAGAAATAGACCAATGTATGTGGTCAACTGATTTATGACAGAGGTAAAATGTTTTTTTAAACAAATGGTCCCAGGCATCTGAGTATGGAAAAAAGGATTCCCTACCCTTACCTCACATCCTGTACAACAATTAAATCAAAATAGTTTATATACAAAAAGCTTAACGTTAAAGATATCAAACTTGTAGAAGAAAAGAAGAAAAGAAGTCTACGCATATTTGATGTAGGCAAAGCTTTTTCAGAAGGGACCAGAAAAGCATGAGCCCTTACAAAAAAAGATACACTGGATTTCATAAAATATCAAAATGTTTTTCTTTGAAAGACAATATTAAGAAAATGAAAAGGCAAGACATAGACTTGAAAAGAAATGTAATATATGTCATATGCACACATAGTTGTTTTACATCATATGTGTTATAGATACATATATAACAGGACTTTTATGGAGAATATAGAACACATTTTAGAACTCAGTGATACAAACACTCAGTAAGGATAAGGCCAAAATCTTGAGCAGGCATTTCACAAAATAAGATGCTTATATGGCCAATAGGCACACTAAAAGATGTTCAACAACATTAATCAGTACTAAAATGCAAATTAAATCTATCAAGGATTAATAGGTAACAACAGATCTCAACTCCCCTGAATGGAGAAACAATTAGTAACAGAGATATTAGATGAAGATAAGTTACTTGAAGGATCAATCGGTGAAAAGATACTTGGGTTTATTTCCAGGTTTGTGTTCTTAAAAAGTGATGCATTCAACAGAGCATTTGAGGTAACTGCTAATTAGGGACGGTACTTCCTTCTCTTTCATCTAATGGGAGAGTGAAATCAGATTAGAACTAGAGCTTTCCTAATGAGATCTTTTCTCTCTTTCTCAGGATCCCGACTCAGATTGAAAAAGCAGAGGATGGTCACTGCCTTCCAGGTCTGAGGCTGTCTCCCAGAAGCTTCACTCCTGGCTTCGCCTTGGTAGGGAAGTTTCCGGAGGTGTTCGAAAACCTGGAAACTTAAGTGGGACATAGGACGCTATTTGTGTCCCGGTTATAAAAATTGGCAGAAAAGACAAGTGTAGTGTGGGGGATTAGCTCAAGCGGTAGAGCGCCTGCTTAGCATGCAAGAGGTAGCAGGATCGATGCCTGCATTCTCCAGCTTCTTTTAATCCCTAGGCTACCAATGGTATCTGGCCTAGATGACAGTTGCACAGTACTCGTTATTGTTGTGGCAGTATCTGTGTGGATTATTGGCCTCATCCACTGTGCCTGGTGCTGAAGAAGTGCTTCAGGAATGAATCCACAGATTGAGATGAAAATTCTCAAGCTTTCTCTTTCTCAACTCCTCCAAGGTTCTCCATCACTTTCTGAGTCCTACAGGAGGAAAGTGCTATTGAAGATGCGGCTATGCCGTGAAGCTCTGGGGCTGGGAGAAGCTGTCCCACCACTTCCGGGCGGCGGTGGCGGCAAGGAGCAGGTGACGATCACAACTCTAGAGCGTGCTGGAATAGCTGTGCCCCCAAGCCAGGCAGTTCCGGGTGGTGCTTCTCCATCCAGAATGTGCTCTCTAATTCCGAGAGATGAAGAAGGCGAAATTGGGAAGTGAGGAGAGAGGTCTCCCTCATGACCTTCTTTGGAAATCCCTATTCTTCGCACTGTCAGGCTCATAGAACTTTGCTGAAGGCAGTATCTGAGAAGCTCCGCCCTCAATCTTGTCCTGCCAGGGGTTTGGCGACACAAAGCACCAGCATGCTCCTAATAACCAGGAAAATGGGTGGGGTGCAGCATTTCTCCCTCGGGGAATTAGCTCAAGCGGTAGAGCGCTCCCTTAGCATGCGAGAGGTAGCGGGATCGACGCCCGCATTCTCTAATTTCTTGTCTGGTTTATGTCTTTTAGTTTGTATTCCCCGTTGTTTCTCCTGTTGACGACATCTGTGCCTCTTATCTGGGAGAAGATCAGAGGAAACTGCCGCCTCCCTAGAGCCCGTGTTTTATTGATCCCCGTGTAAGAGTCTTGTTGCCCCTGCTTCCATCCTCCCTTCTTTTCCACTCCTGCCACAGGTTTGGCACTTCTAGGTACTCAGGTGTCAGCGCAAATTTCCCGTCTTTAGACAAGTACAGCTAAAAGTGATGCCCACACGATCTCTCAGTTCCTATTACATCTTCACAAATATCGTCTCCTCCGGAAAGTATGTCTTTGAATTATTGGTTTGTTTTTCTCTCCCCTAGAATGGGAGCTTCCTGAGTACCGAAACACTGTCTATGTAGACTGTGTTTAACTCACTTCATCACCATGTGTAGAGTTAAGGTCCTATAAAATACGGTTACTGCCTTGAACAGATGAGGTGAGTAGTATAAGGAAACGGAGATCAAACACAAAGCAATACTTAAAAAAATTATCCTGCCACATTTCTAAAATCTTAATAATAGCATTCACTAATGTTTTTTGGTTTTCCTTTGTGCTTTCTCCATAGCCCCTTATTCTTATCATTATTTTTGACATTTGACTCACAATTTTCCATTTGTTTTCAAATGACCAAGCAGATTTTCCAATTTTCTAGTTAATTCCTGTGTTTCCTTCACCATTCTGTTTTCTGGTTTTCTTTTGGGCTACTTCTCCTTCTCCTTCTTCTTCTTCTTTTTCTTTTTCTTCTTCTTCTTCTTCTTCTTCTTCTTCTTCTTCTTCTTCTTCTTCTTCTTCTTCTTCCTCTTCTTCTTCCTCTCCTTCCTCTTCTTCTTCCTGTTCTTCTTCTTCTTCTTCCTCTTCTTCTTCTTCTTCCTCTTCTTCTTCCTGTTCTTCTTCTTCTTCTTCTTCTTCTTCCTCTTCTTCTTCTTCTTTTTCTTCTTCTTCTTCTTCTTCTTCTTCTTCTTCTTCTTCTTCTTCTTCTTCTTCTTCTTCTTCTTCTTCTTCCTCTTCTTCTTCTCCTTCTCCTTCTTCTGCTTCTGCTTCTGCTGCTTCTTTTTCTTCTTTTTCTTACTTCTTATATTGGATGCACTGATTTCTTCTAATGTTTTGTAACTTGGGTATTCAAAGGTATAAGTTAAAACGAGAAAGCAGTTTCTACAGAATCCTTAGAAATATGTCGTTATAAGCCCCCATTTTCATTATATTCTAAGGAGCTCGAAGATATACTTTTGATTCTTTTCTAAACTGTGCATTCGAGAGTTAATCCCTTCTTGTTTACTTTTATGTTCAGTCTTTCAATGTTATTTTCTAATTTTTGTGTATCATTTTATTTATCAACACATAAATATATATATTCACATAAATATATGAGTTATATATACATGTATTTATGAATGGCAGCTGAACCACATATTAGTGCTAATATTGGTGACTAAAAGTTGGAGAACCAGACACTATGTACCTCATAAAGCGAAGCAATGGAAAGTGCACAAGCCCACCTATCAAATTGTCTTGTTAAAAGATTCGAAGCTGAATCTAAGTGAGCCTCTACTTTTAACTACCAGTTTACAAGAAATAGAGTAGATTAAGAAACATGTCAAGGGGCAGGAAATAGATACAATGAAATAAATACAACATAGAGGTGTTTCTAAGGATAAAAGGCCCAGTTCCTTCAACAATTAACTGGCATTAACTCTTTATGATACTATAAGGGTAAATATATGTCATTATACATTTGTTTAAAAAAAAACCCAGGATGTATAACACAAAGAGCAAACTGTAATGTAAACTGTGGACTTTAGTTAACAGTAATGTATTGATAATTACTGGTTTACCAATTGTAACAAATGCACCACACTGATGCAAGATGTTAATAATAGGGAAAATTGTAAGAGAGGGAGAGTGATGGAGTTTATGGAAATTCTATCTATTCTGATCAATTTTTCTTTAAACCCAGAACTTCTCTAAAAAATAATGTCTATCAATTTTAAAAATAATATCAATGGAAGAAAGACCAGGGACCTTTTATGGGTGAAAAGAGTCTTAAAAAACATAAAAATCTGTAGATTTTACTTTATTATTTATAATCAGCTATTAGGAGAAATTTTTTTGTATGGCTGACAATCAGAAAAAAAGTTAATATTAGATCATATTTATGATCTATTACCAATTTGTTAACAATAGGTACATACACACAAGCAAACACGGCCCTAAAATTTCCTAGTTCTCTCAAGCTATTGATTTCATCCTTATCTCTGCTGCTGAGTTCAAGAAAGTGAAATGTGTAATGGCTATCTTTCCTTTCTGGTTTATTTCAAAGTCAAGTTCTAATATAGGTAAACAAATAAACTAATAAAGAGATAATGCTTTTCTCATGAAATGTATAATCTAGTAGGAATAAAGATAAACAATTTTTTTAAAAATTCTATTTCATTAAGCAAAAATGCAACTCGGAAGAATAATGTACATTAGCAGTCATTTACTATTTTTCAATAAAATTCCGATATATATGTAAAGTAAATTATTACTAATATCAAACATAGTTTAAAGAATTAGTGACTATGTGCACTTGGATCTCCATATGTAATGTACTATCAGCATCTTCACAAACACAGTAAATTTTAATATGCAAATAAAACTTATTTTACTAAACGATGATTACTCCTTCTATATTCATATTCCTAAACACATACAGTTTCTTAATGTAATTAAGTTTTTAACTAAAAAAAGGGAAATGCATTATTGAGGCGATAGGATTACTGGGTGGCTATAAACACATCTGCTGCACAGCTGACATTTATCTTCTACAATAAGCAATGACAATTTTATTTTTTAATAATCAGTATGGACTAATCCTGATGATTTTTTTTAACAGTTTCAAATAGGGCTGCATATGGCTTAAAATTAATATATATATGTGTACCTATATAGTATTCTTATTTATTAATGGACTTCCTACATAGCTCATATTGACGTTAGATTTAAATGAAATTCCAGAAGGGTTTTCTATAGGTAAGTCATACACTGGATTTCCATATTACCTACGATTATTGAAGTATTTATTTCTGTTTTTAGGACTTCAGAGCAATTTTGCTGGTCATTTATTTTCTGTGTTTTTATTTTGAAATTGTTCTTTGATGCATTGTCCTATTACATTTTTAAGGTATGTTAATAAAATAATATTTTTAATGATATTTTGCCTACTGCTTTCCAGGTGAACTCTTGTTTAAAGTATTAATTCACCAAAAATTACTTATATTCAGAAAATGAACTAAAAAAATAATATGACGTGTTCAAGAAAGTCGAACAAAAGATACGTGATGTTTGCAACATATACAACTCCATACCCTTCTCAAATAGTAAAGAGAATAGTAAATAGAATAGGTAGTAAGCAGAGTAGGAATTGTGGAATATGGAACTCTCAGTCACTCAATTGACTTTATTTTTTAGTAATACGGGATTTGAATTATTCAAGCTGAAGCCATTAAATATTCATAGTGCTTCATATTATAAAGTTATTGATTAATGTCTTTGGTAAAGAACACTATTATTTCTGATTACATCAAGGTCATCCTGAGGAACAGGACCAAAGCATAAAGTTTTATATATGAAATATGAGAAGTTAATACATAATTCATATTTAACAGATAACATAAATGTTAACCCCTTGGAGAATCTGAAGCTAATACCCATGTTCTTCTGACAATTCTTTATACTGGCAATTTGGAAAATGCCAGAGTTTTATTGCTACCTATTCTTGTATTATGACATGAATTAATACATATCTGCCTCACTATTCCTGTGGGCAAAAAAAGACTGTGAATTATGTGCCAGAGAGAGATTTTACAAAATTAAATGAGGCAAAATACTTTTCCTCTGTATACTCATTAGAAATATGCTGAGTAGTTCCTTTCAGTTCCTTTCACTTTCCGATAAAATATAATCAGTTCAACCATATAACAGATATCTTTTAAACTTTTAATGTCCTCTGTTAGAATGAATATGATATTTGGGACCAATTCACATTTTGGAATAATGTACATACTAAGCATAAGTGAAGAATTTAAACATTAACTTGATTTAGGACTGGACTCTTAGTTTTAAAAAGTTGAAAAACGGAATTCCAACAAATTTAAATGGCTTGTTTAGGGTTTCCACAGGCAATACGGGTTGGTGCAATGGAAAGAGAATTCCTTTAATCTAAACGTGGGCTTTATTCTGACTCTGCCACATATTGACTGTTTCATACAAATGTAACTTAAACTGCAGGTGTCATGATTTTTCACACATATACAAATAAAACAATGTTGATTATATAGGATTTGTTGAGAAAATGCAATTATGCCAAGTACAAGTATTTGGCATATTATCTCACTTTATAAATATTAGCAATTCTTTTTGTGGAGGGAATAAATCTAACATGCTGGCTTTTAGAATTTCTTCTTATTTTTCTTTCAACTTTATTGCCATGTAACATTTAAGTCAATAAATCTGACAATTAGACTGTGGGTAATTTTCTTCCAAATCCATATCTTGTTTTCTCTATCCATAGTAGCATTTTAAAACAACAGAAGGGAACTTTAATTACAGTAGGTTGGGAGCCATTTTCTCCCTTTGGTCATATTTTCATTGAAATTCCTACATTGTTTAATATTAGGACTTAGTTTGAATATCAAATCAACAAGGTTGCTCAATACAAATATTATGGAATCATTTTTCTGTCATGCCACAGAACTTATTAACTGTATGTTCAAAATACAGCTCAGTTCTGATCATTTTTGCTACTTTCACCACTAGCATCCTGGTGCTAACCACCATCATTTATTGCCCAGGTTATTGAAATGGCCAGCAAACAGGTGTTTCTGATTCTGCATAAGGCACCCTTCAGTACATCCTCAAAAGAGCAATTTGTATAATCACTTTAAAACATGTATCAGGTTATTACCTTTTTCTGTGTAAAACTCTGATCTCTCATTTCATTCATTGTAAAAGTCAGAACTTGCACAATGCTTTATAGATGCTGTACCACATGAAGCCCCCAATTCTTCTATGGACTTCCCTCCTTCCACTATGTAATTTTCTCACTCAGCTTCACGTACAGTATTTTCTTGGTTATTACTAAACATGCAACAGATATGGTTTGTTCTATATCTTCCTCATGCTTTTGGTCAGATGCCATTATCTCAGTGAGGTTTTCCATAGCCACTTTATTCAAATTCCAAACAATCTGTCCCCTTAGACATTCTCCATTCTTAATTTTTGGCCATTGTACTTACTACAGTCTAACACACTATACATATTACATTTTTGCTTATTGTTGATTGTATAGTCCCTAGAATATTAATTCCCTGAGGACAGAGATTTCTATAAGCTTTTTCAAAGATGTATCCCCAAAGCCTAGAATACTACCTGGCAACAAATACTTGTTATAAATAATGAATTAGAAGTGGGTAGATTCACACATCAGAGACAGCATAGTATATATAATGATTTTTTAAAGCATTAGAGTCATAGATATTAGGATTTGTATTATGTCTTCACCATTTACAATTATGCTACCCTCAACAAGTTGTTTAATCTTTCCATTCCTCAGTTTCCTCATGACTCATATATTGGAAATATTGTCTACCTCAGAGCTCTTCCAAGAGTAATATTGAGACAGTGTTTCAACAATGTTTAGCACATTGCTGAATATTAATACATTATTTCTATTAATGTAAGAAATTTCATAGACTGTTGCTAGAAATAACGAGGATGGAATATAGATGAAGATCATAAAACATGATGGAAATAAATGTTGGAAAATGTGGGTGGTATCCTTAGCACACTCTCTAACGTAAGGAGTAAAATCTGTGTCATATGACTTTATCTTTCTTCTGGAAACTAACAGAATTTAGTAACACACTTTTCTTGACCTGAGGATTTGCCCTTACCACAAAATTGTTTTTGAAACTTGAGTATTTACAATGGCTTTTTACCAGTTCTTTTATCTTCTATCAGTTCCTCTCCAATTTACTATGGACTGAAGTCAGACTAATTTGTTAAGAGCAAACAAAACAAAGCAAAACAAAACAGTTATTACCTCATTCTAGCCTCAAAGCATCTGCCTTTTCAATGCAATCAAAATTAAATGCAATCAAAATTAAATGCACAATTCTAATTTTGATGACTTTAGTCCCTGCTTATCTGTTATATTAGGCTGTTCTTGTATTGCTATGAAGAAATACCTGAGACTGGATATTATAAAAATGTTTAATCGACTCACAGTTCTGCAGGCTGTACAGGAAGCACAGTGGCATCTTCTTCTGGAGAGGCCTCAGGGAGCTTTTACTCATGACAGAAGGCAAAGCAGGAGCAGGCGCTTCACATGGTGAAAGCAGGAACGAGAGAGAGAGTGTGTTGGGGTAGGTGCACTACCATGGAGACAGCACCAAGCCACGAAGGATTAGACCCCGTGATCCAAACACTTCCCACCAGGCTCCACCTTCAGCACTGGGGATCTCGTTTCAACATGAGATTTGGGCGGGACATCCAAACTATATCATCTGTCTCCCTCATCCAAGACCATGTGATCCGTAGCTCACTTTTGTCTAGCAACAGATTAAATACAGCTTTTTCTGTGTGATATCTTCGTTGAGGTCTTTGCAGATGCTGTTTCTTTGTCCTGAAACTTTCTTCATCTGCTCTTTCAAAATGAGTGACTCTTCATCCTCAAACTCTATGCTTACATATTGCTCTCAGAGGAATCTTTTCTGAACTGGGCATTCTGCCTTCAATCAACTATTTTCTATTATAGTTTCCTGTTTGTGAGTTAATAGTCGTTTTCAAAATTTGACTACTCATTTACCTTCTTGGGTTATTTGAAATTATCTCCTCTTCACTAGATTCTATAGAAGCATAGCCATGCCTGCCCTCTTTACTGTTTCTCTACTGACTTGTTGCAATGAATATTCTCAGTAAACATGGAAATAAATCAGTTATTCAGATATCCTACCTTGGTGCTTGCTTAGATAACTCCACACTGTGATGCCTAATGACCTACACAGGGCTTTCTAGCAAGGAGTGACTTTCTTCATGCTACGTGTAATAATGATCCATCAACTTAAACATATAGTTATATTTCCAGCAGACGGTTTCTTGAAACTAATGTCCAGGGTGTAGTTATTCAAAAAAGCAAACTCTTCTCTTGATTTCTGCCATACATTGGTACTCTTTCTCTCTCCCTTTTTTATTTTATTATTATTATTTTTTGAGACGGAGTCTCACTCTTTCACCCAGGCTGTGGTGCCATCCCGGCACACCCAGCAACCCATTGCCTCCCAGATTCAAGCGATTCTCCTGCCTCAGCCTCCCTAGTAGCTGGAACTACAGGCATGTGCCACCATGCCTGACTGATTTTTTGTATTTTTAGTGGAGACGGGATTTCACCATATTGTTCAGGCTGGTCTCAAACTCCTGACCCCTAGTGATCCATCTGCCTCAGCCTCCTAAAGTGCTGGGATTACAGGCGTGAGCCACCCCGCTCGGCCTACTCTTTTATTTCTATTTTGTCTTTCCTTTCTCAAGAAAGAAAACAAACCAAAACCAAAACAGTTTGGAAGACTTTATAGTATTCATCCATACAAAAGAACAAGATCATGTCCTTTGCAGGAACATGGGTGGAGCTGGAGACCATTATCCTCAGCTCCACCCATCCTCAGCTCCCACTAATGCAGGAACAGAAAAACAAATGCAGCATGTTCTTATTTATAAATGTGAGCCAAATGATAAGAACACATGGACTCATAGAAGAGAACACCACACACTCGGACCTACCTGAGAGTAGCGGGTGGGAAAAGGGAGAGGTTCAGGAAAAGTAACTAATGGGTACTAAGCTTAATACCTGGGTGACAACATAACCTGTACAACAAATCCCCATGACACGAGTTTACCTGTATAACAAACCTGCACGTGTACTCCTGAACTTAAACTAAAAGTTAACAAAAGGCCAGGTGCAGTGTTTCACACACATAATCCCAGCACTTTGGGAGGCTGAGACGGGTGGATCACCTGAGGTCAGGAGTTCAAGACCAGCCCGACCAACTAAATACAAAAAATTAGCTAGATGTGGTGGCATGTAATCCCAGCTCCTCTGGAGGCCAAGGCAGGAGAATCGCTTGAATCCAGAAGGCAGAGGTTGCAGTGAGCCGAGATTGTGCCACTGCACTCCAGCCTGGGCAATAAGAGTGAAACTCTGTCTCAAAAAAAAAAAAAAAGTTAACAAAACGGGCTTCTCTAGTTCTAAAGCACCAACACAGAGGTGATCAAAATACTCTAAGAACCACTGGGAAACATTGAGGGGATGGTTCAAACATCAGAGCTAAGGCCTAATTTCCCAACAGTCATTATTTCTGTGGTATTCTGCATATTAGAGACGTATAGGTTCCTCACATAATCCTTGTTTTTTCATTTTATTTTTAATACATATGAAAGTCATAATAACAAAAAAAATTCATATATCAGCAGCTCAGCTAGAAATGAAAGTCTCAATCTATTGGAAGCCCCTGTGAACTTGTATCAAATTCCTTTCTCTCTTCATAGAGGAAATAATGACTCCTAAAATGTGGTAATGAACAAATATCTCTAATTGTTTAGAATTTAGTATATGTGCAAGTCTCCACAGACACAATTTAATCATGATCATATATTTTTAGAAGTTAAAAACGTGTCTACCATCAGGGCGCGGTGGTTCATGCCTGTAATCCCAGCACTTTGGGAGGCCTAAGCAGGTGGATCACCTGAGGTCAGGCGTTCGAGACCAGCCTGGCCAACATGGTGAAACCCTGTCTCTACTAAAAATACAAAAGTTAGCCAGGCGTGGTGGAGGGCGCCTGTAATCCGAGCTACTCAGGAGGCTGAGGCAAGAGAATTGCTTGAACCCGGGAGGCGGAGGTTGCAGTGAGCCAAGATCACGCCACTGCACTCCAGCCTGGACAACAGAGCAAAAACTCCGACTCAAAAAAAAAGTGTCTATCTACCTTCTGCTTTATTTTGTTTTATATGACATTGATGATGTCCATCTATGTTGGCGCATATCATTCTTATCAATTATTTTAAATGCTGTTTAGCATTGTACTATATAAAAATATCAAAACACAGCTCCCTTTTGTTCATTATATTGCCATTTAGTTTTTTTCTCATTTTTTGCTATTTCAACAAAAAGCTGCTATGAATGTGTGTGTATGTGTGTGTATATATATGTAAATGTGTATATATATAAATGTATATATATATACACATATATATGTCAGAGTTTCTCTAGGATATAAACCCAGGAACAAAATTTAAAAATCATAGGGTGTATTGGATCTTACATCACTGCAGACCCTCTCAGCATTACCTCTTGTTCCAGTCAGAGCCTTGGTTACTATTTTTATGTAGACTTTGGTCAGTTTCATAAAGATGGAAGTGATAGTATGTGGCTTCAGACTAGAGCAAGAATTCACTTTCTGCTGTGGGATTTCTCAGACAATGCTGTGTGGATTGTTGTAGGCATTTTGCTTGGTACTCATAAATGCACTGTCTAGACACATTGAGAAGTTAGCATCCATGAGGCTATGCTTGAAAAATGGAACTCCTAGAGCTGATGGATACATATTTCCCCCGTTGTTTCACTTCAGTGAATGGTCATATAGTATTCCATCGCCTAACTTAATAATGTGTTCTAGATTTTACTCTCTCTCCCTATAGCACCCATCCTGTTTCTTATTCTTACTCCACAATACACTCCCAACTTAAACACACAGTCTCTTCTTTAGGTGTTGGGGGTTGGGAGTTATTACAAGATGACATGGTGTATGCATTTATTTATTTGTCTACGTTGATTGCACTGATTTACAGTCTCACCAGCAGTTCATAAAATCCTTCCTTGCAGCTAAGATATGGGCACAGACTAAAATTTATATCTTTAGCTGACATCTCATTCCTGAACACTCATCTCATTTGCAACTGCCTTGAATATCAAATAGGCATCTCAACCTTAGTAAGTAAAACAGAATTCTTTATCTGCATCCTGCCAATCCTGCTTCTTTCCCAGTAATTTTTCACTCAGTAATTTGAGCCATTATTAATCTATTTTCTAAAGCTTCAAAATATGGAGTCATTACCAGCTGTTTTATATACACCATTCCAAGCCATTAGAAAGTCAATTCCATTTCACCTGGAAGTTTATTGCAAATTTGACAATGGTCTCCTACATGAACTACTAAAATAGCTTCTCAGCAGCATCTGTGTGCTGCCATTATCCATCCTTCCTCCAGTCTCTTCCCCACCAGGCAATGGAAGTCACCTCTGGCAATATAATGCATTTCACATTAGTTTCATTTTTCCAGCTGAAAATCTCAAAAGAATTTCATTTACTTGCCTAATAAAAGCTAAAGATATAATCTTGCTCAGAACTATAAGCTGGCTTCTCCACCTACCATTATCCTTTGCCTTGATTACTCTGCTCTATATCATCATCTTGCATACCCTAACACATGACTTTTATACTCATTGCTCCATCTGTTATAAACACACTGATAAATAATGTTTCCTCTTTAGCAGTGATTTCCTGATCTAATCAATATTTTGGTATCATATAAACTCATTGGATTATCAGTGATTATCACTAACCTGCTATCATACAATACACATTTAATTTCTTTTCTCATTGTTTATTGTCTAAACTGCTAGGTAGAAGGGCACTTTATCTATTCTTATCACAAATGTAGGACAACGGCTAGCACAAGGTTAGGAACTTACATGGTATTCAATTAGTTGTTGTTTGATAATTGATTAAAAACTCTAGAACTTTGGGTTCCATTCTTATGATGACAATAATATAATGCTAGGGATGCCAAGTGAATAGCAAGTTTAACCAAGTTATCCTGTATGGGGAGCCACAGTTACTTAAAATGTCTGACAATCCACAGTCCTGGTGATGATGTGGAATATCACTCTCTTAAACAATGCAAACAATTTATTTAATAGTCATAGTGCTAAAGATGGCATGCCCTCCAAATGAGCAATTGCACTCTTTGTTATGCATTTATATGAATATGTATATAGGAATAGTCATGATAAAACTACTAATTATTATAAAATTTTTGGAAAAAGCATAACTATTAAAAATGAAATTGGTAACTTAAGACTACTCAATACATCAACAAAAATGATTGAACTATGCAAAAACATGGATGAATTTCAAAAATGAAATTTTTTTTTTTTTTTTTTTTTTTTTTTTTTTTGAGACGGAGTCTCGCTCTGTCGCCCAGGCTGGAGTGCAGTGGCGCGATCTCGGCTCACTGCAAGCTCCGCCTCCCGGGTTCACGCCATTCTCCTGCCTCAGCCTCCCGAGTAGCTGGGACTACAGGCGCCCGCTACCACGCCCGGCTAATTTTTTGTATTTTTAGTAGAGACAGGGTTTCACTGTGTTAGCCAGGATGGTCTCGATCTCCTGACCTCGCGATCCGCCCGCCTCGGCCTCCCAAAGTGCTGGGATTACAGGCGTGAGCCACCGCGCCCGGCCCAAAAATGAAATGTTAAGAAAGAAAATTTGCACTGTTTTCAAGTCTAATACCACACAGAACTAAATGGTATTTCTGGATAAACAAATTAGAAAATAAAATTATAAAAAATGCAAGAAAAAAATTACCACAAAAGTTGGGATAGAAGTTACATTAAGAGATGGCATGGTCTTATACAAAGAAAACCCTAAAGACTCCAAAAGACTCCTAGACTTGACAAATGACTGCAATAAAGTTTCAGAATACAAAGTCAATGTCCAATAGTCAGTAGTATTTATAGCAATAATATTCAAGCTGAGAACAAAATCAAGAACTCAATCTCATTTACAATAGCCACACACACACACACACACACACACACACACACACATATAACTGAGAAATACGTTTAACCAAGCAGGTAAAATATTTCTACAATAAGAACTACAAAAGATGGATGGAAGAAACCTGAAATAAAACAAACTAATGGAAAAATATCCCATGTTCATGGATTAAAAAAAATTAAAAATGACCATGGTGTCCAAAGCAATCTAAAGATTCAATGCAATTTCTATCAAACTACCAATGTCATTTTTCACAGAATTAGACAACAACAATCCCAAAGTTTATATGAAATCCTGAATTGAAAAAATGGCCCGGATAGCCAAAGCAATTCTAAGCAAAAAGAACAAAGCTGGAGTCAGCACTTCACCCCATTTCAAATTATACTACAAACCTATAATAACAAGAACAGCATGGTACCAATACAAAAACAGATACATAGTTTAATAAAATTAAATAGAGAACCAAGAAATAAAGCCACATACCTACAACCAACTAATCTTCAACAAAGCATGCACAAATAAACAATGTGGAAAGGATACCTTTTTCAATAAATTGTACTAGAAAAATTGGATATCCATATACACAAGAATAAAACTGGATTCCTGTATCTCACCATGTATAAAAATTAACTCAAGATTGATTAAATACTCAAATGTAAAAACCTATAAAATTCCTAGAAGAAAACCTAGGAAAACTTTACTGAATCTCAGCCTTGACAAAGAATTTATGACTAAGTCATCAGAAGCAAATGAAACAAAAATAATAATAGGCAAATGGGACCTAAGTAAACTAAAAATCTTCTGCACAGCAAAGGAAATAATCAACAGAGTAAACAGGCAACCTACAGAACAGGAGAAAATATTCACAAATTATGCATCTAACGAAGTACTAATATCCAGAATCTACATGGAACTCAATAAATAAATAAATAAATAAACACATTATGTCATTACAAAGTAGGCAAATGACATAAACAGACATTTATCAAAAGAAGACATGCAAGTTGCCAACAAACATTAAAAAATACTCAAGATCACTGATGATCATAGAAATGTAAATCAATATTGAAGTGTGTATTAGTCTGTTCTCATGCTGCTATGAAGAACTACCCGAGACTGGGTAATTTATAAGGAAAAGAACTTTAATGGACTAACAGTTCCATATGGCTGGGGAACATTCAGGAAACTTACAATCATGGTGGAAGGGGAAGCAATCAAGTCCTTCTTCACATGGCAGCAGGAAGGAGAAGAATGAGAGCCGAGCAAATGTGGAATCCCCTTATAAAACCATCAGATCTTGTGAGACTCACTCACTATCACAAGAACAGCACGGAGGGTAACCGCCCTCATGATTCAATTACCTCCCACCAGGTCCCTCCCATGACACATGGGGATTATGAGAACTAAAATTCAAAATGAGATCTGGGTGGGGACACAGCCAAACCACATCAAAAAGTGATTCATTTGACATGGTCTTCCCTATCTTCTCTCATTTAGGGTAACATTATTTCCTTGAATCAAAAGGGTATCCCTGTAGACTTTGAGTTCATCTTGACATCTTTGAACCATGGATTATCAATTTGCAAATGTTATTTGTTGAATTATTGAGCTATATTCCTTGAAATGCTTTTAAGAATGATATTTTCATTAAAATAAATGAGGGACTTGAATCCTAATATTTAGGAAGATTTCTCAACATCATCACATACAATTATGAATTATTATGGACACAACAGTGGTAGTTTGGATTTTTATTGTGGTTAAACTTTTAGAAAGTACAAAGTATTCATAAATCTACATTTTAATATTTTATAATTCAAATGAATTTTAAGTAACTATCTATTTTGATATTCCATAAATAAAAATGTCGCCTATACTATATAAGGATTCACTCACTTCTCTCTACATTCTCATCAATACCTGATGTGTTGTGACTTTTAAAAAATAGCCATTCTGACTAGTATAAGGTGGCATTTCATTGTGGTTTTAATTTTTATTTCTCTGATGATGAGACTGAGCATTATTTCATATGTTTGCTGTCCACTTGTATGTCTTCTTTTGAGAAATGTCTGTTTATGTACTTTGTCCATTTTTTAATGGGGTTATCTATTTTGTTGTTGTTGTTGAGTTGTTTGAATTTCTTGTCGATTCTGGATATTAGTACTTAGTTGGATGCATAGTTTGCAAATATTTTCTCACATTCTTCAGGTTATCTGTTTTCTCAGTTATTTCTTTTGCTGTGCAGAAACTTTTTTGTTTAATTAAGTCCCATTTGTCTACTTTTGTTTTTTGCTAAATTTGCTTTTGAGGTCTTAGTCACAAATTTTTTGCCAAGGCCAATGTCTAGAAGAGTTTTTCCAGGTATTCTATGAGTACTTTTATATCTTCAGGTATTATATTTAATTCTTTAATTCATCCTGAGTTAATTTTGTGGATGGCAACAGATAGGGGCCCAGTTTTATTCCTCTGCATGTGGCTTTCCAATTTTCCCTGCACTATTTATTGAAGGGAATGTCCTTTTCCCAGTGTATGTTTTTTTCAATGTTGTCAAATATCCATTGACTGTAGGTAGGTCCCTTTATAAATATCCACTAATAAAGTGACAAGTGCCTTTGTCACTTTATTCCTGGAATTTCTATTTTGCTCTATTGAGTATTGTGTCCATTTTTATATCAGTATCATATTGTTTTTATTACTATAGCCTTATAGTATAATTAGAAGGAATGTAAATTTGTCCCACCTCTATTAAAACAGTATGAAAATTTTTTCAAGTATTAAAGAGCCACAATTCACTCTATCAATCCTATACTGGGTGTATACCCAAAAGAAAAAATATCATTATACCAAAAAAGATATTTGCACTCATTTATTTATAGCAGCAATATTCATAATACCAAAGATATTGAATCAACATGTGTCCATCAACAAATAACTGGATAAAGAAAATGATGTGATATACATACATACATATATACACACACACATACACGCACAATGAATACTACACAGCTATAAAAAATAAAATCATTTCACTTGCAGCAATATGGAAGGATAATTTTACACTTTATGTCTTAGTCTGTTTTGTGCTGCTGTAACAAAATACCTGAAACTGGGTAATTTGTAAAAAATAGAAAATTATTTTCTGATAGTTCGGTAGGCAAAGAAGTCGATGATCAAGATACCAGCATGTAATGAGGGCCTTCTGTTGCAGTCTCAGATAGCATTAGTTTAAAGGGCAAGAGAAAGGCAGAACTCTATTTGAGAGGGCTGTTGCAACCTTACAGCATGATACATTTTGTGAAATATGGTTTTGAACATTTTTATTAAAAATGTAGGCATCAAAATCTCTACCATTTGTGTCATGTTATAATAATAACTGTAAAACTGCATTATTCAGAATACGTAACAATAAAAGTTACTATTAAAAAGTTTTAAAATGTATTTGCTTTTGCATATATCGTTTCTATTGATCATAACAACCAGATATGATAACCAGGGCCAGATATTTCTACTGTTATCACTAGAAATCAAAGAAAACTAACATATTGGATAGTTTTAAAAATTATAAAAATTGTAAGTGTACATATAAATATTAACCTGTAAGTCATCTTGCAAGTATTATAATCAAATTTCATTTTCAAATCGTGATGAATCTAACATGATACCTAAGTTTGTATATTGAAAAGTGTGTATACATGTGCACACACTTTTAATTTAGATTTTTCTCATTCTGAGTGATAATGCAGCAAAATCTAAAGAGATTACACTATAATTATGTTTAAAACCTTACTTGTACTTTTGAAACAAATCACAGGTTGAATCATGATAACAGGACAAAATATACTTAGCTGCTGAATATAAACAAAGTATACAGAAGCGTAAATCTTGCGAGCACAAAAGTGTTAAAAACAGCAAGATCTAGAGGCTCAAGTACAAGAGAGATATATTATACCAAGAGCAGTAATCTCAAAAATTTATATCCCAAATGTGTAGACTTGACCTTATTTTCAGTCAGTGTGTTCTGTATGGAAAATGAACATGCTCCTGACAATGGAGTATGATTTAGAAAACTATATCCTGCACAGAGGGATATAAAATGTGATTATATACTGCACTTCTGTGCAAAATTTTAAACAGAATTTAATCAATCACTTTGAAACCTAGATGTATTTGTGGAACAATGACATCACTTTGAAATTATGTGTAGTTTGTAAATGCACAAAATTAATAATGTATTTTGTGTAAATGGATTACTTTGGAAAGAAACTCATAAGAACTACATTATCAGACAAAACATTCTTTGAAAATGCGTGTGCTACAAGGCAATTTGCCATTTCATTTTAATAGAATGTTCCATGCTGAAAATCTCTAACTGCTCAGAAGTGGAATAGGAGTGTAAATTTATTATCTGAGAAAAGAAAATTAATTGACACAGGCCAAAAATGTAATGGAATTAGACCCATGTGCCTTAGTGAGAACTTAGGAACTCGATCTGGGCTCTATGGAGTGATAAAATTATGCAAAAAAAAAAGAAGTATGTCATTTTTGCACAAAGCTCAGGATTTCTCAAAGGAATATTATATAAAATAATGAAGTCTTCTTTATCTCCAAGACAGTCCAGTCTTAGAACGCAATGGAACATGCCATTTGAAATAAAAAACAAATTTTGTTTTTGTTTTGTTTAGTTATGTTTGGTGCTATTTTAAGTATTTAACATTCATAAAGAGAGAATTAGCAATTAATGAGATAAAGTTTAAAAAAAATCTAGAGATCAGGACAAGGTAAAAAAAATCATTCAGTCTTGCAAATCTGTTGTTTAATAGGTCATGTTTTAAGAACTGGGAATACAGATACTATGTGTATTTTAAATAGAAAATTTGAAATGTACAATAAGTCATTTTTAAATATAGTCACTCTGCTATAAAGTCAATCTCTAAAATTCAGTCTTTGTGTCTAACTGAAACTGTACCCTGTGAACAACATCTCCCCATTCCCTATCCCTTGCCTCCAGCATTAACTAGCATTCTACTCTCTACTTTTAAGGGTTTGCCTTTTTTAGATTGCTAAAAAGTCTATTTTCAGTGTTCTCACAACAAAAAGATAAATATGTGACATAAGAGATGTGTTAAGCAGCTTGATTTAATCATTCCACAATATAAATATATACGAAGACATCATACTGTACCCCTCAAAACAATTGTTTATTTAAAACATTTAAAAACAAAAAATGAGACAAATATCAGGAAAGTAATTTTATACATAAGCTAGATAATTGCCTATAGCTGCGTATGCTGTGAAATAATTTCTGTTTGAAAAGACAGGAAAAATTATATGGCAAAACCATAGTGCAGTAATAAATTTGTCATGTTCAGTAAACAAAATATAGTTCAATGTGACTGGAGGCAGAAGAATGTGGTGTACACGGTAGTGTAGAGGAGTGTCTTAGTTTGGGCTGCTATACAAAATACCATAGATTGAGTGGCTTACAAATAACAAAAAAAGTATTTCTTACGGTTCTAGGGGTTGGAAGTCCAAAGTCAGAGTGCCAGGATGTTCTGGTTTTGGGGAGGGCCCTTTTGCGGTTGCAGACTGTTGGGTTTTTGTATAAGCACATGGGGAAAGAAGTGAGAGCTCTCTTAGGTCCCTTTTATAAGAACACTAAGCCTATTCATGAGGCCTCTACTATCACAACCTAATTACCTCCTGAAGGTCCCACATACTAATACCATTACATTGACAGTTAAGATTTCAATATACAAATTTTGAGGGTACACTTTAAAAATTCATTCCGTAACATTCTGCCCCAGGTTCCCCAAAATTCATGTCTTCACATACAAAATGCAGTCATTCCATTCCAACAAATCCACAAATCTTAACTCATTCCAGCCTCAAGTCCAGTCTAAAGTCCAAGGTCTTATTTAAATATTACCTAAATCAGATGTAGGTGAGCTTCACGGTACAGTTCATTCTCACAAAATTTCTCTTCATCTGTGAACCTGTGGAATCAAACAATATGAACTTTCAAAATACAATGGTGAGACAGGCATAGGATAAACATTCCCATTCCAAGAAGAACCACTATTCGAAAAAAATAAAATATATGAATGCTGGATCCCAAGTAAATCTAAAACCTAACAGGGCAAACTCCATCAAACCCTAAGGTTCAAGAAGCATCCTCTTTGGCTTGATGACTCACCTTCCAGACAGTCCCCGACAGCTCAGTGAGGCACTGCTCGCTGCTGACTCTATGCACTGGACCCACTTATGGCACAGTCTTTTGTCAGGGCTGAGGACACTCACCCAGGGCTTCACTGGATGGCCCTCCCACACAGCTCCTCTGAGCATCATTTCTGTCCTTTGAAATCAAAATGGAGGCAACCTTGGCCCACCTTGCCATACCCTCTTGATTTTTGGTAAAAGCAGCAGCTGTAATTGTCTCCAAATCCCCTTTGCGCCCCCTCTTCCGTAATTTTGAAGAAGAGAATAGCACACATCCACAACTGAATAGCTCTCGGGTCCGGGCCTGTAGGGCTTAAACATTCTGAATGTCTTCCTTTATTTCGTCCCATTATCTCTGTTTCCTTTAGTCCCAACTGGCAGTGTTTCTCCTGGTATAATCCCATTTCTATTCATGGTTTGTGTTGAGATGTTTGATTAAGCCTATGGTTCACACCCATATTAATCAAATCAGTAAGGGTCCGAAACACTCTTCATGTTCTCTTCAGAACACACTTTCTCACTTTTTTTGCAATATGGGCAGGCTGAGAATTTCCCAGATCTTAAATTATGGTTACTTTTTCCTTAACAATTCCATCTTCCAACCATTTTTTTTTTCTACATTTGACGCTACGGATTCAGAAGGAACCAAGGTGCTTCTTCTACATGTTGCTGAGAAATCTGCTGGGTTAAATGTCCAATTTCACTGCACACAAGTTCCACCTTCCTCAAAACACAAGAGCATGAATACAATTCAGAGAAGTTTGTTTCCACTTTTTAACATGGATTGCTTTTGCTCCATTTTCCAATAACATATTCATTTCCATTTGAGCCTCCAACAGAATGACCTTTACTGTCCATATTTTATCAATCTTCTGTTCATGATTATTTAATTATTTTCTGAGAAGACAGCGTTTTCTTCTATATTTCTTTCCGAGCCCTCACGAGAATTGGCTTTTAAATTTCTTCCACAGTAATCTAGCATTTTGCATAAAAACTCATCAATCTCTGCCAATCACTGAGCCCAAAACCATTTTCACTTTGTTTTAGGTATTTATAACAACAGCACTCCCACTTCTCATGATCAGTTTGCATCTTCAGCGGTTCAGGCTGCTTTAATAAAGTTCCATAACCTGAGTGGCTTTTAAATAACGGAATGCACATCTCACAGTTCTGGAGGCTGGAAGTCCAACAGCAGAGTGCCAGCATAATTGGGTTCTGGTGAGAGAGCTCTCTTGGGTTTCAGACTGCTGCCTTCTCAATGCAGCTTCACATGGTGGACAGAAAGAGCTCTCAAGAGTCATTTTTAAGGGCACCAATCTAATTTATGAAGCCTCCACCATAATAAGCTAATTACTCCCCAAAGTTCATTATAAATATGCAGCTTATAGGTCCTGCTACCATCATACTGAAGGTTAAGTTTTCATCACATGAATTTTGAGGGGACACAACATTCAGTTGCAACAAAAAATACTCAGTGGTTTTTAATTACAATATTAATTATGTAAATACAGAATAAATTTTAGCTCTAAACATTATCCATGATGTGATTAATTAAATTACTAGTTTAAAAAATTGAATCTGTAATTTATCTTGCCTCTATAATTATTATAAGAACTTGTAAACTTTTAACTTGTTTTCTTTAATTTGACCATTTCTGAAATTGTATCTCTAAGTATTGATATATACACTTCCTAGTGCATATAAAAGTTATGCATATTTAGAGTAATAAGTAGTGTGTTATCATGTTTTTATATCAGGGCAGGAAGGGAGAAGTTGAAGAACAAAGTGTCCTTTTCAACAACTTCAGCCTACGTATCTTTCTACAGGACTATAACATGTCACCAGCCACAAGGGCAAGGAGACTGGGCATTGTAGTTATTTGGCAGGACACATTGCTCTTTCAAACAAAAATGGCATTCAGAAACAAGAAAGTAGGGAAGAGAGGTTTTGGTTGGACAACTTGCATTGTTGTCCCTTCTTTTCTTAGACTTCCAAATGCTTGGTTTCAGAATTCTTCATAAGGTTACCCCTCTGTGTAATTTTATCTATCCATTAAATCTCCCAAGTCCAGGTCCCCAAGCTCTTCTCAACTAGTATGACAGCAACTTCTACAGAGATGTCAATGCAGTACAAATGCTTGTTTTAGAGTTGTTTTAATCCAGCTTCTATCATTCTAAATATTGTTTTAATCCAATATTCTAATTCAGAATATTGAGAATAAACTAATCTTACATGAAATATCTTTTTTCTCCTATTATTTGATATGTGTGTCTATAAAATAACATTTTCTAATTACAGAATGTGCAAGCAAAAAACAAAAAGGGCCTGTGTCCCTAGTCCCATTTTCTTCCTCGGAGGTAACATCTGCAACCATTTTTAGTTTTCTGTTGTTCTTCTCTAATGCTCCCAATAATATACCTTTATTATGGTTATTGTTGTTATTATTGCTCTTGCGTCAAGCACTATCTCTTAGTGCTCATGCACATCCTTACCGAGGTCCATTTCTTTACTCTCTGCCCCATTCCAAGTTGTGTTAGGTAGAGGATTATACTGATCAAGTCCTGTTTTTAGCTATCTTCATAACATTAACACTTTAAACCTCAATGCCTTCACTGTTCTACTGTCCTATGAGCTCTAGCAATCTCAAGTTTCATGTCACTTCTCAGACTATGGCAATGGTAATCTGCATTAATGGCAAAATCATTAATATTGATGAAAATTTTTATTTTCTGCCCTTCCCAAAATCATCTACTTCTTTGGAATTTACATTAGCAGGCAACAATGGCAGTGGCAATACTACCTTTTGGAAGGTAACTGTAGCTCCACCCTTATCTGTAAAAAGATATGTATTAAGACCCCCAGTTGATGCCTGAAACAGTGGATAGTAAACATGTACTATTTTTCCTACACATACATACTTATAATAGACTGTAATTTAAAAACTAGGCATAGTGAAATTTAACTAATAATTATAGTAGTTTATTAGTTAAACTACTACTACTAATTATTATAGTAGTAGTATTTGTTTAAACTAATATACTCATTATGGGAGTAGTATTAAACTAATAGGCTAATTATATTAGTTTAATAATTCTATTAGTTTATTAGTTAAACTAACACTACTAATGATAATAGAATTATATTAGTTATACTAATATATTATTTATAGGAGTAGTGTACTTCTATAATTATATAGGAATATAATTATATTCCTTTTACTAATAATTATATGAACATTAATAATTAGTAGAATTATTATAACAATATACTGTAGTAAAAGTTATGTGAATGTGGTCTCTCTTTCTCTTGAAATACCTTATTATTATCTACTTTTCTTTTTGTGATAAAGAAAACAGGGAGTAGGACGGACAACCTGAGAATTTATCACGTTATGGTACACAATTTCAAAGTTATTATTTCTATAACTTTTATTTAATATTTTTCAAAACATGATTGACCCCTGATAGCTAAAACTGGGGAAAGTGAAACCGCTGGTAAGGGGGGACTGCTGTGTTGCTAAAAGTGTCTTCCTTTGATAAATGTACCAAGAGTAGATTCTCAAGAGGAGTAACATAGATAGGAATTTACATTGTAGATGGCCTCAGCTATTGCTAAATATCTACAAATTCACTTGGGAATAATATAAGCAGCCACATCAGCAACAATATCTTGAGTAATATTGTTAATGGAGCATCAGGAATTAGGGCTTTGCAATTATGAGATACATTTTTCCAAAGACACGATGCAAACATCCTTAGCAGTAGAAGAAAAAAGTTGAATTCCAACTCTTTGTCAAGAGGCATTTTTGGGAATTGTTATTATACCCAATTTTCCCCCAGGATTATGTGGCATGATAAATATGCCTTACAATAACTTAGTTAAGAATATTATAGGTAATACATATTTCATCACCTTAAGAAATGTGAATGGCTGTTTGGAGGTATATTAACATCATGTAGATTGAGGTTCAAGACTGCTGAGATAAAATTGAATACATTTAGAAAGACTGATGGCACATTTTCCTGAAGAGAATCTTTAGAAAACCAAAGAGTTAATGTCAGGTTTTTGTATGTCTTAGTAGTCTGAATAAAACCTGTTAAATAATTTTTCCTGGAAGAAACATATTAATATTTAATTTTCAAAAAGTGATATTAATAGTTAATTATCCAGTTATCTGGACTTTTTCCAAAAGAGTATATCTATAAAGAGCATCTACTCTATGAAATGTACAAATAAACTCAAAGGATAGTAAATCAGTATTCAGTCTGTAAATATTACCTCACTGTGTCCATGACATTTGTGAACTTAGCAACCAAATTTAAGGATTTAATGTGTTTGCTTGCTGTTAACATATATATAGAGAGAAAAATAAATGGATGAATTTTCAGAATTTATCTAATTTTCTCCTCCATCAAAGTTAAAAATTAGCTGTTTGATTTACTATACTCAGCTAAAATTCTCTGGCATTTTATCTTGATATTACTGACATCCTGGAAGGAGTATCTTGTTTGTTTGGCAAGTGGATTTTTTTAAAAAAATAAATTATTGCTTCATAATTTTTATTGTTTATATTTCAAGGTTATGAACAATGCCCTTAAAAGATAAATGGTATGTATATATATATATATATATATATATATATAATATATATTTTAATCTGCATGTAGTATACCTGTTGTGACAAAAATAAATGAAAGCTTAATTTCTTGCCAAGCTGCAGACTATTACAGTATATTATTTTAAGCATTACACTATACATACTTCTTTTGAAAATTTACTGCACTTATACATACTTCTTTTAGAAATGCACTGCACTTATACACACTTGTTTTGGAAAAATTAATAATGTATGTTCCAATATAGAATCATCACTAGGGTACATTATGTGATAAAAATGCAAGATACTATGCATGCTGTTTTCAAGGTATATAAATATGTATGTAGGCACATGTGTGCAAAAAATTCTGAAAAATAATTCAGAATTTGGTGACAGTGGTTACCTTTGGGGAGTGGAACCAGAGTTGAAGAAATATTTCATTTTTTATCCTTTTATATTTTGAAGATATATAAACACAAATATTTAAGAAAAACTGCGTAGCTCAACCATATATCAGAAAAACCTGTGTAACTGGTATACAGGTCAGAAGCTAGAATTTGCTAGCACACAGGGCTCTGGCAAATACTTTTGCCCATTCACTACCTCTTACCTTCACAAAGTTAACTACTGGTATGATTTTTACAGTAATCTATTTCTTGATTTTTATACCTATACCTCACGTGCTTCCCCAAGCATGACATTTCAGTATTGCCTGATTTTTTGAACTTCTTATAAGTAGAATCATACAGAACATATTATTAGTTTTATTGGGCAATAGCAAATAGTTCACTAACAAGATTCTCACCAACAGCTACATGTTTTTGGCAATATTTGACATGGGCAGTCTAATTTAAAATATTTTGATTTTTTGTCAAATTCAAAACATTTTGTCAAATTCAAAAACATTGAAGTTCTTTTTTGCATTTTAATAATGGCTATTCTGATTTTCATTTTACATTTTGATTTCCTCTTCTATAAAGTTTCAAGTCCTTTTATATTACTGTGTCTTTGATATCTGTTTTAAAATACATTTTGGATAAAAGCCTTTATCACTTACATACATTGAGAAGAGCCCCTCTATGAATTGTCATTTCACTTACCTTACAATATCTAATAAACATTAATGACAATTTTAATGTAGTTTAATTCAATGGTTCTTAAATGGGTTTTGTTTTGTCACCTAGGGAATATTTCTCAATGACTCGTGACAGTTTTGGTTGTTTTAACTGGTGAAATGCTAGTGGCATCATGTGGGTAGAGGCCATGGGTGCTGCTAAACATGCTACAATACTTGGACTGCCCAACTATGACAAAGAATTATCCTGCCCCAAATGTAACAATGCAATATGTGTATATTTCTTGAAGATATTCTACAACATAAATTTCTAGAATATTTATTGAATAATTATATTCATCTATACAACCCACTAGCACTGATTTTATACGTGAAACATATGGAGAGTAGAGAATTATTATTTTTTCACTATGTGGACCTGAAACATGTAGAGAATAAGGAATTATTTTTCACTATGTGGCTACCAAAATGGGACACATAGTTTATTGGAAATGACGCCATTTCAGCTGTGCTGTGCAATATTTGTTATATATCAAATAGCCTTATATACATGAGTCTGTTCCTGGGTTTTCAATCTGAATACTCTCTTCTTTTCTAGTACTACATTCTCCATCTTTATGAGTAGGATTAATATTAAAAAATGCAAATCGACTCATGTTTTTCTTTTTCAATATTGCCCTATTTGCAGTTTTGCCTTTCCATATAAATTGTGGAATCACGTTGTCATTTCCAAAAAACAAAGCAAACAAGCAAACACCCTGCTTGTTTTATGATCAGTATTTAATTGAATTCATAAAAATGTTTACAATATTCAATGTTTCAGTTCATGAATACTCCAAACTCCTTCATTTTTAAACTCATTTTAAATTTCTCTCAATTATACTGTCTCTATGTTAAAGTTCTCTTTGTAAAATTCTTCATAACTTTTGCTAGAATTATTACTTGGGATTTTATATTTTTGGGTTCCATTTAAATGGTATATATGAATAATATTGTATATATTTATTTTCTGAGTATTACTTCTAATATACAGAAATGCTATAATTTTCTGAATATGGGTCATATATTTCATACCATTGTTAATTCACCATTAGTTATAATAATTCTAATGATAACCTAATTAGAAGAATAAGTGATAAATTATTTTAGATTTCCATATACTGTGAAAATTATTTCATTTCTCTCTTTCCAATCTTTATATCTCTTATTTTTATATTTTGCTTTATTGCACTGGCAAGGACATCCAGTACAATGTTTAATTAATTCTTTGTAAATAGACTTTCTTGTCTTTTGCCAGATTACAAAATAAAAGGACTTCAACATTTTACCATTATCATATCTGCTGTATTTTTTAGACATCATTATCACATTCAATTTGTTTCTGAATTTTTGTTTTCATCATAATGATTTTGAATTTCATAAGCAAGCTCAGTATTCTGCAGTAATAGTTGCTCATCCAATGCCTTCTTTCTTTCATCCTTATTATCTAAACTCCTGTTTTTTCTCTGCTAAATACATTATTTTCAGCATCACGTACATTTCAGGCTGATCATGTGTCATTTTAATGCTGAAAAGGGCTTTGAGTCAAGACTCCAGTCTTCTAAAATCATGAGCACTCTTCCCAGGGCTTTATCCAATATACACTTTTGTAAAGAGTCAAACTTTTCAAATGTACAGGTTTTTTATTTCGTAAATCTCTACCCTGTGACCATTATTTCTGCCTTTATGCTGTCTTCAGATTTATTTATTTATTTTTCTCATCTCTTTGGCATGTATACTTTGATCATTGCTTTTTCAGGCTTTGGTATTTTTGTTGTTGTGGTGGTTGTTGAAATGGAGTCTTGGTCTTTCACTAGTCTGGAGTGCAGTGGTGCGATCTTGGCTCACTGCAACCTCGCCTCCCAGGTTCCAGAGATTATTCTGCCTCAGCCTCCTGAGTAGCTGGGATTACGGGTGCCTGCCACCACGCCCGACTAATTTTTGTATTTTTAGTAGAGACGGGGTTTCACCAAGTTGGGCAGGATGGTCTCAACCTCTTGACCTCCTGATCCTCCCGCCTCAGCCTCCTAAAGTGCTGGGATTACAGGCGTGAGCCATCGCACACGGCCTGGTATTTTCCAACAAATAAAATTACAGTACAAATTTTCCCTTAACATGACGTTACCTAGATATCACACATATGATATCTGGAAATAAATGAGCGCCTGGAAATAAATGTGCCATTATTTGGGTATTGTGTTTTAATGCCGTTATGTGCCTCTCAGAACAATTTTACGGTTCAAGTGTTTTAGATAATTTCTGATTTGTTGTCTGCATATTCTATCATATGCTATGAAAATTTTATTGGGATCTTTTACTTTCATTATCAACTGATTATTTATCCTTATTAGGTAAATGTTTATTTCAAACCTATATTGCATGTGCGTTTAAATTTGGCATTGATCCCCTGAATAAGCTCTATGTGTAGTATTCTTTTTTTTTCATTTAAAGTCTTCTTTTTCTAAAACTATTTGGTTTAAGGAAAGCTTTAGCTGTTTAATATTTGCATAGGATATCATTTATTATTATATTTTTAACTTTCCTATATTGTTATGTTTTAGATATATTTTCTGTAAATATAACACAGTTATGTTTGTTACTCTTATCCATTCCACAACCTCTGTATCTTAATTTTATTATTTTTTTCTTTTTCCATTCAGACTTCTACTAATATATTGGGTTTTAAATTATCCATCTTATTTATATGTCTAATTTTGCATCACATATTCTATAATATGCTTTCTTTTATTAAAAACTTTAGATTGATAAAGCATGTAATTATTGTTATCCTTAAGTAATTATTTCATTATTTTATTTTTTAATTCATTAGTTATTTAGCTAACCTAGAGATTGCAGAATGTACCAAATTTATTTGAAAGTCTACTATTTCTTGATGTATTAACTTTTTCTCAGAGAACATATATTTAAGCTGTACTTAACTTCTGCCTTACTTACATGCTTTTGCTCTTAAATCTTATAATCTCAACATTAAATGCACTATTGATTTGTCACACTCTTTCCTGCATCTCTAACTTTATCATGAGAACCTTTTCATGATGGGCAGCTCTGCTGGTGATGAAACCAATATGTGTATGCCTGAAAATGTCTGTATTTAATTTTCAAAAGTGAAATAAATTATTGCTCGTTATAAAAGTCTAAGTTGTCCATTAGTCTTCTTCAACTCTTTAAATATATCATTCTAATTTCTTCGTATTTACTGATGCTAATATGAAAACATGTATTATCTTGATGTTAATATGAAAACGTGTGTTTCCGCTTTTAAGGCTTTGTTTTTGCTCTGGTTGCTGTACCTTATGTTCTTGGCAGTTTTATTCTGATAGCTTTGAAGAAATTTTCTTTTTATCTTTCTTTATGGTGATAGTACCTTTTGTTTTTTTTTTTTTTGTTTTTTTTTGTTTTTTTTTTTTTTGAGACGGAGTCTTGCTCTGTCCCCCAGGCTGAAGTGCAGTGGCTCTTCACTGCAACCTCTGCCTCCCGGGTTCAAGCCATTCTCCTGACTCAGCCCCTCGAGTAGCTGGGATTACAGGACCACCCCCGGCTAATTTTTTTTGGTATTTTTAGTAGAGACGGGGTTTCACCGTGTTAGCCAGGTTGGTCTGTATGTCCTGACCTGGTGATCCGCCCGCCTTGGCCTCCCAAAGTGCTGGGATTACAGGCGGAAGCCGCCGAGCCTGGCCAGGACATTTTAGATCTATGAATTGATATGTTGTCTCATCATCCTTTAGACAGTTCTTGGGTTTCAACTCCTCAATAGTCAGCCTTTTAAGCCCCATCATCACTCTTCATCTTCTTCTTCTTTTTTTTTTTTTTTTTTTTACTTCTGAGACGGCGTCTTGCTTTGTCTCCTAGGCTGGAATGCAGTGGTGCTGTCTGGGCTTACTGCAACCATTCCTTCTCGGGTTCAAGTGATCCTCCCACCTCAGCCTCCCAGACTACAGGCATGCACTACCTACCAGGCCCCGCTAATTTTTTGTAGAGACAGGGTCTCACTATGTTGCCCAGGCTGGTCTTGAACTCTTGGATGCAAGCGATCTTCCAACCTTGGCCTCCCTAAGTGCTGGGATTACAGGCCCGAGCCAGCCATGCACCTTGCAATCTTCATTGATTTAAAAAATTCATTGATAATTGCATTAAGCTTTTACAGTGTATTCTTAGTGTCCCTAACTCATTTCTCCATTTTCCTTTACTGTGTCTCTTGTTCTTTTCTTAACATTGTTGTCTCATCTATTTTGTAGTTTACTTTTTTCTTAATAATTTATATTGCTCTTAAATTTATCCATGGACTTGTTACTGTATTTTTTAATTAACGATTTAAAATTTGGCTTTCCAATTTTTCTTGAGTTCTCTGCTAAAATTGTGAGTCATGTTTTCTATCTCCTTGTAAATACTAAATAAAATCATTTTTATAATTTGTTCAATAACTTCAATACGTGGAAATATACATTTCTGTTTATATTATCTGTTGCTTTTCTATGATTTCACTTATGCATTATTGTCTTGTTGTCTTCTTGGTTCTTTTATTTGTTCCAAACATTGTCTTTGCAATTCAAAATAATTTAATTAGTAGACCCAGCAGGGTTGTACCAGCGACCAGCGCCTGCAGTGTCTGGGATGGGAAAAAATGAATAAATGATTTAAGTTGCAAAGTATAGAGCTTACCTTGTCACTAATTAAAATGTTTGAAAAGCTCTATTACAAATGTATGAGATTTATAAGTGAATTGGACTTTTAAAACTCATCAGATATTTTATTATACTAAGGAAATATTGCTTATTTATATGTGAGATTATAGATATATGGTTTTCTAAAAATTATCGTTCATATCTTATAGAAATACACAGTGAAATGTGTATGGATGAATTTATATTATGTCTAGGATTTACTGAGTAATATTACTGATTATACAGTGTGTGGGATTAGAATGAGGGTATAGAGCAAATAAGATTAGCAATTAATTGATATTTAAATAAACACAAAATGTGAACATAGAGATTTATCACATATTTAATATTCTATATAATTAAATGTTAAAAAAATAATTCAAAGACGCTGTATGTGCCCTCGCAGGATTTGCCTTTTTAATGTCATTTGCATAACTCTACAGGCAATTCAGGATCTTCTCCATCCAATTTCTGGAACTGAAACAATTCAAATCTGTGCTTCAACTTCCGCAAATGTCTTCTCTTTCTGAAAAGCTTTTTAGCTAGGATTCTCCTTTCGGTACTGTGACTTAAAGCAAGAAGTTATTCCTCACTTTTTTCAGTAATCAAGACTTTAATCTATCCTACCAGTACCCTCAGGAGTACTAGGTTATTTCATCTACTCTTTGTCTCCATGACATTCATGACATTGATACAAAGATTGAACAAAAATTACAGCCTAGACATTTGGTCAAATGATTTTACATTTAGTTACATAGGCTGAGTATTCCTGATTAAATTGAGGTTCTCCTTTTTGGCAAAAATGTTACTTAAATGAAGCTTAAATGTTACAAAATTGGTGATCTATAAGGAGTTACTTTAATATTGTTTAAATATTTTTGCCTTTCAAAGTTTCACACAATAACTTCTCTCTCATTGCTCCCTGAAAATATAAATGATATGGGTGTTACAGATGATGATTCTCTAGCTTTCAATACTTCAACCTTTTTTTTTTTTTTTCCTTTTTCTGAGACAAGGTCTCACTCTCTCACCCAGGCTGGAGTGCTGCAGCCTCCAACTCTTGGGGTCAAGGGATCCTCCCACCTCAGCCTCCCAAGATGCTGGGAATACAGGCATATGCCACCATGCCCAGCTAAGTTTTTTTGTTTGTTTGTTTGTTTAGAAGGAAACTCGCTCTTACTGCACAGACTGGAGTGCAGTGGCGTGATCTCGGCTCACTGCAATTTCCACCTCCCAGGTTCAAGCGATTCTCCTGCCTCAGCCTCCTGAGTAGCTGGTACAACAGGAGCCCTCCACCATGCCCGGCTAATTTTTTGGTATTTTTAGTTGAGATATGGTTTCACCGTATTGGCCAGGCTGATCTCAAACTCCTGACCTCAGGTGATCTGCCCACCTCGGCCTCCTAAAGTGCTGGGATTATAGGCGTGAGCCACCGCTAATCTTTTAAATATTGTTTTTTTAGTGATGAGATCTCATTGTGGTGCCCAGGCTGGCTTTGAACTACTGGCTTCAAATGATTCTCCCATCTTGGCTACCCCAAGTCCTGGGAATACAGGCCACCATGCGTACTTGACATATTATTCTTTTTTACAATTTGTAATTTGGTATCTTTTGTTAAACAGATGTTTTCCACTTTAATGTCATCATTTATACTTGTTAGTATTTTTTGTTACTAAAAAATATTTTGCTACTCAAAGATCATGAGTTAGATATTTTCCTATATTAACATCCAATCTTTTATTGGTTTTTCTTTATAACATATACAAACAAACACACTATATATTCATTGTTTTCTATATATATGTCTACTTATCTGAGCACCAGTTTTTGGAAACAAAGTTTTTCTACAGCTCGTCTGCAGTACACTCTTTAGTGTAAATCACACTTTCATAAATATGTGAGTCTGCTTTAGTGACATCCATTTTATTTGACTGGCCTCTTTGTCTATTTTTAATTTACTATCACACATGATAGTGTTTGGTAGGTTTATAAATCTTTTTATTTGAAATACTGTCTGTTGCTGAGTTTTTTATAAAATATTAACTATTTTCATATTTTTGAACATATATTTTTAAATTTTCTCATCAAATTATGAAAAAAATATAAGATTTTTAATGGCCCTATGGTATTGATTGACACCCTTAGAATATTGAGTTTTCCAAGGAGTGAACATGGCATATAATTCCATTTTATGATGATTCATTTAACATGTCAATAACAGTTTATAGTTTTCTGTGCAGAAATCATATACACATTTTTGGTTATGTTTATTTGTAGGTGCTTGGTATTTCCAGATGTTATGGTAAATGGTAACTTAAAAGTATATTTTATAAGTGGTTATTTTTTGCTTATAGAAAAGTGATTTTAGTCAGATTTACTTGAACACAATTTATATATAGTAAATTTCACCTTAAAGGTGTGCAGTTCTATAATTTTTGAAAAATATACATTCATCAAGCCAGCATCAAAATAAAGATGCAGAATATTTCCATTATCTCTAAAAATATTCCTTCATGCCAGTTATAGTCAATTTCCTTATTCTATTTCCATTCCGTGGCAACCTCTCCTCTTATTTCTGTTTCCTTAATTTTCTTTTTCTGAATGTCATATAAATGGAATCACAGAGTATATAGTTTTTTGAGTCCAATTTATTTTACTTATTAAGTTATTTAGAGGCTCATCCTTGTCGTATGTATCAGTAGATGATGCTTTTTAAAATTGTGGAGTCATATTCCACTGTGTGGGTGTATCAGAGTTTTTATCTATTTACTAGTGATGACAATTTTTTTCTCAATTTTGTATCATCGAAAGTTTTTAAAACTAAAATTAAAACATTAGAGTTTGGGTTCTTTGAATTGAGTTAGAGAGAGTCAAGGAAGTAAAAGAATATTAAACTAAGGCTATGGCTATTGATGTAAAGAAATGTACATGATTTTAGGAAATAGAAACCAAACTGCAGTTACCCAAATGTCCATAACTAGGTGAACAGATAAACACCCTGTAGTATATACATACATTGGAATTTATTAAGGAATGATAATGTTCAAATAATATAATGAATATTTTTATTCATTATATTATTACATACAATTACATGTATAAATATCATTGTATTCACATATTCTAATTATATTAATACATACAATAACATGTATAAATGTTAATTATGCTTACTGAAAAACAGTAGACAAAAAGTACACACTTTATTATTCCATTTATATAAAAATCTAGAAAAAGAAAGAACTCTAAATAATAAAGAGTGAATCTGTGATGGTTTGAGGCTGGTGCAGGAGGGAGTTTGAGGAAGGAATAGAATGGTAGGATTATAGAGATACACAGAAAATTTTTGGTTCTATGCTGGATACGTTTGGCTTCTCAATTATGGTGAGAGTTTATCAGGTGTGTGCATATGTCCAATGTATGAGACTGAACATTGAAACTGCAATAATCATATAATGAAATATTGAGCAATAAAATGAATGAAATACTGATGCATACCACAACATGAATGAGCCTTGAAAACATTATGCTAAGTGAAAGAAACAAGATGCAATAGACCACATATTGTATTATTCTGTTTATGTAAAAGATCCAGAATAAGCAAATCCATAGAGACAAAAAGTATATTAGCGGTTCCCACAAACTAGGGGCCGGGGGAATGAAGAAGGAGTGTTGGTTACTTTTTGTGTTGATGAAAATTTTCTAAAATTAGATACTCTTAATGTTTGTACAATTCTGTGCATATACTCAAAACCGCAGAGTTATACACTTTAAAATGTTTTATCTTGTGATATATGAATTGTATCTTTATGAATCTAATATTTAAAAAATATTGGAATAGACTGTTGGATTAATTTTGAAGTGTGAATATTCACTAATCAGCAGTGGATCCTCATGTCTATGAGTTTGTGTATTAAAATCCATGGGCCAGGTGGAGTGGCTCATGCCTGTAGTCCCTGCACTTGTGGAGGTCGAGGCAGGTGGATCACTTGAGGTCAGAAGTTTGAGACCAGCCTGACCAACATGGTGAAACCCCATCTCTACTAAAAATACAAAAAAATTAGCTGGGCTTGGTGGTGGGCACCTGTAATCTCAGCTACTTGGGAGTCTGAGGCAAGAGAATCACTTGAACCCTGGAGGCAGAGGTTGCAGCGAGCCAAGATCATGCAACAGAACTGCAGCCTGGGCCACAAAGTGAGACTCCTTCTCAATAAAATGAACTACAATAATTAAAATAAAATAAAATAAAATAATAAATAAAATAAAATAAAATATAAAATAAATAAAAAAATAAAATAAAATCCATGAATAATTGAATCTATGGGGCATTCACTTATTTTTTTTCCAGAATTAATTGTATGCATTTTAATATTTTATGGAAAAAATCAGGCTCACAGATTTCATCATCATGTGCTTTATGAGCCTTTTTAATAAAATATGAGAATTCCCCATCTTTCAAAAGTCCACACAAAAGCTGCATGCAGATGTGTGTAGAAACTTTATTAATAATTTCCCACAGTTAAAAGTAAACCATTATGTCTTTCAATAAGTAACTGGCTAAATAAACTGCGATTCAGCCATTTGTACAATATTATTCAGCAACTTAAAAAAAAAAAAGGTTCTCAAGCCATGAAAAGAGATGGAGAACTCTTAAATGCATATTACTAAGTGAAAGAAGCCAGTCTGAAAAGGCCACATGCTATAGAATTCCTACTATATGACATTCCAAAAAAGGAAAAATTCCGAAGACAGTAAAAAAATCAGGAGTTGCCAGAGACTAGAGCGTGGGAGGGATGAACAGGTGGAATACAGGGAATCTTTAGGATAGTAAAACTACCCTGTATGATGTTATAATGCTGGATACATGTAATCAGACAGTTGTCCAAGCCCCATATGATGTGCAATAGCAAGAGTGAACTATAATATAAACAATTGACTTCAGATCATTATTAAGTATCAATGTGCAGAATATGTTGACAATGGAAGAAGCTGTTGGTGGGAATAGATGGTACGTGAGAAATCTGCACTTTCCACTCAATTTTTCTGTGAACATAAAACTTCTTCAAAAATAAAGTCTATTACAAAAAAAATTCTATACCCAAGCTTTATTTAACTAAAAAGAGATTTCTCTGTTTGCCAGGAAACTATTATTCAGCAATAAAAATATGCCATCATCAGAAGGATAAAATGATTTGGGAGAGATGCTACACGGAAAAGCATTCACAGATTTTGAAGTTGAGGAATTCATAAAGATAGAGAGTAGATGGGTGGTTACCAGAGGTCAGAAAAGATGAGGAGATGAAAGGATTTAAAAAAAAGTTGATTAATGGGTACAAATATACAGTTGATGTAAGAAATAAGACTCAGTGTTTCATAAATTAGTAGGGTGACTATAGTTTACACTAATCTGTTGTATGTTTCAAAATAGCTAGAAAATATAGCTATAGTTTGTGTCTACCATAAGGCAAAGAAATTTATTTGAGATGATTGGCTACCCCAATTATACTGATTTCATCTTTACAAATTATATCATTGTATTAAATTATCACATATACTCTCAAAATATGTACATCTATTACTATATATTAATGAAATAAATTAAAAAGTTGAGAAATAATAGAAAACAAATCTTATGCTGCAAACATCTTTATTAAAAGATATAGTTGTTAATATTTTAAAAATTTTAGTTTATACCAATCTAAAATTTTATGCATTAGACATAGAACAGAAAATCAGTCAGGTTAATAAAATTTAATATAGAAATTTTTGCATATATATTGCTGCTTTAGCTTATGTAAACTTTATGATGGCCAGCAAAAGAGCAAGATGGATCAGACACATCAGATTTAATTGTTTTAACTGAAAGTGACAAATATTACTTTCACTCACGGTCCATTAGCCAAACCTAGTCACATGGCCAACATCACTGCAAGGAAAACTGCAGGGTCAAAATCCCTTGGTCCACCAATGAGAGTAGAAGAGCTGAGTCTTTCTGAGAGACAAATGAGATGACATATTGAAACACTTAGTAATATCTGTTTTTATCTCATTATTACTGTTAATTGCCCTTGTTTTAGGTGTGTCTCTCTCAGTTCTTTTTACTGTTAGTATATCTGGAGTTAGAACGTGTTGCTTCTACAATAGCCTAGTCATTTAAATAAAAATGGTTGGGAAGAAAAACTATGGCATTATTTCAATTTTGTTCTTCTTTAGTAATAAAGATCCCTTCTAACTCTACTCCCACATCTACAATATCTGAAATACAGACTTTCTGTGGACTACCTGCCATGATATGTGTACTATCAATATGTTCACTTTCAGATGCAGCAAAAATAAAGTTAGGTAAGTTCCAAAAGCCGAGAGCTCCCTTCATTGGTAACAAATTAGCACCTATGGACATTTTGCATACATATATACTACCACATTCTGCACAAGAAATTGTGCTTGTTATAAAGGCAGGACTATCCTCAAGGAAACCTTGAGTTATCCACAGTTAATTCAGAATAAATATCAATGGATTGCAAAGTCCTTTGCTAAGGCTCTGAATTTGCACCTTTAAAGAAATCAGCCTTTCACATTTATTAGAGGTACGAACTGTTAATATACTTAATTTTTGCCTTTTATTAAATCAAGATGGTGGCAATACTAAAATGAATTCTAATAGACAATAGGTTATAAAATGCTGCATTCTGATGAAAAAAAATTCAAGCCAAAAACTACTAGCAAATTCTGCTAATAAACATTTTAGATAAAATATAGTTACATTTTTGTTTTGAGCTCATCTGAATCAATTGTGTTAGAGTTCTGATTACTAGTTTTTCTCATTGCTATTTCACAATAAAAAGGCTATGCAAATGAGTTTCATTAATTAACTCATTTTTTAACTACAGTTTTAAATCGTTTACTTATTTACATCTGCAACATTCTTCTACAGATTTCAATAAATTTTTGAGTGTTTTTATAACCAGAATGGTCTTGAGGGGATTCCCATAGAATTATAGATAATTTGATAAAGCAATATAAACATCATAAAATTATTCCTATTGTCATTTAATTTTGAAATACATAACATAATACAAATTGAGCAACATATCTAGTTAATGTCAAAATCATATGTCTCAAAAGCACACTATACTTTAAATTACTATGTAATTATATATCAAATTACTCATTAAAAATAGCATTACCTACCTTCCAAAATGAATTCTTTTAAATTATTTTTAATTCAACAGCAAAAATTTAAATGGAAGTAAGAGCTTGATTGCATATTATATTTTTGGATTACATCACAAATAAAAATATACTTTATGAAAATTTCTCTATTCATTGTTTAATTGCAATATATCTTAGCTGACTTACATTTATTAAATGCAGACAGTTAACTATTAAACATTAAAACAATTTAGAACAATATTAAAGCAATAAGGCTAATTTTCCTCTCTTTCCTGTCGAGTGAAGACAATATTCCAGCACTAGAAATAATAAGGGTGTACACTATATATACACACACACATATATATATATATAAAACATATGGCAATTACTCTTAAAATCATACTTCAAGTTATTTATTAGTAATGATTACACATAATTATTTTTGAAATGTGTTGGTTCCATGTGTTTCTTCTGTGTTCTACAAATGCAATGTAAAACTCTCACTGAGATAAAAATCCCATAATCTTCTCTTTTCAAAAGTTATTATAAACTATTAGTATAATATGTGCATATACTAGCATATGCATACTTCCTCAGCTGTAAACATACTTCAATTATTTATGACTTTGGACTGCAAAAGGGACAATCATAAATATAACATATATTACATAATTTTTTTCTAATATTAGTTACCCTTTTATTATTTAGACAGTATCAATGATGAGACTTTACTAAAACACCTAAGGAATAATTTCTATAATTATATATTTTTATAAATATCAATAAATATCTCAACTTCTTTGGATGTGTTTCTTGATTTTTTCTATCAAATAAATATAAAATGTCACCATGAAATAAGTGCCCCCAAATGGTAATAATCATGTATTGCTGAACTAAATTGTTGAATGCCACACAATTAGTGTAACTATATAAAGCAATTAGAAAATATCTAACACTTTCTATGTAAACTATTAGATATTTTAAATTTAAGTACCTTCTTATGTTAGCATATGCCCTTCCCATGTGGGGGATAATGAATAAATAGGAAGATTACACTTTTCCAATATCAATATTGCTCACAGCAAATCACTTTTTCGTTCAATCAGAGTCACTGCTGTCAATGAACTGCATTTAATTCGCAAGGGTAACTATTGCATTTGGCTTGCATTAAATTATTTTATGTTGCTGATTTTAGCTCATCATTTTTCTTAGATGATAAACTCCCTGATGACAATTACTGTGTGCTCACTATATTACCTCAAATGGAAGAAGTATATGAGACATTAGTCTTCATTGAATGGAGCTCATAAAGAAATCTAAACCCTGACTCAAGGGGTGGAGAATTAATACTTTGACATAGTTAATTGGGTAATTGCCTTAATTACTGAGGCCCATGAACAAAATGAATAATGTGAGTTTATTCACATTTTATATTTAGTAAGAAAAACTTCTTAACTATCAACTGAAATTACCTTAAATGTCCTTTTCTGGTGATAAGAAACATAGTGAACTTTATCTAATTTTCTCAAGTCATTATTTACAGAGAGGAAAAAATTCTAACCAAAGAGTGTATTAAAAGTGGACCAGAATCCTCCTGAGCCTAATAGATATGAATGCCTATAGTTACCTTGTTAAAATGAAGGAATTTTAAAGAAAATAGTCCATTTGCTTGAGAAACAGTAATATTTTATTTTTATTATTTATTGCTTGACTATTCATTGAACATTCAAATCCCTAGAAAGAAAAATATATTTAGGCATCAACAATAAAAGTATCATTGCCAAATTAAATTTTCAAATACAAGGCAAGCAACTCTGTATCTCATCCATTGATTTCCATCTGTCTCTTGTTTCATTTATTTCCTCGGGGTTAATTATTCTTCATAGACTTACAATCATTAATACATATCCATACTTGTTATATGTTAGTTGAAAAATAAGGTAAGTGGTTATTATTGTTAATAATAAATGACTATGTAGACTAAGGTGCTATATCTATTTATATGTAAGGTAGTTCAAAACCATAAATCTATCAGATAGTTCCTCTATCAATGAACAAACAAGTTTATTTTCTCAATATTTCCAATTTGGTAAAGTTACCTTATAAATGTGATAAGTGAGCTTTATTTTTTATAAAGATATTCTTTTATATTCATAGAAAATATATTAAGTAATGTCCGAAGACCTTATCCCAAAGTCTAAAAATTTTCTTAAATTACCAAAATTAACTAAAATAAGCCATAAAATGTTACCATCTATTGCCAGTTTTTCAAGTCAACTTTAAATAAACATATTTAGAATAACTTTTAAATGTTTATTACTCAAAACATAGTCTAGATAGAACATTAAATCTCCACATTTTAGAGTATTGTAAACATATCAGAAAGTACAGTAAATATTTTATCAATAACCTACACCAAATTTGACACCAAATAATTGACATCAATGTCTTCTTTAGTATTGCTATTTTTTTCTATGCTGAAGTCTTTCATATCTGGGGTACATTTCTTTAAGGCCAAATTTATTTGTTTAGTTTTGTTTTTTGGTAGATTAGCAAGGTTGTTTAATATATTGTTATTATTACCAACATTTTCTTATATTTATCCTAGTCATATAAAACAATTTCAGATAACACTTTATTGAAAAACATTTTACTATGTAAATAAGAAATGTTTGCACAACTGTAAACAAAAAAATAGTCCTTAACAGCATATATTCACTCCATCAGTGAAGCTAAAATAATCTTTGGTCTTTTCCCATCATTTCATATACAGTAAGAGCACATCTTGTGTTACGTGTTAGTTAACTGACTTAAACTGTGATTACTGGGTGTGATGATTAGTATTATATGTCAGGTTGACTTGGCTAAGGGATGCCAAGATAGCTGAAAAAACATTATTTTTGTGTGTGTCTATGACGGTTTCAAATGTTAGACTGAATAAAGATATGTGAGTGGGCATCATTCAACCTGTTGAGAGCCTGAATAGAACAAAATAGTAGAAAAAGGGTGAATTCACTCTCTCCGATAAAATTTCCTCAGATGTCAGAGCTTCTGGTTCTTGCGGCTTTGAACTTGGACTGTATCATACCATCAGTTTTCTGTTTCTCTAGCCTGCAGTTGGCAGACTGTTGAACTTCTCGGCCTTAACTATGAGCCAAGGGCTATAATCTCTGTTTCTGTTTCAATATCAATATCCCATTGGTTCTGTTTCCATAGGGAACTCTGACTAATACACTGGGTTTATTTTTTCATGGAAATGTTAATAACATACTTGTACAGACTGGGCAGAAGATGTAGCATGCTGGAGTCTGGTTTACTCGAAGCAGATACTAAAGAAAATTCCGAAAATTCCAACAGAAATATAAGAAAACGGCCGGGCGCGGTGGCTCACGCCTGTAATCCCAACTCTTTGGGAGGCTGAGGCAGGTGGATCACGAGGTCAGCAGATCAAGACCATCCTGGCTAACACAGTGTAACCCCGTCTCTACTAAAAATACAAAAAAATTAGCCGGGCGCGGTGACGGGTGCCTGTAGTCCCAGCTACTCGGGAGGCTGAGGCAGGAGAATGGCGTGAACCCGGGAGGCGGGGCTTGCCGTGAGCCGAGATCGTGCCACTGCACTCCAGCCTGGGCGACAGAGTGAGACTCTGTCCCTAAATAAATAAATAAATAAATAAAATAAATAAAAAAGAATATAAGAAAATACTTTTGGACATTGATTAGAAGCATAATAGAAAAATAGAGACAGGAGACATGAAAGGTTAACATTGCTTTAAAAATTATTTAAAAATTGAATATTTTAGGAACTAGTATTAAAATTATACTTTATACTTCATTTTGTTATTAAAATACTGTATGTGGTTAAATGTATAAACACATTTAAATATAACAAAGTTCCTAAATTCTATGTGTAATTCCATACCATTATGAGTGGACTGGACTATAAGTAGTGTTTATTTTGTCTTCCTTCTTATTTCTGTAAATCACAGTGTCTGTGTGAAAAAATCAGCTACTTACTCATTGTTCTTGAAGAACTTGTAAGAATTACCATAAATCTATGTGTTGATATTAGATTACAAGTTAAATGTTCTGGTCATGTAATTTGGCATGTTTATTCATAGAGCTCTTAGGGGATGGAGCTTCCTAAACTTGTGGTTTCATGCCCCATTATCTTTTCTGGTGGCTGTTTGGGGAAAAGAGACTTAAAATGCATGAATTAGCACCCTCTTCTCTTTTGAAATCTGTTAGCTGCTAAGAGAATATGTTCTAGTTTGCTCTTGGCCGGGCACTCTCTTAGTGGCATTGGCTCTATCTACACTTTGAGTAATATTGATTTGGCCTTTAATTTGCAAAAACTAAGCCATATTCTCCAATATTAATTTTATCGGTGAAATTACCTTTTTTGTCTATTAGTGTGACTCTTAATCTGTGACTCAGGCATACGATGTTATTATTGGGCCCTTAAAAAAGGACCCAAAAGCTTATAGCCTTGGCTTCTTTTGTCTTTAAGTTGAGCAGTTTGCCTTAGATAACTCTTGCCTTAGCTCTCATCTTCTTGGGTCTTTCCTTAAACGTCATTTTTTTTTTTTCAGTGTAGTCTTAGCCACTCTACTTAAACTCTGGAGTCTCCAACCTCATACCAGACATTTCTATTTCCTTCCTCTGACTTTTTTAGTGCAGTTATTGTCATCAAGTGTATTCTATTTTTTATTGTTTGAACCATTTATTCTCTGTTTACTTCACTGGAATTCAAGTTCCATGGAGGCAAACACGTTTGTTGACATGACTGATTGCATGTAGAACAGCAGTCCCTGGCACAGAGTAGATATTCAGTGAACATGTGAACTTTGTTATTAAGAAAATCACTCAAACCGAAGCGTACAAAGTGGACGCAATGTAGAGAATAAGTGTGTTTTTGCAAACGAAAAAGATTTTGAAAAAGTCAATATTTTGAGAAATAGCCTCTCAAAGTTTCTATTCCTACATTGACCATGAACGAAATTGAAGCAAAATAGTAATAAAATTAGTAACTTATTATTAAAATAATTTAAAATACAACATTCATAAACCTGTATGTGCATCTAACAGTATCAAAATAAATCAGAACTTTTTAGAACTGTTAGAAAGCATCCATACTCACAGAAAAAAAATTATGATCTGATAGGCCAAGAATACATTGGTAATGAATAAGGAATATCTTTAAAAAAATGCATTAATAAGCTTAATTAAATGGGTATATAAACAAACTGTCACACAACAAAGATAAAAAATATATACTATTTAATAACGTAATTCTTTTACATTTTTAAAAATACAAACATTCTCATTTAATTCTGAAAGTAAATATCATGTAAATCATTCTGTAAGAAATTAATTAGTAAATCTATAAATTAACTTTTTTCAGATAGTGATAGAATCATTTTTATATCCCTTCAATCATCAATATAGTGGACTAAATACACAGACTTATTAAAAATAATAGGCAAACAGATTATTATTATTATTATTTTGAGATGGAGTCTCACTCTGTCACCCAGGCTTGAGTGCCGTGGCACAATCTTGGCTCTCTGCAACCTCTGCCTCCTGGGTTCAAGCTATTCTCTTGCCTCAGCCTCCTGAGTAGCTGGGACTACAGGCACAAGCCACCACGTCTGGCTAATTTTTGTATTCTTACTAACAAGGAGGTTTTACCAGGTTGGCCAGGCTGGTCTCGAACTCCTGACCTCAAGTGATCCTCCTGCCTCTGCCTCCCAACGTGCTGGGATTACAGGGGTGAGCCACCGCGCCAGGCCCACATTATTTTTATACAATATAAAGACAAACTAGAGCACATTATTGAATATATTTCATGTATCATTGCTTTATTTCAGGAATTAAGTCTGAACAATAATACTGTGAGGTGTAGTGCCAATTTTATTGCCTCATTTAGAACACCTGCTGTATTTCAGTGACTTAAGAACTGAAAAATAAAGCATATTTAGTTTCATCTTTAGTAATAATATTCTAGTAGTATATTTTATTAATAAAATAAATTTTACTTCACTTAAATGAAAAGATAATATGTACCTCATCAGAATTTATCTTCACAAAATACACTAAATCTCAGATTTATTTCAAACATTTGTAGAGAACTAAAGATCACAATTACTTGATATTTCGTAGACTCACATAATAGTTAAGTGAAAGGATAGATTTTTAGCACAATCCCTTTTGAATATGTGAAGAAATGAAGATTGAATTTTTGCCCCTGGCTTTATTCCTGATCATCAGGTCAATCCCCTTTTCTTCCAAATTAAATAGTTTCTTTCACTCTGGAGCTTGTGAAAACATGTGAATTCTTAATTTCTCCTAAATATATGTTAAATATAGTGTTGTTTATTTTGAAGTGATTTTAGTGTTTCTAAATATAGATGCCCTTCAGTTCTTTAAATATTATAAAAAATAATAAATTTTCAACACAAAGACTATCAAATAATTTAGCCAAGTTATTTTTATAAGTCAAGTAGAAGTCACTAATAGGTTACCAAAAGTAATCTCAGGAGTACAGACCAGTTACCATCAGTAAGGGAAACAGTGTGTGTAAGCTAGACTCCAATAAATCACCATGTAATGCCAGCTGTCTTTACTTTTGAAACTTTTCTTTTTCGTTTCTAACAGGTTCTATCACATCATAGACGCAAGGTCTGGGAGTCTTTAGATAGGAAACTAGAGTCAATAAAATTGATCATTTTCACCCATGCAATCTTTCAATCCACAAAGGGAGGAAAATATTTTGTTTTATTTTTAGTTCTATTTGTATGAACACCCAATTGCTCTTCTCTGCTTTTCCCAATGAAGATATCTTATAGTAACAGCAAACTCCACAAGATTTGAACTTCAATAGTCTTACAAAAATGAGAAAATACGTACCATCCAGTTAGCAACAAACTTCGTTATTTATTACTATTTATTTCAAACTCTACAACTCAACAACAGATTCCTGTTGTTGACTCATGAGGATTTTTCTGGACTGCTAAGGTGAACCTTAGAAACAGAAGGCCTGCATGACTTCAAGGAACATTTTATACATAAAATAATATTAAACTACAGAATTTATTTTGTCAACATACATTTAGTTACATACACAATGTGTGTTTATTAATAAATTTATTGAATGAATCAATAATTTAAAAACATTGACATGTTAACAAATGAAGTAAAGTCTTTTTTATCAATTTATATCAATAATCTTTTATATATATTTAAAGGTTTTACAGAATTTGGTTGTTTTCAAGGTTAATAGTTCTGAAGATATATGTTTCTAGGTTTTAAATGTGCCCCCACCGTGAAAATCACGTGTTGGAAACTTAATCCCCAATGCAAATCCCAAGTGTTGGGAGAAGGGGCCTAATAAAAGGTTATTGGGTCACGAGGGCTCTGTCCTCATGAATGGATTAATGAATAATAGTTCATTAGATTAATGAATAATGAATAATAGTTACTGCAGGAATAGGTCAGTTATCACAAAAGCACATTGTTATAAGAGAGAGCCTGGGCCAGGCGCGATGGCTCAAGCCTATAATCCCAGCACTTTGGGAGGCCAAGGCAGGCAGATCACCTGAGGTCAGGAATTCGAGACCAGCCTGACCAACATGGTGAAACCCCGTCTCTACTAAAAAAAAAAAAAAAAAAAAAAATACAAAATTTGCCGGGCGTGGTGGCGCATGACTGTAATCCCAGCTCCTCAGGAGGTTGACACAGGAGAATCATTTAAACTCGGGAGGTGGACGTGGCAGTGAGCCGTAATCACGCCATTGCACTCCAGCCTGGGCAACAAGAGCGAATCTCCTTCTCAACAACAACAACAAAAAAAAAAAAAAAAGAGAGAGAGAGAGGGTGCCTGTCCTCTCTTGCTTTCTCTGTCAACTGAGCTTATTTCTGCCTTCTCTTTCACCTTTCACCATGGCAGGAAGTTCACACCAGATGCCAGCACCATGCTCTTAAAATTGACAGCCTCCAGAACTGTGAGCCAAATAACCTTCTATTGTTTACAGTGCTACACAGTTTGTGGTATTCTGTTATAACAGCAGAAAATAAACTAAGATATGTGTCTTCAGAGGCATAAGGGAGAAATAACCTTTTTTTTTTTTTTTTTTTTTGTATTCTGTCTTCTCTGACCAGGTTTGAGGTGAACTAATTGAAACTGATAGGCTTCAAACTACAGTTCCATTGGTAGTAATGAAATTTGGGTCGTACAAAAGCAAGAAAAACAAACAAACATATGTTTTCCTTTTTTAGAGGAACCAATTGTGTGCCTGCAACAGAAACCTTTCCAACTGATTTTCCCTCACTCTACTTCTTCTAAAATTTGTAATACTTAATATATAGTGATACATGATACATCTACACATAATCTTACTGGTCAAAAGTTGTTTCTTACTTTAGATATTATAACATAATAATATTGAATGTTAATAGCAAATTTGACCCTTCCGTATTGAACCATAAAGAAGAAAATCAATATATATATTGATATATAAATACACATATGTACGTGTATATATACACATATACACACAACATATTTATATATACATATTTATATATAAGCACAGAAATGATCACTAAGGAGATTGTCATACCTGAGGTATATGGAGATCCCTGGGAACAAAGAAGTGTGTAAGCTGACAGCCTCAGTCACACAGTGGTTGCCACCACAGTCCCTAGAACTCACCTCTGCAGAAGACACTGCCTGCTTTCATCACTGAGACAACCATCTCCATCGTAAAGTCCCCTGAGAAGGAAACAGTGCTGTGTTCTCTCCACTGAAAAAAGAACTGCTGCCCTGGCAACTCAGGGCAGAAACTAGTACCCCTCTCAACCCTGCATGCACCCCAGTCCCAGGGCTATATTCACCCAGTGGGAGCCCACACCCCAGACACTTGTCCGTAGATGTTCTGTGCTTGCCTACATTCAAAACCACAGGTCTGTGGCCACATTGCATGAACTCATACTTCAAACAAAGAAGCCACCACTGATAGGGCTAACACTTTCCCAGGCCTTGGGACCCCAGTTGCTCTGTGCACCCACACTATGGAGAGCAGTTTTACAACCTTTCTGTGAGTGTCTGCGCTGCTAACAATTGAGCTATCATCACAAGAAGCTAGTCCCTGGAGCCACCGTAGCTCCTCATGTGCCTGCACTGCATATACTGGCTCTAGAGATGGACTGTGAGCACCATACCTCAGATGCCAGAGTCATTGCTGCTATGGGTTAGTTCACCTCCCTGGCTTCAAGTCACTGTAACTCAGCGCATGCTCACACTTTCGATTCTGGCTTCCCAGATGCTCCACAAGCACTTGTGCTTCACACATTGTTACCAGTGTCGCAGCAGGTGTGTCTGTGTCACAAACATTGGTGTCACCACCACCCTGGACCTAGAAACTTGGTCTCTTCAGGCCTTTTAGGTCCCTTCAGACCTGTGCTTCAGGCCTTAGGTCTGTGGCCACTCCAAGGACGTTGTGCATTAGACACTATTGCCAGTGTTCCTGGGAACACAACCACAAGCTAGACCCAACGCGAAGAGAGACTCCTTTAGCCATGACTTCCCAGTGGAAGAAAAAAAGTCTATAAAAGCCTTTGTTATTGGTGCAGATAGCCACAGCCTTGGCTGTTAAAGATCCCTGGGGTTTTTGCTGACACCAACATCAGCTGATAAGCTTCACAGAGACTATGACCACTGCATTCTCATCAGAGCCAGAACATCTGTACCCATCGTAGACAGTGCCATCACTTATACCTGTAGGGAAGGACTTTCCAGTGTAAAATCAATCCATAAAGTTGGCAAGGGGTGAAATGTACATACATTAATGAAAGGTAACAAGAACTATAGAAGACCAAGGAATCAACACCACAAAAAGAACACAATAATTTTCCTGTGATTTACACCAAAGAAATTAAGATATGTGAATTGTCAGACAAATAATTCAAAATAATTGTTTTAAGGAGTTCAGCACACTACAAGTCAACACAAACTGACAATTAAACAACATCCAGAAAATGTTTAACAGAGAGATTGGCATTATACAAAAAGAACCAAACAGTAATTATGAAGCTGAAGAATGCAATGAATAAAATGAAAAAGAGTCAGTCAGCAGCAGAATTGACTGGCGAAAGAACCAGTTAACTTAAAGACAATTACTTAAAAGTACACAGTCAGAGGGAAAAAAAGAATGGAAAGAAGTGAAGAAAGCCTATGAGATTTATGGGACAGCAAGAGAGCTACCATTTACATTATAGAATTTTAAAAAGAAGGAGAGAATAGATGGAATGGACGGAATGCATATTTAAGGAGATATTGACTTAAAGCATTTCATGTCTGCAAAAAGATATAAATACCTAGCCAGAGGAGGTTTAAATGTCTCAATCATGTACAATCCAAAGAATGCTATACCAAGACATATTACAGTCAAACTATCAAAAATCAAAGACAAAGCAATAATATTGAAAGCAGCAAGAGAAAAACAGTTATTCACATATAAGAGATCCTCTATAAGGCAACCAGTGGATTTATCAGCAGAAACTTTGCAAGCCAGAAAACAGTGGGATTATCTAATCGAAGTGATGAAAGGGAACAAGAATGTGGTTATTTTGCCAAGAAAGAATACTTTAACTCACAAAGATGTCCTTCTGAAATGAAGGAGAAAAAAAGTCTTTCCCAGACAAATAAAGCTGAGGAAGGTCATCATCACTGGATATGCCTTTCAAGAAATGCTAATGGGACTTTTTCAAGGTGAAAAAAAATGGATGATAATTAGTAACATGAAAGTACAATACTCACTAGTAAGTACAACAAAAGACATACAGTGACTGAATGGATGTATAAAAATAAAAAAAAAATACCCAAATATATGCTGCTTACAAAAGTCTCACTTTACCCATAAGGAACACATAGACTGGAAATGAAGGGATGGAAAAAGATATTTCATGCAAATGGAAGCCAAAATATTGTAGGGGAAGTTATTTATATCTGACAATGTAGACTTTAGATCAAAAACTGTAAAGAAACAAGGAAAATAATTATGTAAAAATAAAGGGGTTAATTCATGAACAGGATATAACAAATGTAAATATATATGCACCCAATATTGGAGCAGCTAAATATATAAAACAAATATTAACAGATACAATGGGAGAGAGAAGTGAAATACAATTGTAGTAGGAATTTTCATACCGCATTTTAAAGAGCGATAGATCATCCAGACAGAAAATCAATAAGAAAATAGTGGACTCAAATTACACTTTAGAACAAATAGACCTAACAGACATATACACAACATTCTATCCGACAGCAGTAGAATACACATTCTTCTAAAGTGTAATGGAATATTCTCCAGGATAGATTGAATATTAGACTACAAAATCAGTCAACAAATTTAAGAAGATTGAAATCATATCAAGTATTTTTTCTGACACAGAGGTATGAAAGTAGAAATAAACAAAAGGAGATAATTTTAGAAAATTTACAAATATGTGGAAATTAAACTATAAACTCCTGAACAACCAGTAGGTCAAAGAAGAAAGTAAAAGAAAAATTTTAAAGTATCTTGAGGTCAACAAAAAAGGAAACGAACATACTGAAACATAGGATGCAGCAAAAGCCATTCTAAAGGGGAGGTTTGTAACACGGGTGCAGTGGCTCACACCTGTAATCCCATTACTTTGGGAAGCCAAGACAGGCAGATAGCCTGAGGTCAGGAGTTCAAGACCAGCCTTGCCAACATGACAAAACAACATCTCTACTAAAAATACAAAAATTAGCCGGGCATGGTGGTGAGCACCTGTAGTCCCAGCTACTAGGGAGGCTGAGGCAGGAGAATCGCTTGAACCTCAGAGGCAGAGGTTGCAGTAAGCTGAGATTGCACCTCTGCACTCCAGCCTGGGTGGCCAAGTGAGACTCCATCTCAAAATAAATAAATAAATGCATACCCAATAAATTAAATGCTTACATTAAAAAAGTAGAGAGCTCTCAAATCACCTGATGGTACAATTCAAGAAACTAGAAAAGGAAGAACAAAGTAAACCCAGAGTTAGTAGAAGGAAAAAAATAACAATTATCAGAGCAAAAGTAAGTTAAACAGAGACTGGAAAGATAATAAAATTAAATTAAAAGTTTATTTTTTGAAAAAATAAACAATACTGAAAAACCCTTAGCTAGACTACTAAGAAATAAAAAGAGAAGACCCAAAGAAATAAAATCAGAAATCAAAAAGGTGACACTACAATTGATACCACAGAAATATAAAGAACCATAAAAGTCTTGTATGAACCATTATATATCAACAAATTGGATAATATAGAAGAAAGGCTTAAAGTTGTAGAAAGATATAACTTACCAAGACGGAATCATTAAGAAACAAAAAAGATGAACAGAGCAATAACAAGTAACTAGGCTAAATCAGCAATAAAAATCTTCCATCAGAGTAAATTCTAGGACCCTGATGCCTTCACTACTGAATTCTATGAAACAATTAAGGAAGAATTAATATCAGTCCTTCTCAAACTCATCCAAAAAATTGAAGAGGAGGGAACACTTTCTAACTCATCTTATGAGACCAGAATTTCCCTAATATGAAAGCCAGGCAAGGACATTGCAAGAAAAAAATCAACTATTACAGGCCAATCAATATCCCTCATGAACATAGTTCTAAAACTTGCCCACAAAATACTAACAAACTGAATTCAAAAACATGTTAAAACATCTTTCAACATCAAGTAGGATTTATCACTAGAATGCAAGGATGTTCCCATTTATGTAAATCAGTAAATGTGATACATCACATTAACAGAACAAAGAACAAAACCAAAATGATCATCTTACTACATGCAGAAAAAGCATTTGACAACATTTAGCATTTTTTCATGATAAAAAACTCTCACCAAATTAGGTATAGAAGTAATCTGTCTCAACATAATAAAGCCCGTATATTATAAACCCAAAGTTAACATCACACTCAAAGGTGAAAAGTTGAAATCTTTTTCTAAGATTAGAAACTAGACAAGAGTACTCGCTCACGCCACTTCTATTCAGCATATTACTGAATGTCCTAGCCAGAGCAATCAAGCAAGAAAAGGAAATAAAGAGCATCCAGGTTGGAAAGGAAGCAGTTAAATTGTCCTTGTTTGCAGATAACATGATCTTATATAGAAAACCCTAAAGACACCACCAAAAAAACTGTTAGAACTAATAAATTCAGTAAAGGTAGAGGATCCAAAATTAACATAAAAGTTTCAGTAGTGTTTCTGTACACTAACAACAAACTATCTGAAAAAGATATCAAAAAAGCAATCCCATTTACAGTAGTATTTAAAAAATCTTAGGAACAAATTTTAACCAAGGAGGTGAAAGATCTGTACACTGAAAACTATAAAACACTGATAGAAGAAAATGAAGAAAACACAAATAAATGGAAAGAGATCTCATGTTCATGAGTTGGAAAATTAATATTGTTAAAATGCCATAAATACTCAAAGTAATCTGCAGAGTCAATGTAATCCTTATTAAAATTCAGTTTTTTCACAGAAATAGAAAAAACCTAAATTCTAAAATTGTATGAAACCATAAACTCTCTAAATAGGGAAATCACTGTTGAATAAATAGAAAAAAGCTAAAGACATCATACTACCTGATCTCAAAATTTACTACAAAATTATAATAATGTAAGCAACATTCTACTGACAAAATGCAGATATATAGACCAATATGAGAGGAGAAGCCTCTTAAATAAATCCACTTATTTATGGTGAAGTGATCTTTGATAAAGTTACCAAAAATCTACAGTAGGGAAAGGACAGTCCCTTATCTCCACCGTTTACAAAAATCAACCCCAAATGGACAAGACTTAAACCTAAGACCTGAAACTATGAAATCACTAATGGAATACAGGAAGACTTCCAGAACATTGGTCTGAGTAATATTTTGTGGGGAGGCATGACCCAAAAATCACAGGTAACAAAAGCAAAAATAGTCCAATGGAATTAAATAAAACTTAAAACTCAAAAGCTCTGTACAGCAAAGGAAACAGCAGAGTGAAGAGATAATCTAGGGAACTGAAGAATGTATTTGCAAATCACACTCTAATAGCAAATAAAACTCCCAAATGCCCTGATTAAAAAATAGGCAAAGAATCAGAATAGATATTTCTCAAAAGAAGACCCACAGATGGCCAACAGATATATAAAAATATATTTAACATCATTATTTATCAGAGAAATGCAAATCAAAACCACAAGGAGATATCACCTCACACCTGTTAGAATGGCTATTATCAAAAAGATGAAAGAAAACAAGTATTGATGTAGAAGTGAAGAAAAGAGAAACCTTGTATACTGTTGGTGGGATTGCAAATTAGTACAGCATTTATGGAAAGCAGTATAAAGCTTCTTCAAGACATTAAAACTGGAATTACAATATGATCCAGAAATCCTACTGCTGAGTATATGTTCAAAGGAAAATAAATCCATTTGCTGAAGAAATATCTTCATTTCCATGTTCATTGCAGCATTATTCACAATAGCCAATTTATAAAATCAACCTGTGTCCATCAACAAATGAATGGAAAAAGAAAATGTGATAAACACACACACACACACACACACACACACACACACTCACTCAATGGAATTAAAAGAGAAAGAAACCTTGTTATTTGCAACAGCATGGAGAAACCTGAAGGACATTATGCTATGTAAATAAGCCAGGAACAGAAAGACTAACACTGCCTGATCTCACTTACACGTGGAATATAAAAAAGTTGAATTCATACAGGCGGCAGACACAATGGTGCTAAATGATGAAAACACATGGATACAGAAGGGTGGTTGTTGGATCTTGGGGATGGGAGTGGAAATACAGAGATTTTGGTCAAAGGGTAAACATCTTCAGTCAGATAGGAGGAATATGTTCTGGATATCTATGGTATCGCATGGTGACTAGATTTAATAACAATGTATTGTATTCTTGAAAATTGGTAAATAAGTAGATCTTGAATGTTCTCACAGCAAAAAAGATAAATATGTAAGGTTATGGTTATGTCACTTAGCTTGATTTAAATTTGATTTAATCTTTCATATGTATACATATACCAAAGCACCACCAAAAATATATGGATTTTTACATTTATTAATTGTCTTAATAAAAGAAAAAGGTTAAACATGGATGTATAAAAAATAAAGAACACCTAAGAGAGTTAAATTCCCAATAAGTACTAGGAGCTGTTATTAGGAAAAGCTTGATACTTGAACTTATAGAATCAGAGATAAAATAACAGAAAGTAAAGATTGAAATTCATCATTGCTCTCTGAGTTCTTAGTATATCAAGACTTCTCATTTACAGCAGCATATTTCTCAAATTTCAATCTGTTAAATTTTGTTTGTCACCCTCCATGAAACATTTTACATTAAAGTAATACTAGACCATTTTAAGCAGAAGTTCCTTTTATGTTGCACCTGAATTGTGCCTATGAAAAAGAAAAAAAATTTATAGAAATAAAGATCCTTTCTTTTCAGTGTGTAATATTAGAAAAAGTTGGCTTTTGAGCCAGAGAATCAGATATGTCTATAATTGACATCATTGTATCCCTAAGCCTTTTGGCCACACACAGTTGCAATCTTTTGAGCAAACATTAGAAAATTTAGAATAAAGTATTATCACCTGTGTTCATTTCTAACCTACCTTATTCAAAAACAGAATATATTCACTTTTAACAAAAATAGAAGGCTGTCACTTGTAGAATGTGTACTGTTCTGACTGATGAGAACTGTCTCTCACCAGAGGACACTTGCAACTTACTTGAAAGAGTAAAACATTTTTGATAATCTTCTATCACAGTTTATGTCATAATTGAAGACTCAACTTGTAACATAGTCATCCGTGGCCACTGTGTTCATTCTCTGCAATATATTCTCATTATTTTGCTCTTTTTTATTTTTGGTGTTCAAAATCAAGCTCACTGATAAATTGCACATATTTGCCACTCCACTTTTTTTCTCCAGACTTTTCTCTTTCTTGGGTTTCCCCCTAATGTTCTGTCTTCTTTGCAGATGTTTCTTTCTGCATTTTAAATGCTGAGGTTTCCCAGAGCTAATTTCATCTCTTCATGTCTTCGTGCTACTAAATGTGATCTGTATATTGCAGGGGGTACTCACACAGAATTTGCATAAGGTAGACCGGAACTTGAAGTTCTGCCATTTACCACTCAACTTTGCAACTTTGGGAAACACACTTTATATCCATGTCCATCTGAGAATTCATCCCTCAAACGCGAAAATAGAGTTTAACATCTGAATCCATTTGGTAGATTAAAAGAAATAATAAATATAAAATAATTAGCACAGCATAGTACCCAGAAAGCAATACTAATGACCACCATAACTCCAAATTCTCTATCCCAAGCTTGACTTCCTACACACACATTTGTCAACTACAACCTGATGTCTCATAGAATCTCTAACTCAGCAAGTTCAGAACTAAATTCATAATAATTCATCTGTTTCTAGCTCTTTCTCCTCCCTTCCTTCTACAGTGATACAGGTTCCTCTCTAAACATTCTGAGTCATGGGTTATTTGAGTGAGTGAGAATATAAGCCAAATTAAAGAAGCAAAAATGCAACACATTCTAGAATCTTTCTCCCTAAAGCTATAGCTAGTCATTGCTATAATATTAAAGGTCCTGCCCTCTTAAGATGTTATATATTGAATCATTTTCTATCCCCATTGTCACTGTAGTGTCATAATTCAGGCTTATATTTTACCTGGTCTCAAAAATTACAATACATTCTTATCTATCTAGAGACGCATTCACGCATGCACTAAGATAGATTTTTCCAATATATAAATAATTACATTATCTAATTTCACTTATAGCAAAAATTTTACTTATACTTTGGCTTGTAGCAAAAATTTCCTGATTTTTTGTATATTATAGCAATATGAAATCTTACCAAATTTGGAAGGAATTTTTACATGTCTTTATCATTTTTACATGATGTTAATTTTAAAGCCAGTATCTTATATGAGCATGTTACAAAATACTATTATATGGCTTCTTAATTCTATATTGTAATACTATTATAATATGTAAAAACATTTAAATTTTTTATTTTAACATTTGATGTATACTATTTAATTTTCTTTAATGTTTTTATGTAAGTAAAAGCAAACTTTTTATACTTAGTATATAAACCAAATGCAAATAAAAATGGAGATCGTATTTCAGATATATGACTTGGAAAAATAGATTATAAAACCCTGCTTTTCAGAACTGAAATTGAAAATTACAACTGTCATTTAAAATCAGTCTGTTTCTTTATTAAAATGCTATAACAAAATATCCAAATAGATAAAGTTTCAGGCCATTCTTCGAAAGCATATTTCCCATAAACCACATCTAAAACTAATTATTTTGAAATGTTAATTATCCCAATAAATGAAAGTTAAGTGGTTTATAATGTCATTATATTCCTCCTACAAACGTGTTTTAAGCAATAAGGAAAACAATGTACTATATGAGATTTTTTTCAAAAACAGAATGCACATTTTGAATTTACACAAACATACTGAGGAAAGTGTGACAAAATATTTTAATTATTTTAATTTGTCATTCAAATTTTCATTTTAAGATATATGGATTTAGAATTTATTTTATTTTATTTTTTAGCATTCATCGGTACATTTTATGTATTTTTTTAACCTTTAGGTTCAGGGTTACATGTGCAGGTTTGTTATATAGGTAAACTTGTGTAATGGGGGTTTGTTGTACAGATTATTTCATCACCCAGATATTAAACCTAGTACCCACTAGTTATTTTTCCTGACTCTCTCCCTCCTCCCACCCTCCACTTTCCAACAGACCCCAGCGTGTGTTGTTCCCCTCTATGTATCCTTGTGTTTTCATTATTTAGCTCCCACTTGTAAGTGAGAACATGCAGTATTTGGGTTTCTCTTCCTACATTAGTTTGCTAAGGATAATGGCCTCCAGCTCCATCCATGTCCCTGCAGAGGATGTGATCTCATTATTTTTTTATGACTGGGTAATATTTCATGGTTTATATGTATCCCATTTTCTTTATCTACTGATCACTGATGGGCATTATGTTGATTCCGTGTCTTTGCTATTGTGAATAGGACTGCAATGAACATACAAGTGCATGTGTCTTTATAACGGAACAATTTATATTCCTTTGGGTACATACCTAGTAATGGGATTGCTGGGTCGAATGGTATTTCTGCCTTTAGGTCTCTGAGGAATTGCCACAGTGTCTTCCACAATGGTTGACCTAAGTTACACTCCCACCAAAAGTGTATAAGCATTCCTTTTTCTCCACAACATCGACAGGATCTGTTATTTTTTGACTTTTTAATAATAGCCATTCTGACTGCTGTGAGATTTGCATTTCTCTAATGATTAGTGATCTTGAGCTTTTTTTTTCATATGACTGTTGGCTTCATGCATGTCTTCTTTTGAAAATTATCTGTTCATGTCCTTTGTCTACTTTTTAATGGAGTTGTTTGTCTTTTCTTGTAAATTTCTTTAAGTTCCTTATAGATACTGGATATTAGACCTTTGTTAGATGCATAGTTTGCAAAAATTTTCCCCCATTCTGTAAGTTGGCTCTGTTGATTGTTTCTTTTGCTATTCATAACCTCTTTAATCAGATCCCATTTGTCAATTTTTGATTTTGTTGCAATTGCTTTCTGCATTTCATAGAGAAATGTATTATATTTGTCAAATGGGCTATTAGAAATATAGTATTGGACTTCAGGACAATGATTACCGGAGACAAAGTTTTGAGGTTTCTCTGCCAAGAGATATGAAGGGAAGTCACAGGAAAATAAAACAAAGCAATGTACTACATAAAGAAAAAGTAGAAAATGAATGCAATCATTAATTATGTTTTTGTTCTAGCCATGCATTCAACAAATGTTTGCTAAAAGCCTTATTAGGTCTAAGAGAAATAGCCACGAACATGAATAAAACCATACAGTTGATTTAAAATAGTTTTAATTTACCAGCAAAAATTGTATATATTTATGATGTGTGACATGACGTCTTGACATATGTGTATATTATGGCATGGTGAAATTAAGGTATTTAATGTTTATGCAACACCTCACATGCTTATTTATACTTTGAGAAGTAGCAGCAAGCTGTCTGAAAATAAATATCTAAATTATAAATAGGAAAATCAACCAGATTATTGTATATATTTATGTAATATTAATACCTTTCCTAAAATGCCCCTATAAAGACATGGGTCCCAGGCACTAAACCAACTATAGACCCATAGAAGACAATCAGTTCTGTTGCCATCTTTGGTACCTTGAAACTGTTTTTTTGATACATGCAGAAACTTCTAAATTGGGTTTTATAGATACTGAATAGCAGTTCTTCATCCATGGGCAACCCACTTATGCATTCTTTGGACTGTATCTGTGGATCTGACTGTTCATAAAAAGCTTTTGGCTTTGTCAGAGCATCAAGTGTTGATTTAATATGAAATTTCACCCACAAAATCTACATAGGAACCAAGGGTTTCAACTTCGTCGCACATGTCAGCCAAGTGAGCCTAGAAGGAGCTGTTCACAGAGATTTAGATAGATAATTCCAGTTTTTGAAAGGCCAATGACCAGAACAATAGTACAATCCATTGGCTCCTGACTAGGGATATGTTTCAATAATTTTAACACTTTAGGATGTGTATACATGCTATGAAAATGATTTTCAATTCTTTGTTCCCCTACAAGGCTGATTCGTCATTTGCAAAGATCTGGGAAGCAATATTAGCAAAGCAATCCATGAGCTTGGCAACATTTCTGAGGATGACTACAAAGTTCCTAGGATATCAAGAGGTAGCAATAATGATCCCTGCCAGTGCTGTACTGGGAGACTAGCCAATATCAAGGGAAGTAATGGCAAGTTGTGGATCCACGCTTTGTCCTATCCTGCGTGTTCCACATCTATTCATATTGAAGTTTTCATTTTCTGGCCACCCCATTCATTCCATTCCATCGTAGCCTTTCTGGCCACTGTGGTATCTCTACTTAAATACCACTTGTAAGTGCAACCATTCCTGACAATTCTCTATTAGTAAGCAATGTATCTTTCTTATTACATCCTAATTCTGTCTCTTGCTTTATTTTTATCTTTGGTGTTCATTATCCTATGATATGTAATGCATTTATACTTTTAAAAATGTATTGTCTGTCTTCAAATGGAATATAACCTCCTTGAGGATATCTTTTTAATTGTTCATTATTATGATCCTGGTTTCTAGACCAGCACTTGCATTAAGTAAGTGCTTATACTTGTTGAATACATGAGTAAGTGAACACAAAAGTTGGGAGGCATCTTGTTATCTTAAAACCCCACATAGCTCATAACTGAAATGCTTTTGACACATTTTATTAATCTTATAAAAAGGCCTGTAATCCCAGCTCTTTGGGAGGCCGAGACGAGAGGATCGCTTGTTCCCAGGAGTTCAAGACTAGCCTGGGCAACATAGGAAGACGCCAGCTCTATAAAAAATTTAAATAATTAGCTGGGTATGGTGGCATGTGCCTTTAGTCCCAGCTACTCAGGAGGCTGAGGTGGGAGGATCGCTTAAGTCTAGGAGGTTGTGGCTTCAGTGAGCCATGATTGCACCACTTCAGACCAGCCTCGGTGATAGAATGAGATAATATCTAAAAATTTTTTTTAAAAATTTTAAAGCAACCATATTAAGAGGCATGATCATACTAGATGTGATAAATGCTGCTCCTAAAAATATATTAGAAAGTTTCTTTCTAAGTATTAGTTTTGGTATTTAGGGGGCTCAAGGATAATAGTTTCTGTCTAGTCTTGAGCATATTTGTCCCTGATAACTGGGACTATACTGTCTGGGAAGCCATGTATATGATTTTCTATGTAATAACACACCCTTTTTTGCAATAAAATCAATAAAGACAGAGCATCACACAATTTTTTCACAATTACTGCGGTTAATACGGCACCAATGTAATGAGCAACTTTAGCATTTGAGTTAGGTTGAGGCCATCTGTTTAAAGCTCATCTTAGTGGATTATGATATCATGCCAGATAATTTAAATATCCAGGTGGCTCGGAAAACACTAAATCAAACTTCTGGCCATAAAAGAGAAAAACAAATTGCTCTTGATATCCAGCATTAACAGTGACTCGTAAGATCACATAAGCCAAATCAATGGCTGCATACCAATCAGAAATTAAAAATCATCTTTCAATGTAGAAATGTGGTCACAGTTTTCATCTAATTGCTGCAACCTTTTTTAAAATTTATAAATAATTCTATTTATATTCTACAAATAATTGCCAGAACCCATCTGACTTTTGTACCAGCCAAACTGAGACCATAATTGGGATGATTATTGGCATTGTATATAACCTACCCCTGTGATTTCCATATTAGAATTAAAACATTATATATCTTCCTTAAAATATTGCATTATAATTTCATGATTATGATTTATAATGAAGTTCCTGAACTGCTTCTTTTTGTCCTTTTAAGAATCCTTTCCCTAGAATTATAAAAAACAAATTATCAGTAGGAGTTGAAGGAATGGGGAAAGCTTCATTGCCTTAGTTCTTTATGTCTAACCTGGACACTTGATAAAATTCTGTAGCTTCAACTTCTTTCTCCTCAAGATTCTTTATTATTTATATAATCACTACTTTCAAAAGCTCCTCAATTTTTGGTATATTAATGTTTCTTAGGGTCATTTGGACTTGGACATAGAGTTACAGATTCTGTGAAAATATTTTTATGTGATTGTTCTCGAGGAATAGACATGAGGATAAATCAAAAGAAGGTACATTTCATTTTTGTTGTTGTTGCTACTGTTCTTGTTCTGTAGGGAGTGTGTGTGTGTGTGTGTGTGTGTGTGTGTGTGTGTGTGGATTGGGGGCCTGGGGATTGTAATTATTCTTGTTTATGTTGTACAGGCAGAGATTGACCTTTGTATTAAGTTCCCTAGGGCTGCTGTAACCAAGTAATACAAACTAGGTGGCTTAAAAAAAAATTTATTGTCTAGCAGTTCAGGATACTAGAAGTCCGAAATCAAAGTATCTGCAGGGTCATGCTCACACTGAAACATAAGGGAATCTTTTCCTGGCTCTACCTGGCTTCTGGTAGTTGGCTGGCACTATTTGACATTCCACAATTTGTAGAGTCATCACTCCAATCCTCAGTCTTCACAGAGCCTGTGTCTCTGCCTTCTTTAAAGACACCAGGCTTCTAGGATTAGGACACTAGCCTACTTCAACATGACCTCATTCTAATTTAACTCATTGCATCTGCAAAGATCTTATTTCCAAGTGTGTTCACATTTTGAGGTACTTAGGGTTACGACTAGAACATATCTTGTTCTTAGGGACACAATTGAACACATCGCAACCTCTTTTATTTTCTTCCCTTTGGCATCTTGCTTTAGGAGGAGTAATCACCAATGTGGCTGTTGTGGCCCCTGCAGGCTACTCCACTATAGCTGCTGTTGTAAGCAGAAGTGATCACATGTGCCAATCAAGAACTGATGCCTGGAGTTCCTAAACTAATGACTCCTGAGCAGACACTTGTCTCCATCTAGACTATGTGACTGTCACGCTAAGTGAGCAAATTCTTCATTACCCAATTCCTGTGAACTTTCTCAGCTTTAGCTTTGCCTTCTTTAAAAGGTGCCAGGAAGGTGTATTTAAGAAAACAAATCTATTTCAATTTCAGTGAGATATGAACCATCTCGGGCATTTAATAAGCGAATCAAGGTGATGGATATAGCATAGGGATTTCTTTCATTAACTTTCTAAAATATTAAAGGTTTTCCATAGACACAGCACCATTACATTTACAAATTGGGACATTGTGTTCTTGCTGTTTCACTACTCATTATAACCAGCCTTGGGCACTTAATCTCTTAATGAGCTGTATTGCCATGGTGGGAGCATCCTTACTGAGGTCTTCCAAAGCCCCTAATTCAACCCTATTCAGTTTATCTGTGTATCTTGTTTAATTTTATAACCAGCAGATTAGCATGCCACCTGCCATGCCTACAGGAAACTGGCAGTATATTTTAACTAATTATTGGTGTACCAGGTGAGTAATAGAAATTATTGTAGGATTCTGGGTGTTTACATAAACTTTTACACATTTCCTGCCTAAGACAGATATTTCTTGAAGAAAGAAGGGTGAGGGTCTGGTCTGTGAGAAGGCTGGTTGTCTCGTTCCTGCCTGTTCAAGTCTCTGAGAATAGTAATATCCACATTTACCCATGATTTCTAGGTTACTGTTTGAGTCATTTGTTTCTGTTTTACAAAACAATCCAGTATAGTAACTTACTATTAATTATGATTCTTTGAGTTTCCCAGGGTCAGTTTTGAAGTTCTGCTGGTCTCACTTGGAGTCTTTTACATAATTCCACTAGACTGAAAGACTGTTTGGGAGATGGTTTTTCACTCTCCGTCTCTCTCCATATAGTCTTTAATTGTTCAATAGTCTAGCCTGGCTTCCAAACGGCATGTCTTCTGGGTTCCATGACAGTGCACTCTTCTGTCACATTATATCTATCAAATCCAGACATAATTTCTTCCAAAATAAAGCATAATATAAGTAAACTCATCTGTTACCTGAGGAAGGGCATGAGTGAACCAGGATAGAACGAATTGTTGGCTGCCATATTTAGAGACTACTTACCTCTGTATCAAATACCTGCTATCCAATATTGTTACTGATTGCAGTTCTTCCTTTCAATAAATTATGATGTTCTACTCTATCAATAAAGGTCCTATCAGCAGAGTGAAACCATAAAATAGTTTTCACAGGGAGAATTTTATATTTAAAATAATTAACTCTAACAGAGGATTGGAGTAATAAGGGATTGTCTAGGTAAAAAAAAAAAAAAAAAAAAAAAAAAAAAAAACCTTAAAAACTAGAACTAGCAGATAAGAAACATCTTATATCCTTAGAATTGAGTTAAGGTGCCCAATAAAAAGACATCTTCCTCCCCGACCTAGTGAAGCAGAATATGATGACAGCTTCAAAGGAAAGAAGTATTCTATTTTTAATCACTTACACTGGGGCAGACATTATGGACAGTGATGCTATATAATTATAATACATTTTCCTTATTCAAGTCACTGAGTTTTTTTGCTATTAAAAATTAGAAACATCAAAGTATCAAATATGGTTATTCAGGTCAGAACAAATATATTGTAAGAATGTCACCAAGAATAATAAATTTTCATTCACTCTACTTTATTGAAACATGTACAAATTATCTCTCCAGGGTTGAATTGTCTAGAGATATTTGCAGCATCTTGTATCAGAAAAAAGAGTGACAAGTTTCATTCCATTTTTCGTAGAAGGAAGGATTATCACAGAGCCAATGCCCCAAGGCCCTTTGGTTCAGAGACAGCATTTTCCAATCATGTTCTCAACAAGTTTCAAACATGTTAATTAACGTTTGTCTTGAAGAGTTCTTGAATAAAAACTAGTGGATAGCTTTCTCACATAAATTTAAAAGATTTTAAGATAGCATCTTCAACAAATCCAAAACTATAAAATGTCTTTTGAGTCATACCTTTTGCTTCAAAATACTCCTAATAAAGCACATAAATTGACAAACTCCGTTGTTAGTAGAAAGTTTTATGGCTTCAGATCACAATTAATATTTTAACATTCATATTTTCACCCAAAGGACATTTAGTCACCATGTTTGACACTAACAATTTTATCTTTCTTCTGCTGGTAGTTGTATGACTCATTAAAACAAAGTATATAAAATAATCACATCTATACTGATGACTTAAATGGGCACCAAAATAAGTGAGTTAAAAAAATTCTATCTTATGAGAAAAACATAAAATAGTTCTTATGTAATATGTAAGAAATAATAATTTCTTATTGAATTCATAGTGAAAAGTACTGCTGGACTACATCATCACAAATAGCATTATCCATTACTAAAATATAGATGCAACAATAATTAGTAACTATGATCGTAACAAACTACTTGAAGAACATGTGGCTTGAAAATGTCAAAAAAGATACAAATGCAACTGAGCAGTATAGGAAAAGAGCATTCTTAAAACTCAGCAGATTGTGGTGGGTATATGGCAACGTTTTGAAGATAAAGGATGTAGTTGTCATTCTGGTTATCTGAGAAAACAGAGATTATCATATCCAAAGAATAAATACAAATGAAAAGGTTTAATATTGCATTTGGAATTGTTTTTATTTTTCAAAACTGATGATAGAATAAAATATTTTTACAAAATATACATCTGCAAATGTTTTTACCTGGGACAATGAGCCTTGACAGAATAACATCTAGAACAGCTAACCCATAACAACTTATGTAAAATTGTCGAAATGTTATATTGAGTAAAATTAATAGAAGAGTCAAGTATTATATTTTAATTTTCAATATCCTGATGGAAATAATTATGTGCAAAATATCAACGAAATAGGGAAAGTAAATAAGAATGTTTTAAATATATATATACACCCAAAATGGAAAACCGACTTAACAGATTTTTCTTTAAAAATACATTTTCTATGAAGATTCATCAATTCTACAGAAAGTGATAGACCTCTAATAGAAATATTTGCTTTTAAACACCGCATGTTCTCACTCATAGGTGGGAATTGAACACTGAGAACACTTGGACACAGGGCAGGGAACATCACACTCAGGGCCTGTTGGGGGATGAGGGGCAAGGGGAGGAATAGCATTAGGAGAAATACCTAATGTAAATGATGAGCTAATGGGTGCAGCAAACCAACATGGTACATGTATACCTATGTATCAAACCTGCACGTTGTGCACATGTACCCTAGAACTTAAAGTATATAATAAAAAAAGAAATATTTGGTTTCATAAGGAAAGCATCAAAATAATCAAAAGAAATTATTAAAATTAAACTATTCTTGCATGGCAGTGCTAGTCCAATGGAGTTGAAGTGGCAAAGTCTACATTTCCTGGGTACAGCTAGAAAGACACTGTTCAGGGAACAGTTAGATTGTAACCAGCTAAAGAGAAACCAGGATGTTAAATTTGGCTATTCTAGCAAAGAAGCGTTCAGGAAAATAAAGAAGCAATTATCCGTGAGCTGAGTTCCAGGCTTTTTTTTGCACAGTTTTTGTATTCGCATAATGAATGAACAGCATGGTCACGAGCATTTTTAAGTGCCTTAGGATGGGACTGGCATCCAGCCAGTAAATCCTGCAAATTCAATTCTGAGGGGAATAAAAAAGAAATACAGAAACATAGAGTGGGAGTTGTATTTTGTATTTCCTTTGTCCCTTTTGCACAGTTTCAGAATGCATTGACAAATCAGTTTCTGTAGCAATGGGATTCAGATTCTGGATTTTTTTTTTTTTTTGAAAAGAACATAAGCTTCTGAGGCTAGAGGTAGAGAACGACCTCCAGTGGCTGGTGTCAAAAGAAGAGAACAGCCAATAAATTATATTTGTCCTAGATCTGACAACCCACGTAGAATTACATTGGTACAGAACTAACCAGTACCCTGTTCATGTCGAAGATATTTCTTATTCCCCAAATACGTGAACCTAATTATGACTGTATTATAATCTAGCAGATCTCACTAAGTATATTCCAATGGCTATATGCAGTCTTAGAATTGAACACACAGAGCACACCATTGTGTTGCCGATGGCATAAAAAATTGAAGAAACTCCAAGATGACCAGAACTCAGAAGTCTGCAGTCATAGTAAGTGAAATGACAAAAAAACGTAGGGAACAGTTAGATTTCTTGGGTAAAGGCTGAACAATCTACTGATGCAAGAAACAGAGGAGGGGTTTCCTCTTAGGACTTGAGAAGATTCATTGATAGAAAAAGGACTCCTCTGTAAAAATCAGCAGATAGTGTTTGATATAAGGCAATGATTTGACTGTATGATGGGTGCCTTAATCAGGTTTGGAGGTAATAATTTGCATGGCAACCTAATATATACCGTCAGGTAAAACCTCCTGAAAATTACATGAATAATACCAGATAGCACATGTGTCCTATTTTGATACATACCCTGGTCCTGCTGAGATTGTGCCTTTGCTATGAAGCAAGGCCTCTTTGAAGCACATTATTGTACTTAGACAAGGCCCTGCATTCTAGAGAAAGAGACAAGCTGGGAAAACAGATTTTGTACACGCTCAAAGAATGAATGTCCATTTGAGAGTATAAACTAGTTGCCATGTCTGCCAATTGCCAACCACCACCATATCCTTAGAAACCATGCTATTACCATGTTTCAGTGTACACCAAAAGAAATCTAGAGTAGGAACTGGCTTCCTCCCTCACTTGTGCATTTGTCCGTTGCACATTCTATCAAGTAGGTTTAATAGTGCTTTAGTAACTTACAGAGAAATTGTGGCAAAACTCTCCTGTTATTTTTGTTAATCAAAATTTGTAGCTTCCCCTCTAAGAGAGTCATGCATGAGTCCATGGGCCATGAATAGTAACAGATTTTGAGTTATAAGCATAATGCTGAACTAAAAATGATTCATCAGCTGTAGAACTCACCCATTTTGTGTAGAGAAAGTTTGCTTTGTTCAAAGTATTGCTTTAGGGAAAGTTCTTAATAAGAACACGCCTTGCTTTTCCACAAGAAACATTTCTTGATGGGTCTGTTACACAAATTATTCAGATATACAAGTTTTGTTTTGCTTTGTTTTTAAAAAATATAGTTCAAAATTATTGCTAGGGCTAAACCCTTGTTCCACATTTTTTGTCTCATGCATTTTTAAAAGCTGTTTTAAATTTCTGCCTCCAATCTCGTTTTATTTTATTTTTTCAACTGGGTAATTGTCTTTGCAGTTTATGTTTTCTTTCAGATATTCTCACAGGGAAACTTCATCATTTCTCTATTAGGGTATTTTCAGTCACATTATGTATTTCTTTTTCTCTCATAATTTGCAGTACTATCACTGGATTAATTTTTTAAATCACCTTTAGACAAGTATAATTTCCATGCAAGTTTGACAAAGTTCAATTTGTTTTTTTCTTTTATTTTTCACATTTATAATAATTGTGTAAGAAATCTTTGCCTATTCAAAACTCACAAAAATAATTTTTAGACATTTTACAGCTTAACACTTAATTCATAGATATTTTTCTGAATTAATTTAAGTAATGTCGTATATGTCATGACTTTAAACTTTTCTTTTCTTCCATGTCCACTTGTCCCAGCAACATTTGTTGAAAAGATTTTATTTTCCCCCATTGAATTGACTTGACACCTTTTTTGAAAGTCAGCTCAACAAATATCCATGGCCCGATTTCTGGAATCTCTATGCTGTTTCATTTATTTTTATGTCTGCCCTCACAGCGATATCACCCAGTACTTGTAACTTTATACTAAGGCTTGAAATCACACGGTAAAAGACCTTCAAATCTGTTCTTCCTGTGCAAGCATTTTGGCGCTCCTAGGTTCTTTGAATGTCTACATACATTTTAGAATCAGCTTGACAATCTACAAAAAAAGCCTCCCAGGACTCTGATCCAAACTTCATTTAATTTATAGATTTGTGACATCTTACAATGAGTCTTACAGTCAATGAATATGATACATCACTCCATCTCATGTTTTCTTTCACTTTTCTCAGATATGTATCACAGTTTTCACTTTAGAGCTTTTACAAATATTACATTAAATGTGTCTCCAAGTATTTTCTGTATTGGATGCTAATGTAAATTGTAATTTACTCTGTATTTTAATTGTAATTGTAGGACATGGAAAGACAGATTTTTGTATGATGGCCAGGTTTCCTATGAACCCACTACATTCTTTTATTTTTTCTTTTTTCTTTTTCGGAGTCTCATTCTGTCGCCCAGGCTGAAGTGCAGTGGTGAGATCTCGGCTTACTGCAAGATCCGCCTCTCAGGTTCACGCCATTCTCCTGTCTCAGCCTCCCGAGTAGCTGGGACTACAGGCGCCCGCCACGACACCTGGCTAATTTTTTTTTTCTTGTATTTTTAGTAGAGACGGGGTTTCACCGTTTTAGCCAGGATGGTCTCGATCTCCTGACCTCATGATCCACCCGCCTCAGCCTCCCAAAGTCCTAGGATTACAGGCGTGAGCCACCGCACCTGGCCTGAACCCACTATGTTCTTTAAATATTAATAACATTTTTTGTAGATTCCTTATAATTTCCTACCAAATCAATAATGTCAAATGCAAATAGTGTTTTGCAGCTTTACTCTTAATTTACATATTTTTCCCTTGCTCTAATGCACATGCTAGAATCTCTAGTATAATGGTGAAATACAGCAATAGATGTTCCAATATTAAACCAATATTTCTGATTTCAATTAGCTAATATTTTGCTAAAGCTTTTCTGGTTTTAAAATTTTGCATCTATGTATGTATCAATTTTTACATCTGTGTTTTCTTTTATAATTTTTCTGATTTTGGTATTATGGTAATCATAATTAAATAAGTGAAATATTGTGGAATCAGGAGGACCAGAGAGAGACCTTGGGGTGTATACAGGAGGATATCTTTATTGAGTGCACTCAGACCCAGCAGACTCAACATCCAAAGACTGGGTCCAGAACAAAGACAGCATTTGACTTTCATACACGCTTCACAAAGGGGTGGACTACCTTGAAGCAGGCTTTCAGTTACAGTGGTGCAAAAGCAAGGATACAGAGGCAGAACAATTAATTAAATTGTGACAGGTTCATAACTCCGGATTACTCATGACCATTGCCAAGCAACCCATTTGTCTGTTATCCAGGTTTTGCTCTAAAGAGTCTTGCACTGGTTTATCTCATAACTTCACTATGGTGCCCAGACAGCTGTAGTTCAGGCCTGCTCAGGCTTCTCATGACCTTCACTGTACTTCTTAGATAAAACAGAATACTTGAAGTTACCAGTTACAGAAAACAAGAATCTATAAACTAATACCATAAAGCAAAGGAAAATTTGTTTTTCATCTCCATATGTTGAAGGAGTGCTGAGAGAGTCTCCAGAGCACATTCCTTTGTGTCCTAGCTTCTTAGATAGTGTTTATCAAGCCTTTTCCTGGGTCTGGGCTGTGCCTGTTGCTGCCTCTGGGACCAGTCAGCCTAATACAGGAAAGCTTATTTCTTTCTCTTTTTAATTTTATTTTTCCTTATTTCTTTAATTTCCCACCTCAAAACATTTCCTACTCTATTTCATCAACTAAGATTTATATGATTCATCCATTAAATATTTATTTGAATTTCTAATTTTGGTATTATGGTAATCATAATTAAATAAGTTAACATTTCCTACTGTACTTTATCAACTAAGAGTTATATGCTTCATTCATTAAATATTTAATAAAATTTACCAGTACATTTACATAAGGCTGTTTATTTTTTGTTCTTTTTTTCTTTCTTTGTATAAAGGATTTTAATCATCAGTTATATATCTTTACCAGAAATAGGACTACTTAGATTTTCAGTTACTTTTTAAACTAGTTTTGATAACTTGTGTTTTTCAAGCTATTTGCCACTTTTCTTTAAGTTTCCAGACTTGGTAGCATAAAGTTGTTAAGATAATATTCTCTTAGCCATTGTGTGTTACAAATATAGTGCAACCTACTCTTTCATTGCTTTTGTTTAAGCAATCTAGTTTTAAAAATTGTTTTTAATAATTTATTTAAAATAACATTTGTTTGTTTACTTTGTCATTAGTTTGTTTTTTCTTTCAGAGATGTCTTTTCTATTTATTTATCTATTTTTTACTTTTACTTAATAATCAAGCTCCTCTTTCCCTAGCTTCTTTTGGTGGGAGCTGAAATCATTAATTTTTTAATTCTTTTTTCTTCTTTTTTAATATAAGCATTTGCAGTTGTAATTTTTCATCAAGTCACTCCTTTACTTTTACTTCACAAAACAAGAATCAGAACCATACCTAGGTACAACACAACTGTTAGGATCATCATTCAGAGAAATTAAAATAATTGTGATTACTATGTTAAGGACTCTTAACAGAAAAAAAAAATAGGGATGTGTAATATAAACAGAGAAATGAAAAAAGAAAAAAAACTAAGAAAACAACAAAAGAAAATGCTAAGGGAGAAAAAAGAATAGGCCCATCGATGGGTTTATTAATCAACTTCCATGACTGAAGAAAGAATGAGTGAGCTGTAGGTAAGCCCATAGAAAATTTCCAAACTGAAATGAGAAGAGAAAAAAAAAAATGAAAAGAACAAAACAAAAGAGAATATTAAAAGAGCTGTAAGACAGTTTCAAGAAATATATCACACTTTGAATTGGCTTAATAGAAGAGAAAAAAGAAAAATTTAGCAAAAAAATTAACATTTGCAGTAATCATGGCTAAGATTCACAATATGAGAGACCCCTACTTCATCACAAGCTTTCAACATGGACACAATAGTTCTAGATAAGCAGAGGAGCAAGTTGCCTAAGTGGACGTGGATATATGATGATGTCTTAACAAGGCAACTAGTTCCCTCAAAGGGCAAGTCCAGCTTCTCCTCATATTTGGTGGATAATTAACAAATTCCAGTATTTTAAAAAATAATCATTATCATGGTGACTAGCTTCACTTGATTATCTAGCGTTATCGAATCTCTATCATCTATCATCGCCAACAGGCATGGCTCAGTTTAGCCAACCAAGCACTCTACTTCCAAGATTTTGACTTGTGATTAATCCAATTATCTCCTCTGCTATAAGGAGAAAAGATTATATTGGATAGTTTTGTTTCCTGCAGCAAAGTAATTTTCTGCATGACCAGCAATAATGCAATGTGGGAGATTTTAATAAGAAGCAATTATTTTTAAATTTAAAACTTAAACAGAATGCAGATTGCGATAATATAGCAGAGATGTGCACAAAATTATGAGTCACTTTAAAAACTGTTAACCCTGCAATGTGTTCTTGTATGGAACAGTGCAGTAAAATAAACATAACTAAAGCAGAAATATTTCTGTCTCCTAGAAACGCATATATAATATTGAAACTGACAAATAATACCCCCTTTGTATGGCATTCCATAATTTAATGTGTTACCTTGTTTTCATCATTGAAATTAATAGTTTTTTTTTTTTTTACTGAAATAAAGAAACATTTATGAAAAGAACACATGATAACATATTTTTTTTTGGTCAAAGAGAAAAAGTTAACATCTGATGTTGGAAAATGATCAATGATAAGAAATGAGATTTTGCAAAATAAAGTCATTGAATATGTTATGGAAAATACAGCCTCTGTCCTTTATTATCATGGTGTGCAAACTGAGGAGTTAAACAATTGAGATCTCTGTGATCTAGTACCCCCATCTCGCCTGCTATTTCCACCTCTGAAGACAGAAATCTATCACCAGATGGATGCAGTATATCTATATCTATATCTATATCTATCAATATTATCTATATCTGTGTCTCTATGTATCTATCTAATCTATCATTTTTTGGTAGCTACTTAATCCTCTATTGAAATTAGATTTCATATTGAGACAGGATTGTTCCCCTGACCTCCCTTCATGGGCGGGAAGTGGAGTGGCTTGTTACCCTTAGCCTGCTGCTGGCCACTCCTTGCAAGAGGGAGTCTGCGAGCAAGCAAGTGCAGGAACCAGAAGAAAGGAACACTGGAATCAGCTAGCTGCTTCTCTCTGGTAGGAGCAGGCTCTATGCGTTCCACAGCAGCATCCAATCCCCTGCCCTCTTGGCACCCATTTCTTGTTCGGGGTCCAGAAAGAATCAGGTCACTAATTGAAGGGTAGTGTATGCAGAGGATTTTATTGGGCAATGGATGTGGTTCTCAGTGGAATGGGGAGTTGGAAAGGGGATGGTGCGGGAAGAAGGTGATCTTTCCCTGAAGCCGCACCCTCTGAAGTTAGCTGCGTCTGTCTGTAGTCTGAGATGCTCAGCCGCTTGTATCCTCAACACTCAGCAGCCTGCATCCCCAACCTGTTGCACCAGCCGCTTCTATTGCTTGGCCAGCTGCAGTCTTTTTATACTCACAAGATAGGGGGCGGGGCAGGCCAAAAGGGCAATCATTTGGGCGGAAAAATGGGGTCAGCTGTTTTCACTTAGGGCCGAGGTTCTAGGTTAGAGGGTGGAGTTGAGCTGAGAGTCCAGCCATTCTGTGTCAATATTTGATAATACTGAAGGTGAGATTATGAAAACAGAACAGAAGAGCACCTAGAAAGAGTTGAGAGGGAGGTAGAACACAGCAAGTTTTTGGTCTGAGAGCGGACCTTATCTGGTTACAGGTGAACTCTTTCCAGTAACTCCGTTGGTTGGTTATTCCTTTCTGTTCTATCCCAAAATTTCTTCCTTACTTCTATTGTTTTCAAAGAGTGCTTCAAAGGAGTTAAAATAAATAAAAGTAATTTTCTTAAAAATGCTTCATTTTTAACCTGGAAATATACACACTACATCCATTTCAAAAGTTCCTTAAATGATTTTAGAATTGAATGATACCTTAGTTATAAGATGTTAACACTTACTGAATTATTATAAAGTGGTAGGGCTTCTGCTGAGTATTTTATGTAAGAGACCAGAGTGGCCTTTATATATTTTGTATTTCATATAAAATAAATCCCAACCAATCTATCTGCAATTGCTACATTCCAGTCAGGTGAGACTTCAAATTTTCTTACCCAGCCCTTTTTTCCCATAGCCCTTGCTGACATTTCTGATCATTTTATTTAAAACTAAAAATATCTAATGAATCAATAAAGATTTATGTTAATATTAAGAGAATACCACTGATCACATAAATTGGTAAAGACTTCACTACCAATTTTAATTTTTTAGTCCCTATTAGTATTTATTTAGGAAGAAATACAAGTTTTGAAGGATCATGGTTTCTAAACACAATGGTCATATTTGTTTCCTACCTCAGTTTTATGATCATTAAAATTATCAGAGTTACCATGAGTTCTACTGACAGCAGACTCACTAGAATGTTGCTTGTAAGTTAACTTAACATTTATAAACTATTGAGTTCTAGTCCAGATTATACCAGCACAACTACAGCAGCCATCTATCTTCTTCCTCCCCAGATAGAATTATTTTATGCCATAAAACAATAAAAGAAAATGAAAATCTGTGTCTCACCTCAACACAAACAGAGTTTTAGAATTTAACTTTTTACATTATCAATGAGCTTTGCATTTTGTGGATAATTTTTTCAAGGAAGCTTTGTTTCTCACCAGTTTGACAAAAGAGTTTTATGCAAAGCAGATGTGCATAAGAAAGAGGAAGGAGATAAAGTTGAAGATGAACAGGAAAAAGAAGACAGAGAAAAGAAGGAGGAAGGGAGTGAAGGAGGAGGAGAAGGCCTGGCATAGAAGCACTGTCATTCCTGGCCCCAGGGCCTGAAGTTCATGACTAATCTAGAGAAAGGTGGAGCCTCAAAGTTGAAAAACTGCTTATGTAGGCCATGTGACACTTGTTATGTGCAGCTTATTTAAATAGACTGCAGAGTATGTTCGATGTTGATAGGTGCTATGGAGTAAATTTTTCTTTTAAATTGGCATGTGAAGAGCAGCTGAGGGAAAGTTTACTATTTTAAATTGTGTTAAACTTTGTTATCTGTTACCACGTTTTTCTGTCTTTGCTAATCATTTACTTCTTAAAATAGCTATATTTTACTATAGTTTTTATTTGCATCTATTTTATTAGGAGTGATCATAAATGTCATTTTTATTTACTAAAGGCCCAATTATTTTTTTCCCTTCACCAATTTTGTAATTGGTAAATTTATTCTTTTTCTCAGTAATGTATAACATTTTTAAAAATCTGTATTATGGAAAGTTGCCCTTTGGTTTCTGAGATAATTGCAAATATTTTTCCAAACCATCATTTATACTTTATTCTAATTATTTATAATTTTTTCCAAATGAGGGATTTAAAAATGTTATATAGATAAAATTATGAATCTTCATGACTTCTGGGATTTTCTAATATTGAAAAATAATTTTCCTGTTTCAACATTATTTAAAATCACCCATAACGTAGTCTATATTATACTTTTATTTTACTATAGTATTTCTATAATACTTCTATTTTAAGAAGTATATTTTTATGTTTTATATCAGACACAATAGAGATTCTTAAATAATATTTACCTAAGTCAGTGTCTTCAAATAGTTGGGAATATAATTGGAGAGCTACAAAGAGGAAAAATTAAAAAATAATTTATAATTTCGGAAGCAAACTCTGTTATGTGGCACTACTAGTAAGATGAAAATAAGGCCTAGAGTCATAGGTGAAGTCAGGCTTCAAATATTTCTTTAAAGGTGTATATGACTTATAAAGAGAAAAGACGAAGTAACATGACCGAAGTATTAATCTATAGCATTTCTCTTAAAAAGAGTGTTTTTAGGCCAGCTATGGTGGCTCACGTCTATAATCCCAGTACTTTGGGAGGCCAAGGCGGCACTTGAGTTTGGGAGTTGCAGACCAGCTTGGCCAACATGGTGAAACCCTGTCTCTACTAAAGATACAAAAACTAGCCAAGTGGGTGCCTGTAGCCCCAGTTACTCGGGAAGCTAGGGAAGGATAATTGCTTGAGCCCTGGTAAGTGGAGGTTGCAGTGAGCCGAGGTTGCACCACTGCACTCCAGCCTGGGCAATAGAGGGAGACTCCATCTCAAAAAAAAAGAGATTTTAGTCTTTTTAGTCTTTTGTTTTTCTAATTTTGAAACACAACTGAGGCATCATACTGACACCTATGGTGGAAGGTATAATTTAGCTGACAAACCCTTAGACAGGTATAGCTTTTACAAGTCTTTAGTTTTAATTTTCATCAAGTATTTCACTTTAATATGTTATTTATAGAGTTAATTAAGGAAAACATGAAATTTATGACAAACGGCAATACTTAAGAACATATGGGAACTGAACAAAAAATAATATTAGTTTTCTTCTTTTAAAGCTATAGACTAGTTTAATTTATTATTACTTTTAATTTAGTTTGTGAATAAAAAGTTCAGGAGCGTAGTAGCTAAATGAAATATGTGTGATATTTTAAATGAGGAATTTAACAGATTTTTATCAGCGTGTTTTACAAGATGGATTAAAGTAAGTTTCATTAACCACATCCAGTTTAATTCCTCAATCTTTTAAGAAGAAAATGCATTAATAGAGATATGTTTAGTGATATTTTATTATGGATATAGTCAGGCTAAAAAGAGAGACATTCATTACTCAAACATACTCCTGAAATTACTTTTAGCAATTGGAATAACTTTATATATGCAATAATCAATTTAGCTTCAATATTATTCTTTCTTGGACTTGATTTCATTTCCAGCAAGTGGAAAGAAAATGAATATACACACAGACAAAATTTTATTTTACTTGCTATGGAAATATTTTTATGTTATAAATGAGAGATTACACCAATATCAATCTTAAATTGGGTTCATAATACAGTTTCTCAAGGATATGTTCTTGGTCATCATCTTGCCAATCATTATACTCTCTCCCTCATTCACTCAACTAGCAGAACACTATTGGTGCTATGGAGTATTGAGGTTTTCACTCATGGGCCTCGGGAGAGTGTGGGAAACAAGACAGTATGCTCATTGCTGTAGCTGCTATCTCTCAAGAAGGCAAAATCTGTATACTCAGCCCAGTCGTTCCTCTAGTTTGAAACTTTTATTTCTATTGGTATTGTCTCAATATTAGCTCTGGAAGGAACTTGATGCTAAGTTCGGCATCCAGGGAAAGGCATGATAGATCATGCTTGAGTCAGGCATGATCTGCCACATGTGGGGCATTGACCTATCCTCTGTGGTCGCAGAAATGAGAAATGACAGTTAATCAGGTGAAGACCATGTGCAATGGCAAAAGGGCCATTTCTTAAATGGAAAATAGAGTTATTCAAATTAGAGAAGAGATCGGGAAGGCTGCAAACAAATGATAACTGCAGTCTACCAGAATTATAGTCTAACAGAAATTACAAAGGAGTTCATGGTGTCTCAAATTCCTGACAGATACTAATTTTCAGGATTCATGGAGGAGATATCAGAATTCCCAAATTATCAGAGAATCACAAAATCATAAATTATTCTTAAATATTTTCAGTGTTCTTTATATTCTACTCATTAATATGGATATCAAGAATGCTTAATAAATTATATTTAATAGTAGCTACAAAAATTATAGTCTACAGGTAATACCCAAATTCTTGAAAGTTCCAGGAAACACTCAAGATAGTGTTTGATTATTGCAACATTGGCATCTCTTAGCAGCATTAGCCTCCTACACATACTCGTATGCAGAATTGCCTAATTAAGGTCATATTTTGCTTCCAAAACTTATTTCTTGGAACACCACTCATAGGTTTTTATAAAGAATGCTACCTGCACAAATCTATTACTATTGGTTTTATTCACACACACACAAAATTGACTCACTTTTAGCAGCAAAGCAGGCCTGGATCACACTCTTGTAATAGTGCAAAGGCTGCAAGCAAAACTGACTAGATTCTGACTGCGTCTCTGTTAGGTGATCCTTTCCAGCTTCCCAGAAAGGGTGAGCTTAGCCTGTTAGTCCTGCCTGTTAGACTTCCTGTTTTTGCTTTTTATTTGATGTCAGTGAATTTCTTGGTCCATCAACCTCTCTATATTGATAGCTAAGCTTACAATAATTTTTTATACTTTTCAAATTTCTGGACTCATATTTTCAGGATTGAAGATTTGGAAGAAGATTAGTTTCCTCGTTAATGCAAGAGAGGGATTCCCTCATGGAAGCACTATATGAAGTTCTAAGATTTCATGCAATTTAATAGTAACAGAACTTTTTAAGAAACTGTTTGGAGGCAGCATGTTGGGGACATAGAATCAAAAAGCGTACCTTGAACCACATGTAAAAATGATGGTAAAAGGCAGGCACATGTATATGTTGGTCCTTATGAGCTCTGCTACCTATTATAGCATTTGTCACAGATTGCATATGCAATAAATGCTTAACTCAAGAGAAAGTTAAGTTCTATCTGCCAATAATCTCACTGTTTATAACATACATATATATTCTAAAGAACCACAGAAAATTGTCAATTTGCACTTACATATTGAGAAGTTAATTTTTATTTCTTGCTGGTTAAAGAATAATTAAATTGTATATTAAACATTGTTTTTATCTCTGTTTTCTTTGTTTTACATCACATCAGCAAAGATCTAGTTAAATAACTCAGTCTCCATTTGTTCATATAAAAATTCATTTTTTTCAATCTATGTTACATCTGCCTTTAATATTTGCCAACTGAATAATCAAGATCATTTGATTAATATTATCCTTATGTTTGAGGTCAGACCCATGAAATATCACAAGAAACAGGGCGCGGTGATGGATAAAAGTTATAAAATAGAAATACATTTCAAAAAGCACAAAGTCAGGTGGGTCAAGTTCCTTTTACAGCCTCCTAATATCAAGGTTATTTCATTAATTGTTAAAATGATTGTATAATACGGCGGATTTAAAGAACAATGAAGAAATCTATGCAGAGACTGCCAGCTGTCTTCCCTATGGAATTTTCCTCCAAACAACACCACTAATTTCTAATTGATGTCACGGCCAACTGAAATGAAAGATACATTTCTCATCTTTGCATTGAGTAGCGGCATATGACTAAAAGGATGAAAGTAGAACTATTACATAACAATTCCTCCTGAGAAATTTTCTACAGAGTTCCCGAAGTGTATTGCTGCATCATCTACACTGCTGTTTGCAATTAGCCAATGTGATGGCTGGAGGTTCATGTTGGATCATGAGGGTGAGATCTATGATGGCCACGATAGAGAAGGAAGTAGAAAGTAGCTTGATTCATGGCTGACTTGATTGCTTACATGTGAATATTACTGTAAGAGTGAAATAAACTTCTAGATTTTAAGCCACTATTATTGTGTTTCTATTATTCACAGCCAAATATAACACATACAGTTGTAGAATATGGTACCAGTAGAGCTATTTTTCAAGAAAACTAAGCCATGTAATTGGTTTGTGTAATTAGTAGGGTGGTGGGAGGTAGGAGCATGTATATCACAGGTAGGAAAGCAGGTGACCCTTGTCATGTTTTATTGAATAAGTTAACTTTTCACCTTGGAAGACAAATTGCATATTAACTTAGGATATAGTATTAGGAAAAATAATTTCTTAGTTTTGAAATTTTATTGGTGCTATTTCTTGAATCTATTAGAAAAATCCTACAAATGATTGAGTGATTGATGCCTAGGTTAGATGGAATACAAAGAGAGAAAGAAAACAGAGCTTTGCTAAAGGAGCCTTTCTGCCTGAAATCTACAATAGGAGATTTTAAAACTTTCAGGGTTGAAATATCTAACTTCACTGTTATCTCAACTTGTAACTAAAGAGAGAGTGTCTGCATAGCCACAAATTTAGTAGACTTGCATCCCCCTCTGTAAAGATTATGAGCTTGGTAATAAAGATGGCATCCACATTACAAGGAGGATGGCCAGAGCCAAGAGGCTAAAATAAGCATTTAGGAAGATTTCACACTTAAAAATCTGTTTAGACAAAGACTGTGATTGTGATTATTTGCGTATATAATTGACTAGAAGCAAATAGAAATTTACTACATTTTTCAAGAAATTTTATTGAAAAATAAATCTGAATTGGACCCAATTATTGGACCCAACATTAAAAGCCTTAAGGAATCCCCATGACGGTACATCCATGTTATAGCATGTCCAAATTTCATCAGCATGAAATGTGCTATGAAATCTCTATGTCCCTCAAGAATGTGCACCCAAAGGCAAATGTATAACACATGATGAAGAGGTCACAAAGTACAATAGAGAAAGGATATCCTCCCAAAGAGAAGAATCAAAAGCTTAGAGTGTAGTCTAAACAGAAAACTTGCTCTACTCCTGAAGTAGAGTCTCTATTTTTTATGCCGAACATTATTTGCTAATTCCAACTGGCTATCAGCTAATGTGTTTCCCAGGTTTTCTCAATGAAATATGTATTCTTATATCATCATTTTATTACATGTGTATGGTGCAAGTAACTAGTGTCTCAGTTTGTAGGCTTCAGGATACTGCAACCTCTCATCTGCATCTGGTTTCAGGATACTGCAATCTCTTATCTGCATCTAGTAGAAAGAACTGCATGTTACTCAGTGATTGTGAACACTTGGCTGCAAATAGATGTGAGTAATGGATGGCATACCAACTCTTCTCCTTGGGGAGCAGACAAATGTGTTCTATATACAGGAAAATGGATATCCATGGATATATTGATAACCAAAGGAGCAGACTATGGGTAAAGGCTGCTGTTTGCCTATCCCAGTGCCAATCCCCCTACATTTGGACATTGATTTCTTCCTAGGTACATGGGCACATGTAATGGTGACAATGACAAATAATAGGATTTCTTTACAACTAGATGTGTTCATGTGTCCACATAATGGCAAGTCAGATGTAAACAATGGCGTTATGTGAAAACTTTTGGAAAAGGTCCTGAAGTGATAACTTTTACATCCTCTTTACCTTTACCTTCTTTACTTCTTCTTCCTTTATTGATGACGAGAGTAACAATGAGTTGGCTTTAAGTCTATTTGTCTGATGATGAAGAGATGCACATCCTAGGGACAGAAAATTGAATTCCAGAAAAAAAGTTCTCTTAATTTTGTAAATGACCATAAACTGGTAACAATACTCTCTAAACATAAGGCCTCTCACTAGCAAAATATACAAAAAAGCTCCAGGTAAATCATGCTAGAAACTAGCTTTGCGAAATTATAGAAGAGTCCTTTGCATGAAGACAACACAATTCTAACATTGATCCAGAGTCCATTTTCATCTAATTCCAGGATCACAAGTCACTTTACTTCCTGAATGTATTTTCTGATTGAGTGTGGTTGTGTAGAGCTCCTTTTCCACTGAGATTAGAAAGAGTTCCTCTTTTTTCTAAATTTTGAGAAGTATTGATTTTTTAAAATGAAATATGAATTTTGTTCCTGTGATGGTTTTTAGTGAATTTATAAATATGAGTCTGCACAGATTACTTTTCACAAACTATTTATTGTATTTTAGCACTTGGTTTTCCTTTGGGATTCAGGAGCAATATGTGAATAGAGATACTTCTCATTTATATTTTCCATAAAATGGTTAATTAGAAGAAATCTCACTGCTTTTTTAAAAAATAACTTATTCAGGTGAAAATTTTATAACATATAATTCACCATTTTAAGTGAGTGATTCAGTGGCATTTGGTACATTTACAGTGTTGTGCAACCACCACCTCTATCTAGTTCCAAAACAATTCCATCAGGTGAAATTTTAAAACAACCATTAAGCAGTTTCTCATCCTACTCACTCCTTGACAGCCACCAATCTGAACACTTTCTCTATGGATTTTAGGATATTTTATGTAAATATACTCACATATGTCCTTTTTTCTATAGCTTCTTTTAATTAACATGTTTTGGCAGTACATCCATGTTATACATGTCTCAGTAATTAATGTCTTTTTCATGGGTGAATAATATCCCAAATAATATTCCATTTTATGTGTATATCACATTTTGTCTATTTAACCATTGATGGGCATTTGGACTGTTTTCACCACTGGCTATTGTGAATAGCACTACCGTGAACATGAGTGTGCACATAGTTTTCTATTCTAGGAGTGGAATTGTGAGGGTCATATGGTTACTCCTATGTTCATCTTTTTGAGGAATTTCAGACTGATTTTCACAGAGGCTGAATGATTTACATTACCACCAGCGATTAAGGAGGGCTCCAATTTCTTCAGATCTACATCAATAATTATTTTGCATGTTTTTAATTATAGCCACTTTTGCAGGTGTGATAGTAGTAACTTTGTGTGGTTTTGATTGGCATTTGTCTAATAACTAATGACACTGAACATCTTTTCATGTGTTTATTGGCCATTTATATATCTTTGGAGAAATGTCTACCCATGTCCATGATTTATTTATTTAAATTGGGTTGTTTGTCTTTTTGGTGTTGATTGTACATATTCTTTGTATATTCTGGGTATGAGGCACTTATTAGAAATATGATTTGCAAACATTTTCTCCTCTTCTCTAGGTTATCATTTTCTTGATAATGTGAAATGTGTTACTCTATATGTGTATGTTGAAACCCTAACCCAGAATGTTACTGTATTTGAAGTTAGGGAATTTAAGGTTAAATGAGGTTATACCTGTGGGATCTTTGATAGGAATGGTGTCCTTATAAGAAGAGGAAGAAGAGCCATGGATGTACTCATAGGGGAATACCTGTGTGAAGACAATGAGAAAGTGACCATCTGAAAGCCAAAAAGAGAGGCCCCAGGAGAAACTAAACCTGCAGACACCTTGACCTTGGACTTCCTGTTTCCAAAACTATAAGAAAATAATTTATATTGTTTAAGCTACCCAGTCTGTAGCATTTTGTCTTAGGAAACCTAGAAAAACAATACATGTTTTTTTTTTAATGTCCAAAGGGTTTCAATTTTGATGAAATACAACTATCTGGTTTTTTTTCTTTTATTGCTTAATTTTGTTGGTCTTATAGCTAAAGAATTCATTGACAAATCTAAGGTCATTTGGATTTAATCATGTTTTCTTCTATGGCTTTCATGGTTTTAGTGCTTATATTTATGCCAATGATCCATGTTCAGTTAATTTTTTATATGGTGTGAGGTAGGATTCCAGTTTTATTCTTTTGCATGTAGATATTCAGTTGTCTAAACATTATTTTTGAAGAGACTTTCCTTTTCCCATTTAGTCATTTGGCCCTCTTGATTTTTGAATCAGCTGACCTTAAACATATGGAATTATTCCTGGACTCCCAATTCTATTACATTGGTATGTCTGTCCTTAGGCCAGCACTACATTGCTTTGATTACTATAGTTTTATAGTAAGTTTTGATACAGGGAAGTGTGAGTCCTCAATTTTTTTTAAAGATTGTTTTGTTTATCTTGTGCCTCTTGCAATTCCATATGAATTTGATATTTGATTTTTACATTTTGCAAAAAAAGGCCATTGGAATTTTGATAGAGATTACATTGACTCTGTAGATCACTTTTGGTTGTAATGACATCTTAATAAAATATGAAGTCTCACATCAATGAACCCAAGATATTTTTCCTACTTATTTGGATTTTCTTTAATTTCTTTTAGCAATTAAAAAAATTCAGTATACAAATCTTTAATGACCACCATCACACACCCCACTAGACATAACCAAATTTATTTCTAGTTATTTCATTGTTTTGGATGCCACTATCATAGATTTTTAATTTTAAATTTAAATTTTTAATTTCTGGTATATTTTGAAACACTACTGATTTTTGCTTGTTGATCTTGTATCCTGCAATGCTGATGATTTTATTTATTAATTCTAGTAGCTTTTTTATGTATTTTTTTAGATTTCCTGTATTTAGGATCATGCCATCTGCCAGTAGAAAAAGTTGTACTATATTCTTCCCAATTTGAATGACATTTATTTCTTTTTCTTTTTAAATTTCCCTGGGTAGAAATTCTAGTGCAGTGGTGAAAGTGTGCATCCCTGTCTTTTTCCTGATTTTAGGGGAAGCTTTCAGATTTTCACCACAACAATTGTATTAGCTGTGGATTTTTAAAATATGGGCTTGATCATGTTGAGGAAGTTACTTTCTATTTCTGCTTATTTAATGTTTTTATTATGGAAGAGTATAGGATTTTTTGTTCAGGATAAGTTGAGATAATCAATTGTTGTTTTTATTATTCAATGAATGTGGTGTATTACACTGATTGGTTTTCTCATGTTGAATCAAATTTGCATCCCTGAGATAAATCCCAATTGGCTGCAGTATATAATCTATATAATATGCTGTTATATTTGGTTTACTAGTATTTGAGAATGTTTATATCTACATTCATAAGTGATGTTGGTCTGTTAGTTTTCCTTTCTTATGAAGTCTTTATCTGGCTGTAGTGCTTGGGTAAAGCTGGTCTCATAGAATGAGTTAGAAAGGGTTCTGTCTTTTATCAAAGAGTTTGAGAAGGATTGGTAGTAGCTTTCTTTATATGTTTAGTAAAGTTAACAAATTGAAACCATCTGGTCATGAACTTTCATTTGTTAAGAGGTTTTCTAATATTGATTCAATTTCTTTGCTTATTCTAAATGTGTTCAGATTTTCCACTTCTTGAGTCAATTTGGTAATTTATTTGTTTCTAGGAATTTGTCCATTTCATCTAGTTTACCTAATTTTTGACATATAAAATTATATATGGAACTTTCTAAAATATTTAAAAATTTCTGTAACGTCAATAGTAATGTCCCCTCTTTTGTTACCAATTTGTTATTTGAATCTTCTCTTTTTTTGTCAATCTAGCCAAAAATTTGTCAATTTTGTTGGTCTCTTCAAAAAAATATACATTTGTTTTCATTGATTTTCTCTATTGTTTTTCCATTCTATATTTCATTTGAATACATTTTTAAACTTTATTATTTCATTCCTTCTGGGAGGTTTGGGTCTCATTTTTTTTCCTGATAATCTAGTTGTTTATTGTATAAGATTAAGTATTTATTTGAAACCTGTATGTTCTTTAATGTAGGCATTCACTACTATAAATTTACTTCTGAGGAGCATCTCTGCCGCATTCCATGTTTTAGTATGTTGTGTTTTAATTTGTATTCATAACTAGAGGGAAACAGAGGTGACGGAGAAAAAGATGTACAAATATCATCCACCTGCAAAGTATAGACTTGTTTGTATTGTAATATGAATAAAAAAATTACGAGAGAGATAAGAAAATTTGAACACTGACCATTGATGCAGTTACAGTTACTTTTAAAATCAAGGTTAATAACATTTTAGTTATTTTAAAGAATTATAGTAATTTAGAGATGTATTCTGAATATTTTTAAATGAAAAGATATGCCTGGGATTTCTTCCAAAATGAATCTTGTAGGTTGGGAAGAAAATGAGAACATAGTAGAAACAAGACTGACAATGAGCTGTTGAGGTTGGGCAATGTGTACACTAAAGCTTATTTTATCTTATTTTACTGTATATACTGTTAAAGCTTGCATTATTTTCATAAATGCATTTGCTAAATGCAACTGTTATCAAATAAAGTGGATTGTGCTCTACTCATGCATTATTTTATTTGAATATTAGGTTTCCAGTTAAATGGTTTCCAGTTAAAACTTTCAATTTAATTTACAAAGATTTTTACATTACATACAAAGTGACCAAAGAAGCAGAACTTTAAAAATTAAATTTAATTGCCTGGAAATACACGAGAATTAAAAGTGTAATTAGACTGACACTGAAATTACCCTTCAAAATTTCGTATCTTTTAGGAACTTATATAATACAATTCATATCATTAAGGCTTAATCTTCTGAAACACTAATCGATAAAGATGAAGATTTTAGATAACAAATAATGTCAGAGACCATTGGAAGTCCTCAGCAATTGTAAATCTGTGAGCTTACAATACAATTTGGCCAAGGCAAATTATAGTCATTCTGAAGAAATTCTTGGGGAAAAAAATGACCTTTTCTAGAACTGAAAGCCCTCAACATCAAGGACCTTTGGTAAATGGGCCTAATGTGTTGCCCTCAACAGAGAGAACAGCAGAAATAATTTTATGACCATTTTAGATAATGCACAGTATTGTTTTGCCTCGATTTTTCGTATGTGCAGAAATGTTTACCACCAACACAAAAGTCCTGTTAAGAGATGTTTGTTAACGCTACAGCATCTTCACCAGCCCTATCATCTTCTGATTTAGACTGCTGCCTACAAATCATGGACTATTCGTGTAAGAATACATAGTAGATTAGATTCTAAACACAGGTATACCCCATTTTATTGTGTTTCACTTTATTGCACTTTGCAGATTTTTTTTCTTTTTTGTTTTCTTACGAATGGAAGGTCTGTAGTATCCTTGCATCAAACAAGTCTATCAGAGCCATTTTACCAATCATATGTACCTACTTTGTGTCTTTCTGTCACATTTTGGTAATTCTCACAATATTTCAAACTTTTACATTATTATTATATTGGTTTGGGTGACCTTTCATCAGTGATCTTTGATATTTCTATTGTAATTATTTTGAGGCATCACAAACCACACCCATATAACACAGTGAACGTGTTGATAAAAGTTGTCTGGGTTTTGACTGCTCCACTGACCAGCTCATCCCCTGTCTCTTTCCCTCTCATCAAGCCCTCCTATTCCCTAAGACACAACAATATTGAAATTAGGCCAATAAATAGCCTTACAATGGCCTCTAAATATGCAAATAAAAGGAAGTCACATCTTTCTCACTTTGAATCAAAAGCTAGGAATGATTAAGTTTGGTGAGGATGCCTTGTTGAAAACCAAGATAGGCTGAAAGCTAGGCCTCTTGCACAGAACAGTTAACCAAAATGTAAATGCAAAGGAAAAGTTCTTGAAAAAATTAAAAGTACTACTGCAGTGAACACATAAATGATAAGAAAGTGAAACAGCATTGTTGCTCATATGGAGAAAGTTTCAGTAGTCTGTAAAAAAAGCAGCAAACCAGCGCAACATTCTTTTAAGCCAAAGCCTAATCCAGAGCAAGGCCCAAACTCTCTCCAATTCTGTGAGGGCTGAGAGAGGTGAGGAACCTGCAGAAGACACGTTGGAAGCTGGCAGAGATTGGTTTATGAAGTTTAAGGCAAGAAGTCATATCTGTAACATAAAAATGCAAGAGGAAGCAGCAAGGGCTAATGTAGAGGCTGCAGCAGATTATCCAGAAGTTCTAGCTAAGTTCATTGATGAAGATGGCTAACCTAATAGATTTTCAATGTAGAGAAAACAGCTTTCTATTGGTTTATGATTCTGTCTACATGGCTACCTTCATAACTACAGAATATGATGCCATCTACATGGCTACCTTCATAGCTACAGAATCAATGTCTGGCTTCAAAGCTTCAAAAGACAGGCTGACTTTCCTGTTAGAGGATGATGCAGCTGGTAACTTGAAGTTAAAGCCAAAGCTCGTTGACTATTCTGAAAATTTTAGGTTCCTTAAGAATTACATTATATCTACTCTGCCTGTGCCCAACAAATTGTACTACAAAGTTTGCATGACAGCACATCTGTTTACAGCATGGTTAACTGGATATTTTAAGCCCACTCTTAAGATCTACTGCTCAGGAAAAAATAAGGCTCCTTCAAAATATTACTGCTCATTGACAAGGCACCTGGTCACCCAAGAGCTCTCTCGGAGATCTATAAAGAGATTAAGGTTGTTTATGCCTGCTAACATAACATCCATTCTGCAGCTCATGGATCAAAGAGTAATTTTGACTTTTGAGTCTTATTACTTAAAGATACATTTTGTAAGGCTATAGCTGCCATAAATAGTGATTCTTTTCTTGGATGTGGGCAAAGCAAATTGAAAACCTTCTGGAAAGTATTCACCATTCTGGATGCCAGTAAGAACATTCTTGACTCATCGGAAGAGGTCAAAATACAAATATTAACCAGAGTTTGGAAGAAGTACATTCCAACCCTTTTGAATGACTTTGAGTGTTCAGGACTTCAATGGAGAAAGTAATTGCAGATGTGGTAGAAATAGCAAGAGAACTCTAGTTAGAGGTAAAGCCTGAAGATGTGACTGAATTCCTTCAATCTCCTAATAAAACTAAAGGATGAAAAATTTGCTTCTTATGGATGGCAAAGAAAGCAGTTTCTTGCATTGAAATCTACCTCTGGTGAAGATGCTGTGAACATTGTTGAAATTACAAAAACAATTTAAGATATTACATAAACTTAGTTAATAAAGCAGCGGTAGAGTTTGAGAGGATTGACCTCAATTTTGAAAGAAGTCTGACTGTGGATAAAAATGCGATCAAACAGCATCAGAAGCTACAGAGAAATATTTCCTGAAAGAAAGATTCAATTGGTATGGCAAACTTCCTTATTGTTGTTTTTTTTTAATTGCCAAAGCCATCTGAACCTTTAGCACACCACCCTGATCAGTCAGCAGCCATCAACTTGACACAAGACCTTCCACCATCAATAAGACTTTCTGAAGCCTTAGAATAGCATTTTTAAGCAATAAAGTATTTTAAATAAAGGTATGTATGGTGTTATTTAAGACACAATGCTATTGCACAGTTAATAGACTATAGTATAGTGTCAAAATCACTTTTATATGCACATATGCACTGCGAAACCATGCAATGTTTGCTTTAGTATACTAGTCTGGAACTGAACCCACATTATATCTGTGCTATGCCTGTATATGTGTATATATGTATATACAGACAAAGCACATATATATATATAGACTATATATATAAAGAGATGTGTATGTGTGTGTGCAATGGCATTGTGTCTAAAATAACACTGTACATGACTTTATTTAAAATACTTTATTGCTTAAAAAATGCCAACATTTTTGAAACTGGCTGTCTAATCTCACCCTTCAAATCCCTACCCCATTTCCAATCTCCAACTGGCCCTCCTGAAAGTATCTGGCACAGAGGTCAGGCATGTTTTCTACCAGTTAATTTAAAAGAAATATAATGAACAGTGAAAGTCATAAAAAGAATATAAAGTGAATAAATTCCCACTCCCTGCCATCAAAATCCAATTGATAGATTTTTACTTTACCCACTGGGCTGAGGAAATCCTCTGGCCTCTCCTTAGGGAAGCATTTCAGATCTTCCATAGTCCAGAGGCAATTCAATCTTGTGCATGGTTCCATGTCTTGAAAGGAGAGAAAAGGTGGCTTCTTTTATCTCTGTGTTGCCATCCTGACTGCTCCTTTCTGTGTTCAACTTTTGCTTTTTTTTCTATAGGCTTTTTCTCTTCAGGATTGACAAACTCCTGAAGTCTCTATGGTCAGTCTTTTATGGGTTTCTCTTTCTTGCTCTACTCTATGACACATTCTGAATCACTGTCATGTTAGAAGGGAGAAATACATCTGTTACTTAGAATCTGGTTTAAACAGGACAGAAATGGCTCCTTAAGCTCAGGTTTGATAATATTTCTTTTAATGGATTCCCTCATAAAATCTACATGAAAGCAGTTTCTTTCAAATAACAAATGAATTTATAGTGATCATTTCTATGTGGCTATTCAGTATAAATAAGCTAGCCTTTAAGCTGAGACATCACTGAAATATACCAGACACGTGTCTCTGTAGAAACATAACAGAGTGCTGTGCCACATACATTGACCTTTCCAAATAATCTTGCTTTGTGAACCAAAGGAAATGTTAATTTCCTCAAGAGCAAGAGCTGATGCATTTGTCAAAGATAAATGAAAAAGGACACAATAGCAACACACTTCAAATGTGCTCTGGATACCGAAAGATAGCAAACATCAGTGACCTCAAGAACTAAAGTGGGATTTGGAGGTCCCCAAGTATAATGTATTCACTGGCACTTTTTAGTTCAAATGGACAGGCAATGGAGCAGAATTAATGCCCTGTGGAACTCATGGCTGTGCATCAAAATCCACCAAGTTACCAAGACCTATGGGCCTTCCAAACAACCCAGGTGAAGGTGGCACTCTTTACAGTGTGCCTGACTAGCAGAATACAGATTCGATTTTCTGACCCTTGAGAAAAACACAGAGCAGTCACTTTGAGCTAAGACTCCAAATTACAGCTGTGGTTCAACAGCTGTAATTGAAGAACCAGAGAAAGAAAAGAACAGCCAATTGAATATAGAAATAAATAATTTGTCATCTCAAAATGCTTCCAAAGTGCAATAAAAGACTGTTTGTAATGTAACTGAAATGATTCTGGAGATGAAATGATGTCAACATTTGGTGAAGGCATATTAGGAAAACACAGTTGCCTGAGTAGAAAACTCACAAAGCCCTTAGCTGGGCCTAATGATGTACAGAAAAAAGGAACATTATGGGGTCACCCACTTCATGCCACCACAAATCAACATGATGGAACACATCAAAGACACCAAGCAGACTCCTTAGCTGTATGCATCAGCGAGGGCCCCTCTGACTTCAACTGGAAGAACTTATGATAATAAAAGTAAAAATGAAAACAAGGGCTTTGCCAAACTTCCCACAAGAATCCTGTTTGAGGCTCCCGGTGGGTGGACGGGAGAGTGGGGGGTGAGGGAGAAGGCATGGTGCAGGGCACACAATTATGCCTTTGGAAATGGAAGGGAAAACATGGACCCTACATTTCTTTAAGATAATTCAGTTTAGTTCAACAAACATTAACTGAACATTATTAAATGATAGGCAGACACTATACTTAGCACTGAGAATTCTAGAAAATCACACCACTTGCTGTCATGAAGTTACTGCCTGGTGGAGAATAAATTATGTACTACAATCTGTTTATGCTAAAAACACATATAAAGCCGAAAATGATTTGTTCTATCTGAAAAACCAAAAAGAATCCACACATGCAGATATGGTAAGCATGGGCTTGAAGTGTGAATATGAATTCACTATGCAGAAGGGTCAGGAAAGGACATACCGACCTGGCCCTAAGAATGAAGTATTATAATTGGAGTGAATATCCAGAACCACTATTGCCAAGGAACTATTTTCTTTTTCTCCAATTCCTCTCTTCACATTTTCTTTTTTTTTAAGGGCGTAATCCCTAGAATTTGTTTTTTGTGTTTTTTTTAATTATACTTTAAGTTTTAGGGTACATGTGCACAACGTGGAGGTTTGTTACATGTATATACATGTGCCATGTTGGTGTGCTGCACCCATTAACTCGTCATTTAACATTAGGTATATCTCCTAATGCTATCCCTCCCCCCTCCCCCAACCCCACAACAGGCCCCGGTGTGTGATGTTCCCCTTCCTGCGTCCATGTGTTTTCATTGTTCAATTCCCACCTATGAGTGAGAACATGTGGTGTTTGGTTTTTTGTCCTTGCAATAGTTTGCTGAGAATGATGGTTTCCAGCTTCAACCATGTCCCTACAAAGGACGTGAACTCATCATTTTTTATGGCTGCATAGTATTCCATGGTGTATATGGGCCACATTTTCTTAATCCAGTCTATTTGGGTTGGTTCCAAGTCTTTGCTATTGTGAATAGTGCCGCAATAAACGTAAGTGTGCATGTGTCTTCATAGCAGCATGATTTATAAGCCTTTGGGTATATACACCCAGTAATTGGATGGCTGGGTCAAATGGTATTTCTAGTTCTAGATCCCTGAGGAATTGCCACACCGACTTCCACAATGGTTGAACTAGTTTACAGTCCCACCAACAGTGTAAAAGTGTTCCTATTTCTCCACATCCTCTCCAGCACCTGTTGTTTCCTGACTTTCTAATGATCGCCATTCTAACTGGTGTGAGATGGTATCTCATTGTGTTTTGATTTGCATTTCTCTGATGGCCAGCATTTTTTCATGTGTCTTTTGGCTGCATAAATGTCTTCTTTTGAGAAGTGTCTGTTCATATCCTTCACCCACTTGTTGATAGGGTTGTTTGTTTTTTTCTTGTAAATTTGTTTGAGTTCATTGTAGATTCTGGATATTAGCCCTTTGTCAGATAAGTAGATTGCAAAAATTTTCTCCCATTCTGTAGGTTGCCTGTTCACTCTGATGGTAGCTTCTTTTGCTGTGCAGAAGCTCTTTAGTTTAATTAGATCCCATTTGTCAATTTTGGCTTTGGTTGCCATTGCTTTTGGTGTTTTAGACATGAAGTCCTTGCCCATGCCTATGTCCTGAATGGTATTGCCTAGGTTTTCTTCTAGGCAATACCATTTATGGTTTTAGGTCTAACATTCAAATCTTTAATCCATCTTGAATTAATTTTAGTATAAGGTGTAAGGAAGGGATCTAGTTTCAGCTTTCTACATATGACTACCCAGTTTTCCCAGCACCATTAATTAAATAGGGAATCCTTTCCTCATTTCTTGTTTTTGTCAGGTTTGTCAAAGATCAGATAGTTGTAGATATGTGGCATTATTTCTGAGGTCTCTGTTCTGTTCCATTGGTCTATATCTCTGTTTTGGTACCAGTACCATGCTGTTTTGGTTACTGTAGCCTTATAGTATAGTTTGAAGTCAGGTAGCTTGATGCCTCCAGCTTTGTTCTTTTGGCTTAGGATTGACTTGGCAATGTGGGCTCTTTTTTGGTTCCATATGAGCTTTAAAGTAGTTTTTTCCAATTCTGTGAAGAAAGTCATTGGTAGCTTGATGGGGATGGCATTGAATCTATAAATTACCTTGGGCAGTATGGCCATTTTCATGATATTAATTCTTCCTACCCACGAGCATGGAATGTTCTTCCATTTGTTTGTATCCTCTTTTATTTCATTGAGTAGTGGTTTGTAGTTCTCTTTGAAGAGGTCCTTCACATCCCTTGTTTGGATTCCTAGGTATTTTATTCTCTTTGAAGCAAGTGTGAATGGGAGTTCACTCATGCCTTGGCTCTCTGTTTGTCTGCTATTGGTGTACAAGAATGCTTGTGATTTTTGTACATTGATTTTGTATCCTGAGGCTTTGCTGAAGTTGCTTATCAGCTTAAGGAGATTTTGGTCTGAGATGATGGGGTTTTCTAGATAAACAATCATGTCATCTGCAAACAGGGACAATTTGACTTCCTCTTTTCCTAATTGAATGCCCTTTATTTCTTTCTCCTGCCTGAGTGCCCTGGCCAGAACTTCCAACACTATGTTGAATAGGAGTGGTGAGAGAGGGCATCCCTGTCTTGTGCATGTTTTCAAAGGGAATGCTTCCAGTTTTGGCCCATTCAGTATGATATTGACTGTGAGTTTGTCATACATAGCTCTTATTATTCTGAGATACGTCCCATCAATATCTAATTTATTGAGAGTTTTTAGCCTGAAGCATTGTTGAATTTTGTCAAAGGCCTTTTCTGCATCTATTGAGATAATCATGTGGTTTTTGTCATTGGTTCTATTTATATGGTGGATTACATTTACTGATTTGTGTATGTTGAACCAGCCTTGCATCCCAGGGATGAAGCCCACTTGATCATGGTGGATAAGCTTTTTGATGTGCTGCTGGATTTGGTTTGCCAGTATTTTATTGAGGATTTTTGCATCGATGTTCATCAGGGATATTGGTCTAAAATTCTCTTTTTTTGTTGTGTCTCTGCCAGGCTTTGGTATCAGGATGATACTGGCCTCATAAAATGAGTTAGGGAGGATTCCCTCTTTTTCTATTGATTGGAATAGTTTCAGAAGGAATGGTACCAGCTCCTCCTTGTACCTGTGGTAGAATTTGGCTGTGAATCCATCTGGTCCTGGACTTCTTTTGGTTGGTAAGCTATTAATTATTGCCTCAATTTCAGAACCTGTTATTGGTGTATTCAGAGATTCAACTTCTTCCTGGTTTAGTCTTTGGAGAGTGTATGTGTCAAGTAATTTATCCATTTCTTCCAGATTTTCTAGTTTATTTGCATAGAGGTGTTTATTGTATTCTCTGATGGTAGTTTGTATTTCTGTGGGATTGGTTGTGATATCCCCTTTATCATTTTTTATTGCATCTATTTGATTCTTCTCTCTTATCTTCTTTATTAGTCTTGCTAGTGGTCTATCAATTTTGTTGATCTTTTCAAAAAACCAGCTCCTGGATTCATTGATTTTTTGAAGGGATTTTTGTGTCTCTATTTCCTTCAGTTCTGCTCTGATTATAGTTATTTCTTGTCTTCTGCTAGTGTTTGAAGGTATTTGCTCTTGCTTCTCTAGTTCTTTTAATTGTGATGTTAGGGTGTCCATTTTAGATCTTTTCTGCTTTGTCATGTGGGCATTTAGTGCTATAAATTTCCCTCTACACACTGCTTTGAATGTGTCCCAGAGATTCTGGTATGTTGTGTCTTTGTTCTCATTGGTTTCAAAGATCATCTTTATATCTGCCTTTATTTTGTTATGTACCCAGTAGTTATTCAGGAGCAGATTGTTCGGTTTCCATGTCGTTGAGTGGTTTTGAGTGAGTTTCTTAATCCTGAGTCCTAGTTTGATTGTACTGTGGTCTGAGAGACAGTTTGTTATAATTTCTATTCTTTTACATTTGCTGAGGAGTGCTTTACTTCCAACTATGCGGTCAATTTTGGAATAGGTGAGGTGTGGTGCTGAAAAGAATGTATATTCTATTGATTTGGGGTGGATAGTTCTGTAGAAGTCTATTAGGCCCACTTGGTGCAGAGCTGAGTTCAATTCCTGGATATCCTTGTTAACTTTCTCTCTCATTGATCTGTCTAATGTTGACAGTGGGGTGTTAAAGTCTCCCATTATTATTGTGTGGGAGTCTAAGTCTCTTTATTGGTCTCTAAGGACTTGCTTTATGAATCTGGGTGCTCCTGTATTGGGTGCATATATATTTAGGATGGTTAGCTCTTCTTGTTGAATTGATCCCTTTACCATTATGTAATGGCCTTCTTTGTCTCTTTTAATCTTTGTTGGTTTAAAGTCTGTTTTTATCAGAGACTAGGATTGCAACCCCTGCCTTTTTTTCTTTTCCATTTGCTTGGTAGATCTTCCTCCATCCCTTTATTTTGAGCCTATGTGTGTCTTTGCACATGAAATGGGTTTCCTGAATACAGCACACTGATGGGTCTTGACTCTTTATCCAATTTGCCAGTCTGTGTCTTTTAATTGGAGCATTTAGCCCATTTACATTTAAAGTTCATATCGTTATGTGTGAATTTGATCCTGTCATTATGATGTTAGCTGGTTATTTTGCTCGTTAGTTGATGCACTTTCTTCCTAGCCTTGATGATCTTTACAATTTGGCATGTTTTGGCAGTGGCTGGTACTGGTTGTTCCTTTCCATGTTTAGTGCTTCCTTCAGGAGCTCTTTTAGAGCAGGCCTGGTGGTGACAAAATCTCTCAGCATTTGCTTGTCTGTAAAGGATTTTATTTCTCCTTCACTTATGAAGCTTAGTCTGGCTGGATATGAAATTCTGGGTTGAAAATTCTTGTCTTTAAGAATGTTGAATATTGGCCCCCACTCTCTTCTGGCTTGTAGAGTTTCTGCTGAGAGATCAGCTGTTAGTCTGATGGGCTTCCCTTTGTGGGTAACCCAACCTTTCTCTCTGGCTGCCCTTAACACTTTTTCCTTCATTTCAACTTTGGTGAATCTGACAATTATGTGTCTTGGAGTTGCTCTTCTCAAGGAGTATCTTTCTGGTGTTCTCTGTATTTCCTGAATTTGAATGTTGGCCTGCCTTGCTAGATTGGGGAAGTTCTCCTGGATAATATCCTGCAGAGTGTTTTCCAGCTTGGTTCCATTCTCCCCATCACTTTCAGGTACACCAGTCAGACGTAGATTTGGTCTTTTCACATAGTCCCATATTTCTTGGAGGCTTTGTTAATTTCTTTTTATTCTTTTTTCTCTAAACTCTCTTCTTGCTTCATTTCATTCATTTGATCTTCCATCACTGATACCCTTTCTTCCAGTTGATTGAATAGGCTACTGAGGCTTGTGCATTCATCACGTAGTTCTCGTGCCATGGTTTTCAGCTCTATCAGGGTCTTTAAGGACTTTTCTGCATTGGTTATTCTAGTTAGCCATTCGTCTAATCTTTTTTCAAGGTTTTTAACTTCTTTGCCATGGGTTCAAAATTCCTCCTTTAGCTCAGAGTAGTTTGATCATCTGAAGCCTTCTTCTCTCAACTCATCAAAGTCATTCTCCATCCAGCTTTGTTCCATTGCTGGTGAGGAGCTGTGTTCCTTTGGAGGAGGAGAGGTGCTCTGATTTTTAGATTTTTCAGTTTTTCTGCTGTTTTTTTCCCCATCTTTGTGGTTTTATCTACCTTTGGTCCTTGATGATGTTGACCTACAGATGGGGTTTTGGTGTGTATATTCTTTCTGTTTGTTAGTTTTCCTTCTAACAGTCAGGACCCTCAGCTGCAGGTCTGTTGGAGTTTGCTGGAGGTCCACTCCAGACCCTGTTTGCCTGGGTATCAGCAGTGGAGGCTGCAGAACAGCGGATATTGGTGAACAGCAAATGTTGCTGCCTGATCATTCCTCGGGACGTTTTGTGTCAGAGGAGTACCCGGCCATGTGAGGTGTCAGTCTGCCCCTACTGGGGGGTGCCTCCCAGTTAGGCTACTTGGGGGTCAGAGACCCACTTGAGGAGGCAGTCTGTCCATTCTCGGATCTCAAGCTGCGTGCTGGGAGAACCACTACTCTCTTCAAAGCTGTCAGACAGGGACATTGAAGTCTGCAGAGGTTTCTGCTGTCTTTTGTTTGGCTATACCTTGTCCCCAGAGGTGGAGTCTATAGAGGCAGGTAGGCCTCCTTGAGCTGCGGTGGGCTCCACCCAGTTCGAGCTTCCCAGCTGCTTTGTTTACCTACTCAAGCCTGAGCAATGGCGAGTGCCCCTCCCCTAGCCTCGCTGCCACCTAGCAGTTTGATCTCAGACTACTGTGCTAGCAATGAGCAAGGCTCCATGGGTGTAGGACCCTCTGAGCCAGGCACACAATATAATCTCCTGGTGTGCCCTTTGCTAAGACTGTTGGAAAAGTGCAGTATTAGGGTGGGAGTGACCCGATTTTCCAGGTGCAGTCCATCACCCCTTTCCTTGGCTAGGAAAGGGAATTCCCTGACCCCTTGCACTTCCCTGGTGAGGCGATGCCTCGCCCTGCTTTGGCTCAGGCTCGGTGCACGGCACCCCCTGTCTGACAATCCCCAGTGAGATGCACCCGGTACCTCAGTTGGAAATGCAGAAATCATTCATCTTCTGCATTGCTCATGCTGGGAGCCATAGACTGGAGCTGTTCCTATTTGGCCATCTTGGCTCCACCCTCATATTTTCTCTTGAACCTACTCCAAACAGTCATTTGATGCTACCGCTTCACTAAAATACATTATGCCAAGGTCACCAATAATCATTCTGTTGCTGAATTCAAAATTGATTTTCAATCCTTACAATTTCATCTACTGGCAACATTTAATAGAATATACTACATACTCTTTTTGGAAACACTTTCTTCCTTTGGCTTCTGGGACAGCACAATCTTTTGCTTCTCCTCCAATCTCTAAGACCACTCCTTAGGTCTCCTTTGCAGTTTCTCCCTCATTTCTTTGCACTCTAAATGTTGGAGGGCCTCAGAACAAGGCCCTCAGTCCTCTTTCTTCTTTAATCTATCCAAATTAACTTCCTAAGAGATCTCACCCAGTCTCATACTTTTAAAAAGCATCTGCATGTTGATGACTCCAAAATTCAAACCTCTGGTCTGGATCTCAACCACGAATTTCAAGTCCATATATCTCACAGCCTACTAAAGAATTCTACTTTTAAGTCTCATAGAAATCTCAGCCTTAACATATCTCAAAAGAAACTCCTTACTCCCTCCTCAACCTGTTCCTACAGGTTGCTATTACTTAGATCTTCCCCACCTAAGTAATAGCATCTCCATTTTTTATTATTCATGTCAGAAATCTTGGTCACCCATGAGTCTTCTTTTTCACTCACATCCCATATTCAACCTCAGCACCAAATCTTATTGACTCTTCTTCCAAAATACATCCAGAATCTCACCCTTTCTCAGAATTTCTATTGCAAAAATCCTGGTCCATAGGGCAATAATCTCTCATTGGGAATATTGTAATAGCCTCCACAATGGGCCTCCCTGCTTCTATCTATTCCTGTTATCAGAATGGTTGTTCAAAACTGTCAATCAGATTATGGCATTCCTCTGCTCAGATCTGTCCATTGACTTCCTACCTGAGTCAGAGTAAAATCAACAGTTCCCTCCCAGCACTATCCTGACCTCACCTGCTATCACATTTGCCTACTCTCTGCTGGCTCTGCCTCAGCCATGTTGACCTCATTGCTAGTCCTCAAAAGTGCCAAGCGCTCCCCCACTTCAGGACCTTTGCACTTACCATTTCCTCTGCTTCAAAAGGTCTTACCTCATGGAATCACATGGTTCCCTTCCTGACTTTCTTTATATTTAAAATACACCTGTGCAATAATGTCTTCAAGGAACACTTTTTATAAAACAGCAACTCTCCCCCCTGACTCTAACATTTTCTATTCCCCTTTCCCTGCTTTTTCTAAATTGCAAAATTGCCACATGATATATGTGTATATTTATTTGTCTGTCTACCCCCATCAGAATATAAGTTCTTGAGGGCCAGAACATTATCTGCTGTGTTCACTGGTGTACCCCCAGCACCTACAATAGTGCCAGTTGTACAATAGGCACCCAATAAATATTTATTGACTGACTGCATGAATGAAAAGAAATGGAGGCCAGCTGTGGCGGCTCACACCCGTAATCCCAGCACTTTGGGAGGCTGAGTGGGCGGATCACCTGAGGTCAAGACTTCAAGACCAGCATGACCAACATGACGAAACCCCATCTCTACTAAAAATACAAAATTAGCCGGGCATGGTGGTGCATGCCTGTAATCCCAGCTACTCAGGAGGCTGAGGCAGGAGGATCACTGAACCCAGGAGGCAGAGGTTGCAGTGAGCAGAAATCATGCCACTGCACTCCAGCCTGAGCAATAGAGTGAGACTCTGTCTCAAAAAAAAAAAAGAAAGAAAGAAAGAAGGAAAAGAAAAGAAAAGAAAAAAGAAAAGAGAAAGAAAAGAAAAGGCTCCTAGCACCTGAACACTCAGAAGAAAGCCAGTTCAGAAAGAAGCAGCTAGAGATTGATGTCAAAAACACATCATTCCTTTCTTGCTTATATAAACAAAACACATGCACATGCACTCATACATGCACAGACACATAGTACGCACTGAAATTCTCATAACCAAATATAGACTCAATCACTGTAAGGCCCTCTTATAAACTTCACAAAGTTGCTAATTTAAGAACCTCTTCTTAGTTGGCAAACATTTTCTATAGTGAACACAAGATAGTAAATAGTTTAAGCTTTTTGATCTCTGTTCCATATGATCTCTGTTCAACTACTCAGCTCTGCCATTGTAGCACAAAAGAAGCTATAGAAAAAAACATCTTCTTAAGTAGAGTTAAATATTTGGACTAGATTCATACTCGAACTTTACCTGACTAGTAGGGTCCAGATTCTACTGCCTTTGGAGAAAAATTTATACTAAAATTTTTCTTTAAGAACTTTTGGAGAAATATAAGTACTAAAGTTTAATTTGTGCATGTCCTTCTACTAGCAATTTCATCCTAGGTATGTAACCTAAGAAAATCCTCTCACATATGCACAGAAGAGATACACATAAAATGTTCACTGCAGCATTATTCATAATAGAGGAAAATTGGAAACAATCTAAATATCCATCAACGGGAAAATGGATAAATGCACTATGGTAGATTCATACAGTAGAATATTAATTGGTACTTCAGAATTAGAGCCTGGATAAATCTCAAAAGCATTGATTGAGCATCTGAACAAGTTGCAGGATATATACCATATCATATACATAAACTTAAAATGTGTAACACAATACTATATGTAACTTGTGGATATATAAGAAACATAGTAAGAGTATAAAATGATAAACACCAATTTCAGTAGAGTGACTGCCTCACCCCACTGTCTTCAGTGGGAGACACAATAGGAAGGGAAAGAGGTAATGAGGGGCTTTGACTGTATCTGCGGTGACTTATTTCTTGAAAAGAACATATATCTACAGGAATATGTCAAGGTTTTAAGATCTGACAAAACTTGGTGGTATTTTTCAGTATTTCTCTTTGCTTTCCTATGTGCTTGAAATATTTCATAATTAAAAAAATACTCCATTCCCCCAAAATTGAGGATAACCAGATAAACAGTTCCCTCAACACGGTGTGGCATTAGTGAGATTCAATTATGTTTACAAGGGCATTCCAGGTGGAAAAACTGTATTTGCATAACTGCTTATTTTGGGTAACACTGATAGAGTTAAATCATGAAGGATCTTGTAAGTCATAATAAGCAGTTCGAATTTTATCCTGTTGGCACTTGAAAGTCATTGAATTTTAAGCAAGGGAGTAACATGATTTGATTTAAATTTTATTGAGATCACTCTTGGGGAGCAATTTGGGGAATAGAATGGAGGGTTAAAATGAATGGAACTAGTAAGACCAGTTTGGAGGCTTTTACAATGATCCATGCAAGATATAAGGGAGTCCTGGAGTAAGTGGCACTGATGATGGAGAAAAGTAGATGAATGTAAAAGTGTTTAAGAAGTAAAATCAGGCCAGGCACGGTGGTTCATGCCTGTAATCCCAGCACTTTGGGAGGCCAAGGTGGGTGGATCACTTGAGGTCAGGAGTTCAAGACCAGCCTGGCCAACATGGCCTTGTCTCTAGTAAAAATATAAAAATTACACAGACATGGTGGCAAACACCTGTAATCCCAGCTACTCGGTAGGCTGAGGTGGGGGAATCACTTGAACTTGGGAGGCGAAGGTTGCAGTGAGCTGAGATTGAGCCACTGCACTCCAGCCTGGGTGACAGAGTGAGACTCCATCTCAAAAAAAAAAAGAAGAAGAAGAAGGAAGAAGGAAGGAAGAAGGAGAAATAAACTCAACAGGAATCTGATGTGCAAAGTGCAGAAGGAAGTCCAGGGTGCCTTTCAGTTTTCTAGCCTGTTGGAATGAGTGGATAATGATTGTGCTCACTGGAATGGGGAGTAAGGGGAAGGAAGTGCAGATTTGGCCGTGGCAGGGAAGATAAAGAATTAATGCATGTTGAATTCCAGTCTCAATTGAGACATTCCTGAGGAGGATATCCATGAGGCATGTGGATGAGTAGATCTGCAGCTTTAGGAGAAAATTCATAAAGATAAATATTTGGTCTTCATCCATGTATAGCTGGCAGTTAAAACCATGAAAATGAAGGAGATCTCCTGGGATAGTATAGAGACTGGAGATTAAGGAGAGAAGAGAACCAAGGACAGAATCTGGAATCACCACCACATTGAATGAGACACAGTGAAGAGAATTCCACACAGAAGGCTGAGCATAAATTGGTGGAAATGTGGCAGAAGAGTGCAGAGATCATGGAAGGCAGCTTCATGACATTAAGCCTGAGTGCTAGAATCACAGCGCAAACCCTCTGCCCTCTCTTGTACTAAAAATGATTGAGAAATGCCTCCTCATCCTGAAGGTAATTTCTCCACCTGAGCTTTAAATAACTTCAAAAGTGAATGTGTAAACCCATGTAGAATATTGATCTGCTGCCAAGAAAAGTCTTAAGGGGATCAATTTCCATATCCTAAAATTCCATATGAACCTTCCTAAAACTGACCTACACACTTTGGGTTCAGGCACTGAAAAAATTCTCCTTTCTCACTTCTCCGTTAGCAGTCACCATCTTTCCCCTTCACAAAAGAAAGGCATTCTCCTCATCTATCCCTAATGGTAATCAGATAAATTTCCTTAGAATATAAAAACCTCCAACAGGTCAAAGAAACACATCAAGATTTTAGCCTTGAGCAAAGTCCTCTTGAATTGATTAAGGCACCAAAAACATATGATGGGCCTACGTTTTTCCCTTACACATTTCTGTTAAGGGCACAGCCTGGCTCTAGAAGCCTATGTTCTGTATCCATCTCCTTTTGTGACCGTTTTCACTCCTTTTCATCTCACCTCTTATTCCCATGTCCAGTTCTTCAAAGGCTTTGACCAGCTTCATGCAGGTACAACCTAGAAGCTTCTGGCTTCAGTTTCTCTGATGTGGATACCAGTGGGAACTCACACAAATGCAACCCAACTGTGTGGGAAGTTATTCTGTAGAGTAATCCTTGAACCATGGCAGTAGGTAGTTAAAGTCTTCCCCCTCTGTTCACCAAGAGACAATCCTGAGACACATTTCATTAGGATTCTCTGATGATCCACTGTTATCCCGCAGCCAATCTCCTATAATAGTAGCCAGCTGAATAAAGCTTCCTTTATTGGCTCTTCTGCTTCCTCCTTCACTCACCTGTGTCACTCCTCCCTATAGGCAAGCATTTGTTTTAGGCTCTGCTATGGGAGAACCCAGGAAAAGAGAGTTAAGATGTTCTGAATTCAGATGTTTTGTAGGATGGGGCAGAAGAAATGAGGGTGATTTCATTTACCAACTTCCCCTCTTCCATCTCTGGACTACTACCAAGGAACACATCACGTTAAGGAGAATGCTATGAGAGCAAAGCAATGAGAGAGAATACAGGAAAACGTGGAAGCTTCAGTGCCTTATTTTACCCAAGCAACAAACTCAAGGCAAGGCTCTGTGGAGTACCCTTCTATTTGCCCGAGAATAGACTATTTGAGATATGCGGTAGGCATTTTGGGAAATCCAGTCGAGTATGAGGTTCAACCCTCTGCAATTTTTTTTTTTTTAATGAAAAGAGCGTGAGAAGAACTCAATTCAGCTGCTGCTTCATCTAGGGCACAGGTGTATGCGTTCATGATTTCAAGGATGAGGTGAAAAACTCCTCAGTCAGCCAGTGTTACAGCTTCAAATAAAAGGAACACATATTGAAGGTAAGTTAGCATTTTATATTAAACATTTATTCAGACATGTAAAAGAAACAATTTTATTAACTCATTACTAAAATATTTAAGCAACTTGAAACCTCCTGCTTGCTGCCTCTTGTCATTTCTCTGCTCATTCATTTCTATTATGTGTTTATTAGATTTAGGTTAACTTAATAGAAATATGTTATTGATTTTATTATACATAGTTTAAAATTGTCAATTCACTTCTTGTAAGTTCTACATTTACTGGTGGCCCAATACCTTCTCTTTTTTTTTTTTTTTGTCTTTCATTTGTTTCTTGCTATAAATTTCCACAAAGCAGTTAAAATGTACCTTTAAAGCAAAACATTTCCTTGTGTATGGAAATAGGATAAAATGTTTCCAGAGCAATCTAGGATATAATGCCTTGAAGTTTAGAAAACTCACTCTATCAGTGTTTTTTCTCCCTCTCCAAAGCAGATACGCTGTTCAATTCTTTCAAATGTGTGAGCAGTTGTCTTAAACTATAAAATGAAACTACCAATCTAGCTATGTATAAAAATACTCAAGAACATGACTCTTTCTAACCTCACATCTTTCCAAGGTACTTTGAGATTACCTGGAAAATTGTAATTTAGATGAATATGTAGGTCTGGATTCACAGTCAATGGGAAAAGTCCTAAAATGCACAATTTCCAGGGTTTCTTTTTTTTTTTTTTTTTTTTTTTTGGCAGGGAGTGGTTTTACCCAATGGCCATCTAATGTTAGCTCCATAAACAAGTTGCCTATAAGTGAAAGTATAGTTGGTATAAGAGGCCTTTCATCTCAGGAGAGAGGATTGCTTGAGCCTGAGAGGTCAAGTTTGCCATGAGCCATGATCCCACCACTGCATTCCAGCCTGAGCAACCCTATCTCAAAAAAAAAAAAAAAAGGCATTGATAAGCCTTGATAAAGCCTTCTTGATGTATTTCCCAGGAAATGAGAAAGTTATTCTAAGGGCCAGGTTGAAGAATCCTTTTAAGTCAGCACTTTTCTGTTTTTTGTCTTCAACAAAATTAAAGGGAGGTATAACAGTGGTCAATAGCTAGATTTTTAAATATAATTTTTGATAACATATCACTATGAATTTGAGTGTATGACTTGGATGAATTTCTAAGAATTGAGTGATGTTATAAAAAATTATATTCTTTATTTACTATGTAAATAAATATTTCTCATTTACTATATAAAAAAGAATATAGTTAATGCTGAATCCTGTCTCATTCTATCAGTAAGTCCTATTTATCTATGGATACATTATTCAAGTAGACAAAAAGAAAACTATCTGACAAGGCAATGTCTTGTCATAAAATTTCAATTTCTAGGTTTGATAATTATCAATAACATTTATATTAATAACCTACTATAACTTACACTAAAACATGCAGTCTTTGAGAAAATATTATTTTCATTCATATACATATTTTTATTGCAGAGAAGTTTGTAGAATGATATATAATATATTTAAGCATAAAATAATACATTGGAATAAAATTCAGAGGGAAAATGAAATAAAAATATGATTTCAAGAAGAAAAGGTAACAATGGAGATTTTTCAGCTATTTAAAGAACTCCAATATATATTGATATTTTTAACAGATGATGGTAAATGTCAAATTTTTTATAACATTTAATTTCCTTATTTACATTTAAAGAGCAATGTAACAGTTTTGGGATTGTTTTGCCCACCCCCCCCCCCAACCATTTATTTTTTTAATTGACAAAAATATTGCATATATTTGTGTTCAATCTAAGGTTCTGAAATGTGTATATGTCATAGGGTAAATAAATATAACATATGCATTACCTCACATATCCTTTTTTGTGGTGGGAATATTTAAAATCTCAGTGATTTTTGAGAATATAATGTGTTCATATTAACTGCAGTCACCAGGTTGTACACCAGGTAGATCTCCTGAATTTACTCCTCTTCACTGAAATTTTGTATCCTCTGACCAACATCTCCCTAACTTCCTCCTGGTAACCTTACTGGTAACCACCATTCTGCTCTCTGTTTCTATGAGTTCAACTTTTTTAGATTCCACATATAAGTGAGGTCATGCAGTATTTGTCTTTTTATGCCTGGCTTATTTAATTTAATATAATGACCTCCAGTTCTATTAATGTTTCCACAAATGACAGAATTTCTTTCTTTTTTATGACTGAATAATATTCCATTGTGTATATATATATATGACTCTTTTTAATCCATTCATCCGTTAATGAACACTTAGGTTGATTCCATATCTTAGCTATTGTGAATAATGGTGCAATGAATATGAGAGTGCTGATCTCTTCAGCATACTGATTTCATGTCCTCTGAATATGTATCCAGTAGTGGGATAGCTGGATCATATGGTAGTTACATATGTATATTGTTCTCGAGGATCTACCATGCTGTTTTTCATGACTCTAACTAATTTACATTCCCACCAAGTGTACAAGAATTCCCTTTAATCTGCATTCTTGCCAACATTTATCTTTTTTCTTTTCAATAATACCTACTCTAATATGTGTAAGGTGATCATTGTGGTTTTAATTTGCATTTTATAATTGATTAGTAATGTTCAGCATTTTTTCATGTACCTATTGACTGTATGTGGTCTTTTGAGAAATGTCTGTTCAAGTCCTTTGCCCATTTTAAAATCAGATTGTTTTCCTGCTATTGAATTGTTAGAGTTACTTATATATTTTGGATATTAACCCCTTCTCATGTGTCAAATATTTTCTCTCATTTGCTAGGTGGTCTCTTCACATGTTGAATATTTCCTTGGCTGTGCAGACGCTTTTTAGTTTGTGTAATGCCATTTGTCTAACTGTGCTTTTGTTACCTGTGCCTTTGGAGTCTGTAAAAAAAAAAAAAACATCACCAAGACCAATGTCATGAAGATTTTGCCTATGATTTCTTCTGGTAGTTTTATAATTTCTGTGTTTACATTCAATTCCTTAACCTATTTTGAGTTGATTTTTTCCTGAGCTATATATTTTTAAATAATTTTATATTTTATTTTAGATTCAGGGGGTATATGTGCAGGTTTGTTACCTGGGTATATTGTGTGATGCTGAGGTTTGGGGTATGAATGATCTTTTCACCCAGGTACTGAGCATAGTACCCAATAGATAGTTTTTCAGCCCTTGACCACTCCTTCCATCTCTCCACTAGAAATCCCCCATGTCTATTGTTGCCATCTTTATATCCATAATTACCAAGTGTTTAGCTCCCATTTATAAGTGAGAACATGTGGTATTTGGTTTTCTGTTCCTGTGTTAATTCACTTAGGATAATGGCCTCCAGCTGCATCCACATTGCTGCAAAGAACATGATTTCATTTTTTATGGCTGCATGGTATTCCATGGTATATATGTACAACATTTTTTTTTTGTCCAATCCACTGTGGATGGGCATCTAGGTTGATTCCATGAGCATAAGAGTATGTGTGTCTTTTTGGTAGAATGATTTATTTTCTTTTGGATATAAACCTGGGTGGAATGGTAGTTGTTTTTAGTTCTTTGAGAAATGTCCAAACTGCTTTCTGCGGTGGCTGAACTAATTTATATTTCCACCAACAATGTATAAACATTTTATTTTCTCCATAGCCTTTCCCAGAATCTTGTTTTTTCACTTTTTAATAATAGCCATTCTAACTGGTGTGAAATAATATCTCATTGTGGTTTCAACTTGCATTTCTCTCTGACGTTTAGTGATGAGCATTTTTTCATATGTCTGCTGGCCACTTGTATGTCTTCTTTTGAGAAGTGTCCATGTCTTTTGCCTACATATTTTTTTGAGATGGAGTTTTGCTCTTGTTGCTTTTTCAACAGTTTAAGTTCTCTATGGATTCTGGATATTAGAACTTTGTCACACACATAGTTTGCAAATATTTTTTTTCATTCTGTAGGTTGTCTATTTACTGTTGAGAGTTTTCTTTTGCTATTCAGAAGACTTTTAGTTTAATTAGGTTCAACTTAGCAATTTTTGGTTTTGTTGGAATTGCTTTCAAGGACTCAGTCATAAATTCTATCCCAAGGCTCATAACTAAAATGGTATTCCTAGATTTTCTGCTAGGATCCTTATACTTTGAGGCCTTACATTTAAATATTTAATCCTTCTTGGGTTAATTTTTGTATATAGTGAGAGGTAGGAGTCCAGTTTTATTCATCTCTGCACAGAATGGATGGGGTGACTTGGGTTGCCACCCAGTTGAGCAAGTGTTCCAAATGCCTGAAGATCTGCCTCAGTATGAAGCACAAAGGCCTCCCCTGCACCAGGATCTTTGCACAGGAAGGGCAGCATGGCTGAAGCTGCTAGTTCATTTGAGCAAGTGCTTCAAATGCCTGGTGATTTGGATAATGTCCAAAATGTCTAGGTGTGGAGTAGAGAGGGCCCTACTGCATCATGATCTACACACAAGAAGATCCACCTGCTGATCCAGGTGAAGGAGTACTTCAAATGTCTGGAGATTTACCTGGGGGTGGAGCACACCAGGTTCTAATATGGTTTGGGTCTGTGTTCCCACCCAAATCTCAAGTCAAACTGTAATCCCCAATGTTGGAGGTGGAGCTCGGTGGGAGGTAATTAAATCTTGGAGGCATATTTCCCATTTGGTGCTCTTCTCATGACAGTGAGTGAGTTATCTCGAGATTTGGTTGTTTAAAAGTGTGCGACACCTCCCCTCTCTCTCTCTTCCTCCTGCTTCAGCCATGTAAAACATGCCTGCCTCCCCTTCACCTTCCACTATGATTGTAAGTTTACTGAGGCCTTCCCAGAAATGTTTCCTCTACAGCCTGCAGAACTGTGAATCAATTAAACCTCTTTACATTGTAAATTACCCAGTCTCTGGTATTTCTTTATAGCAATGCAAGAACAGAGTAATATAGAAAATTGGTACCAGGAATGGGGCATTGCTATAAAGATACCTGAAAATATGGTGGAAATGGCTTTGGAACTGGGTAATGGGCAGAAGTTTGAACAGTTCGAAGGACTCAGAAGAAGACAGGAAGATGAGGGAAAGTTTGGAATTCCTAGAGACTTGCTGAATGGTTGTGACCAAAATGCAGATAGTGATATGGATGGTGAAGTCTAGGTTGAGGAGGTCTCAGATGGAAATGAGAAACTTATTGGGAACTGGAGTAAAGGTCACTCTTGATGTGCTTTAGCAGAGATTGGTGGCATTGTGCCCCAGCTCTAGGGATCTGTAGAATTTTGAAATTGAGAGAGATGATTTAGAGTACCTGGTGGAAGACATTTCTAAGCAGCAAAGTGTTCAAGGTAAACCTGAACTGCTAAATCCTGGCTGCTTCTAAAAGCCTATGCTCATATGCATGAGCAAAGAAATGACCTGAAACTGGAACTTATATGTAAAAGGGAAGCAGATCATAAACGTTTGAAAACCTTGCAGCCTGGCCATGCAGTAGAAAAGAAAAACCCATTTTCTGGGAAGAAATTCAAGCCAGCTGAAGAAATTTGCTTAACTAAAAGGAAGGCAAGAACTAGTAGCCAAGACAATGGGGAAAAAAAGCCCTTGAAGACACATCAGAGACCTCACAGCAGCCCCTCCAATCACAGGCCCCAAAGCCTAAGAAGAAAGAATGGTTTCATGAGCCAGACACAGGGCCCTGCTTTCCTGTGCAGCCTCAAAACACTGCTCCCTGCATCCTGGCTGCTCCAGTTCCAGCTGTGGCTCAAAGGATCCTAGGTACATCTCAGGCTGCTGCTTCTGAGGATTCAAGCCACAAACCTTAGCAGCTTTTACGTGGTGTTAAGCCTGCAGCTGCACAGAGTGTAAAAGTTGAGGCTTGGGAGCCTCTGCCTAGATTTCAGAAGATGTATGGAAAAGCCTGGAACACCAAGCAGAAGCCTCCACACAGAGTCCCCAATGGGACTCTGCCTACTGGACCTGTGAGAAGAGGGCTAGATACACTGACAGCTTGTACCCTGCACCTGGAAAAGACACAGGCACTAAATGCCACCCCTGAAAGCAGCCTCAGGGACTGTACCCTGTAGAGCCTCGGGTGGAGCTGCCCAAGGCCTTGGGAGCCTACCCTTCACACCAGTGTGCCCTGAGTGTGAGACATAGAGTCAAAAGAGATTATTTTGGAGCTTTAAGATTTAATAACTGCCCTGCTGGGTTTCAGATTTGCATAGGGCCTGTAGCCCTTTCTTCTCCCCAGTTTCTCCCATCTGGAAAGGGAGTATTTACCCAATGCCTGTACCCTCATTGTATCCGTGAAGTAACTAATTTGTTTTTTATTTTACAGGCTCATAGGTGGAAGGGACTAGCCTTGTATTAGATGAGGCTTTGGACTTTGGACTTTTGAGTTAATGCTGGAATGAGTTAAGACTTTGGGGTAGCGTTTGGAAGGCATTATTGTATTTTAAAATGTGAGAAGGACATGGGATATTGGAGGGGCTAGGGATGGAATAATATGGTTCGGGTCTGTGTCTCCACCCAAATCGCATGTCAAATTATAATACCAACATTAGAGTAGGCACCTGGTGGGAGGTGATTGGATCATGAGAACATATTTCCCCTTTGGGGCTGTACTCATGATAGTAAGTTATCACGAGATCTGGTTGCTTAAAACTGTGTAGCGCCTCCCCTCCCTTCCTTCCTCCTGCTCCAGTCATGTAATACAGATCTGCTTCCTCTTTGCCTTCTGCTATGATTGTAAGTTTTCTGAGGCCTTCCCAGCCGTTTTCTGTACAGCCTGCAGAACTGTGAGCCAATTAAACCTCTTTTCTTCATGAGTTACCAAGTTGGCTGGGTATTTTATAAAGTATTTCTTTATAGCAGCGTAAGAACAGACTAGTACAGGGTCCCACTCCACCATGATCTCAGGGAAGCAGGCTGGGCACCCAGCAATGACACACATGACCAGTTTTGATCTCCATGCTGGCTATAGCTGCAAGTCTCATCACCTGGGAGAAACTGTAGCCATAGCAGCTGTCCTCCCACCCCAGGACTGTGACCAGGGAGAACACAATTCCAGCACCTTCTGCTGAGATGATTTCCACATTTCTGGCTGTGGAGGCACCTACCTGGCTCCAGAATAAGCACCTCAGTCTTTGGCCTGAGACTATAATGCCTGCATGGCCATGCTGCCAGGTTGCCAAAGAATGGTCAACTTTGTGTGTACTCAGATTAAAAATGGCATCTTGGGCCAGGTGTGGTGGATCATGCCTGTAACCCCAGCACTTTGGGAGGCTGAGTGGGGGCAGATCAGTTGTGGTCTAAAGTTTGAGACAAGCATGGCTAACATGGTGAAACCCTGTCTCTACGAAAAAATACAAGAATTAGCCAGGCGTGGTGGTGGGCACCTGTAGTCCCAGTTACTCAGGAGGCTGAGGCAGGAGAATCGCTTGAACCTGGGAGGTAGAGATTGCAGTGAGCCAAGATCGCACCATTGCACTCCAGCCTGGGCAACAGAGCAAGACTAAATCTTAAAAAAAAAAAAAAAATGGCATTTTGCTCTCAGTCACAGATACAGGAAAATGCCTGCAGCTTTTCCAAGTCTTTCCCTCTCAGCACTTCCAAGCCTCTGGGTTGCTTGGATTCTCAGTGGAAGGGTGAGTCACAGAGAGAGGCACTCTTTCTCTCTCACTTAATGGAAATTTACTCACTTTTATCAGCTGGACACCATCACAGGAGCTGTTTGCCCACATTCTCCTCCCCTGGGTCTGTAGTGTTCTTCACAATTCCAGTGGATTCCCATTTTCCTTATCAAAAATGCAGTTATTTTTCACAGAGTTGTACTTTATGCACTACCTTGTTATTTCCAAGTGGTTGAGGCTCACTAAAAGCCTCATCTTTCATCTTGGAGGAAAAAATATATGGTATGAGATAGGGCCTGTAATATTTTTTTCTAATTTAATTATTCTGCATGTGGAAATACAGTTTTTCTAAGACCATTCATTGAAAATATTATGTTTCCCCATTGTTTCTTCTTGGCACCTTTATTAAAAATCCATTGACTGTAAATATTTCTGCATGTGAAAATACAGTTTTTCTAAGACCATTCATTGAAAATATTATGTTTCCCCATTGTTTCTTCTTGGCACCTTTATTGAAAATCCATTGACTGTAAATGTGTAGTTATATTTCTGTGCCTGCTGTTGCGTTCCATTGGTCTATGTATCTGTTTTTATGCCAGTGCCATGTTGTTTTGATTACTGTGGCTTTGTGGTATAGTCTCAAGTCAGATAGTACAGTACAATACGTCAAGCTTTGTTCTTTTTGCTCAACATTACTTTGATTATTAGGAGTCTTTTCTGGTTTCATATAACTTTTAGGATTTATTTCTATTTCTGTGAAAAATGTTATTATGTGATAGCATTTGCATTGACTCTGCAGGTCACTTTGGATAGTATGAATGTTTTAACAATATTCTTCAATTCCATGAACATGGGATAGCTTTTCATTTATTTATGTATTCATCATTTATTTCACCAGTATTTTAGAGTTTTCAGTATACATGTCTTTCACCTCCTTGGGTAAATTTATTTCTACGTATTTAATTCTTGGTAGCTACCGCAAATAGGATTTTTTTCTTTTTCCTTTTTTTTTTTTTTTTTTTTGGATTGATCATTCCTAATGTATAGAAATGCTACTGATTCTTTGTATGTTGATTTTTCTATTCTGCAACTTTACTGAATTTATTCTAACTAATTAGTTTTTAAGGGAATTCTTAGGGTTCTCTATATATAAAATCATCTCATTGGCAAACAGATCCAATTTACCTTCTTTTTTTCCAATTTGAATGCTTTTATTTCTTTCTCTTCTCTAATTTCTCTGGCTAGAAGTTCAATAGTATGTTGAAAAGAGATGATGAGAGGGATCCTTGTCTTGTTCCTGATCTTAAAGGAAAAGATTTCAACTTTTCACCAATGAGTATAATGTTTGCAATGGGCTTGTCAAATGTGGTGTTTATTGTGTTGAGGTGCATTCCTTCTAAACTTGTTAAAAGTTTTTGTTAAAAGTTACCATGAAAGGGTGTTGAATTTTTTCAAATGCTTTTGCTGCATCTACTATATTTTATAGATTATATTTTTTGACCTTCATTCTGTTCTGTTAATGTGATGTACAATATTTTTTCTTTTTTTATTATACTTTATTATAAAGTATATTATTTCTTTTTTATTATACTTTTTTCTTTTTTTTTAATTCTTTAAGTTCTGGGGTACATGTGCAGAATGTTCAGTTTTGTTACACAGGTATACATGGGCCACAGTGGTTTGCTGCAACCATCAACCCATCATCTACATTAGGTATTTCTCCTAATGCTATCCCTCCCCTTGCCCGCCTTCCCCCGACAGGCCCCGGTTTGAGATGTTCCCCTCCTGGTGCACATGTATTCTCATTGTTCAACTCCCACTTATGAGTGAGAACAAGCAGTGTTTGGTTTTCTATTCCTGTGTTAGTTTGCTGAGAATGATGGTTTCCAGCTCCATCCCTGTTCCTGTAAAAAACATGAACTCATTCTTTTTTATGGCTGCTTAGTATTCCATGGTGTATATATGCCACGTTTTCTTTATCCAGTATAACATTGATGGGCATTGGGGTTGGTTCCATGTCTTTGCTATTGTGAATATTTCTACATTAAACATAAATATGCATGTGTCTTTATAGTAGCATAATTTACAATCCTTTGGGTATATACCCAGTAATGAGATTACTGGGTCAAATGGTATTTCTAGTTCTAGATCATTGAGGAATCACCACACTGTCTTCCACAATGGTTGAACTAATTTACACTCCCACCAACAGTGTAAAAGCATTCCTATTTCTCCACATCCTCTCCAGCATCTGTTGTTTCCTGACTTTTTAATGATCGCCATTCTAACCGGCATGGGATGGTATCTCATTGTGGTTTTGATTTGCATTTCTCTAATGACCAGTGATGATGAGCATTTTTTCATATGTTTGTTGGTTGCATAACTCTCTTGAAGTGTCTGTTCATATACTTCACCTATTTTTTGATGGGGTGGTTTTTTCTTGTAAATTTGTTTAAGTTCTTTGTAGATTCTGGATATTAGCCCTTTGTCAGATGGATGGATTGCAAAAATTTTCTCCCTTCTGTAGGTTGCCTGTTCACTCTGATGATAGTTTCTTTGCTGTGCAGAAGCTCTTTAGTTTAATTAAATCCCATTTGTCTATTTTGGCTTTTGTTGCCATTGCTGCCATTGTTGCCATTTGGTGTTTTAGTCATGAAGTCTTTGCCCATGCCTATCTCCTAAAATGTATTGCCTAGGTTTTCTTCTAGGGTTTTTATGGTTTTAGGTGTTACATTGAAGTCTTTAATCCATCTTGAGTTAATTTTTGTACAAGGCATAAGGAAGGGATTCAGTTTTAGCTTTCTGCATACAGGTAGCCAGTTTTCCCAACACCATTTATTAAATAGGGAATCCTTTCCCCATTGCTTGTTTTTGTCAGGTTTGTCAAAGATCAGATGGGTGTAGATGTGTGGTGTTATTTCTGAGGCCTCTATTCTGTTCCATAGGTCTGTATATCTCTTTTTGTTCAAGTACCATGCTGTTTTGGTTACTGTAGCATTGTAGTATAGTTTGAAGTCAGGTAGCATGATGCCTCCGCTTTGTTCTTTTTGCTTAGGATTGTCTTGGCTATGTGGGCTCTTTTTTGGTTCCATATGAAATTTAAAGTAGTTTTTTCTAGTTCTGTTTAGAAAGTCAATGGTAGCTTGATGGGAACAGCATTGAATCTATAAATTACTTTGGACAGCATGGCCATTTTCACGATATTGATTCTTCCTATCCATGAGCATGTAATGTTTTTCCATTTGTTTGTGTCCTCTTATTTCCTTGAGCAGTGGTTTGTTATTCTCCTGGATGAGGTCCTTCACGTCCCTTGTAAGTTGTACTCCTAGGTATTTTATTTTCTTTGTAGCAATTGTGAATGGGAGTTCACTCATGATTTGGCCTTCTGTTTATCTATTATTGGCATATAGGAATGCTTGTGATTTTTGCACATTGATTTTGTATCCTGAGGCTTTGCTGAAGTTGCTTATCAGCTTAAGATTTTGGGCTGAGACGATGGGGTTTTCTAAATATACAATCAGGTCATCTGCAGAGACAATTTTACTTCCTCTTTTCCAAATTGAATGCCCTTTATTTTTTTATCTTTCCTCATTGCCCCGGCCAGAACTTCCAGTACTATGTTGAATAGGAGTGGTGAGAGAGGGCATCCCTGTCTTGTGCCAGTTTTCAAAGGGAATGCTTCCAGTCTTTGCCCATTCAGTATGATATCGGCTGTCGGTTGGTCATAAATGTCTCTTATTATTTTGAGATATGTTTCATCAATACCTAGTTTATTGAGAGTTTCTAGCATGAATTGGTGTTGAATTTTATTGAAGGCTTTTTCTGCATCTATTGAGATAATCATGTGGTTTTTGTAGTTGGTTCTGTTTATGTGATGGATTATGTTTATTGATTTGTGTATGTTGAACCAGACTTGCATCCCAGGGATGAAGCCGACTTGATCGTGGTGGATAAGGTTTTTGATGTGCTGCTGCATTCAGTTTGCCAGCATTTTCTTGAGGATTTTCACATCGATGTTCATCACTGATATTGGCATACAATTTTCTTTTTTTGTTGTGTCTCTGCCAGGTTTTGTTATCGGATGATGCTGGCCTCATAAAATGAGTTAGGGAGGATTCCCTCTTTTTCTATTGTTTGGAATAGTTTCAGAAGTAATGGTACCAGCTCTTGTTTGTACCTCCGGTAGAATTCAGCTATGAATCCGTCTGGTCCTGGACTTTTTTTTGGTTGGTAGGCTATTAATTGCTGCCTCAATTTCAGAACTTGTTATTGGTTTATTCAGGGATTTGACTTCTTCCTGGTATATTCTTGGGAGGGTGTATGTGTCCAGGAATTTACTCATTTTTTCTACATTTTCTAGTTTATTTGTGTAGAGGTATTTATGTATTCTGATGGTACCTTGTATTTTTGTGGGATCAGTGGTGATATCCCCTTTATCATTTTTTATTGCATCTATTTGATATTTGATTCTTCTCTCTTTTCTTCTTAGTCTGGCTAGCAGTCTATCTATTTTGTTGATCTTTTCAAAAAACCAGCTCCTAGTTTATTGATTTTTTTGAAGGGGTTTTTGTGTCTCTATCTCCTTCAGTTCTGCTCTGATCTTAGTTATTTCTTGTCTTCTGCTAGCTTTTGAATTTGTTTGCTCTTGCTTCTCTAGTTCTTTCAATTTTAATGCTAGGATGTCAATTTTAGATCTTTGCTGCTTTCTCTTGTGGGCATTCAGTGCCATTAATTTCCCTCTGCACACTGCTTTAGCTGTGTCCCAGAGATTCTGGTATGTTGTGTCTTTGTTCTCATTGGTTTTGAAAAACATCTTTATTTCTGCCTTAATTTTGTTATTTACCCAATAGTCATTCAGGAGCAGGTTGTTCAGTTTCCATGTAGTTGTGTGGTTTTGAGTGAGTTTCTTAATCCTGAGTTCTAATTTAATTGCACTGTGGTCTGAGAGACTGTTTGTTATGATTTCCATTCTTTTGCATTTGCTGAGGAGTGTTTTACTTCCAATTATGTGGTCAATTTTAGAATAAGTGCAATGTAGTGCTGAGAAGAATGTATATTCTGTTGAGTTGGGGTGGAGAGTTCTGTAGATGTCTGTTAGGTCCACTTGGTCCAGAGCTAAGTTCAAGTCCTGGATATCCTTATTAATTTTCTGTCTCATTGATCTGTCTAATATTGACAGTGGGATGTCAAAGTCTCCCACTATTATTGTGTAGGAGTCTAAGTCTTTTTGTAGATCTCTAAGAACTTGCTTTATGAATCTGGGTGCTCCTGTATTGGGTGCATATATATTTAGGATAGTTAGCTCTTCTTGTTGCATTGATCACTGTACCATTATGTAATGCCCTTCTTGGGCTTTTTTTGTCTTTGTTGGTTTAAAGTCTGTTTTATCAGAGACTAGGATTACAACCCCTGCTTTTTTTTTTCTTTCCATTTACTTGGTAAATATTCCTCCATCCCTTTATTTTAAGCCTATGTGTGTCTTTGCATATGAGATGCGTCTCCTGAATACAGCACACCGAGGAGTCTTGACTGTTTATCCAATTTGCCAGTCTTTGTCTTTTAATTGGGGCATTTAGCCCCTTTACATTTCAGATTAATACTGTTATGTGTGAATTTGATCCTGTCATCATGATGCTAGCTGGTTATTTTGCCCATTAGTTGATGCAGTTTCTTCATGGTGTTGATGGTCTTTACAATTTGGTATGTTTTTGCAGTGGCTGGTACCAGTTGTTCCTTTCCATGTTTAGTGCATCCTTCAGGAGCTCTTGTAAGGCAGCCCTGGTGGTGACAAAATCTCTCAGCATTTGCTTGTCTGTTAAGGATTTTATTTCTTCTTTGCTTATGAAGATTAGTTTGGCTGGGTTGAAAATCTGGGTTGAAAATTCTTTTCTTTAAGAATGTTGAATATTGCCCCCACTGTCTTCTGGATTGTAGGGTTGCTGCTGAGATATCCACTGTTAGTCTAATGGGCTTCCCTTTGTGGGTAACCTGACCTTTCTCTCTGACTGCCCTTACCATTTTTTCCTTCATTTCAACCTTGGTGAATCTGACAATTATGTGTCTTGGGGTTGCTTTTCTCAAGGAGTATCTTTGTGGTGTTCTCTGTATTTCCTGAATTCGAATGTTGGCCTGCCTTACTAGGTTGGGGAAGTTCTCCTGGATAATATCCTGAAGTGTGTTTTCCAACTTGGTTCCATTCTCCCCATCACTTTCAGGAACACCAATCAAATGTAGATTTGGTCTTTTCACATAGACCTTATTTCTTGGAGGCTCTGTTCATTTCTTTTCACTCTTTTTTTCTCTAATCCTGTCTTCTCACTTTATTTCATTGAGTTGATCTTCACTCTCTGATATCCTTTCTTCCACTTGATCAATTCAGCTATTGATACTTGTGTATGCTTCACGAAGTTCTAATGCTGTGTTTTTCAGCTCCGTCAGGTCATTTATGTTCTTCTCTAAACTGGTTATTCTAGTTAGCGATTCCTCTAACCTTTTTTTCAAGGTGCTTAGCTTCCTTGCTTTGGGTTAGAACATGCTCCTTTAGCTTGGAGGAGGTTGTTATTACCCACCTTCTGAATCCTACTTCTGGCAATTTGTCAAACTCATTCTCCATCCAGTTTTGTTCCCTTGCTGGCAAGTTGTGATCCTTTGGAGGAGAAAAGGCATTCTGGTTTTTGGAATTTTCAGCTTTTTTGCACTGGTTTCTCCCCATCTTCATGGATTTACCTAACTTTGGTCTTTGATATTGGTGACATTTTATGGGGTCTCTGAGTGGACATACTTTTTGTTGATGTTTATGTTACTATTCCCTTCTGTTAGTTTTCCTTCTAACAGTCAGGCCCCTCTGCTGCAGGTCTGCTGGAGTCTGCTGGGGGTCCATTTCAGACCCTCTTTGCCTACATATCACCAGCAGAGCCTGAAGAACAGCAAAGATTGCTGCCTGTTCCTTCCTCTGGAAGCTTCATCCCAGAGGGGCACCTGCTAGATGCCAGCCGGAAGTCTCCTCTATATGGGATCTTTTGGTCCCTACTAGGAAGTGTCTCCCAGTCAGGATACACAGGGGTCAGGGACTCACTTGAGGACGCAGTCTGTTCCTTATCAGAGCTTGAACGCTGTGCTGGGAGATCCACTGCTCTCTTCAGAGCTGTCAGGCAGGGATGTTTAAGTCTGCTGAAGCTGTGCCCACAGCCGCTCCTTCCCCCATTTGCTCTGTCCCAGGGAGATAGGGGTTTTATCTATAAGTCCCTCACTGGGGCTGCTGCCTTTTTTTCAGAGATGCCCTGCCTAGAGAGGAGGAATCTAGAGAGGCTGTTGGTCTTGCTGAGCTTCAGTGGTCTCCACCTAGTTCGAACTTCCCAGCAGCTTTGTTTACACTGTGAGGGTAAAACAGCCTACTCAAGCTTCAGCATTGGCAGGTGCCCCTCCCCCCACCAAGCTTGAGCATCCCAGTTCCACCTCAGACTGCTGTGCTAGCAGCAAGAATTTCAAGCCAGTGGATCTTAGCTTGCTAGGCTCTGTGAGGGTGGTGCCCACCAAGCCAGGCACCAGAGGGAATCTCCTGGTCTGCTGGTTGCGAAGACCATGGGAAAAGCACAGTATCTGGGCCACATTGTACCATTCCTCCTGATACAGTCTCTCACAAGTTCCCTTGACTAGGGAAGGGAAATCCCCCAACCCCTTGAGCTTCCCGGGTGAGGCCACACCCCACCCTGCTTCAGCTTGCCCTCCGTGGGCTGCACCCACTGTCCCACCAGTCCCAGTGAGATGAACTGGATACCTCAGTTGGAAATGCAGAAATCACCCACCTTCTGCATCAATCTCGCTGGGAGCTGCAGACCAGAACTGTTCCTATTTGGCCATCTTGCCAGCTCTCCTGATGTGCCATATTTATTATTTGCATGTGTTGAACCATCCTTATATTCCTAGGATAAATCTCAGTTGCTCAAGGTGAATGAACCTTTTAATGTGCTGTTGAATATGATTTGCTAGTATTTTGTTAAGAATGTTCACATTTATGTTCATCAGAGATATTGACGTGTAATTTTATTGTTTGTAGTATCCTTGTCTGGCCTTAGTATCAGGGTAATGCTGGCCTTGTAAAAAGTTTGGAAATATTTCCTCTTCTTCAATATTTTGGAAGATTTTGAGAAGGATTGGAATTAGGTTTTCTTCAAGTGATTGTCAGAATTCAGTTAGGAATCCATCAAGGTATGGGCTTTTCATTGAGGGAACACTTTCTATTACTGATTCAGTCTTACTTGTTATTGATCTGTTCAGATTTTCTATTTCATGGTAGGTTGAATATGTGTAAGAATTTATTCATTCCTTTTAGGCTATCTAATCTGTTGAGATATAATTATACAGAGTAGTCTTTTATAATTTTTTGTATTTCTGTGATATCAGTTGTGATCTCTCCCTCTTACTCATTTTGAGTCCTCAGGTTTTTTTTTTTTCTTAATCTAGCTAAAGATTTGTCAATTTTGCTTCTCTTTTTAACCCTTTGCTCAATTAGGAAAAAAAAGTACCACTTGCTGCCAGCACTCATTTAATTTTACATAAGTACCCTCTTTGAAGCTGAAGTAAATCTGACTAATTTTCAATGTGAAAATGAAATACAAAAACTTTTCTTGGAGTTATTTCTAAACAGAACTAACATCAGAACTTTCTGAATCATCAGAATCATCTATTTTAGAAAAATCTGATTCATGAAATAAAAACTGAAAATGACCCTAACATCATGTATAGTAATGCTATGTTTTCTAGGATTAGACATTTTCAGCAATTGAGCATTACCATATTTTGTAAATGGAAAATCACTGCTAAAATAGAATGATGTCTTTTGTTTCCAAAGTTGATATACTAGAGTAATGCAAAAATAATAATAAAAGCAAGATATGTCATGGCAGTTATCTCTGGATAAACTCTGCAGCTGCAAGTGCCACTGGGAAATTTTCTTGAGGCAGATGGGGAAAGGATTAAAAAATTAACTTTTATCTTCATTGATCTTTTCTATTGTTTTTCTAGTCTCTATTTTATTTATTTCTGCTCTGATCATTATTTCCTTCCTTTGACTAATTCTGGGGCTTAGTTTGTTCTCCTTTTTCTCGTTCCTTGAGGTGTAGTGTAGTTTTTTGGAGATTTTTCTTCTTTTTTGATGTAGGCATTCATTGCGATAGACTTCCCTTTCAGAACTGCTTTTGCTGTATTTCAGAAGCTTTTATATATTGTTCATTTATTTTCACTTGTCTCAAGATGTTTTTTAATTTCCCTTTCAATTTCTTCTTTGACCCATTGGTTATTCAGGAGCATATTGATTAATTTTTGAATTTTCCAAAACTTCTGTTACTATTTCTAGTTTTATACCAGTGTGGTCAGAAAAGATGTTTGATACAATTTCAATCTTTAAATTTATTAAGACTTATTTTGTGTCCTACCATATGATCTATCTGATCTATCCTGGAGAATGTGCCATGCCAATTAAGAAGAATGTGTATTCTGCAGCTGTTGGATGCAGTGTTCTGTATATGTCTTTTAGGTCCATTTGGTCTATAGGGTCATTTACTTTCAATGTTTCTATATTAATTTCTTGTGGCTGGATAATCTATTTATTGCTGAAAGTGGGTTGTTGATGTCTGTTACTATTTTATAAAAATATCTCTCTCCCTTCAGATCTATTAATATTTGCTTTATATATTTAGGTGTTCTGATGTTGGGTGTATATATATTTATAATTGTTATACCCTCTTCCTGAATTGACTCCTTTATCATTATATAATAACCTCCTTTGTTTCTTTTTACAGCTTTTAACTCTCTATTTTATCTGATATGTGAATAACTACTCCTGCTCTCTTTTGGTTTCTATTTGCATAGAATATCTTTTTCTATCCCTTTGCTTCAATCTATGTGTGCACTTAAGGTTGAAGTGAGTCTGTTGTAAGTAGCATATAGTTGGGTCCTTTTTTTAATCTACTAAGTCACTCTGTGTCTTTTGATTGGATATGCCAGGTAATTATTGGCAGGTAAGGACTTACTATTCTCGTATTCTTTAAACTGGAAGAAAGGGATGCTAATTAGCCACTTTAACATTTCTTAAGACTGGTCTGGGGTGATGAACTCCCTCAGCTTTTGTCTGTCTGAGAAAGGCTTTTATCCTTCATTTCTGAAGGATAGCTTTGCCGGATACATTATTCTTGGTTGACAGGTTTTTTTCTTTTTTTCTTAAGCACTCAGAATATATCATCCTCCTCTATCCTGGCTTGTAAGGCTCCTGTTGAGAAGTCTGTTGCTAGCTTTATTGGACCTCCTTTATAAGTGACTTGCTTGTTTTCTCTTGCTGCTTTCAGGATCCTCTCTTTTGTCTTTGATATTTTACAATTCAATTTTAATATATCTTGTTGTGGTCTTGGAATTGGATTAAATCTGATTGGACTTTTTTTTTTTTTTTGAGATGGAGTCTCTCTCTGTCACCCAGGCTGGAGTGCAATGGTGCGATCTTGGCTCAACTGCAAGCTCCGCCTCCCAGGTTCAAGCCATTCTCCTGCCTCAGCCTCCTGAGTAGCTGGAACTACAGGTGCCCACCACCACACCCGGCTAATTTTTTGTATTTTTAGTAGAGACGGGGTTTCACCATGTTAGCCAGGATGGTCTTGATCTCCTGACCTCGTGATCCACCCACCTTGGCCTCCCAAAGTGCTGGGATTACAGGAGTGAGACACCATGCCCGGCCTGATTGGACATTTTTGACCTTCCTGTTCCTAGATATTTATATCTCCAAGTTTGAAATGTGTTCTGCTATTATTCCTTTAAATAAGTTTTCTAACCCTTTGTTTCTCTCTTCTCCTTCTTTAATTCCTGTAGCTCAAATATTTGTTCCTTTGATGCTGGCTTATAAATCTTGTAAGGCTTTTTTACTCCTTCTTATTCTTTTTCTTTTAGGTTTAGGTTTTAAACACAATATATCTATGCACCAAAATCACATCCTTTTCAACTATTTAAACTTACGTTGAAAAAATTTTAGATATTTGCATGAAAACTTGAAGAGGTATGTGTTTGTTCAAAATTTCTTTGATGCCTGGGCAACATGGTAAAACCTCATCTCTACAAAAAAAAAAAAAAAGCCAGACATGGTGGTGCACACCTGTAATTGCAGCTACTCAAGAGGCTAAGGTGGGAGGGTCGCTGGAGCAGGATGTGGAGGTTGCAGCAAGCCAAAATTGCACCACTGCATACCAGCCTGGGTGACAGAGCAAGACCCTGTCTCAAAAAACAAAAATTTTTTTGCATTGTCTTAGCAAAAATATTTGAAGACCACTATATTTATTTCCTTTTGCTACTCTAACAAGTTGCCACAAACATAGTGACTTGAAACAATACATTTATTATCCTACAGCTCTATAGGTGAGAAATTTGTCATGGAGCTCACTGGGTTTAAAGCAAGGTGTTGGCAAGTCTGAATCTCTTCATTGGGGATCTGGGACAGAATCTGTGTTCTTGCCTTTCCAACTTCAGAGCTACTCATATTTCTTGACTCATGACCCCATTTCTCCATCTTCGCAGCCAGTAGCATGAGGCCAAGGCCTTCTCATATTGCCGTCTCTGTGGTTTTGTCTCATGTGCCTCCCTCTTCCACTTATAAGGATCAGTCTCCCCTTTTCAAAGTCACGTGATTAGCAGCCTTAATTCTATCTACAACTTTAATTCCCTTTTGCTATAACATAACCTAACACATTCACATGATCAGGGATTATAATGTGGACATTTTTAGGGGGCCATTTTTTTTTCCTACTACAACCACTGGAAGTTGGTAGAGGCATAGAGGATGTTGAAGGTTTGATATCGCCTGTCAAGAATGAAAGGGGGGACAGATGGAAGACAAGCAAAAGAATTATCAAAAGAAATGTCAAATATACCCAGACGCAGTGGCTCATGCCTGTAATCCCAGCACTTTGGGCGGCCAAGGAGACAGATCATCTGAGGTCAGGAGTTCCAGACCAGCCTGGCCAACATGATGAAAACCCCATCTCTACTACAAATACAAAAATTAGCCAGGCATGGTGGCACACGCTGTAATCCTAGCTACTCGGGAGGCTGAAGCACGAGAATCACTTGAACCCGGGAGGAGGAGGCTGCAGTAAGCTGAGATCGCACCACTGCACTCTAGCCTGGGTGACAGAGCAAGACACCATCTAAAAAAAAAAAAAAAGAAAAGAAAAGAAGAAATGTCAAATGTAAGTAGCATTACATTCGTGGCTTTTCATCTGTACACTTGAGAGAGTTTTTCAGTCTTGCCTTTCCTCCTAAAACCCATTCACTTGATGCTCAAATCAAATAATCAGATTGTTGAACTCTTAGTGCCTTTTTTAATGTCTTTAGAACTGTTCTTAAGCTCTGTTTGCATTTTTGCCTATCTCTAAAATTTTAAGGTTTTTTTAACAATTATCATATATGTTCTCTTATAGGGCTATAATTAAACTTTTAAAGAATATTTTAATATTCAAAGGACATTTCTAATTTCTATTAAGCATTTATCAATTTTGTAATCTTGTGTAAATTATGGGACTATTTTAGGTTCTTAAAGTTGGGTTTTTTCTGTTTTCCTTTTGAACCCTTTAAACACGTCTTAGCCAATTTGTCTGAAGATATTAGCTATACGTAATTATAATGAATTATTATAAATCCTATAACATTTGATCTTGTCACAAATGTAAACTTAGTTGTGACACTAATTTTGGACACTGGAAGGCACACTCTGGAAATGTGTTCAATTGCCTTTAATGCTGGACCCTGATGAGGACCAAGGAAGACAATCAAGGATCTCAGTGTGTATTAAATGTTCCCTCTGTGTGGAGGAGTGCTGTGACGATCTCTCTATGTCAGAGACCAAAGGGCAAGCTTTCACTGGAGGTCCTTTATGTTATGCTAATAAATTAGTATAGGGAGTGTTTATAAGAGAGGAGAGGGAACCTGTCACTGCGATGAATAAAACTGATAAACACCCCAAGCTCAAGTACCACCCCACTCCCACAAAAAAAGTGTTTGGCCTAGTTTTTATTTCCATTTTAACCAAAAGAAAAACCATCAAACAGCTCTAGTGAAAACTTTTAGGTTTTTTCCTGCTGGATTCCATCACTTAAAAGAATCACAAAATTTTTTCCTGAAAACATTGTTAGGTATCTTCCAGTTCAACATCTCCCTCCACTCCCAATCTTACTTCATACCTCATTTACCCATTTGTTGGCATAAATACCCGTATTCAAAATTTCTATACATATACAAATGCATACATGAATATCCAATGTGAAAGTTACACAGGATGTTTATTATAGATTATTGGATTTCCTTTGTACTTTGCCTCCTTAAACCTTTAATGTAATGACCTTTCCTGAATAAGCATTAGGAAATACACATATATACACACACGTGCACATACACACACATATTAAATCCTTGTTCCTGAGATACCCAAATGCTAAGGCAGCAAGGAGTAGTGAGATGGAGAAGAGGCAAAACCAAACTAGAGAAAGCATATGTAAGACCCCAGGGGTAGACAGAAGAGTAGGGACAAAGGAAAGACTCAGATTCCTTTGGTCTAAGTAGGTCAGAGCAGCTAACCAAAAGGAGAAGAGGAAGAGGTGTCAGCCTGCTGTGACAGAGCCACAGTTTAGAAAAAAATACCATGGTCAGGTTTCCATATCCACTTGTTCCCATTTGGAGTAAGAGAGTCTTAGCTTGTTGGCCTCTGCCTGCCCCCCTGTGGTTGCTGAGTGGCTGAGAAAATACCACAGCAGAGGCAGGGCTGGACATAAAGAGCAATGGACTGCCACTGGAGTGTGGGGGCACTCAGGTGCAAATTTCAGTTATGATAATAGCTTGTTGTGTTTCCTTGAGCATTGCCCAATCTTTTTTAGCTTCGGTCTCTTTTTCTAGTAAACTAAGGTGAGACTGGTGACCTCTATGAGGCCCTTCCACCTCTAGCACCCTGTGACGACACTGGTTAAGCATCTCCTGATCAGAGCCTTGCCTTAACGTAGCCCTGCCTTGCATGAGATTCAGTGAGACAAGACATGAGTCCACTGGGACCCTGTCTGTGTGTGGCAGGACTACACGAGAGCCCAGCATCTCCACTAATCTCATCACCTAAGACAAAAATATGCTCAAGCTCAGTTTTAGAAGGTACATCTCCCATAAGGCTTTAGAATGCCGCTTTACAGTATGCCTATAAAAGGAAAACCTGAGATATAGTCCACTCATTCAGAAATACAAATGCCAATCTCTAGGATTAAGAGGTGGGGGTAAGATGGTGAAAAGCGCTGGGCACAGTGGCTCACACCTATAATCCCAGCACACTGGGAGGCCCAGGCAGGAGGATCACTTGAGCCCAGGAGTTTGAATCCAGCCTGGGCAATATGGCAAAAGCCCATCTCTATAAAAAATACAAAAATTGGCCAAGCGTGGTGGCATGTGCCTATAGTCCCAACTACTCAGGAGGTTGAGGTGGGAAGATTGCTTGAGACTGGGAGATTGAGGCTACAGTAAGCTGTAATCATGCCACTATACTACAGCCTGGGTGGCAAAGCGAGAATGTGCCTCAAAAAAAAAAAAAAGTGAAAAGCATAGTCCTTACCCTCACAAAACCAGAGGTAACTTTAACTCTATGGTTGGTAGAGAGGGGATGTACTCAGGGCTGGGGAGACCAGAGAGAGAGAGGTTCCAAGGAAGGGTACACAGCCTTTGAGCAGAATGCAGAAGGATGAGTGTCCACAAGGTGGCTTCGGGCAGACAGAGTTTTCAGGTGAAGGGAACAGTTTGGGTAAAGGCAGACCAAAGGGCCCTGTTGTTTAAAGAAGTGCTAAAAAATTTACTGAAGCTGGAATTTAAAGCATAGGATTACAGTGGCCAGGAATAAAAGGAATGAGTCAGCTTGAGGCCAAATTGTAACTGGCCTTATATTCCTGCCAGAGGAATTTGGAATGAGTCTTGTGGGCAACATCTGGGAATTGAGAGGTTTTCAAGCAAGAGAGAGAGAGAAATTCCGATTTTGTTCCCAGGAGAAAAATGTTCTGGCAGTAGCATGGCGGATGGAAGAACCTGAGAAAGGCTGGCAGTAGGGAAAGCGGAGAAGAGGCTCCTGCAGAGCAAATAACCGTTTGGAGGTAGAGGTGGGAGGCTGAATTATATTTATACATCCGTTGTACTACTTCCTTCTAATTTGATCAGCAGTAGATACAGAAGTACAGAAAGACTTTCCAGGAGTCCCAATGAGAATAATCTGACTCTCCAGGCCAACAGTGACAATCTTCAAACAGCCTGATTTATGACTGACATTCATCATATACTACTGTTCCTGTTACAACCCACATCCATAATGAAATCTCCCAGAATGGGGCTGGATGTCCATCTTGCCATCATCATCCTCTTCCCTCTCCTGCTGGCCTTGTCTGCATTCTGGATGTCTGGGTGCTGATATCCTGTTTTGTTAGAGATGCAGCAGAAATCATTTCCAGTCTGTTTTTGTTTTTATGTGGAACAACTAAGCTAATTAATTTAGAGAATCACATATGTATACAAAAAGCTCAGATCTGGGGCAACAATAAAAACTTAAGATTTCCAGTTTCTTCTAACTAGATTCCAGTTCTTATTCATAACAATAATTCAATAGCCCACTGGTGAGAGACTGCTATAACCCTGAGAGAACAGCTTTGAAATACCAAGAATAATGGCATTTAGATTTCTATAGCATCCAGGCCCTCCCAGCACCCCTTGCGGCAGGATCTCACAATGTTCTACAGAAGTACAATGCATTAAGCCTCTCCTCGTAAAGTAGGCAGCATTATTATTCTCATTCCTCACGCTGCCAAAACAAAGTGGAGAGATGTGCTTCTGTTGCCTGCCCAAGGTTAATTCCAGTGGCAAAACTACAAATTCCACTCAGTTATTTGCCCTCAACTATGATCAAGCAGCTTTGTATTTTCAAGAAAAGCTGATGTAACTTACCCAAAACCAGAGTAAATTACATTTCAGAAGGAGAATGAGCATGTAGGCCGCTGCCACCTCTCACACATTCCCGCATCTTCTCCACTGAGCTCCAATTGACTTTCCCAGGAAGGACGTGACACAATTTTTACCTAAGTAGATTAACATAACACATTACACATCAGCACTACAAATGCTAACCAAAACAGTCAAACTCGTAAATAAAGCATACCTACCCCTGAGACAAACTCATAAATAAAGCATACCTACAAGATAAGGAAAGAGAGGACTTCCGAAGAATGAACATCAGAGAGATAAAAAGAAACAATTGAAAATGAAGTTAAACACATTGCGTGTCTGTATATGTGTATGTGTGTATAAAAGACATATTTACATATAGTGTATATGTAAAACAATGAGATTCAAGATATAAACTACAATAGCTTTGGTATCAGTCAGCCCAGTGAAAATCTAACATGAAATTCAATAGTTCACCTCATGATACTAAATATAAAAAAGTTAATACCATAGAAGTGGACTTTCTATGAGGAGAAAAAAAGCATGTCTATATATTTAAAGGTTGTTTTAATTCTGTAATTATGATGAAATCTGTGCTTTAAATGTATGTCTAAAATAAAAGATGTTATGTTGAAAAATTATAGGGAGCTCAGATAATAAATTTTGGAGAGAAAAGCTAATTTCTTCAAATTAGGCAAACACCTTACACTTACAAATGGAAACTTAAGAAATGGTAAAATATATTTTAGAAACAGTCTGTACATAAAGTTTACCTACTAAGAGAGGTACAATATGAGTTTACTGAACCATATATGCTATAGTTAAAAAAGAAAGATGGTTTGTAATTTAAAGAGCTAAGCTGAAAAGTTTGGTTTGTTTGTTTTTTTAACCAGAGGATAAAATATTAAGATGAAAAAAGATATGTTACTTATACAGATGAATAGGAATTTGATGAAGTGGAACTAAAATTGTGATATATAAATATATTTTTGGTCCTTACAAAATGGTTTTACAGACTAATAGAATTTTAGTAAAGAGAAAATTTAACTTCTTAAGTATGTATATTTATAACATCTATAACAATAAAATTGTTTTCATTTACAATGTGTAGAATGGCCTTAGCAGTCAAAAGTTTGCCTAAATAATATCTTGTAGAAAACATCCTAGAAAATAAATGGTTAAATTTGATTATTTTCTAGTCTATTGTATTTGAACTTAATTATTCTCATGAGTTTATTTTCTAAGGTGGTGTTAGTGAATGTAACTTGCATAATAATTAGCATCTTACATGGCATTTTGTCATGTTTAGTCCATATTCATTGAATGGATGAATGACTGAATTCCACCCAAACAAAGTTGGAGCTCTTCATTTCTCGTGTCTTAGCCTCACTCAGTTGACTGAGAACACAGACAGCCTGGGAGAACGCTGTTCAGTCACTCCTCCCAGACAACAGGCAAGACCATTTGCAAGTTGCCCAGCCTGACAATGTATTTGGCAAACCCGGGATTAATAACCATTTCTTACCCTCCTTCTTCTGCCTCCCAATATCACTCAAAGAATCCAAGGACATAAAGCCTATGGTTTCCATTGCTTTTTGCAGATCAATAGGAAAATTTGCCCTGTAGCCTCCAAAATTATACCAGTGGCCTAACTTGAAAATCTGTTTGAATGTTTACTATTCCTAAACTCCAGTTTGTCATAGGTTTTTGTCAAGTTCTCTGTTAGGTTGAGTTCTCCAAAAGTGGATCCTAAGACTAAGGTTGTTTATTTTGGTTTTTTGCTGTTGTTGTTGTTTTTGAGACAGAGTCTCACTCTGTCTCCTAGGCTGGAGTGCAGTGGCGTAATCTCAGCTCACTGCAACCTCTGCCTCCCAGGTTCAAGGGATTCTCCTGCCTCAGCCTCCCAAGTAGCTGGGATTACAGGTGCATGCCACCACACCCGGCTAATTTGTGTACTTTTAGTAGAGATGGGGTTTCACTATGTTGGCCAGGCTGGTCTCAAACTCCTGACCTCAAGTGATCTGCCCACTTTGGCCTCCCAAAGTGCTGGGATTACAAGCATGAGCCATGCACCTTGCCTTAAGACTAAGATTTGAGAGCCATTTGTTTGGGGGGTGATCCCAAGAAACACCTAGTGAGAGAGGGATGGAGTGAAACAGGAAAGGGAAAGAAGCCATGTTGTGTGTTGGTAAGCAAATTACTGCTGGAGGCAACTGGAACTCAATCCTGCCAGGAGGCTCTGGGAGATGGTCATGAACCAGCTACAGTGCGGTCCTACTCAAAAAGAGAGGAAGTTTGGATAACTGTCTACCAACTTATGTTTGTCATTTGTGAGGATGCCTCCTGGGGTGTTCATTCACGTGGCACTTTCAATCTGCTGTGCAAATGCCCAGGCTTCCTCCTGAGGCCAGAAAAACCCCTTAGGAGAGTCACCAATACTTGCAGCAAGAGTGTCCACCACAAGATCTTATGTGGCATGGCAAATTGAATCTGTGTGGATACTTGGGAAACCCAAGGTCCCTCCTTCCTTTGCTCTGCTGGATATCTTGCCGTCACCTGTCCAGCTCCATTCTCCACCCCGGTGACTCTTCCAGTCCTAGGAGCACTCAGCTTATATGAGTTCCAGGGTACAGAAGCATGCTTTATGGTTTCCCTCCACTCTTCCTACAGTTTTGTAAACACTCCTTTTATTAAACTCTCACATTAACCTTGAGGGAAATTTTCTTTATCCCTACTAAGGCAGGCACCAAATCTCTCTAAAGAAACCCCTCCTTTAAGCTTCAACCCCTTGGCCAATTTAGGCACCTCCCTTTTCCTCCCTCACTGTGAAAGAACAGCTAAAGGTCAGGAAACTTATTTCTGCCCCTCTAACATTAGTCATCTTTTTGTAAGTTCCTTATAAGCTTCTCATAAGAAGTAGGAGAGATGGTGATAAAGCTTAGTGATTCAGAGCCAGCATATCTTGATGTACTTCCAGTCTGTGTGACTTGGAGAGAGTTACTCCTCAGCATTAAAAGTATGTAACAACACAGGCCAATTTTTTTGTTCTGAGGGTTCAATGAGAAAATGTATGTAAGGAATTTAACACAGAGCCTGGAACATAGTTAAGTGCCCATTCATTCATTCAGGAAATATGTATTAAGAATCTCCTAGGTACTGGCCGGGCATTCACACCTGTAATCCCAGCACTTTGGGAGGCCAAAGTGAGTGGATCACAAGGGTCAGGAGTTCAAGACCAGCCTGGCCAAGATGGTGAAACCCTGTCTCTACTAAAAATACAAAAATTAGCCATGCCTGGTGGCAGGCACCTGTAATCCCAGCTACTTGGGAGGCTGAGGAAGAAAATTGCTTGGACCCGGGAGGCGGAGTTTGCAGTGAGCTGAGATCACACCACTCACTGCACTCCAGCCTGGGTGACAGGGCAAGACTCCATCTCAAAAAAAAAAAAAAAAAAAAAAAAAAAATCTCCTAGATTAAGCACTATACTAGGTACTGGGCTTACAGTAGTGAACAAAGCAAAGTCTCTGTTCTGAGACCCTGAAAATGAAATGATGGTGATAGCTGCTAGAATAAAGGATAAGGATATTCTAGGCAGGGATGCTGACTTACAGAGTGTTCAGCAAAGGCTTTTTTGATGGAGTGAATTTGAGCAAAGACTTTAAGTAAGTGAGGGAGGAAGCTGTGTGGATTACCTGGGAGAAAGCCAGTTCCAGACAAAGGGAAGAGCAAGTGCAAAGGAGGGGTTTGTCTATCATGTTCCAAGAATAATAAAGAGGCCTATGTAACTACTCAGAATAAGCAAGGGAGATAATAAGGAAATGAAGCCAGAGAGGTCATAGGTACCTAGACCCTGTAGATCACCGTAGAAACTTCCAATTTTATCCTGAGCAAGTCAGGATGCCATCAGAGGGTTTTGAGCAGAGGAATGGATATGATCAGACTTAAGTTTTGATGGGATCACTCTGGCTGCTCTGTTCAGAACAGATTGTAAGGGACAGGAGCAGGGAAACCAGCAGGGAGGCTTCTGCAATCATCCAGGTGGAGACAATAGTGGCTTGAGCTAGGGGCGTGGCTGTGGAGACAGTTTGAAGTAAGAAGGTTCTGAATCTATTTAGAAGGTGATAAGACCGTGTATTAGGGTTCCCTAGAGGGACTGAACTAATAGGATATATATATATATATATATATATATATATATATATATATATATATATATCGGATCAATACTTTGCATCAATACTTTGCATCCTTCAATCCAATCAAGTTGACACTCAGTATTAACCATCACAAGTCCACCCCTTGTCAACTTGAACCCACAGACATCTCTTGAGATCCTACATATATTTATATATATATTTATAAATATATATATTTATATTTACATATGTATTTATATATAATATATAAATATATATTATATATAATATATTTTATATATAATATATTTTATAAATATATTTATATATGTAAATATATTTTATATAAAATTTATATAAATATATAATATATAAATAAATATATAATTTTATATATAAATAAATAGATATAAATATATATTTATATATAAATATATTTATATATTTTTACACATATATAAATATATATATTTATATATTTTTATATATAAATATATATATATTTTTTATATATAAATATATATTTTTTTATATATAAATATATATATGAGTTTATTAAGTCTTAATAAATCACAAGGTCCCACAATAGGCCATCTGCAAGCTTGAGGAGCAAGGAGAGCCAATCCTAGTCCCAAAACTGAAGAACTTGGAGTCCAATGTTTGAGGGCAGGAAGCATCCAGCACGGGAGAAAGATGTAGGCTGGGGGTGCTAGGCCAGTCTCACCTTTTCACGTTTTTCTGCCTGCTTTATATTCATTGGCAGCTGAATAGATTGTGCCCACCAGATTAAGGGTGGATCTGCCTTCTCCAGCCCACTGACTCAAATGTTAATCTCCTTTTGCAACATCCTCACAGACACGCCTAGGATCAATACTTTGCATCCTTCAATCCAATCAAGTTGACACTAAGTATTAACCATCACAAGTCCACCCCTTGTTAACTTGAACCCATACACATCTCCTGAGATCATACACAATCTCAAAGAAAGACAATAATGAGGTCATAACTACACTAACATAATACAACCATCCTTCATACAACTGGAAACACACCAACACCCAACCCAAATACTATTACATAAAGTTAACAATACTTAAATGCTGATAGGAAGTCAATAAATCTCATGTCACATGATAAAGGAAAAGGAAATGAAGATATTTTATTAGTAGAAGTGTATAATGCACAAATATGTTATTAACTAAAGGAGAAAATACTCATGACAGTTACCATCCTTGTTTCTGCAGCTGGTCACGTGGTCCCAGCTGGTATTGATGACTACCTTCTTCTACTACCCATTCTGTATTCCCTTTGCCTTTAGAAAGCACCTCAGCAGGTAGCAGATTTTTTCCTGGTGGAGTGAACCAAATCTTCATTTCTGAGGAGTCTGGACCATTTGTAGTCCTGCCTGGCTTGGGCTGTTGTAGTTTCCCATTGACCTTAATCACAGGGCATGGTAATACTATGAGACAGCCTGATGGATCTTCTGTATTCCATACATACTGCTCCTTACCTTCATTATGAAGTAGTAGACTGATTTCATCTTGATAGTCTGGGTCAGTCACCTCAGCAAACACTGTAACTCTCCTCTTAGCCTGTTGACATAAAGGTAGGAGGATCCCAAGGTGGCTATCTTAACTTCCAGTTTAATGGAATTGTTGTTGTGCCTCCTGGTGGCAGTGTTCCTTCCTCTGGAACTAAGACCTCTAGGCCAGCAGAACGTAATGTCGCGGGTACAGGAAGCAAAAATTTTGCTAGTGGATCACTAGGCATGATGGTGAGTGGTGCCACTTCCACTTTCACCCCGTGATTCCCGGACCCATAAATCCTGGCTATGGGAGAAACAGTATGATATATTGGACTCTGATTCAGAGCATACACAGCCTTCTGGAGAACTTTGTCCCAGCCCTGCAAAGTATTGTCACCTAGTTGGCATTTTAATTGTGACTTCAAAAGGCCATTCAACCATTCTATTAATCCAGCTGCTTCAGAGTGATAGGGAACATGGTAGGACCAGTGAATTCCATGAGCATGAGCTCACTGCTTCACTTATTTAGCCATAAAGTGAGTGCCTTGGTCAGAGGCAATGCCGTGTGGAATACCATGATGGTAGATAAGGCATTCTGTGAGTCCACGGATGGTAGTCTTGCCAGAAGCACTGCAGGCAGGATAGGGAAACCCATATTCAGAGTAAGTGTCTATTCCAATGAGGACAAACCTCTGCCCTTTCCATGATGGAAGAGTTCCAATATAATCAACCTGCCACCAGGACACTGGCTGATCACCCCAAGGAATGGTGTCATATCGAGGGCTCAGTGTTGCTTTCTGCTGCTGGCAAATTGGGCACTCAGCAGTGGCCATAGCCAGGTCGTCCTTGGTGAGTGGAAGTCCATGTTGCTGAGCCCATGCACAACCTCCATCCCTGCCACCATTACCACTTTGTTCATGGGCCTGTTCGGCAATGACAGGGGTGGCTGGGGAAAGAGGCTGAGTGGTGTCCATAGAACAGGTCATCCTCTCCACTTGATTATTAAAATCCTCCTCTGCCAAGGTCACCTGTTGGTGAGCACTCACATGCGATACAAATATCTTCACAGTTTTTGACTACTCAGAGAGGTCCATCAACATACCTCTTCCCCAAATTTCTTTGTCACCAATTTTCCAATCATACTTCTTCCAAGTCCATGACCATCCAGCCAAACCATTGGCTACAGCCCACGAATCAATATATAATCGCACATCTGGCCATTTCTCCTTCCATGCAAAGTGTACAACCAGATGCACTGTTTGAAGTTCTGCCCACTGGAAAGATTTCTCTTCACTGCTGTCCTTCAGAGATGCCCTAGAAAGGGGCTGTCATGCTGCAGCTGTCCACTTTTGGGTGGTGCCTGCATATTGTGCAGAACCATCAGTGAACCAGGCCCTAGTCTTCTCTTCCTCTGTCAACTGATCATAGGGAATTCCCCATATATGTATGTATACGTCTATATATGTATATATACACTTATACAGTATATATGTATGTATAATACAAATGTATACATGCATATATGTATGTATATGTACACATGTATACATGCATATATGTATGTATATACACACACATACATGTATATATACACAAGTATTCATGTATATGTGTATATACACACATGTATACATGTATATATGCATACATGCATGCATGTGTGCACGCATGTATACATGTGTACACGCATACATGTATGCATGTGCTTACATGTATGCATGCGTGTATATACACTTACATGTATGCATATGTATATGTGTATGTGCACATGTGTGTGCATGCATGTGTACATGTATATGCGCATGCATGCATACATGTATATATACATGTATATATGTATGTGCTCGTGTGTATACATGTATATATACATAGGTATACACGTATACATGTATGTATGCATGTGCACATACACATATACATGCATACGTGTAGATATCTATGTATATACATGTATGTATGTATATACATGTATGTGTATATACATGTGTGTATGTGTATGCATGTATGTGTATATACATGTGTGTATGTATATACATGTATGTGTGTATACATGTGTATGTATATACATGTATTTATGTGTATATGCATGTATGTGTGTATGTGTATGTGTATATACATGTATGTGTGTGTATATGTGTACGTGTTTACACATATGTATGTGTATACACGTATACACGTATATTTGTGTATACGTGTATACACACACGTGTATCTATGTATATATAAATGTGTGTATATACATACATGTGTATACATATATAAATATGTGTATATATACATATATGTGTATACACATATACATATGTGTATACATATATATGTGTATATATACATATATGTGTGTACATGTGTGTATACATGTCTGTGTGTGTATATATATGTATATATGAGTTCATAAATCACAAGGTCCCACAATAGGCTGTCTGTAAGCTTGAGGGGCAAGGAGAGCTAGTCCAAGTCTCAAAACTGAAGAACATGGAGTCTGATGTTTCAGGGCAGGAAGCATCCAGCACAGGAGAAAGATGTAGGCTGGGAGGCTAGGCCAGTCTCGCCTTTTCACGTTTTTCTGCCTGCTTTATTTTTGCTGGCAGCTGATTAGATTGTGCCTACCAGATTAAGGGTGGGTCTGCCTTCCCCAGCCCACTGACTCAAATGTTAATCTCCTTTGGCAACACCCTCACAGACACACCTATACATCCTTCAATCCAGTCAAGTTGACACTCAGTTTTAACCATCACAGACTGTCTGTTAGACTTCTCTCCCACACATTGTATATCCAAACTAAGGACGAACTCAAGTTGTTTAGCCTAAGTGACAAGAAGGATGGAGCTGCTGTAACTAGATGGAGATGGCTGAAGTAAGCAGGTCTGGGCAGGGGAAGGGGTTAGATTGAGAGTTTAGTTTTGGACAGATAGAAGATGCAGGGAAATGTCAAGTGAGCAGAAGGAATGCTTTAAGTTCAAATCTATAAGAATATATACTTGACATATGGTATTCAAAGCCTTGAGAATATAGGTAGTGCATTAATTCAAGCACCTCATGCCATGTAATAAACGCATGCCTTATAGGAAGTTTTCAGAATGGAATAATGTTCTTCCAAAAATTGGTCCATTTCAGTGAAATAAAGAATCAAATCTGACAAGGAAACACAATAGAAAATGGAGTCACATAGAGCATTTGTGGCGGTTTGGCCAGAGCACTAATTTTAAATGGTGGTGGACTGAAGACTTTAATTCCTTCGATGGACAGAACATTAGTTTTTAGATGAGTGGAACTGAGCTACATACTTCTTGGAAACACTAAGGTTGTGTCAGGAAGGCAGCTTTGTTTAGGTTTGACTTTTGACGAAATTTCTTTACAGAAATATTCTGGAAGTTTAAGAATAATGTATACAGATACTTCCTAGCTACACTTAAGGAAAATAAACATAGTATGATCTATTCTAATGGTTCTACAAGAACATGAGCTATATCCTAAGTTCAGGAACTGACAAGTTTCTTTCTTTAAAGGTCAAATAGTAAATATGATAAGCTTTGATGGTCATACATCTCTGTTTGGACTACTCAACCCTGCCATTGTAGTACAAACAGCCATAGCACATAAATAAATAGGTATGGTTGTGCTCCAATACAATTTTATTTACAAAGATAGGAAACAGGTGAGATTTGGCCCTCTGGCTATAGTTTTCCTCTGTCCCACCTCCACACCCAATAGCTTTCCCCCTTCTTTGCAAAGGCTTAGAAAAACAGCTGTTTCAGTTTGGTGTACCTTACTATTCATGAATACATTTTAAAATGTTAGTTTTTGCTGAGCCATCATTAGGTGTTCAAGCAATTTAGAAACGGATTATATCAGTTAAAGTTTACTACAATAATTTGGGCAAGAAGTGATAACACTTTTGAACAGGATACAACAGTGAGGTGGTGGGATATGGTCATGTTGTGGATATGTTTGATTTTAGAAGCAACAAGGTTTGCAGGAGAGGAAGAATGGTTTTGAAGATGGTGCCAAGGATGCTGGTTCTCCCAACAAATGGTAGCTATGAGTATGATGTTTAATTATATTTATACATCTTACTTTCTTAACCTGGCTTCTGTAAGCATGCAATAAAAATGTTTTGCCCATCATCAGATCCTCATACCACTGCTCCATGGATAAGATACTCTTCATCTTACTGAGTAATGTATCCCAAGGAAATTGTATTTTAGGCATTTTGTCATTTATTTTTGAGGGTGTACTTCATAAGCAATATCACAATAGCAGCATAATTATTTTCCCAATGTCAGCCCCCAGTTCTGGTTTTCTTTATTTTTCCTTTTGAGCCTTATTGGCTGATAAGAGGTCTTAGAGTAATAACACTAATGACAATCTTTGTCACAGTGTGAGTTCCCTAGTGCACGACCTCTTCCTTTGAGCTCAATAGTCCACAGCACTAGTACACCCACTTGACAAAGTGACTCATCATCATTTGCATTTTGCTTTGACAGATTGATCATTAATATAAAGCCACTCCTGCATGACTTTCTGAAGGACATATGAAGATGTTCATGGGCTGTTAAGCTGTGAATTTCTCAGAGAATTTAAATTATTCTAAGTTAAACTTCTAGGTCTTGCAGTGTGATCTTTGGTTGTCTTAGCACATTTTCTCTCTATAACAGAGTACTGCAGACTGGGTAACTTATACAGAAAAGGTCTGGAGGCTGGGAAGTCCAAGGTTGAGGGGCTGCATCTGGTGAGGGTCTTCTTTCTGCCATCATAACATGGCAGAAGGCATCACACAATGAGAAGCACTTGCACAAGAGAGAAATTGGGCAGAACTCCTTTTTATCAGGAACTCACTTCCTATGATAACTAATCCATGCCTGTAATAATAGTATTAATCACAGGGGTGATAATGGATTACCTTTAATCCCCTCTTAAAGGTTTTACCTTTTATACTATCATATGGCAATGAAATTTCAACATGGGTTTTGGAAGGGACATTCAACCATAGCATTGGTTAACTGCAAAAACAATTGGGAAAACGAGCCCTATAAAACAACTCAATTTCAATCTACTTGAGAGAGGACTCAAATAGGTAAGGAATTATTAACTGTGGTGCAACTTGCATTTAGGCAGCCTTAAGGTTTTGAGAAATTTTGGAAAATACGAATCAGCAGAAGACATTTATTTATTTATTCAGTAAGTATTTATTGAGCCCCTATTAAGTTCTAGGACTGTTCTAGATGCTGTGTATATGGAAATAAACAAGATAAACAAGGTACTTGCTCTTATGGAGTTTATTTCCCAGAATATATACTTAGATGAGGGTAAGACAGGTAATAAAAATGTAATCTAACAAGTGAGTAATTCAAGATAGTGAGGAGTTATGAAGAACATATAATGGAGCATTGGGATAGAAAGTACACTGAGAATGGGGCTGCTTTACATAAGTTGTTCTTAAGAGATGATGCTTGAGCTGAGCCATGAATAATGACAGTTGCAAGAAAATCTAGTAGAAGACCATGTCAGACAAAGGAAAAGCAAGTTTAAAGGCCGAACAATGGAAATGAGCTTGGTTTATATGGGGACATGGCATCCTTTCAACACGTTAGATATTTGCTGATTCACAATGACCAGTCAAAAAACTGAAAAGCTAATTGGAGTTTTTAGCCTTCTGAAATAAAGATTGAGATTTAAAAAATTGGAGTTCAAAACTAGGATGACTGTCCAGTTTTCATGGGACTGAGGGGTTTCTCAGGATTTGAGGCTTTTAGTACTACAATTGGGAAAGTCTTAGATAAACTGGAAGAATTTTGTCAATCTTTCAAAGCCTAGCAAGATGAGTCCTCCTTAATACCCTGAGCTTTCATTTTGGACCCCTCAAAAGCTATATACAGTCTTTGTCGTCACGAAGGCTGAAACCTAGTCTTAAATAACATCTATCCCTATTCGGATTGCAGTAGTCTGCTTCTAGCCTAAACTGCAGCCTGGAAGGCTGAAAAGTGAGCACACCTTACAGCAGATTCATGGAGTTGGGGAAGATAGAAATTGGAGTCCTGGGATTTCCAAGGAATACTAGCCTTGATAAAAACCCAAGGCTTCTGGCTGGGACTCCTGAAAAACTACAATCAGGAAGATGTGCAAAGTGAAAAATAGACCAGCTCTCATAAAGACTAAAACCATGCCTCAAGTCACTCCAGCTCCTGATTGGATTGGAGTGATATGCTACTGCCTAACTGCCTTACAGAAACAGAAGTAAATTATTTCTGAAAGAAGATAACATCATTCACATCCTCAAATTATTTCTATAATTTTTCAAACACTATTCCAACATTCAATCAAAAATTATAAGGCAAATGTAGAGATAAGCCCATCAGAAAAAAATCAAACAACATAAATAAATTCACAGGCAATCCAGACACTGGAGTTAACAAACTGGGGCTTAAAAATACCTGTGAAAGTTATGTTTTTTAAAAAATCGAGAATTAGATTCAGAATCCTAACAGAGAACTAGAAGCTACACAAAAGAATCAAATGGATATTCTAGAACTAAAAAAATACAGTAAGAGAAATTAAAATCTCAATATATTTAACAGTGGATTAGACACAACAATAAAGAGAGCATTAGTGAACTAAAATATACCTCAGTAGAAAATTGTCATGGACTCTGAGGGTTCTGAGATTTTAGCCTACTTGCAAGCTAAGTTAGGCTGTCACAATTTCACCGATGCTGAAAGAAAGCATCAGACTGCTGTGTCAGAGACAAAGATACTACTCAAGGCTTTAGTTCCCCTGTAACCCACTCCCCATCTCCAATCCCATGGGAGTGATACAGAGGTGAGTCTAAGTAGAGTCTGTGGACATAATAGATCTGTGTCACTGCTGAGGAATCTCAGGCTTAGGAAATCCCCAATCTTATGCGGGACTTCTAGCAAACCTGACCAATCTTTGCCTCAGAGGAGAACATTATCTTTATGATGCTGATGAAACAAAGTTACCCTCCACCCTAGAAGGAAACACTACTTCTATCTTGGTTTGCTATACAAACATCCTTGAAAAGATCTACAAAATATATAGAAATGTCATGGAGAATTGTCCCTCAATAAAAATATATGAACTAAAAAACAGAAAGTAAAAAGATAGTCTGTAGAAATGAAAGAGAAAAAGCAATATTTGAAGAGACAATGGCAGGAAATCTTCTAAAACTGAAGACATCAAATTTCAGATTTCAGAAGTATCACACATCACCTACAGAACTAGAAAAAAATACCCTATGTATATAATAAACTACTGAAAACTAAAGACAAAGAGAACAACATAAAAGCAGTGCGAAACAAAAGATGTATTACCTACAAAGGAGCAATTTTAGGACTGACAGCTAACTTCTCAACAGAAACAATGGAAACCAAAAGACAAAAAAAAATAATGTTTAAAGTGGTACAGAAACAACTGCAAATCTAGACTTTAAAAAAAAGTTGTGAGAAGATACACATAACATAAAATTTACCATTTAAACCATTTTAAGAGTATAGTTAGGCAGTATTAAATATATTTACATTATTGTGTAACCAATCTCTAGAAATTGTTTGTGTTGCAAAACAGAAACTCTACCCCTATTTGTTTTAATTCAGGCTGCAATAGCAAGATATCATAGACTGGGTGGCTTAAACTACAAACATGTATTTCTCACAGTTCTGGAGGTTAAGAAGACCAAGATTAGAGTGCCAGCAGATTTGGTGTCTGGTGTGAGTCCTCTTGGTTTGCAAATAGCTGCCTTCTTGCTGCATCCTCACATGGTGGTGAGAGAGAAATCATCTTTCTTATGTCTCCTCTTATAAAGGGCACACTGGTACTACTCATGAGAGCTCTACCTTTGTGACCTAACTACCTCCCAAAGGTCCCACTTCCAACTACCAGCACAATGGGAATTAGGGTGTTAACATGGATTTGGGGTGAACATAACATTCAGTACATATAATTAAACAACCCCTTTTCTTCTTTCTCCTCCCCCCAGTGATCTGGCAATCACCATTCTACTTTCTGTTTCTATGTATTTGACTGCCTTAGATATCTCATGTAAGTGTAATCATGTACTATTTGTCTTTTTGTGACTGGTATATTTCACTTAGCACAACGTCCTCAAAATTCATCTATGTTGCAACATGTGTCAATTTTCTTCTGTTTAAAGGGTGAACGACATTCTATTGTATATACATAAATAACATTTTTAAACTATTTATCTATTAATGTATACTTGGATTCAAACCTAGAATTTTATACATTGTAAAAATATCCTTCAAAAGGGAATGTTAAATAAAGAAATTACCAAACAAGAACTAAGAGAATTTGTCATCAGCTTACCCATACTAAAGAAAATACTAAAAGGAATTATTCAGTTAGAAGGAAAATAATTCCAGGTGAAAATTCAGGAAAGAATAAAGAGTAATGAAAAGGGTAAATAAATATGTAGATAGAGCTAAATAAACAATAACTGTATAAAACAATGTATTGCTTAAAATACAGAGAGAATTAAGGGTTTAAAATATATAATGAAATGTTAACATATAAGGCAGGAGAAAGATAAATGGAAATAAAAGTGCTTGCATTATCTTGAAATAGTAAACATAAGTACTAATTTATATTAGATTTTAATAAGTTAAGGATTCCTGTTATATATTCTAGGTTAAACAGTAAAAGAATAGTAAAATACTATATAATTAACAAGCAAATGTAAGAGCAAAACAAAATTTTTTAAAGAAATCCAGAAAGGAGAGAAAAGGAACACCATAGAACAGATGAAACAAATAGAAAACAAAACATAAGTGGTAGATTTAAAACCAAATATATCAGTGATTACATTAGACGTAAACGGACCCAATGTGCAAATAAAGACAAAGATTACCAGATTGTATACAAAAGCAAAGCCTAAACTATATGCTGCTTAGAGGAGATGACTTTAAGTATAATGATATAGAAAGTTTAAAAATAAAATTACAGAAAAATATATCCCACAGAAACAACCAAAATGGTATAAAAGCTATAATAATTAAAATATGTATAGTAAAATAATTAAAATATGTATTAATATAATAGTTACAATACAAAACAAACATGTAGCTGTATAAATATCTGACAAAGTAGACTTTAAGAAGACAAGAAAGGGGTAAGAGCCAAGACGGCTGACTAGACACAGCCAAGAAAAGCTTCTCCCACGAAGAGAGCCCATTTTGGTCTCCCAACAAGACCATCAAGTAAACTGGCACACTATTTGGAAAGAGGGCATTGAGAGTGAACAGAAAGAGGACGCAGACTGCAGAGTGAAAGGGGAGGGAGGATTAGTGGGGCATGTCTGTAATCCGTCTATTCAGGAGGCTGAAGCAGGAGAATTGCTTGAACCCAGGAGACGGAGGTTGCAATGAGCCAAGATCGTACCATTGCACTCCAGCCTGGGCAACAAGAGTGAAACTCCGTCTCAGGAAAAAATAAAACAAAACAAAACAAAAAAACTTGAAAAAGAAAGGGAAGGAAGTTGGGAACCCTGCATGGGGTTGCTGAGCCTCAGGACTTGTTCTTGGCCCTGAGCAGTCCCTAGGGAAGGAGCGAGTGAAGTAGACATGGAGTGGCCCACTCTCTCCATCAACCTCCAGAATCCTAAGCTGCAGGAGACCCCACACCCCCATGGACATCTGAGCTGGCAGAGAGAACCACCCAGAGAGTTGAAACAGACAGCACTCCAGCCTGTGAAGAGCCCAGATTTGGCATGGGAACAGATGCAATGGAGCACAGCCATAGGTGTCAATCCACCAAGGATGGCCATACTCCTGAAGGTGACTTTAGCCTTTGTTAACTCTCAGACCTGGACAGAGCAGGGCACCTGTGGTGCTAAAAGTTAGAATAGGTGATTACCTTTGAAGAGAAAGGGGCTAGTGACTAGAAGCTGGTATGAGGGGGGCCTTCGGGAGTGCTGTTGAGATTCAGTTTCTTAATCTGCATTGTTATAGGGTGAGTTCAATTTGTAAAAGTTTGTACATTAATGTTTCCTGCACTTTTCTGTATATATTTTATCTTCAATTAAAAAGTATATTATATGAAAAAAGGAAGCACATCAAAGCATGACACCTACATAGTAGGACAGACGTAAATTGGGGTAAAATTATCAGAAAAACAATTTAAATGGTATAAAAGCTATAATAGTTAAAATACAATAATTATTAGTAAAACAAACAAAGGAATCAACAAAAAGACCATTAGAAGGTAGAGATGTTCTTAACAAAGTTCTGAGAATTAGAAGTGCCACCTCAGTGTTGACCCCCTGTAATATAATTGAAGGGTGTAGAACCAGAGCAATAGAGTAGAACCTTTGTCCTTCTACATTCCCACTACCATCCTGTCCTCCTCGTATGCCTAGGAGTCTGTTTTCACCAAGGTATCTGAAACCACAGTGGGGATAAATTTACAAAGCAAATAGCCACAGAGCTTCAAGGCAGCAAAAGCAGCAGTTTGGTCATGGCAAATTTTCTAAGCCATCACTATCTCCATATGTTCATGAACCTGAATTATGCTTGATTTGAGCTTCAAATTGAAAAATGCCTTGAGATTGTTTAATCAGAATTATAGGAATGTGGAGAATTTAAAAATCATTAGATCATAATGGGAAAATTTTTGTCTATGAAAATTTTTACCAAATATAAAAGAAAGGAAATGACAGACAATATGACTGAATAAAGAGGCAAATTGTAAAAATAAGTCTAAGTGGCTAGCAATTCAAAAAATTTATCTTGTTTTGTAGTTTAAAAATTAAAAAATGACATTTGTACATACTTAATTGAAGTAACATATAACATTACAAAGAACTTCAAGACTTTGTTTCCTAATATGGGTGCAAGAAGCATCACAAGACAAGCTGGAATATAAAAATAATCTTTAGCTGAGTAAGAATTTTCTGTCATTTTTGCATTTAAAGCAAAAGAAGGAAGGGACAAGTAAAATGAATACCTATATAATTTAATATCAAGGTTCAAATAAGAAAGATACTGATTGATTTTTGATGCTTACAATTTTACAATTTTAACTTTTCATTTTACTATCAAAAACCAACAGCTTCTGAGTAACTTTTGAAATTATTATATTACCATTTGAGATTGCAAGAGGAATTTCTTTTTTCAGTCTTCAAAAACAAGTCCTCAGTTTAGAGAAGGAAATTGAGGGTAGTCCATTCCCTTATGTGTTTTCTTTTGAGACACACCCTGCTTTATATTTAGCCTCTCTAAAAAGCTTTGAATGTGAACAACTATAGGGTGAGGACTTGTCCCGGAAACTCTTTTTTTTTCTTTTTTTAAATATTTATTATACTTTAAGTTCTAGGGTACATGTGCAAAACGTGTAGGTTTGATACATAGGTATACGTGTGTCATGCTGGTTTGCTGCACCCATCAATTCGTCATTTACATTAGGTATTTCTCCTAATGTTATCCCTCCCCCAGCCCCCCACTCCCCAACAGGCCCCAGTGTCTGATGTTCCCCTCCCTGTGTCAAAGTGTTCTCATTGTTCAATTTCCACCTATGAGTGAGAACATGCAGTGTTTAGTTTTCTGTCTTTGTAATATTTTGCTGAGAATGATGGTTTCCAGCTTCATCCATGTCCCTGCAAAGGACATGAGCTCATCCATTTTTATGGCTGCATAGTATTCCATGGTGTATATGTGCCACATTTTCTTAATCCAGTCTATCATTGATGGGCATGTGGGTTGATTCCAAGTCTTTGCTATTGTGAATAGTGCCGCAATAAACATATGTGTGCATGTGTCTTTAGAGTAGCATGATTTATAATCCTTTGGGTATATACCCAGTAATGGGATTGCTGGATCAAATGGTATTTCTAGTTCTAGATCCTTGAGGAATCCTGGCTCTACTTTGCATGGATTATTCCATGATGCCAAGCAAAACACAGGAGAAATCCTGGTAGTAGAAATTATAATTCTGAGAGTCTGTAGTTTATTTTTTTATCTGAAGGGCTAAGGGTTTTAGAATTTGTATTCCATAGCATTCTTACCCTTTGATGCACAAAAGTTTATTATAGTTCCCAAACTTTATTTGGATAACCCTATTTCAAACAAAATTTAGTAGAACTTTTGTATAATAATAGCTAACAATTATTTAGAGCTTACCATGTGTCAGACTGTTCACAAAGCATTTGACACTGGCTATCTCATTTCATCTCATACAAATTCTGTGATGTAGGTAATGCTATTATCCCAATTTTACAGACAGAGAAACTGAAGCAGGAGGATTAATTAACTTGCCACATAATAGAAATGAGTTGGTTTAGTTGCGGCCTGCAGTTTGGGCTGCTCAGTCATGGGAGCTGGTCCTAAGGCCCTTGGTGAGAAAACCATGATGAAGAAGGAAGTGCACAGGCCAAGAAGTCACCGTGCCTGATTTGATCAGAGAACCTGTGAGCCAGCTCAGGGAATTTAATCTATTTTTCCCCCCTAGAGACAGGGTCTCACTCTGTCACCTAGCCTGGAGCACAGTGGCTAGATATAGCTCACTGCAGCCTCGAACTCCTAGGTTCAAGCGATCCTCCTGCCTCAGCCTCCTGAGTAGCTGGGTCTATGAGTGCCACCATACCTGGCTAGTTTATTTTTTGTAGAGACAGTCTTACTGTGTTGCCCAGGCTAGTCTCAGGCTCTTGGCCTCACGTGATCTTCCCACCTTGACCTCCTGAAGTGACGGTGACAGGTGTGAGCCACCATGCCAGGCCTCTCAGAGTCATTTTTAGGGAAAATGCAGATGATTACTATTCTTATCCACTTCCAGAAGTGCCATGGTGGCACCTGATTTGATCTACCTAAAAGTACTTTTTTAAGTGCTTGGAGACTAGGTACCCCACAGGTATCACTTTCACTGGGAATCATATGTAAACCCACGGACATTTCTATATTCCAAAGCTCAAGTTGCCTCAGTTCTTCCTTTTTAAGAACAAGCAGTACTCTGTGACACCCTGTGAGCAACTTTTCATACCACAGTATATCCCATACATAGGAAATCCTCCAGTTTCATAGTTGGCAATTCTCCATCTACCCTGCCTGGCTACAAAGGTGTCAAAGGTGTGGCAGTCATAGATCCATTGACATGTGTGCTTTTTGCTAAAACTTTGTTTGGTGGGTTCCCCTAGCTCCCACAGTCTACCACATTATAGTGGATATAAGAGGATTACTCCAGGTAAGGGATATTCAGAATGAATGCCCCTGAAATAGGGAGAATCCACGTAGTAGTATAACATTTGTTGGAAGGGTTGATTATCAAACAACACAAGTGTTTCCATGTGACAGACAGAATTCTGACTGTTGTAGATGTAATAGCAGCTAACAGAATCATCTTGAAGTAGGTGTAATCATTATCCCCTTGTCATATGAAGCAAATGAAGCATGGAAAATTAAAGAGCTTGCCCAAGTTTTGATTGTAAGTGATGCCTCCAATCTGGGGCCCAGAATCCATTCCACCCCTTGTTTGTAGGTCTTAAAAACAATGAATTTGAGATTCCTAATAAGCAAGTAACCATTCCTGCACTCTACCCATGTTTACTGAGTACCCAAGAATGTCATGCACGATGCTAAGAACTAGAGACAATGCTAATTATTAGGGATTCAAATATGAAAGTGATCTAGTTTCTGTCCTCAAGGACTTTATAGTGTAAGGAAGGGAAACATAAGTAAATGGGTACTATAAAACAAACATAAGGGAAACACAAGTAAATGGATGATTGTAAGTATAAGTACTGTCATATAGCTATTAAGTATAACATCCATAGCATATGTTAGATGAACTGAAAGGGACAATGAGTCTATACTGGGGTCAACAGAGAAGGCTGAAGGAATGTACCTAACCTGAGCCTTAGAGGAGAAACAGTAGTTAGCATGGTGGGGAATGGAAGGGCATTCCAGGCAGGGAGGGTAATATGAGGAAAGAGGGAGTGTGTAGTTGAATGTGCAGGGAAAGTTTGTGCAGAATGGCTAAATCACTGGATTGGATTATAGAGTAGGGAGCTGAATGGCAATAGATGGAACTGGAGAGGTAGACAGAACCAGGTCATGGAGGGCCTCATGCACAAAATAATAGGTGTTTAGACTTCCTCATATAGGTAATGGAGAGCCATGATCAAGACACACACCCAGGGGAAAAGTATTTGGATTAGATTTTGAAGAAGGATATGGGATGGGGTTCAGGGTGGGCAAATGGAGACTAGGCTAGTAAGTTGAGACCACTTCACTTAGAATGATGAGAGGGCAATCTAATGTAGTACAAGGAAGGAAGGGAGGAGAGGAAACCGTTTAGAACAGGGTTTCTGCACATTTCGGGCCACATATTTCTTTGTGGTGAAGGGCTGTCCTGGGCACTGTAGGGGCACTGTAGGATGTTTAGTAGCATCCTCAGCCTCCATCCACTAGATGCCAAGAGCAGGCCCTCCTCCAGTTGTGATCACCAAAAATGTCTCCTGCATGGCAAAATTACCCCCATTTGAGATCTACTGGTTTAGACACACTGGTATTAAAATAGAATCGATTGGATTTGGATGTATGGAGAAGGTGGAAAATCACAGTCAAGGTTAACTGTAGGGTTTCTGTATTGACAAAATAGGTGAGAAATAGATGAGAGAACAGGTTTGATTTTTGAACAAATTAAATTTGAGATACTTGTGGGATATCCTAAAAAGAGATCCAAGAGATAGCTGTATAGATGGATCTGTGCTCAGAGAATTCTCAGCTGGAGATACACATTTGGGGATTATTTGCATATGGATAGAAAAAAATACCATAGGGGTGAATGAGTTCACTCCAGGAGACTCATGAAGTAAGAAGAGAACCAGGCAGGAACTCTATGGACAACCAAGAGTTAAGGGTGATAGAGCATTGTTTAAATCACAGTTTAATTCTTGCCAATGAAAGGGAAAAGAGAAGTATGTATCACTATGTCATTTTTAATCAGTAATGAAAACCTTGGTATCCCATGACTCAAATAGAAGGTAAGATCTCTAAAAAAATGTGTGGGAGTAATCGGGGAAATGTTCGCAAGATGGTCAGTATTAATTAAATGCAGTATTTGTTGAATTTACTTTTCCCTGTGCTTTCAGTGCAAAACTAAACAAAACCTTAAAAAGCCTCATAGTTTCAGTGTGGTGAATGAATACCTAGAAATGCAAGGTTAGATTGAAAAACCCATTATATATTTATTAGCAGTGTTGTTTCACTACCTTGTCATCAATGTTCAAGAACAGTACTGCAATGGAAAGCTCAAGGGAAATGCAGGAGCTTTATACAAAGACATATTCTTTAGCCTTTGATAAGGTTCTACAGTGATAATTCTGGAAAAAGTAAAATGTCATGAAGCAATGAACAAAAAGAGCTTACAGGATAGAAAGCAAACCAATAACAAGAACTAGTATCATTTTTGGCAGGCAGGTCAGTGAAGTAGGAAGATAATTTCCTACTGGTGACATGATTTCCATGAAGCTAATTGCCTACAATGCCAATTATGGTGAGAAGCCTTAGACTAGGGCAATCGCGACCTGTGAAAAAGGAATTCAATACTGAAAAGACCAGATGCTTTGGGTAAATAAGTGATTACCTGAATATAAGTTAGATACCCTTGTGAGAAACATTAACTCTTCAGGCCAACAACGTACCACCAGAGGTCCACTCCCAAATAACGCTCTGTGTCTTCCAAAGGGCCTTACAACCAAACCAGCACACCTATCCAAAACGCAGCTTCCACACACCATGGCTCTGTGTATTGAAAGGAAGACAAACTGAATGAAGTTCATAAAATAAATTCCCCATCTCACTCATTTGTCAGAGGGAATATCTGCCAGTATTCTCTGCAATACAGGACTCTGCTTACCCGATTTCTACAGGGAGCTCTGGACTGCCTTCCTGATTCCAGCCTCTGTCAACCTTTTCTCTCCCTCCCTTTGCCAACATTAAAAAAGAAGTTAACAAATGGATCTAATTACCACAGTGGTTTGAGGCTTCTCAACGTTTTTTTTTTTCCCCTTCCAGCTGTAAAGATGTCCTCAGACTGAGCTTCACATTCAGAACTGCTGTCAAACTCTCACTTTAAGGGGCACTTAAATTTAATGTCAAGCTGATGCCTGCGGAAGACCTTGATTAAATTTGCAGAGTAGACTCTAACTGAAACAGAACTTTAGAGTTGTCTCATTTCACCCTTCAAGCTTAAATCCCAGAAGTTTTCTTCTCTTCTTTGTAAAGAATTACAAAGTTTGCTTGCAAAGACCCTGAGTATCAATAAGACAGCAAAGTGTAACAAGCAAAACACCCTGCATGCTTTTAGAGACAGAAGAAATCCCTTAGCTTATTAAAATTCTATGTGAATTAAAGATCTTTCCCATTGCTTTATTCCATTCCCAGCTCATTCGAAATCTATAACTATTTACTTTTATGACTCTATAATATTATAAGCAGTCCTAAAAAGTTTACTTAAAACCTTCCTAGTGTTCTTTCATGCACATGGCAATTAAGTTTTGTACTGTATGGACAGAGTGAAAAACATTATGGAAAAACAACTTGAAAGAAATGTGACAGAATTTCTCCTAACAATGTCATTGCTTCAACCAGCTACAAATTTCCAACCTAGTTTCTTTCTTTTGCTGTTTCTTCTTTTGTCTTTGATACAATCATACAGCCTCTCTTCCTTGAAGAGATAATAAAAGACTAACAGTTAAAAGATCTGGAAGACTCATATTCTTTTCTTTTTCACTGGCTACGGTTTTGAAAAGAGGCTGTTGGCTTTTGATTTTTTCTTTTGGGTTCTTTACATCGCCCAATTCAAACAGGTCTGCTCTCAAAGAAAACAAATCAAAATTGTCAAGACCTGTGAAGCATGAAAAATAAATTGCTTTTTCCAACTCCAAAAAGCACCAGAAAAGCATTAATTTTGATCTTTTATAAACCTCTATCCCCTATCCTCTAATCTATAGATTTCACAGAATGTTTATATATTCTTCTGTATAATACAGGAGATCAAACCTTATTATGAATAAATTGAATTGAACCTGTAATACAACTAATATTTAAACTAGTGTTATTTTGGAGTTCAACTAGACACATATAAAACATTCAAGTGAGATGACACAAATTCCTGGGGCTGCCAGTATAAAATAAACAGTCCAGTAAGCTGCATCTACCATGCCGTTAAGGACTCTGTCCTTTTAGCTGGTGGGAGCACAGGCTTCATAAAAGAAGGAGAACATGAAGCAGTAGAAAAAGACAGCCTTGCAAAATGCTGCCAGATACAAAACATTCTATCAGAAAATTTCTCATTGAACTACAGTGGCGAGAGTGCTTCTAATATCTCCCTTCTTTTAACACAGCGAAGACCTACATTTCTATGCTCGGCTTTCTAAAGCTAACTTAATTCTGTGGTTAAAACAGCTCCAGGTAGCACTTGTTCTTTTTTTTTTTTTTTAAAGAAGGACTTGTGGTTTTGCAGTCCATGGATAAAGTGGTAGGCAATCATCAGATTCCTGTTGAGAACGACAAATGATGAAGGGAGTAGCAGATGGTTTCAGAAGGCAGAGATTTATAGGGGTAATTTGTAGTGGAATAATACTATTTTCTGAACTAGGTAATAATAATTCACCAAGACAAGTAAAAGTTTAGATAGATAGTATCTCATTTAATTATATGTTGCTAAATATTCCAAGAAATCTTTGACTCAGAAGCCTAAAATGAAAACTCAATTAGTTGACATTTTTAGTTTCTGATGATCTGATCCTGTTTAATCCTTTTCATCATGATGCAGTTTATCACATGATTAAAAATATGGTGCTGCTAACAGTCTAGTTTTCTGAATACAATGTGCTCTTTTCAATTTAGTTACTATCTGATTCAAAAGGATAAAAGTATCCCTCTTTACCAGGAAAAGAAGACAGAAATAGACGAATACTTTTCACATATTCCAAGGTAATAGATGAGGAAGAACTATGTTTCAAACAGGGTTTCCTGAGCACCCCAAATCCTATTGGTGAGTGAGTAGAGCCCCAGGAGGAAATCACTATTTAGATGAGGGTATCCACAATGGCACTGCTCCACAAGGCATACGTGCCAGGGATCATCAACTTCACCTTACTCCCTTGACAAAAGCAGGCAGAGAGAACAGGGCATTGATCTCGTATGTTTGTAATCATCCACAACATTTATTAAATTCTATTGCTGGCACTGAAAGGAGGGGGTTACTATAAGTATCACTATTCATTGCTCAAGTAAATTAATTTAATTTACCAAATCTATTTGGTAATTCACAGCAACTACAGAAGTAATAAGGTATGGAAGTTGGAGGGTAAAATAAACACTTTATTTTATATGTACAACCTTCTTGCTTGGTAATTGTCTATTCTTCATGAACCTGTCCCCAGAGTAATGGCAGCAGATAAGACGTGCCATTATTTTACATAATAAAATATCCCTATTATTCCTTAATAAATATAACTGGCTATACTTTATGTTAATTCCCAAGTCACAGTTCACTCAGGAGGGTCTGGTGCCACTCAAAGGTGCCTGATGTAGAATAACCACAAATAGGTCAACTCTTAAAAAAAGGTAAAGAAAAGTTTAAAATCTTCATTAGTGATCAGCAGTGTGTTGGATACTCCAAATTACCATTTTAAAACTGAAGTAATGTCCAATCTGTTACGACATAAGACTCTCCCAATTATACGCAGACACTGTCATGTACACTTTGATATTTATTAACAAAAATGGTCCAGAAAAGGATTGAGTCAAAATTACAAAGTGATTAAGAGTTAAAACAAAAGTTGTTCTTTATTGTAGTTTCTGGGGGACTTTAACCAGTCCCCAAAGCTGTTTTTATCTCCTAAAATAGGACTTAAATGACATCACTCAAGTGACAGATTTTAATAGAAACTCCTCCTCTTTCCTTCTGTCAAAGCAAAATATAGTGAAAGTCTCTGTTGTTACCTCAAACCTCCTTTCCTAATAAGTGTGCATGCCTGTAGATGGATTGGGATGCAGTGAAGAGAGAAGTTAAACAAAAAGGTTAAAAAAAAAAAAAAGGCCAGGCACAGTGGCTCACAACCGTAATCCCAGCACTCTGGGACGCTGAGGTGTGAGGATCGCTTGAGCCCAGGAGTCTGAGATCTGCCTGGGCAACATAGGGAGACCCCCCACCTCTACAAAAAAAAATTGAAAAAAATTATCTGGATATGAGGTGCACACCTGTGGTCCTAACTACTTGGGAGGCTGAGGTAGGAGGATCACTTGAGCTGGGAAGGTCAAGGCTGCAATCAGCTGTAATTGTGTCACTGCACTAAGCCTTGGTGACAGAGTGAAACCCTTTTTCAACAACAAAGGCAAAATCTTAAAAACAGGAAACAGGCTATTGAGGAAAAAGGGTTATAAAACTGCCTAAGAATCTTCACTAAAGTAATCTTCTAGTCCTTCCATATCCATTTCCAGAGAGGAATTTAAAGAGGCCAGAGCAGATGATGCATCCTTGGTTTTCTGGACACTTGGTTTGGGTTGAGGAGTTTCTGGTTGGATAGGTTCCTTCTTTATGTCTTTACCACCATTTAGAATACGTTGGCTCTCACAAAAGAACTGATTAGGATGATTCAAAGAAAAGCCACAATCATCCACCTGTAAAGGAAGGAAATTTATATTGCATTAATGCATGGCAAAGCTATAAATATATGAGTTTCAAAAGCTGTTTTAGTACTTGTTTAAAACTTAATACCTGAAACATGGATTCTAGCTGTTTGCATTCTAACACTTAATCAGCTACTTACACCATTTCATTCAAAGAGAGCTTCAACCACTACCCAAACCTAAATGGCTCCCACATTTATATTTCTAGTCTGAGCCTCTGTGTTTGGCTCCAGTTCCCTATCTAGTTTCAGTCCCATATCCAACACCTACTCAACATCTAAGATGGCTCAAAGGCAGCTCAAACCCAACAGGAAACGTATCCTTTCCCCTCTCCCCATCCTTTGCTCTCAGTGATTGGTATCACCATTCATCCTTGGGGCATACTAGACACCTTTCTCTCACCTCCCCAGCCCCCAACTCCCACCTGCCACCTCCCATCTACACCAAGCCCTCAATTCTGGCAATACCCAAAACATTACCAATTCTGGTTGACAATTACGTCAAAACAAAAAATTAGAAAACTATAAAAATATGTTTGGAATACAAATGTGTGTGTGTGTGTGTGTGTGTGTGTGTGTGTGTGTGTGTGTGTGTGTGAATGACATTGTATGTTAGTGAGGCACAGGTTAGGGACCTGTGTGATTCATTATTGTATCCCCAGTTCCAAGCAAAAGGCCTACCACATTGTAGGCCAGTAAATATTTGTGGGTTTTTAAGTGATCGTAAAATCATTTTTGATCATTTTGATACTGGTCCCTGATACCACTTGTGTTTTAGAGCTGACTTGTAAGTCTGGCATATGCACTCATTTAGTATGATATAAACTGAAAAAGCAACCTAAGTCAATGTAATTCTTCATTCTAATCTTGGCCTTTCCTTGGTCTTTTTACAGAAAATCTCTTCTTGTAAATTTCACTGTGACTGAATACAAACATGCCTGGTTCATAACTTATGTTATTTTTTCTCAAATACTATCATTAAACTTTAATTTTGAGTATCATTTCAAATTATGCACTCTAGTAATCTCTCCTTATATTCAGTTTCACTTTCCACAGTCTCAAATCCCTGCCTTCTCGCCTTCTGCAGTTGGAGTTGACAACAAAAATATCATTTTGCTTGAGTGAGTGACTGTTGGTTTCTTGGGTGGTATTTTCATTTATCAAGTTTTTGGAAACTGAGAAGTTATTCCATTTCTTTTGTTCATCTGTCTTGTATTAACTAATCCTTTTACGTCTCACTCTTCGTACTGAAGTGACTTGCACACTGTAGGTATCTAATAAATATTTGGTGAAGTGAACCCAGAAATAGTGTATACCAGTGATAATTTTGCATATTTAATTAAAGCCTTACTATATAAAAGACTGTGTTATAAACTATTCACTATTCAGCATACAGGAATACATTTGACTAACTCAAATTTCCAACCCAGTAAGTCATATACTTAAAAACCTCTACCAAGAATGGAGAACTGATGAGGGTCACAGATAAAGGCCTATTACACTCCACAGTAGAGAGAAATTTCGGCTGAGGAGATCAAGGAAGGCTTTGTAAGAGGAGTGCTATTTGAGTTGCGTCTGGAAAGATGGAGAGGGTGAAAAGCTGGGATGATGAGGGGAAAGGCAATATTTGCAGCAGGACCACATGAGCAAGGTAAAGAGGGAATGTCCTGGGAAAGCAAATATTAAATAGTTCACATAGCCTACTATGAAAGGCACATACAAGGAAACAATAAGGAATGAGGTTGGAAAGACAGGCAGGGGCCAGCCTGAGAGAGCCTTGAAAATCAGGGTAAGTGGTCAAGACCTAATTCTCTAGGCAACACAGAGTCACCAAAAACCCTTAAAAAGAGACGTGGTGTGATTAAAGCTATGTATAATCTTTTAGTAGATTAAAATGAATTGGCCAGGGAAAAAGGGGTTGCTGCCATGGTCTAGAATGAACCCTACTGGTGGACGGACCAGCAGACAGAAACATGAGTCTTTTCTGGTAATACTTATCTAAGCACCCTAGGAATCTCTGATTCTCTTTTGCTAGTTGTTAATACATGTTAGGCTAATTTTATAGTAATTCCAGTGTGTAACAGATGGATAGTATACAGACTGATTTTAAGAGTTATAGATCATTAAGAACAAATTTTTATCTTTGCTTCATTTTTTTAACTTAGCTGCTTGATTTCAAAATGTTTCTGAAATGTTTTATAATTTTTATTAACAATGGAATCATTTGTGAACTTTTTTATTACATTCAATTTTCACCCAATTCATTAAAAACTGGGAAATCCAATATAAATTTTGCATTTTGCAATGTGTTTCACAAAAAGTATGTTTATTGTCTAATACATTTTAATCAGAAGGCTTTACAGTTTGTAAAATAGTTTGTAAACAGAGAATCAGAGATTAGAAAGACCTTGGGGAATCCATTAAATTCAATCTCCTCCATGTACAGAGGCCTAAGGAGAATAGATGGTTTATTCAAGGTCATAGAATTAGTAACTGGTTTTGTCTGAATTAAAATTCAGGCCTTCTGACTAGATCATTAGTTGCTCTGAAATCTGTTTTAAGAGATTGTATGCAAAATCATACTGATAATGATATCTCCATTATAAATTTTATTTCTAGAGATAAACTTGGCTACAAAGATTAGAAAAACATAGTTGTACTATTTCATGCAAAAATAACCTAGTATCTTATGCTATAATAATATCTTGGCATTTTCTATACCTCGCTTCAAGTTGTCAGTTAGCAATACATTTATTAGACTTCAATGTGCACAAAATAGGGTAATCTTTTTAAAGTCTGATTTTCTCCATCTATGAAATGGAGATAACAGTGTTAGGTCATAGGGTTGCCATGGGAAAAGTAAATAAAAATGAATGTTAAAAAAAATTGTTCTATGAAATCTAAATAAAATGTTTTTAAAGAGTCAAGAAAAGCAAGTCACTTAAAAAAAAGGTGAAAGTCACAGAAGGAGAGGGAGAAAGATCCTATTGCTTTGCATATATCAAGTTCCTTTTCTACTTTAAGGAATCCAAACTGGAAATTGCTGATGCTGTATTATGGGTATAGTTTATAAAAGAAAGATAAAATCAAATTCCAAACACTAAACGATACTCAAAAGACCCTGCCCTAACTAATAAATGGCATTTAAATGACTTAACTTTAAGATATAATATTTAAGGGGCTGGGCGTGGTGGCTCACGCCTGTAATCCCAGCACTTTGGGAGGCCGAGACGGGCGGATCACGAGGTCAGGAGATTGAGACCATCCTGGCTAACACGGTGAAACCCCGTCTCTACTAAAAATACAAAAATTAGCCGGGCATGGTGGCGCGTGCCTGTAGTCCCAGCTACACGGGAGGCTGAGGCAGGAGAATGGCGTGAACCCGGGAGGCGGAGCTTGCAGTGAGTCGAGATCGCGCCACTGCACTCCAGCCTGGGCGACAGAGCGAAACTCCGTCTCAAAAAAAAAAAAAAAAAAAAAAAAAGATATAATATTTAAGGTATGTGCATATCGTTAATGAATCCTCATTTTAATTAATATTTTTTAAATTATACTTAAAGTTCTGGAGTCCATGTGCAGAACGTGCAGGTTACATAGGCATACACATGCCATGGTGGTTTGCTGCGCCCACCAACCTGTTATCTACATTAGGGACTTCTAATGCCATCCCTCCCCTAGCACAACCCCCCCAAACAGGCCCTGGTGTGTGATATTTCCCTCCCTGTGTCCATGTGTTCTCATTGTTCAACTCCCACTTATGAGTGAGAACATGCAGTGTTTGGTTTCTGTTCTTGTGTTAGTTTGCTGAGAATGATGGTTTCCAGCTTCATCCATGTCCCTGCAAAGGACATGAACTCATCCTTTTTAATGGCTTCATAGTATTCCATGTTGTATATGTGCCACATTTTCTTTACCCAGTCTATCATTGGTGGGCATTTGGGTTGGTTCCAAGTCTTTGCTATTGTGAACAATGCCACAATAAACATACGTGTGCATGTGTCTTTACAGTAGCATGATTTATAATCCTTTGGGTACAACCCAGTAATGGGATTGCTGGGTCAAATGATATTTCTGGTTCTAGATCCTTGAGAAATCGCCACACTGTCTTCCACAATGGTTGAACTAATTTACACTCCCACCAACAGTGTAAAAGCATTCCTATTTCTCCACATCCTCTCCAGCATCTGTTGTTTCCTGACTTTTTAATGACCCCCATTCTAACTGGCATGAGATGGTATCTCATTGCAGTTTTGATTTGCATTTCTCTGATGACCAGTGATGATGAGCATTTTTTCATATGTTTGTTGGCCACATAAATGTCTTCTTTTGCGAAGTGTCTGTTCATATCCTAGGCCCACTTTTTGATGGGATTGTTTGTTTCTTGTAAATTTAAGTTCTTTGTAGATTCTGGATATTAGCCCTTTGTCAGATGGATAGATTGCAAAAATTTTCTCCCATTCTGTAGGTTGCCTGTTCACTCTGATGATAGTTTCTTTTGCGGTGCAAAAGCTCTTTAGTTTAATTAGATCTCATTTATCAATTTTGGCTTTTGTTGCCGTTGCTTTTGGTGTTTTAGTCATGAAGTCTTTGCCCATGCCTATGTCCTGATTGGTTTTGCCTAGGTTTTCTTCTAGGGTTTTTATGGTTTTAGGTCTTACGTTTAAGTCTTTAATCCAACTTGAGTTAATTTTTGTATAAGGTGTAAGGAAGGGGTCCAGTTTCAGTTTTCTGCATATGGCTAGCCAGTTTTTTCAAAACTATTTATTAAATAGAGAATCTTTTCCCCATTGATTGTTTTTGTCAGGTTTGTCAACAAGCAGAAGGTTGTAGATCTGTGGCATTATTTCTGAGGCCTCTGTTCTGTTCCATTGGTCTATATATCTGTTTTGGTACCAGTACCATGCTGTTGTGGTTACTGTAGCCTTGTAGTATAGTTTGAAGTCAGGTAGCGTGATGCCTCTAGCGTTGTTTTTTTTTTGTTTTTTTGCTTAGGATTGTCTTGGCTATGTGGGCTCTTTTTTGGTTCCACTTGAAATTTAAAGTAGTTTTTTCTAATTCTGCGCAGAAAGTCAATGGTAGCTTGATAGGGATAGCACTGAATCTGTAAATTACTTTGCGCATTACGGCCATTTTCACGATATTGATTCTTCCTATCCATGAGCATGGAATGTTTTCCCATTTGTTTGTGTCTTCTCTTATTTCCTTGAGCAGTGGTTTGTAGTTCTCCTTCAAGAGGTCCTTCACATCCCTTGGAAGTTGTATTGCTAGGTATTTTATTCTCTTTGTAGCAGTTGTGAATGGAAGTTCACTCATGATTTGGTTCTCTATTAGTGGTGTATAGGAATGCTTGTGATTTTGCACAGAGATTTTGTATCCTGAGACTTTGCTGAAGTTGCTGATCAGCTTGTGAAGTTTTTGGGCTGAGATAATGGGGTTTTCTAAATGTAAAATCATGTCATCTGCAAACAGAGACAATTTGACTCCCTCTCTTCCTATTTGAATACCCTTTATTTCTTTCTCTTGCCTGATTGCCCTGGCTAGAACTTCCAATGTTGTGTTGAATAGGAGTGGTGAGAGAGGGCATCCTTGTCTTGTGCCAGTTTTCAAAGGGAATGCTTCCAGTTTTTGCCCATTCAGTATGATATTGGCTGTGGGTTTGTCAAAAAATAGCTCTTACTATTTTGAGATATGTGCCATCAATACCTAGTTTATTGAGAGTTTTTAGCATGAAGGGATGTTGAATTTTGTTGAAGGCCTTTTCTGCATCTATTGAGATAATCATGTGGTTTTTGTCATTGGTTCTGTTTATGCACTGGATTATGTTTATTGATTTGCATATGTTGAACCAGCTTTGCATCCCAGGGATGAAGCTGACTTGATCATGGTAGATAAGCTTTTTGATGTGCTGCTGGATTCAGTTTGCCAGTATTTTATTGAGGATTTTTTGCATCGATGTTCACCAGGGATATTGGCCAGAAATTTTCTTTTTTTGTTGTGTCTCTGCCAGGTTTCAGAATCAGGATGATGCTGGCCTCATAAAATGAGTTAGAGAGGACTCCCTCTTTTTCTGTTGTTTAGAATAGTTTCAGAAAGAATGGTACCGGCTCTGCTTTGTACCTCTGGTGGAATTTGTCTGTGAATCTGTCTGGTTCTGGGCTTTTTTTTTTTGGTTGATAGGCTATTACTGCCTCAGTTTCAGAACCTGTTATTAGTCTATTCAGGGATTTGACTTCTTCCTGGTTTAGTCTTGGGAGGGTGTATGTGTCCAGAAATGTATCCATTTCTTCTAAACTTTCTAGTTTACAGTATTCTCTGATGGTAGTTTGTATTTCTGTGGGATCAGTGGTGATATCCCCTTTATCATTTTTTATTGCATCTATTTGATTCTTCTCTCTTTTCTTCTTTGTTAGTCTTGCTAGCAGTCTATCAATTTTGTTGATCTTTTCAAAAAACAAGCTTCTGGATACATTGATTTTTTGAAGGGTTTTTTGTGTCTCTATCTCCTTCAGTTCTGCCCAGATCTTAGTTATTTCTTGCCATCTGCTAGCTTTTGAATTTGTGTGCTCTTGCTTCTCTAGTTCTTTTAATTGTGATGCTAGGGTGTCGACTTTAGATTTTCTTGGTTTCTCTTGTGGGCATTTAGGGCTATAAATTTCCCTCTAAACACTGCCTTGGCTATGTCCCAGAGATTCTGGTACGTTGTGTCTTTGTTCTCAATGGTTTCAAGAACTTATTTATTTCTGCCTTAATTTTATTATTTACCCTGTAGTCATTCAGGAGCAGACTGTTCAGTTTCCATGTAGTTGTGCAGTTTTGAGTGAGTTTCTTAATCTTGAGTTCTAATTTGATTGCACTGTGGTCTGAGAGACTGTTAAGATTTCCATTCTTTTGCATATGCTGAGGAGTGTTTTACTTCTAATTATGTGGTCAATTTTAGAATAAGTGCAATGTGGTGCTGAGAAGAATGTATATTCTGTTGATTTGGGGTGGAGAGTTCTGTAGATGTCTATTAGGTCCACTTGGTCCAGAGCTGAGTTGAAGTCCAGAATATCCTTGTTAATTTTCTGTCTCGTTGATCTAATATTGACAGTGGGGTGTTAAAGTCTCCCACTATTATTGTGCGGGTGTCTACGTCTCTTTGTACATCTCTAAGAACTCGCTTTATGAATCTGGCCACTCCTGTATTGGGTGTATATATATTTAGGATAGTTAGCTCTTCTTTTTGCATTGATCCCTTTACCATTATGTAATGCCCGTCTCTCTTTTGATCTTTGTTGGTTTTAAGTCTGTTTTATCAGAGAATAGGATTGCAATCCCTGCTTTTTTTTTTTTTTTTTTTTTTTGCTTTCTGTTTGCTTGGTAAATATTCCTCCATCCCTTTATTTTGAGCCTATGTGTGTCTTTGCCTGTGAAATGGTCTCCTGAATACAGCACACCGATGGGTCTTGACTCTTCATCCAATTTGCCAGTCTATGTCTTTTAACTGGGGCATTTAGCCTCTTTACATTTCAAGTTAATATTGTTATGTGTGAATCTGACCCTGTCCTTATGATGCTAGCTGGTTATTTTGCCCATTAGTTGATGCAATTTCTTTATAGTGTCGACAGTCTTTAGAATTTGATATGTTTTTGCAGTTGCTGGTACCAGTTGTTCCTTTCCATATTTAGTGCCTCCATTAGGAGCTCTTGTAAGGCAGGCCTAGTGGTGACAAAATCTCTCAGCATTTGCTTGTCTGTAAAGGATTTTATTTCTCCTTCGCTTATGAAGGTTAGTTTGGCTGCATATGAAATTCTGGGTTGAAAATTCTTTTCTTTAAGAATGTTGTATATTGGCTCCCACTCTATTCTGGCTTGTAGGGTTTCTGCAGAGAGATCCGCTGTTAGTCTGATGGGTTTCCCTTTGTGGGTAACCTGACCTTTCTCTCTGGCTGCCCTTAACATTTTTTCCTTCATTTCAACCTTGATGAATCTGACAATTATGTGTCTTGGGGTTGTTCTTCTTGAGGAGTATCTTTGTGGTGTTCTCTGCATTTCCTGAATTTGAATGCTGGCCTGTCTTGCTAGGTTGGGGAAGTTCTCCTGGATTATATCCTGAAGTGTTTTCCAACTTAGTTCCATTCTCCCGGTCACTTTCAGGGAGAATCAAACATAGGTTTGGTCTTTTCACATAGTCCCCTATTTCTTGGAGGCTTTGTTCATTCCTTTTCATTCTTTTTTCTCTAATCTCGTCTTCTTGCTTTATTTCATTAAGTTAATCTTCAATCTCTGATATCTGTTCTTCCGCTTGTCAATTCGACTACAGATACTTGTGTATGCTTCATGAAGTTCTCTTGCTGTGTTATTCAGTTCCATCAGGTCATTTATGTTCTCTAAACTGGTTATTCTAGTTAGCATTTCCTCTAACTTTTTTTCAAGGTTCTTAGCTTCCTTGCATTGGGTTAGAACATGCTCCTTTAGTTCGGAGGAGGTTGTTATTATCCACCTTCTGAAGCCTACTTCTGGCAATTTGTCAAACTCATTCTCCATCCGGTTTTATTCCCTTGCTGGTGAGGAGTTGTGATCCTTTGGAGGAGAAGAGATATTCTGATTTTTGGAATTTTCAGCCTTTTTGCGCTGGTTTCTCCCAGTCTTTGTGATTTATCTACCTTTGGTCTTTGATGTTGGTGAACTTTGCATGGGGTTTCTGAGTGGATCTCCTTTTTATTGATGTTGAAGGTATTCCTTTCTGTTTGTTAATTTTCCTTCTGACAGTTAGACCCTTCTGCTGCAGGTCTGCTGGAGTTTGTTGGAGGTCCACTCCAGACCCTGTCTGCCTGTGTATCACCAGTGGAGGCTGCAGAACAGCAAAGATTGTGCCCTGTTCCTTCCTCTGGAAGCTTCGTCCCAGAGGGGCACCCACCAGATGCCAGCCGGAGCTCTCCTGTATGAGATGTCTGTCGGCCCCTGCTGGGAGGTGTCTCCCAGTCAGGAGACATGGTGGTCAGGGACCCACTTGAGGAGGCAGTCCCTTAACAGAGCTCGAATGCTAGGCTGGGAGATCTGCTGCTCTCTTTAGAGCTGGCAGGCAAGAACGTTTAAGTCTGCTGAAGCTGCATCCACAGCTGCCCCTTCCCCCATGTGCCCCATCCCAGGGAGATGGGGATTTTATCTATAAGCCCCTGACTGGGGCTACTGCCTTTTTTTCAGAGATAATTAATCTTTTTTTATTAACCACTAAAACAGTGCCAATGGCCTTGAAGTGAGGATTTGTGCCATGGCTCTGTGATGCTGTTTCTCCTTTCTCTTGATCTGCAATTGTCCTTAACTCATTTTGTGATGCTCTTTGTGATCTACTAAGTTGCTTGATAGCAAAATGAAATTATGAAGTTTCCTTTTTATAGAATTCTATTTTCTTCTAGGATGGGTTCTTTGTGTTCTGTTTCCTTCACTTTCATTTTTAAGGGAAGTGTATATGGCTGTTTCCTTTTGTCTTGTTTAGGAAAATAAACTTAGGGGTTTTTTTGTATGTGGGGGGAAGGGGAAGAGCATAAACTAAACAGAATGGAAATCTTCACTTTCAAATTAAATTAGGAAAAGGAATAGAGAAATAGAGGTATCCACATCTAAATCCTCCATTTTACTTATTTCTTCTCAAGTCAGCAGCTATTTCCTTTACTCTGTTTGGAAATATTAAGTGAGCATTTTCATGACTTTGTCTACTGTGACTCTTTTGTTTCTTTCCTTGCCTGTTTTCTTTTTTGGTTACTATTAGTGTTTTTCTTTGTGGTTGATGATTTAAAAAATTATGTTTTGTGCATTATTTTATGTATTGAGATGGGAAAATTCTGTGAAGCATTTGGATTCTACCACACTAGCTTGGTCCTAGTGTTTCAGGTCCAAAGTCCTGTAAAGGATCTGAAACAAATTTAGGAGTCTAGAGGAAGGTGGGTGGAGTGGAGGCCTTTAGAGGATACATTATAAATTTTAGATTTCATCTTAAGAGAAATAGGAAGCCACTGAAAATTTTAAAAAGCAGGTTCCTGAAATGATCAGATTCCTCTATTTTAAAGGTCACTCCAGCAGCTGTGTGGAGGAGAAAGAATTGGAATGGGGCATGTGTAGATGCTGGGAAACGAGTTAGGAAGCTATTGCAGTGATCCAAGTGAGATGATGGTGGCTTCTAGTCCAGCATTCTAACTGATATCCATAATGATGACCCTGAGTTATTATAAAAGGGCTTAATTGTATCACATATATCCTGTTTAAGATTGCAGGAAAATGTGTGATAAGTTTTAATAAGATTTCTCTAGAGATTTATATGGTGGGGAAAAATTATGCTCAGCCATTTGGAAAATAAGTACCCACAGTTACTCAGTGTCCAAAGAGGTCTACCTCTGAAAACATTAATTTCTATTAAAATTCTGTGATGAATCTACACATGACCTAGTGTTTTCATTTATACATGGAATATGCAGAAAGTAAAGAATATACTATTAGTATAAAATTATTTTAAACATTGACCCTAAAAATACAGAGGAAAACAGGTTTCAAGCAGGCCAGCTTTTAACATCTACTAAATGAATCTCAAACATTTGCTTGGAATCAGCACATTCTGCACACAATGACCTTCACACAAACATGGGTCTCATATTTCTGCCACTGCAAATGTAGATTTTGAAGGAATGAAAGCAATATTGTTTTACCTATGGGATATTTGGGTTTTAATCAAGAGGTTTTGCAATGACAGCTTATAATGAGGCAGCTGGTATTACCAAAAAAGCCATATGGAACTATCATAGTGCTGCTGCAAATGGTATCAATTAACTGGTTTATTTTCAAAACTTCCATTTAAGTAAGTTTGATCACAGAGGCCTTGGGAAAATAAACATAGGATTTTATTTTGGGGAGGGGTAGGATGGCAGAAACCTGACAGTAAAAATAGATTCTATTTTTAAATTAAATTAGAAAAAATATAAATGAAGGAGGATATTCACATCTAAAAGTCCACAGTGAGAGATCTAGTGAATACAAACAGCCTTTTTATTTTGTTGATTTAAGTGTGGTTTAAGTTAGTTAGACTATTTTTATATGTGAAAGGATTTAGATATATGTCTTTCCAAAATCTTCATTAATGTAAAGCAAGTTTTAAAAATTGGCAATAGTGGCAATACTTGAGGGAATAATCAATAGGAGAGATATTACAAAAGCAGATTTGAGAAATAAAAACCACTCCTTACTTTTTGGTGATTATGCCACAAACTCAATGTTTAAATCTAATTTTCATATCTTATTTTTATAAAAAGAGGTTGGATAATAGACCTCACTTGTGAAAATTCTGAGGCCTCTTAATTAAAAGCATCCACAAATGATTAAAGAACAATAGGAAATTAAAACTCTCAAGCGGAGCAACCAAATTAAAGAATGCAGTCTCCGAGAGAGCGAGTCATATAAACCTGGTGTTGCCAAACATGGCTTATCTGGCGAGATTCCTAGTGTGATAAAACTAATGAGATTTTGTTGTTGCTATTTTCTTGATGTTTACTCCTTGAGTTTTGTTTTAAAAAAAGCTTTTAAATAAGAACAATACTTTCAAAAGTTAGGTATAGAAGAATGAGGACAGGACCCACAACAGACTGGGGCTCTAGCTCCAGATCTTCCATTAATCAATTACAGCATGTAAGGCAAGTTAGAGTCCCTACCTGTTTACCATGCTATGAAGATAAACAGGAAAATGCCAATTACCTCTGCTGTCATTATCACAAATTTAGTACCAAATATCATAGGACAGTACAGTCATAGTTATGCTCACAAGCTTTAGATGAGTTAGACAGCTTGAATTTAAATCTAAGTTCTATCCCCTATAAGTAGTGTGACCCCACACAGATTGTTTAACTTCTCTAAGTTTTATTCATAGACAGGGAAATATACATATAGTATCTTGCTGTCATGTCAATCAAAAGAGCTAATGCGTTCAAAAATTTTAGTGCTGTGCCTGGTATACATTAAGGCAGGGGTTCCCAACCCAGTCCACGGCCCGTTAGGAATTGGGCCTCACAGCAGGAGGTGAGCAGTGGGTGAGTGAGTGGAGCTTCATCTGTATTTACAGCTACTCCCCATCACTTGCATCACTGCCTGAGTTCCACCTCCTGTCAGATCAGCAGTGGCCTTAGATTCTCATGCGGGTGTGAACCCTATTGTGAACCCCGCATGCAAGGGATCTAGGTTGCGTGCTTCTCGTGATTATCTAATGTGCCCTCCCACCAGCCCCTGTTTAACCATGGAAAAATTGTCTTCCATGAAACTGGTCCCTGGTGCCAAAAAGGTTGGGGACTGCTGCATTAAGGGTTCCATAGATATTGGCTGGTATTACTATTATTATTTCAATTATTATTGGTAATATTATAAAATATCTTTTTCCTATGAGATATTTTATCAAGTAAGAAATTCTGCAATTATATAACCATAATAGAAAAACTACTTTGTAACAACCAAATAAAAAACATAAAAATAATTGTAAAACTTTAGCATGGTAGCTGATGATGATTTCAACAAATGCAACTTCCTTTTTGGGAGGGTCATGGATCTTTAATAAATAACATGGACTCTGGAAAAATACACATATGTACTTAGAGACAAAATGTTTCAAGAAGTACAAAGATCTCCAAAGTCCGTTCTTGGATGTCTTTCCCAGGTTAGAAATCCAGGCTCAGGATCAGTGGATGCAAACTAGGGGCCAGAGGACTGAATTGGACTTGGAGATGTGTTTTGTTGGCCTGCAGAGGGCCTCACAATTTGTCAATGTGAATGCCTCTAATAGGGCAAACATGTTTAGTGCACCATAATTCTGCCGTACTCTGTTGTACTAATCTCAGGCAGCTTCACTTTTTTGGGCTATATGCCCCATCTCTGTAGGCCTCTGAGTTTGTGACATTGGCTTTACACACTTCAAAATCTATTCTGTGCCAGACTGGGTCATTCCACTCTTACTCTAATAATCAAGCAGGCTTTTTTGTACTAAGGAAGCTGGCAAGATAAAAACCAAACACATTTCCCTGACTCGTGTATAGTTAGGGGTCCATATGCAATCTAGGTTTTGCCATGCAGATAAGTATGAGACTTGGGAAGTGGATTACAGTAACATCAGGTGGCAGCCACAAGTACAAGGATCAGATTTTCTGCATGGAAGATGGCAAGAGCCTTGGTTCTTCTAGGCAGCTGTGGCAAAGATTCCAGATCTAGTCTAGAGGTTGGCAAATCAAGGCCCGTGGGTCAAACTGGGTCTACTACCTAATTTTATCAATAGAGTTCTATTGGATCAACAGTCATACCTGTTCATTTGCATATTTTCTACAGCTGCTTTTGCACTACAACAGTAGAGTTGAGTAGCTGTGACGCAGACCATATGGACCATGAAGCCTACAATTTTTACACTCTGGCTCTTTACAGAAAAACTTTATTGACCCTTGGGCTCATCCCTAGATATGGAGTGGTGGGTGACAACTGTAGTAAAGATTTTCTCATGATGTAGCTTCTCCTAATTACAAAATATTCCTGGTTCTGCAGCATCCAAGCTTAGTTGTCTGGTCGTTCAATAAATGCTGTAAGTTACTTAATACCATGCAATCCCCTTTTCTGCTGAAAATAGCTAGAGTGGTTTCCATTGCTGCAACTAAAAACCCTGAATGTGACACAGTAACAAAAGACAAATAATTAGGATATAAAGTTAAAAAAAATACTTACATTGTGTATCATCTCAAAGTATTTTTGACAGGCTACCTGGTAATGTGTCCCCTTTACTAAATCCAAAATCTAAAATGAATGAGGAAAAAGAGAAATAAAAATTAGAAATTAAGTTTTCTTCTAAACCACTGTAGCTCACAGTTGTTGGCCTTTTCATAATCTTCATTCCAGACAGGAAATGCAATAAATCATGTAGCATGTTGTACTTCTGCAGCCTGGACACTGTGATAATTCTGACATTATACAGTAGTGGTTTAGGTCAGCATTAAACCACAGATGACAAGAGACAGTGATCTTTCTGACCTACCAACTGTACATTTTAATAACTTTACCTCAACAACAAGATGAAAATGGATCCTGGTATGATGACTTTGACAGTTATTGTCAGAACATCATATTGCAACATCTCTCCGAAAACTGTAGATAGAAATCTAGTAATCTAATGGTTGGTGCATGAAGCAATCAAGTATACTATTTAGATATTTATTTTCCACGTTAATGGTTTATACAGATACAGCATAAAATACTGCTGTGTGCCCATCAGGAAAATTTAATGTAAACCCTTTTGGACAAGTATCTGTGAAGAGGGAATGCTTTTACCTTCAGTCAGATTTGTCCTTTTTGAAATGAAGTTATTTCTAGCAAAGCTCAGCAGAATATGAGAGTGAATAGCCTATTCTGAACACCTGTTAGGAACATCATCCTATCTTTTGTAAATACAATTTGCTTTCCAACTCTACTTCATGTAATCTCTTCAGAGCGGTGCAAACTCCCATCCTTATCAGCAGACTGCAATGCCAGTTGAAATTTGTAAAGTTTCATTGCCTCCCCCAAGCCCTCAAATAAATAAAACACATAATTGGCCTATTTATCAAATGCAGTAAAATGCTGGAATTAAGAGATAACCTCAAATGAATGGAAACATAATTCTGGAGAAATGTTAATTTCTATTCCTTTTTTATGTTTTAAAAGGCTGATCTTCCTGTCACAAAAAGAAATGAACATGGGGTCTCAAATTCTTGCTATCCTCATTATTGAATATAGCTTAATGTCATTTGACAGATACACACAAAAAAATTAGTTACAGAACAGGCATTATACAATACTGACAAGAATGTGCTTCAAAAATTGTTTTTCTCTGATTGTCTTATAGATTACATTTCTGAATTTCGTGTCACCTTTTATTAAATCATATATGAAAGACCTGTGTAAATGCCAGCCAACCACAGAGGCCAGGTTTCTGCCAGTCTGACTATCTGGCCTGTCTACTTTTCTTGAATTATTAGAGTAAAATATGAAAAATCAATTTAAAATGAGACTTTCTTCATTTTTAAATTTATTCTGCAAGTTTTCCAAGTAACGCTAACACTGAGTTCATGTTGTCTGATGCTCTTCACACAGATTTTCAAATTGTGATGAGATAAACTTGCAAATAATTACTGACAAACATCTATAATAATATATTAATATCTGAATTAGAATTTTGGAGAAGTAAAGACTTCAAACATAAATTTAAGCTTTAGATGATCCCATAAATTACCTGAAGAAGAAATGGATTCACAGAAATAAAAAAGCTCAACCATATAAAAAGTAAATATGTAACATGATATACATACATACATACAATCTAGTATGTATATGTTTGGGAAACATGCTATGAAGAAATAATAAATCATATTAATAAAAAATTTAGTTGGGTAATCCACACGTGTAAAAAACTTACTAAAGAAAACTGACATAAAAGCCACAGAATGTGAGAAAAACAGATGTATTGCAAATTTTAGGTTCAATTTTTAGGGTCCATAAAAAAATTAAATTTAAATTAATCACACTACAATCTTCCCCTGACCTGACCCCACTCGCAGAGAGGGCTCTTCCTTAACAAAAATAATTTACTTTTATTTTTGTTTTATTTTATTAGGATGAATTTTTATTTAAAATCTGCTTGCAAATCTATAAACAAGTCATTCAACTATGATCAGGATAGCTTAAAGAACTTTAATCATGTCCCAGCATATTTGAGATAGATGAAGGTTTCTATAAATAAGTAAAGGTGTGATGAGAAAAAAAGGCAATAGAGGTTTTTGAGGTAAACAAGTATTATTGGTAGATACTTTTATCTTCACTTCAGAAATGAGGAAATATATTAAAATTGGAGTATCTGTCTCCTGAGGGTGAGGGCCATTAACCGCAGAAAGAATTTTAAAAATCACATACAAATTAATAATCTTTCTTTTAAAGGAAGATAACTTACATGCTTTTAAAATTAAGGTAGAAAACATAAAACATTACTCCAAAAAATCCAACTAATGAATATATAGTTTCATTTCAGATTATGATCTATATTACAGAGATATAGGAAAAGAAAAGATGGACCAAGGAATGAAGTTTGACTTTTTCTCTGAGTAAAATGGGGAGCTAATACAATATTCTATGTGCAGGACTAAAGTGAACTGACATTTACAGAGGGTTCATTTTTGCCTGCTGTGCTGGGAACAGATTGGAAAGGAGAGAGGTAGAAACAGGGAGCTCATTACAGGAATTCAGGGAATAGATGGTAGATCCATGGACCAGGGTGGCAATATCAGTGGCGATGGTAAGTGGTCAGATTTGGAGACAGGAGCATTTCCCACTTAATGGCTATAAAATATTTCTAAAATCAGATGTTCTGCATGAAAATACTCAAGAGGAACCTGTCCTCCAATGTCTTAAAATAATGCATGAGATACCACTCAACCCCTTCCCCTGCCAACTGATTTCCTAAATAACTAGTTCTAAAACTCGGGAAAATGCGAATATGAAAAACAAACCTATCATATAAAATAAATGTAAAATACCCAAAATATCACGCAGTAGCCACTAAACAATATGATTAACAAACAGATATTTTCTGTGTAGAAACAGGAGTATGATACCTCATGTCTCTTAGAGTTAGGACTTCTTAGATGCACACTTTGCTGACATGAAAATCTTCCCAAGTGATTCTGATGTTCTAGAATTTGTATATGGACTGCAACCTGAGACTTCTTCTGCACTTTGTTTTGTTAAATTTTTCCAATATGAACATCACCACTAAGCACTGTATTAAGATATTCTGCAGGTAACTCTATTTTGATGTTGATACTAATACAACTTGCTGAGGGGGTTGGATGACTCCAAGGCAGGAAATACAAACTAAAAATCAGGTGAAGGAAATGAAGCATTAAGGTATGACCAAGACACTAAAATTCAGCTTATGATATAGGATCAAAATTACAAACCTGGCAAACACCAAAATCCAAGAACAGATGCCTAAGGTACACTGCGTGAAACAGAATTTAGGGTCAAATTTCCACAAGATACTTATGCACCATGGAGTACTATGCAGCCACAAAAAAAGAACAAAATCATGTCCTTTATGGCAACACAGATGCAGCTGAAGGCCATTATCCTAAGCAAATTAATGCAGGAAAAAAAAATCAAATACCACATGTTCTCACTTAAAGTGGGAGCTAAACATTGGTTATACATGGTCACAAAAAAGGCAACAATAAACACTGGGGATTCTAAAACTGGGGGAAGGGAGACAAGAGTTGAAAAGCTACCTATCAGGTACTATGTTCACTACTTGGGCAATGGGATCATTAGCAGCCCAAGCCTCAGCATCATGCAACATACCCATATAATAAACCTGCACATGTGCCCCCCTGAATCTAAAATAAAAATTTTTAAAAACGTATTAAGAAAAAACTGAAATACTCCACAAAGTAATGAAGATGTTGTTAGGCAAGAGTACTTTTTGCCTGTGTTTGTTTCTGCAGCATAGCTTCTGAAAGCCCAGACCTCCATCCTCACAAGCTGGTCTTGGCTCCTAAAAAGATAGCTTCCCAAGATGGCAGGCCAGGACTGCCCAGAGTGAGGGTCAGAAATAGAATAGGTCAGGAAAACACATACTACATAGAGGTGGAAACCCATCAAGAGGAAGAAATATAATGAAGAGACAAAAAACAAGAATAGGAAGAAAAATGTGGAAAGCCAGAGAAATGGGATAAGTAAATGGAGTCCATGGCTTGCTATTTATGTGGCTTGTAAGTATCAAAGTCTAACCCACAGCTCACAAAAGATGTTTCAATGAGCACTGACACTAACTCTCCAGTTTTCATGTTCCATTCTGAAAGAACCAGAGCACCTTATGAGGTCCTCTTGCATATTGCAATAATACCAAAGAACAGTTTTCCAAAGGTCAGAGGAAACCAAATCAAGGGTCCATTCTGATGCTGGGGCCAGAAGTTTCCCAAATCTGTTTTAGAAAAATATCAAACATTTTGAACAATCATATCAAAGACATTTAGAAACACAATTTTTATTTGAAGAAAAAACTCATATAAAGATCTAAGAATATTATACAAATGGCAGTATGACTTAGTTTTTAATGCCAGTATTTCCAGATAAAGTACAAAATGTCAAGTGTAACAATCCACTTACTGTTCTAATCTAGTTCGTCAGTAATCAAAAGGCTAAGAAAAAGTGAGTAGTGGACGGGCACGGTGGCTCACACCTGTAATCCCAGCACTTTGGGAGTCCAAGGCAGGCGGATCATGAGGTCAGGAGTTCAAGACCAGTCTGGCCAACATGGGGAAACCCCATGTCTACTAAAAATGCAAAAATTAGCTGGGTGTGGTGGTGCGTGTCTGTAATCCCAGCTACTCAGGAGGCTGAGGCAGGAGAATCGCTTGAACCCGGGATGTGGAGGTTACAGTGAGCCAAGATTGCAACCCTACACTCCAGCCTGGGTGACAGAGCAAGACTCCATCTCAGAAAAAAACAAAACAAAGAAAGAAAAAGTGAGTAGCAATGACATCAAACTACAATATTTTGGTAATTCGTATTTTTAAACTCTATATATTTTTAAACTTTTTTTTTTTTTTTTTTTTTTTTTTTTTGAGACAGAGTCTCACTCTGTCACCCAGGCTGGAGGGCAGCGGCGCAATCTCGGCTCACTACAACCTCCACCTCCCGGGTTCAAGTGATTCTCCTGCCTCAGCTCTCAAGCAGCCAGGATTACAGATGCGCACCATAACACCCAGCTAATTTTTGAATTTTTAATAGAGATGGGGTTTTGCCATGTTGGCCAGACTGTTCTTAAACTCCTGGCCTCAAGCAACCCACCAGCCTCGGTCTCCAAAAGTGCTAGGATTAGAGGTGTGAGCCACCATGCCTGGCCTCTCTTTATTTTTAACTATTCTCTATCAGTTGAATAAAGTCCACCAGTAAGAATATTACAGTTTTTAAAAACAGGCTGGGTGTGGTGGCTCACACCTGTAATCCCAGCACTTTGGGAGGCCAGGGCAGGTGGATTGCTTAAGTCCAGGAGTTCAAGACCAGCCTAGGCAACACAGAGAAACCCTGTCTCTAATAAAAATACAAAAAATTAACCAGGCATGGTGGCACATGCCTGTAGTCCCAGCTACTTGGGGGGCTGAGGCGGGAGGTTCGCTTGAGTCGGGGAGGTCGAGGCTGCAGTGAGTCCTGACCATGCCACTGCACTCCAGCCTGGGTGACAGAATGAGACCCTGTCTTTAAAAAAAAAAAAAAAAAGCAATGCAGTTTTCATCTTCACAAAAAGTTCATATTTGTATTTGCTGAAAGCATTAATTATACTTCATCTACTATTTCATCCTCAAGATGAATTACTGATTTTTTTTTTCTGTAAGAGAATTCTAGTAAAGCACCTCACCAAAGACATCTTTGCAGTTGAGGAGCAAAAAGCAAATAAGGTGATATTTTTCTAATTTAATCAGTGATGGAACATAGATGATACAGAACACTGGTGGGAAATGCTATAGGTATGTCTATTTATAACACATACATATACAAAAATAGAACTCTCTTCTTTTTATACACACACAACATTTTATAACTTTGAGCCACACTTCCTCCCTCTTGCTAATACTCTTAATATTTCCAGCCAGCTGCAAATTCCTCTCTCTCTTTTGCTTCAATGCCTGCCAACGAGGTTCAGATGATTACCTGGCAGCAGAATGCAGCCACCTGCCCATCTTTGGCTTTGGTGAGCAGAGCACTGTACAGCTAGGTATGCTGTACTCACCAATTAGATATGTGGCTAATCTAATTCAAGGTCATGTTTTGTCTTATTTAAAAGTGATAACAAGCTTGCTTCTTCCTAAAAAACTCAATCTTTCAAAACTAGACTGGGCTGATATTTTTCCACTCCATTTCTAACCTTCCCATATTTCAAAGGTGAAAGAAAAATGTGGTGGAGATGCCAAGTCTTGCAAATTTTTGAACATACGACTTTGCTCCCATTTCTCATACACTCAGCACAGCTTAGCCTGCTGCTGCCTTGCTGTGACCTTCACTGACTGGCAGATCAGGGCCAAGTTTCCCTCTATTGAAGATGTACTTTCATTTCTTTAAAACATTATATGTCAAGAATTTTTCTGACTCTTTATTATCTATAAACAAAGTTATCTGAGTCAATTCTACTTCCAAATGTCATTAAAATCTACCCTTTTCTCTCCATTTTTGAAGCCTTCATCATTCTCTTTTTTATTGGAAAGCTTCTTGATTTATACTTTCTTCACTCAAGATAGCTGCCACATTGCCACAAGAGTACCTTTTCTAAAAGCCAAATCTAATCCTGGCATGGCTGGGGCACAAACTTTTCATCATGATTCAAAGGCTCCTACCCTGTCCTACCTGGCCACTGGATCCTCATATTCTGGTCCAGCTTCTCCTGCAATGTGATCTTTGGAACTTTAGCTCACAAAATCCTAGTGATGATCGGGGGTTTTCTTGTCTAATAACTTGTTTAACTGGCTTTAATCCACAATTACCTAAGTTTCTTTGTAGCAGAACTTAATAGGGTAACGTTTCTCAAACTAATTTGTCCCCAGAATCCATTTTTCATAGATCTCTCAGGACTAGGGTTCCTCAAAACACACCAAACAACCTTATTTAAATTAATAGAGTCACCTCCACAAGTCTCATTCTTCTCTCTTATCCTGCCATAGTTTTATTTCACTACACTTACTTGTTTATCTGCGATATATGGTTTGGCTCTATCCTCACCCAAATCTCATCTTGAACTGTAGCTCCCATAATTCCCACGTGTCATGGGAGGGACCTGGTGGGAGATAATTGAATCATGTGGGCGGTTTCCCCCATACTGTTCGCATGGTAGTGAGTAAGTCTCACGAGATCTGATGATGGTTTTGTAGGGGAAACCCCTTTCACTTGGATCTCATTGTCTCTCTTGTCTGCTGCTATGTAAGACGTGCCTCTCACCTTCCACCATGATTGTGAGGCCTCCTATGCCACATGGAACTGTGAGTCCATTAAACCTTTTTTTCTTTATAAAGTGCCAAGTCTTGGGCATGTCTTTATCAGCAGCATGAAAACAGAGTAATACAGTCTGTCTCCCCACTGGAATATCAGCTCCATGAAGGTAGAAGTCTCACTAGTTTTAGTCATCATTATATTCCCAATGTCTTGAACAGTAAATGGAATACAATCCTCACTCAATTATTATCTGTTGATGTTGAATGAATGCTGCTCCTTTTGCCTAATCTGCCTTACATTAGGCACAGGGGAAACTCCTACTCAACTTTCAAACCCAATTAAAATGTCACTTCTTATATGAAGCATTCTCTTCTGCTCCCTCTTCAACAGAAGATCTTTCCCCTCTGGCACTCTGAATATATTTTTATAAAAGCATTTAGCATACTTTATAATAGTTAATTATTAAAGCACTTATCATACTCTATTGTAGTTAGGTACCAATAAAAGGATTGTTGAGAAGCAATTTAACCTGCTACCCAAAATACTGATTTTCTTAGTGCACATTAATACCAACATTTTGGATTAAAGGATTTAAGCTCTTAGGGAACATTAACAACTAAGTAAACTTAGAAAGCAAGGAGGGAAGGAAAGAGAAGGAAGAAGAGAGGAAAGATAATGAGGGGGAAGGGAGGACAAACAAGAAGACACATGTAAAGCCTGCTTAGAGATACGGAGAAACATGTTGTCAAACCTCAGTTCCATGGTTCAGTTACTAATTATTACTGTGCTTTGAGTATTCTATTTTTTGGCCTAATATAAAACCAAGCCACTTCAGAATCACTATGCTCTATGATCTTTATGAAAATAATGAAAGATATTTATACTGATTATATAATTACTTTAGAAGATTATACTTATTAAAAGATGTATCATGTACTGATTTAATAATTACTTTAGATTGTTTATTAAAAGATGTATCATATCTCCTGGATATGCTATTGAAAACAGAAGCTAATGTTAAAATCTGTCACTTAAGAATTAAGAAGTAAAAATAATCATATAAATTCAGAGATAGAAACTTTAACAAGAAATACATTGCAAATTGATGGTAAACACCACCAAGAAGAATGAAATGACTCAAAGCTACCCAGTCTAAAAATCTAAACTACTTGCTTTATGAAATAAATTTACTTAACTTTCTGGGTACCTTAAGCTTACTTCTTCAAAAGAAGCCGGTGCCTCTGGGAGTGTACTCTATAAAACTGATCAAGAAATAGAACTAAGTTAGAATAGTTTTATGACTATAGGCAGTTAGGTTTGACTTTACAAAAATATCCCAAGTGACAGTATCATATGTGACTGAATAAAATTCTTCCATAGGTATCAGTGATTTTTCATGTAATGAATACATAATAAATATAGAAAGATGTGTAACTATATAAACAGAGTATTAAATTTTAAGAAAGGATGTTTTCCATTTGAATGCAATTTTAATGAATATAAGTTTTAATTAATAGGCTTAGCTAACAATAACATATGTTACTTGACTTTCAAAGTGATTTTTCTTTGAACCACCTTGAACATTAAATCTTCAAGCAACCATTTATCTTCAGCCTATAAGAAAGGAAGGATATACACAGAAATCAAGTGTTAAAGCCAAAAGTACAACCATGGCCTGGTGACACCAATTCTAATGCTCAACTTCCCATCTTTTCCTTAATGCAGTTCTGAGTTTTACCAAGAACGTTACACATTTTCAACTACAACACTAAGAAAAGCAAAGCTAAGTGCAGCAACCAAACTACTGTTCTCAAAAATCAGAAGAGATACTCCTGAAGATGAAATAGATACAAAAGCTGCCCTTAAAAGCAGTTACTTTCCACAAAGTAATAGACAGACAGAATACTATCATCCACTGGTAAGTCCCCCTTACCTAAGAAAATCATAGTTTTTAGGTAGCTCAGATTTTTAGGAACATTAAGTAAACAGTCATTGAAATTTATCTTTGTCATAAAATCTTCTTGACAGTTACTTTTAAGTCTTTTAAACTGTCCCTTTTGAAAGATTTCTTCATTAAAAGGCATTTGCCAGTTTTGGATTTAATATAGTCACTAACTTCTTGAGAATTTTTGACTGTGAAAAACAGAGGTTAACCAACCTCTCAAGAAGCAATAAGAGCATACATTTTTTCATATTTCATGGTTTTAATTCACTCTTAAGTTTCTTAGAAGCACCAATTAGATTTGTTTAAAAAATCATTAATAGTTGAGTGAAAATTCTAAAACACATTTCCTTCCTCTATTAAAAAAACTAAAATGAGAAATAAAAAGAGTTTTAAAAACATTAGTGCAGAAATACATTTGTAAATAATGTATCATTTCAATCAAAATCTTGAAAAATGAATAGCCTTATGTATACTTACTTATGGGCCAACATGTAAAAGTAAGTATTGGTTGTAATAGGTCTAACACAATTTTACAGCAGAAGCAAACATTAAAATACACTGTAGAAACAGAACCTAATCACTCGAATACTCAACATTCTCAAGTGCTCGATACTTAAAGCAGTGCTCTCAACAGAAATATGACATATCTGTAATTTTAGATTTTCTATAACCACAATTAAAACAGTAAAAATAAGCAATTACTTTCAGTAATATATTTTATTCAAAGAAATATATCTAAAATATTGTCATTTCAAAATGTAATCAATGTAAAAATATTACTGAGATATTTTGTAATGCTTTTTTTCGATACCATTATTACTCTGTGAAACTTGGTGTACATTTTACTACAGCCAGTGGTATACTGGAGCTAACACAAACTGGCTGTAATCCCAGCTACTTGGGAGGCTTAGGCAGGAAAATTGCTTGAACCCAGGAGGCAGAGGTTGCAGTGAGCCGAGGTCATGCCACTGCGCTCCAGCCTGGGCGACAGAGTGAGACTCCATCTCAAAAAAGAAAGAAAGAAAAAAAAAACTGTCAACCAAGATTCATAAGGAAAAAGTAAGACATTCCCAGATAAACAAATGCTGAGGGAGTCTGTTGTTAGTAGACCTGCCCAACAAGAAATGCTAGAGTAAATCCTTCAGGTAGAAAGAAAAGATCACTACAAAGTAACTCAGAGCCATTCAAAAAGAATGAACACGAGCTAAGGTAACTATATAGGTATTAAAAATCCAGTATTATTGTGTTTTTGATTTGTAACTCTTCTTTTTTCTCAAATGATTTAAAAGACAGATGCATAAAACAGTAATTGTAAGTTAATGGGCACATAATGTATAAAGATGTAATTTGTGACAACAATATGAGGGGGAGGGACAGAGCTATACAGAAGTGGAGTTTTTGTATATAATAGATGCTAAGTTGATATTAAAAACTGTTATACATATAAAAGGTTACAGTCCCCAGGATAACCACTAAGCAAATAATGAGAAAAAAATACATCAAAAAAAAAAGTGATGGGAATAAAAATGGTACTATGGTACTGTGGTCTGAATGTGTCCCCTCCAAAGTTCAGGTGCTGCAAATCTGCTAGTATTAAGAGGCGGAACCTTTAAGACATCATGAGGCCATGAGGGCTCATTCCTCATTAATAGAACTAAGGCCCTTATAAAGAAAAAAAGCAGCAGCAGCTTCAGGTGGCATTTGGCTAGCTTGTTCTCTTGTCCTTCTGCAATGTGAAGACTGAACAAGAAAGTCTTCATCAGATCAGAAATAGGCTCCTCAACCTTGGACTTCTCAGCCTCTATAACTGTGAGAAATAAATTTCTTTCACTTATAAATTAGCTGGTCTGTGGTATCCTGTTATAGCAGCACAAAACAGACTAAGTACACTACCAAAAAAAATTTAATGCAAAAGAAGGTACTAATGGAGAAACTGAGGGACAAAAAAGACATGACATCATTAAAAGCAATGAGCAAAATGCCTGGCATGGCAGCTCCTGCCTGTAATGCTGTTGCTTTAAAGTTTGTTTCATCTGATATAAGAACAGCTACCCCTGCTTGCTTTCAGTGTCCATTTACATGAAATGCCTTTTTCCACATCTTTACTTTAAGTTTATGTGAGTCCTTATGTGTTAGGTTAGTCTCCTGAAGGCAGCAGATTGTTGGTTGATGAGTTCTCATGCATTCTGCAGTTCTGTACCTTTTAAGTGGAGCATTTAGGCCATTTACATTCAATGTTAGTATTGAAATGTGAGGTACCTTTGCATTCATCATGCTCTTGGTTGCCTGCATACTTTGGTTTTTTGTTTTTGTTTTTTAACTTGTGTTTTTATTTTACAGGTCCTGTGAGATTTATGCTTTAAAGATATTCTGTTTTGATGAGTTTCCTGGATTTGTTTCAAGATTTAGAGCTCCTTTTAGCAGTTCTTCTAGTAGTGGCTTAGTAATGGCGAATTCTCTCAGCATTTGTTTGTCTGAAAACGACTGTTATCTTTCCTTCATATGTGGTGCTTAGTTTCACTGGATACAAAATTCTTGGCTGATGTTTGTTTTGTTTGAGGAGGCTGTAGATAGGGCCCTAATCCCTTCTAGCTTATAGGGTTTCTGCTGAGAAATCTGTTGTTAATCTGTTAGGTTTTCCTTTATAGGTTACCTGGTGCTTCTGTCTCACAGCTCTTAAGATTTGTTCCTTCATCTTAACTTTGGATAACCTGATGACAATGTGCCTAGGCGAAGATCTTTTTGTAATGAATTTCTTGGGTGTTCTTTGTCTTTTTTTTGAGATGGAGTCTCACTCTGTCACCCAAGTTGGAGTGCAGTGGCATGATCTTGGCTCACTGTAACCTCAGCCTCCCAGGTTCAAGCGATTCTCCTGCCTCAGCCTCCCAAGTAGCTGGGACTACAGTTGTGTGTCACCACGCCCAGCTAACTTTTTGCATTTTTAGTAGAGATGGGGTTTCACTGTGTTAGCCAGGACGGTCTCGATCTCCTGACCTCATGATCCATCTGCCTCAGCCTCCCAAAGTGCTGGGATTACAGGTGTGAGCCACCGCACCTGGCCCTGTGCTTCTTATATTTGCATGTCTAGGTCTCTAGCAAGGCTGGGGAAGTTTTCCTCCATTATTCCCCCAAATATGTTTTCTAAGCTTTTAGAATTGTCTTCTTCCTCAGGAATACCGATTACTCTTAGGTTTGGTAGTTTAACATAATCCCAAACTTCTTAGAGGCTTTGTTCATATTTTCTTATTCTTTTTTCTTTGTCTTTGTTGGATTGGGTTAATTCGAACACCTTGTCTTCAAGCTCTGAATTTCTTTCTTCTACTTGTTCAATTCTATTGCTGAGACTTTCCAGAGCATTTTGCATTTCTAAAAGTGTATCCAAAGTTTCCTGAATTTTGTATTGTTTTTTCTTTTAGCTATCTATTTCATTGAATCTTTCTCTCTTCACTTCCTGTGTCACTTTCTGAATTTCCTTGCATTGGGCTTTGCCTTTCCCTGGTTCTCCCTGATTAGCTTAATAACTAACCTACTGAATTCCTTTTCAGTTATATCAGGGATTTCTTCTTGGTTTGGATCGATTGCTGGTGAACTAGTATGATTTTTAGGGGGTGTTGATGAGCCTTGTTTGGTCATATTACCAGGGGTGGTTTTCTGGTTCCATCACGTTTGGGTAGGCTCTGTCAGAGGGAAGGTCTAGGGCTGAATGCTGTTGTTCAGATTCTAGTGCACAGGGTGTTCCCTTGATGTAGTACTCTCCCCTTTTCCTGTGGTTGTGGCTTTCTGTGAGCCGAACTGCAATAATTGTTGTCTCTCTTCTGGGTTTAACCATCCAGTGAGTCTACCTGGCACCATGGTAGTACTGGGGGTTTCTGCACAGTCCTGTGATGTGAACCGTCTATGGGTCTCTCAACCACGGATACCAGCGCCTGTTCCATTGGAGGCGGCAGAAGGTGCAATGAACTCCATGAGGGTTCTTAGTTTTGGTGATTTAATGCTCCATTTTTGTGCTGGTTGGCCTCCTGCCAAGAGGTGGCACTTTCCAGAGAGCATCAGCAGTAGCAGTGCAGAGGGATCGGCAGTGGGTGGGGCCCTAGAATTCCCAAGATTATATGTCCTTTGTCTTCTGCTACCTGGGTGGGTAGGGAAGGACTGTCAGGTGGGGGTGGGGCTATGCGTGTCTGAGCAAAGACTCTCCTTGGGTGGGTCTTGCTGTGGCTGCTGTGGGGGACGGGGTGAGATTCCCAGGTCACTGGAGTTGTGCACCTAGGAGGATTATGGCTGCCTCTGCTGAGTCATGCAGGTTGTCAAAGAAGTGGGGGAAAGCCAGCAGTCACAGGCCTCACCCAGCTCCCATGCAAACTGAAGGGCTGGTCTCACTCCCACCATGCCCCCCACAACAGACCCAGATCTGTTTCCAGGTGGAAGGCAGGCTTGAAAACTGCCCAAGGCTTTCACCTCCCAGAGTATTTGGGGTGTCTCCCGGGTCCTGCAGGAGCAGTCCGCTTCCTTCAGAGAGTCTGAGGGTCCTCTCAGGATTGCTGGTTTGTTCTTGCAGTCAATCTGGAGCTAAAATTCACAATTTAAGCCTCCACATGCTGCTCTGTCAGGAGCTGCAATCTAGTCCTGCCTCCCATCTGCCATGATCCCTCTTTATACACAATCTACAGATTCAATGCAATCCGTATCAAAGTTCTAATGGCTGTTTTTGCAGAAATAAAAAAGTTGATCCTCAAATTCATATGGAATTGCAAGGAGCTCCAGATAGCCAAAATAATATTGAAAAAGAACAAAATTGGAAGATTCCATGCTTCCTGATTTCAAAGCTCAGTACAAGGTACAGAAATCAAAACAGTGTGGTACTGGCTGGCATAAGGACAGACATATAGACCAGTACAGTAGAAATTGAGATTCCAGAAATTATCCCATACATCTATGTCCAAATGAGTTTTGACAAGGGTGCAAGACCATCAATGGGGAAACTGTCTCTTCAAGAAATAGTGTTAGAAAACTGGATATTCACAAGCAAAAGAATGAAGATAAACCCCTACATCATACCATCTACAAAAATTAACTCAAAAGGGATCAATGACCTAAATATAAAAGCTAGAGCTATAATACTTTTATACAAAGCCATAGATGTCAATATTCACAACCTTGAATTTGACTATAGATAATTATGACACTAAAAGCACAAGTAACAAAAGAAAACAAACTTCATCAAAATTAAAATCTTTTGTCCACCAATAGACATTAAGAAGTTGTTGACAAGAAAACCTACAGAATAGGAGAACATATTTGCAAATCATATATCTATCTGATAAGAGTCTTGTATCCAAAATATATTAAGAACTCTTAAACTCAACAAAAAGACAACCCAATTCAAAAATAGACAAAGGAATTGGATAGACATTTCTTCAAAGAAGATGTACAAATGGCCAAAAAGCATATAAAAAGATGCTCAACGTCATTATTCATTAGAAAAATGCAAATCAAAACCACAATGAGATATCACTGCATACTTAAAAGGATGGTGTTATGAAATGAATTGTGTCCCTCAAATAAAGATATGTTGAAGTCCTAACTCCCACTACCTAAAAATGTGATCTTATTTGGAAATAGGTTATTTACAGAGGTAATCAAAATGAGGTCATTAAGGTAAGCCCTAATCCAATATTACTGGTGTCCTCCTAAAAAGAGGAAACTAGACAAAGAATGCACAGAGCAAAGATGGTGAGAAGACATACAGGGAGGAAGCCATGTGAAAATAAAGATAGAGTTTGGAGTGATGCATCTACAAGTCAAAGATTGCTAACAAACCACCAGAAGCTGGGAAAAACGTGGGAACAGATTCTCCCTCACAGCTCTCAGAAGGAATTAACCTGCCAACACCTTGACTGCTGGCTTCCAAAACTGTGAGATAAATTTTTAAAGTCACCCAGTTGGTGGAAACAACCCAGTGTCCATCAAAGGACGAATGGATAAACAAAATGTGGTACAGACATACAATGGAGTATCATTCAGCCATTCAAAAGAACAAAACACAAATGAACCTTGTAAACATGCTATATGAAGTAAGCCAGACAGTATATGATGCTATTTTATGAAATATTCAGAATAGGTAAATCCATAGAGATAGAAAGCAGATTATTGGTTTCTAGGGGCGGCAGGAGGTGATTGTTTAATAGGTGTAAGGTTTTCTTTGGGGGTGATGAAAAGGTTTGGAACTTGATAGAAATAGTAGTTGTAAAATATTGTGAATGTACTAAATGCACTGAATTGTACATTTTAAAATAGTTATTTGTATGTTATGTGACTTTCACCTCAATAAAAAAAGCAATCAGATCTTTTGAAAATCTGTTACCATATATAATTTACATTTTCTGAATTATTCTCATCTTTATTTCACATTTGTCAGTGTTTCAACAATGCATTATACATTTTCTTAAGTTTAGGTACATAAGAATTACCATTCACTTCACAGTGATGGCTTTCCATGAAAGAAGAAACCAAAAAGAATTTCAACTGGATTTAAAATAGAAAAATACTACAGAGAATCAGAACAATGTATTGTAAGAAACTTCAGCTTCACTGTCAGGCATAGGTGTGAATTCTGGCCTTATCATATATTAGTTCTATGGTTCTGAGCAGTTTCTTGCCTTCTCCAAACCTCAGCTTTCTCATCTGTAAAATAGGGATAATGTAGTGGTGGGAATCAAATGAGATACAGTTTATTTGTGTAAAGCCTCCATCACAATGCTTTGCATAAGCAGGCCAAAAATAAAACAAACCACCATGGCTTCAAATTGTTCTATTTCCAGAGACAGATCAAGCACACCCCTCATTACTACATAATAAGAAAGAAAAACTATTAAGGAGTAATAGCATTCAGAGATTACAATAAAAGATGTTAACTTCATTGTGGCATATATTACAATGAACTACAACTTTTAGATTAGTCTGTAGGCAGCAATTATTGTTTATTTATTAAGCTCTGTGAGAATTAAAGATATGCCACAAGTGATTCAGTATAACAAAAAGACAATTTTCCTATAAACTTTATGTATTTATTGTTTGTTAATTTTTGGAGAGATGGAGTCTTGCTGTATCTTCCAGGATGGAGTACAGTGGCACAATTATAGCTCACTGTAACAATTACTAGGCTCAAGCGAGCTTCCTGCTTCAGCCTCCCAAACAGCTAGAACTACAGGTGTGCATCACCACAACTGTTATTTTTATTACTTTTTTAAAGGCAGGGTCTACCTATGTTGCCCAGGGTGGTCTCCAACTCCTGGCTTCAAGCAATCCTCTCACCTCGGCCTTCCAAAGTGCTGGGATTACAGGCGTGAGCCACTGTGGCCAGCCCCAATTTTTCTATTAAAATAGGACATAGCACACCATTATAAGTCCATGAAACAAAGTACAATTTGAAAATTTCATATGCATCTTTCCACAATAGAAAAAACTTCTTCTGAGAAACAAACCATTTAAAGCCAATGAGAGATTTTACTGTCAATATTCTGAACACATATTCTCAATTTTTTTTTTTTTTTTTTTTGAGACAGAATCTCACTCTGTGGCCCAGGCTGGAGTGCAGTGGCATGATCATGGCTCACTCAGTCCCCATGGGCTCAAGCAATCCAGCAATCCTCCCACCTCAGCCTCCTGCATAGCTGACACTACAGGTGCATGCCTCGACGCCTGGCTAATTTTTGTATTTTTTTGTAGAGACTGGGTTTTGCCAAGTTACCCAGGCTGGTCTCGAACTCCTGGGCTCAAGCAACCCATAGGTCTTGGCTTCCCAAAGTGCTGGGATTCAGGCATGAGCCACCGCACCCAGCTCTAAAATTTCTGTATCTCAAAATATAAATATTTCTATCACAAAATTGCAGGTTTTTAAAGGAAAAGCTGAAGTGGAAAATAAAAGCTAAAAAACAAAAGTGTTTTTAGAATAATTAGAAACTTCAGACATCTAACTTAGGCAGAAACTATTGATAGATAGATACAATACCCAAACTAACAAAACATTGAAAGGATTTTTTAACTCACTGCCAATTTTGAAAAGAAATTAATGAAAGTATTGAGATTAAAATGTACACACACACACACATACATATATATATATATTTGAGACAGAGTCTCGCTCTGTTGCCCAGGCTGGAGTGCAGTGGCATGATCTCTGCTCACTGCAAGCTCCACCTCCCAGGTTCACACCATTCTCCTGCCTCAGCCTCCCAAGTAGCTGGGACTACAGGCGCCCGCTAGCACGCCCGGCTAATTTTTTGTATTATTAGTAGAGACGCGGTTTCATCGTGTTAGCCAGGATGGTCTCGATATCCTGACCTTGTGATCTGCCCGCTTCGGCCTCCCAAAGTGCTGGGATTATAGGTGTGAGCCACCACACCCAGCCAACGTACACCAATATTTTAAGGAGAAAAAGCTGAGGTGCCAATAAGAAATGACCAATATAGATTGTATATCTATATATTATTCACTGGTCATCAGCTATGTATTCCTGAGAAATAATTTTCCAATAGTCTTAAATTTCTGAACATTTTGCAAATAGAGGCAACAACGGCTTTTACTTCAGACCATTTTTTCAAAGATGTTCATGTAACACAATGGTCTCCAACCTTTTTGGAACCAGGGACCAGTTTCGTAGAAGACAATTTTTCCACGGGCCAGGGTGGAGAGGTGGTTTCAGGATGAAACTGTTTCACCTCAGATCATCAGACATTATTAGTTCGATTCTCATAAGGAGCGCACAACCTAGATCCCTCGCATGCACAGTTCACAATAAGGTTTGAGCTCCTATGAGAATCTAACATGGCCACTGATCTGACAGGAGGTGGGGCTCAGGCAGTAATGCTTGCTTGCCCTGGCTCACCTCCTGCTGTTCCTAACAGGCCATGGACAAGTACCAGTCCGTGGCCCAGGGGTTGGGGACCTCTGATATAATGAACAGCCCTGGAAGACAATGGTTCCTTCCACTGGATTAAAGAGCAGACATATGGCAGGAGAATTGCTTGAACCCAGGAGGCAGAGGTTGCAGTGAGCAGAGATCGCACCATTGCACTCCAGCCTGGGTGACAAGAGCGAAACTCTGTCTCAAAAAATTAATTAGTTAATTAAAAATAAATAAAAAAAAAGAGTAGACATACTTACTGTCCATAATAAAATGTTCAGATTCCCTAAATTCAGGGTTTCCCTCCTCCAACACAAGCCACTGCATGTGCAGGTAGTACCTGGCCTTCATGTTGCTCTGTGGGAAGTAGGGCTCAAGGAACGAATGCCAGAAAAGGCTGACATACTGCTATTGCTGGAATTGTCATGTCTTCCACCAGATCCCATAAAAGTGTGGCAGCTAAGTTCTTAGCTTGCAAGTAGGGTAAAATCTCAGATCCTTCACAGTTCCTAACATGGATCAGATACTATGCTAGGTACTTGGAGCTCAGAGGGATAAGGGTTAGAATTTCATACCCAAAGACCTTGCAGTCATCTAGTACTACTGCTATTACCATCTATCCATTAGGCACATGACCATTTAACTTAAACTTCATTAATAACATTATACTTTCTTTCTAACTTTTAATCAAAGTAATGTATCCAAGGAAAAAAACTGAAGTACATTATGGCTTATTATTAAAATCAACAGTTCTCATATCACATTTCTTCCCACTGCTTGGTTAGTTCCCAAGAGGCAATTACTTTAACCATTTCCATTTTTTATTACATAGGATGTTGTCTATGTCACTCTAAATTATATGTTTATACTTTAAGTTCCTGATATAAACTTAATCCACTGCATTTTTACTATGAAAAGTAAATATTTTGGCTCATTATGCTACTTACCATCTACCCTTTCTTTCTCCCCCCATTAAAAAAAAGAAATTAAGTGGTTCATGTCTATAATCCCAGCACTTTGGGAGGCCAAGGTGACAGGACTGCTTGAGCCATGAGTTCAAGACCAGCCTAGGCAACACAGCAAGACCTCTATCTCTACAAAAAAGTAAAAAATTAGCTGGGCATGGTGATGTGCAGCTGTAACCTCAGCTACTTAGGAGACTGAGGCAAGAGGATCACTTAGACCCAGGAGTTCGAGGTTGCAATAAGATATGATCACACTACTGCACTCCAGCCTGCGTGACAGAGCAAGACCCTGTCTATTTAAAAAAAAAAAAAAAAGGCGAAAAGAAAAAAAAGAAAAAAATTAAGGTATAATTTCCACACAGTAAAATATATCCCCTTTTTACTCAGGGACTAAGTTTTTTCTAAAAAAGTAAAAGTTTTTAAATAAAATATATTTCCTTTTATCATAGTTCTGCAACATTTGACAAATTCAGTTTTGATATTACCCTGCAATCAACACAGATCATTCCCATTACCCAAAAATATTTCCCTTGTCCTTTATAACACCTCTCCTGCTCCCAGCAATCACTCTGTACCTACAGATTTGTCATACAAATAGAATTATACACTATAGTGCTTTTGAGTCTGACTTCTTTCACTTGGTATAATGTATTTGAGAACCTTACATGTTAATGGGTATACCAGTAATTTATTCCTTTCTATTGACAGGTAATATTCCATTGTATGACTATACCACAATTTGTTTATCCAATCACACACTGAAGAACATCTGGGTTGTTTCTAGTTTTTGGCAATTATCAATAATGCCTACACTATAAACACTTAGGAACAGATTTTTATGTGGACTTATGCTTTTATTTCAATTCTATAAATATTAGTTACAGGTATCACTGTGTCACATAGCATGTGTAAGCTTCACTTTATAAGAAATTGCCACACTCCTTTTCAAAGTGACTCTATGACTTGCATTTCCTCCACTATTGTATGAGACTTTCAGTCACTCTGCATCCTCACTAGCACTTAGTATTGCTAGATTTTTTTAAATTAGACCAATTCTATTTGGCATATCATGGTATTCATTGTAGTTTTAAATTTCATTTCACTAATGAGCTATATTTTTTCATGTGCTTATATTTACCATTCACACTTTTTCTTTGGTGAACTGTCTACTCAAATGTTTTGCCTGTTTAAAAAACTGTTTTCTAGTTACTGAGTTTTGAGAGTTCTTTATATCTTTTGGATTCACATCTTTTATGAAATTTATGATTTGCAAATATTTTCTTCCAGTCTGTGGCTTATCTTGTTCTCTTAAAGCTGTCTTTTGCAGAGCAAAATTTTTAATTTTGGTAAAGTCTAATTTATCACTATTTTCTTTCAGGGAACACACCAAACCCAAGGTCCTGCAGATATGCTGTTTTCTTTTGTAAGTTTCACATTTTACAGTTACTTAGTTCTATAATCCATTTTTAAATAATTTTTATATAAGCTTGGAGGTATATGTCTAGGATTTTTGCATTTAGATATCCAATTGTTCTAGATCTACTTGTTCTAGAACTCTGGACTTGTTCTGGAACTCCACATTACCATTTCCTTATTAAATTGCCCTGGCACCTTTGTTTAAAAATCCGTTGCCCATATATATGTGGGTCTATTTCTGAACTCTATTCTGTCCAATTAATCTGTCTTCATCATTTCCCTAATACCACACCATCTTAATTACAACAGTTTTCAGTAAGTTTTGAAATCAGGAAACATGTGTCTCCACTTTGTTTTTCATTTTCATCAGTCTTTCATATAAAGATCTTATGTATATTTTGGATTTCTGGTACTGCTGTATATGGTATTAGGTTGCTACAAAAGTATTTGCAGTAAAAGCCACAATTATGTTTGCAGCAAACTAATACTTTTTGAAATGTTTAATTTCCAATTGTTCACTGTAAGAAATAGAAATAGAATTGATTTTTGTATATTGAGTTAGTATCCTTCGACCTACTAGTTACAGTAGCATCTTGCTAGGTTCTTTGAGATTTTTTACATTGATAATCACTTTGAGAATAGAAAAAGGTTTTCTTTCTTCTTTTCCAATCTTTTGTTTTTCTTGCTTTATTGCTCTGCTTTAAATCCTACTTTATAGGATTTCAAATTATTTACATTTGTAATGGATTTTAAAGACCTAGACTATGATCTACCTGGGTTACTATTTCATGTCTCCTGTTGTTGGGTAACATGTTCTACAGATGTTAATTAGGTAAAGTTGGTTGACAGTATTGTTCAAGGCTTCTATATCCTTCCTGACTTTCTGCCTGCTTCTTCTGTTAATTATTAAGAGGAGTGCTGAAGTCTCCAAATATAACTGTGGATTTGTCTAGTTCTCTTTTCAGTTCTCTATTATTAATTCATGTATTTTGAAGCTATGTTGTTGGGGCATAAATATTTATAATTTTTATATCGTGTTGGTGAATTGACTGCTGTGTATTTCTCTTTTCGGGGAGGAGAGGAGAATAAATGCAGGGGTACCCATTTTCTTTGGCCATATTCTGTTGTTTAATTGCTGTTTCTTAAGCTGGATACCAAGCTCGTTAATTTTCAGTGATTTTGTAACATATTAAGGTTAATTAAAAAGGAAAATGAAATGTGATCCTGTAAGTATGCTTTATAAAAAAAATCAGCAACACCAGCTGAGTCACAATGATCTCTTTTCTGATCACCAACATTTTGATTACTTAAAATATCTATTTCTTGGCCAGGCGTGGTGGGTCACGCCTATAATCCCAGCACTGTGGGAGGCCGAGGCAGGCCTCCCACCCAAGGTCAGGAGTTTAAGACTGGCCTGGCCAACATGGTGAAACCCCATCTCTACAAAAATACAAAAATTAGCTGGACATGATGAAGGGTGCCTGTAATGCCAGCTACTTGGGATGCTGAGGCGGGAGAATCACTTGAAGCCGGCAGGTGGAGGTTGCAGTGAGCCGAGATTGCGCCATTGCATTCCAGCCTGGAAGACAGAGCAAGACTCTGTCTCCAAAAATTTTAAAAAAACATCGATTTCCTATAGTTGAAGGTATCTTTTTCAAGTAGTTTTCTCTGAGATAAAAATAACCACATGGAGTTCTACCTTACATACATTTTAATGATGTTTTTCTTAACTCTCATTCAATATTTTAATGTACGCTTGGAGTTTTCAAGATCTAATCTGCACTTAGGCCAACCTGCAAAATTCAACCTTATCAAAATGTTTTACATGGAATTTTCATCCATTAACTCTCTGCCCTTTAGAATACAGTCCACCAGCTGCTTCACTCTAGTGAGATCCACTCAATAAAGACATCAAATAAAAGCAAGATATTATTTACAGCTTGCTGGCATGCACTATACATCTGTGTTCATCTCAGATAAAAGGTTACAATGCAGGTCTAAAGGGTAATGTGAAAATTACTAACCAGCTTCAGCTAAGTAAGGAGTATACTTATGGATCAAGGGCAAACGGAGAAATACAGTGGAGTCAAAAGCAAAGAGTATACAAACATGGTCATTACTATTAACTATAAACATTAATTTTCTTGAGATAATGTTAGTATATTAAGATTATTTTTTTAAAGGTGATTCTTTATGACTGCTAAAAAATGCCTCTAATTTCTTCTAGATTCCCTATCACATTTGTTGGTGGTAGTTTCTAACCTTTTCTATAACCAGAATATCATTCATAACCCCTTTACTCTCCAGCTGATGACCTTACTTTATTTACAAGGAAGAGTAAGACCAGTTGATACACTCCATCAACTTCCCTTTGCTGTGTCTTAGCTATTTCCTCTATGTTCCCACATTGCTGAGGGGTATGCCTTTCTCTGTCACCATTCTTTGGTTCAAGTACATATCGTCCTTCCTCCAATAAGTTACTTTTTCACTTTTGTCTTTGAGTTCCTATTTGCCTCTCTCTGCATACCACCATGCATACTCTAGGATCCACCTCATACCTAAATATGCCCATTCACTCTTCCAACATTTTTAAAGCACCTAACAAGTGTAACTCATTGGATTACTATGAGACAGAAAGTTAAGTAAAAATCCAGTCCTCCTTTCAGGAAACTCACAAACTATTGGGAAAGATGAACAGGTAAACAAATAATTACAATCAAGTGTAACAAATGTTAAGAGCAAAGGCATGTACAATCGAGTCATGGTATAAAGGAAAGAGAACTTAATTCTGCTTGGTTAGAGAGATATTTTCTTTCTTTTATATCTTCATCAAGCCCACCCTCTCTGACAGTTCTTTCTTCTCCTCCTCTTTCTACAGATAGGCTCAGGTCTTAAACCAGGAAATGAACAATCCTATGATGCTTAAGCTAATACCACTCTAGCATCCCCTTTACTGGCACTTTTTTTTTTTTTTTTTCTTGAGACAGGGTCTCACTCCATTGCCAATGCTGGAGTGCAGTGGCATGATCATGGCTTCCTGGAGCCTCAACTTCTTGGGCTTCCACCTCTGCCTCCTGAGTAGCTGAGGCTACAGTTGCATGCCACCACACCTGCTAATTTTTTGTAGAGACAGGTTTTTGCCATGTTTCCCAGGCTGGTCTTGAATGCCTGGGCTCAGCAATCTGCCTGCCTCAGCCTCCCTACTAAGTGCTAGCATTACAGGTACAAGCCACTGCACCTGGCCTGACACATTTTTTTTGAAAAGGTTATTTACTGTCTTTCATTAATTTTTTAAGCAAGTATAATCTTGCTTTTGGTTTCCACCATTTTACTGACACCTCACCCAAGTCAAAGTAAAATAATCCTCTCAGCATATCCAACCACCTTTTCTTAGTTCTCTCCATGAAAAGAAATCTCTGCTACAAGGGACTCTGTGGAACTTATTCTCTTCTCAAAATTTTCTCCTTGACTTTTGTGATACTTCACTACCTTAATGTATTTTCTCTCTCTCTCCCCATTTCTGTTCAGTCTTCATTGATCCCACCTCCTTTTAATGCTTGACAAAGAGAAGGATTAGCCAAGATTACATTTTCAAACACAGCTTTTGACTCCCTACCTCTTCTCTCCCTCCAGCAAACTCATGACAATAAGCTCTAAAGTAGAGTGGAGTTCAGGGAAAAAAAAAAAAATCTTAAGAGTCAGAAAGCCTGGCTTCAATTTTTGGTTCTACCACTGACTTCCTACCTATGCACCATGGCATGTCACATCCTAGGACTCCAAAAAAGAGAATGGCTTTCTACCTATGCTACAATTCTAACTGAAAAGACCATCAGATTTCTAGTCCTAAATTATCTAATGCCCTAAATCCACATTAATACCATTTAAATGCAGACATAATATGTTAACATAGATACGTTAAGAACTTGTATTGTTTTCAAAAAGGTGATCCTTTATGATTGCTTAAAAAAAAGCCACTAATTCTTTATTTCTAGATTCCTTATCAAATATGTTAGCAGCAGTTTATAACCACTAAAATTAAGTCACTCAAACCGAAACCAACTATACTTCCTTTAAGTTACCTATTAGTATTTATGTATTGGTGCCACCATTATCCTAAGCTTGAAATCTTAATACTCCTATAGTCTTTCATTTGTGCATTCTCTCTCCCTAATTCCCAACCTTTGTGCAAGGCCTAATTCAAAGGGCATCTCTTCCATAAAGGGTTCCTTGACCTCTTCAGCTGGTTATAGTCTTTCCCTCATCAGAAGACCCAAGACAGTCTATGTGTACCTCTCATGACACTTGGTTTATGTTTTTTTTTTCAGACACTGGTTTTGTGGTAGCAGGATTTATATCTGATTCTTCCTTGCATACTCTATGGCACCTTGAACACTGCTTTGCTCAAAGTACTAAAAAACTATGTAAGATTTGTTATCTGAACTTTGGACACAGAAGCAGCCGTAAAGTTGTCTAGAGTAACAATTTTCTTTAAATAAAAATAACAATTTAAAGATGTATGATGATTTAGATGGTCTAACTCTAAAATATATAATGTTCTTTTTAAGCTAAGGAAGCAGAAGCTCTTCCCCTATTCCTTCAAAATTCCAGTCAACTTGAAAGCACACTATAGAAAATAGTCTTTGCTATGTCACAATATTAATTTTTTAAAGGTAGACTTACTAAAAAATGTACTGTTTAACATTTGGTTGTACAATCTGAGCATTTCCATTGTCCATAAGACAAAGTATTTTGACAAACTATTTGATCTACCATCAGAAGTGTAGATTAAACACAGCAATAACTGATGCCTATCAGAACATTCAGCCAGTGTGTACCACATTATCATCTGCTCAGAAAACAATTTCCCAAAATGAAATATGCTGTCATTAATTTTCGGCTTCATTAATAAGCTTCCATGCATTGCTCAAAAATTTTATTTTTAAAGATGTAGTCCTCAATTGAGATAGTAAAACAAACTGAGGTGTGGGGGAAGGTTTCCAGCTTCCTTTATGACTAGGAAAAATAAAAATGCAGCTTAGCAGACAGAAGAACTAGAATTTCCCAAGAGTCTAAACCAGATAAGTCAAGGTTTTAACTTAATTCATCTTGAAGATAAGATGTCTGGTGTGAGGCCTGACAAGTAGTACACAGCATCACTGCAAGAACATTAAATAAAACCGAGAGATCTATCTAAGGCCTCGTTACTGCAGATGCAGAGAGAAGAATATGACCTACCTGGCTTATCCCTCCAGGAGAGATCTTGTATGACTGCAACTTTTGCTTCAGCAGCTCTGGATCACTGTGACGGAATGGGCACCCTGACAACAAAAAATAAGCCAGCACACAAACAAGGTTATTTATCCACAACTTAGTACAACACCACACTCGAGAGACCATCTAAGCTCCCCTTAATTGTCTAACAGCTTATTAATAAAAAAAGGTAATTGCCCATGGGTGCAACTGCTTTCCTCTTTTTATCTAAATGATTACTTAGCTGTATGGTTATCAGGGCACTCCAGGCTCAAGAGTTACATAAAACATTGCAGCATTCTCAGGCTAAGATGTCCATTCAACAGGAAGACAGCTTTAATTATGCTCCTTGCTAACAAGCACAAATAATCACAAAATAGCCGCATAATAGTTTATTTTAAAACTTTATACAATCTTCTTATATTCTAGTCTAAAAATTATATAAAAGGCATATGAGAGAAGGAAGATAGATAAACAAAATGAAAAACATGCAAACTCTGAGAAAGAAAAAAATTCAACATCATTTTCAAATGTAAATTATATGCCTATTTCCTAAAGCGTAGAATCTATGAAAATGTAAAAGAATCATGGATGGAAATGAGATGAAAAAATAAACTATTTCATAGAAAAACAACTTACGGTGGATATGTGTCATCTCTATGTTATTTCATGAAAAAAATGAAAGACCACTAGAAATATTCACATAAATAAGAATACAGAAGAATTTGAAATACAAAAGCTGTTTTAGGACAAAATCTAGAAAATTTTAGATATTTTAATAAACTGCAATGGTAAGTCAAAATGCTTATTAAAAATTTAATATAGAAAAGTCTTTTTTTTCAGTCATACAGATGACAGATTTGTAAGTTAATAATTGTGCATTTTTCACAAATTAGAAAATCTAGAGGAAATGACTAAGTTCCAGGAAACACACAACCTTCCAAGACTGAAACAGGAAGAAAGTGAAAATCTGAACAGACCAATAATGAGGTCTGAAATTGAATCTGGAATAAAAAACCTATCAACCAGAAAAAGCCCTGGACCAGGTAGATTCACAGCCAAATTCTACCAGATGTACAAAGAAGAATTGGTACCAATCCTACCAAAACTATTCCAAAAAACTGAGGAGGGGGGACTCCCCCCATTAACTCAATTTATGAAGCCAGCATCACCCTGATACCAAACTCCGGCCGAGACACAATGAAAAAAAGAAAACTTCTGGCCAATATCTCTGATGACCATAGAATCAAAAATCCTCAACAAAATACTAGCAAACTGAATCCAGCAGCACATCAAAAAGCTAATTCACCATGATCAAATAGGCTTTATTTCTGGGATGCAAGTCTGACTCAACATATGCAAATCAATAAAAGTGATTCACCACATAAACAGAATTAAAAACAAAAACCATATTATCTCAATAGAAAAAACTTTCAATAAAATCCAATATCCTGGCCAAGCGCGGTGGCTCACGCCCGTAATCCCAGCACTTTGGAAAGCCGAGGCGGGCGGATCACGAGGTAAGGAGATCAAGATCATCCTGGCTAACACAGTGAAACCCTGTCTCTACTAAAAATACAAAAAATTAGCTGGGCATGGCGGCAGGCACCTGTAGTCCCAGCTACTCAGGAGGCTGAGGCAGGAGAACGGCATGAACCCAGGAGGCGGAGCTTGCAGTGAGCCCAGATCGCACCACTGCATTCCAGCCTGGGAAACAGAGTGAGACTCTGTCTCAAAATTTAAAAAAAAAAAAAAAATCCAATATTCCTTCATGACAAAAACCCTCAAAAAACTAGATACCAAAGGAATATACCTCAAAATAATAAGAACTATCTAAGAGAAACCCACAGCCAACATCATACTGAATGGGCCAAAGCTCAAACCATTCCCCTTGAGAATGGGAACAAGACAAGGATGCCCACTCTCACCACTCTTACTCAAAATACTACTGGGAGTCCTACCCAGAGCAATCAGGCAAAAGAAAGAAATAAAAGCCATCCAAATAGGAAAAGAAGTCAAACTATCTTTCTTTGCTGATGATATGATTCTATACCTAGAAAACCCTAAAGAATGCACCAAAAAGTCTCCTGGAATTAATCAATGACTTCAGCAAAGTTTCAGGATACAAAATTAATATACAAAAATCAGTAGCATTTCTTTTTTTTGAGACAGAGTCTCACTCTGTCACCTGGTGGAGTGGTGCCATCTCAGCCAACTGCAACCTCTGCCTCCTGAATAGCTGGAATTACAGGTGCACGCCACCATGCCTGGCTAATTTTTGTTTTGCTTTTTAATTTTAGTAGAAATGAGGTTTCACCATGTTGGCCAGGCTGCTCTTGAACTCCTGACCTCAAGTGATCTACCTGTGTTGACCTCCCAAAGTGCTGGGATTACAGGCATGATCCACCACAACCAGCCTTAAAAATCAGTAGCATTTCTACATACCAACAATGTTCAAGCTGACAGCCAAATCAAAAACACAATTCTGTTTACAGTAGCCACCAAAAAATAAATAAATAAAATATTTAGGAATACATCTAAGCAAGGAAGTGAAAGATCTCTACAAGAAGAACTACAAAACGCTGCTGAAAGAAATCAGAGACAACACAAACAGGAAAACATTCCATGCTCATGGATTGGAAGAATCAATGTCATTAAAATGGCCATACCACCCTAAGTAATGTACAGATTCAATGCTATTTCTATCAAACTACCAATGTCATTTTTCACAGAATAAGAAAACAACTATTCTAAAATTCATGTGGAACTAAAAAAGAGTCTAAATGACCAAAGCAATCCTAAGCAAAAGGAACAAAGCCAGAGGCATCACTCTACCTAACTCCAAACTATACTATAAGGCTATTGTAACCAAAACAGTATGGTACTGGTACAAAAACCGACACATAGACTAATGAAACAGAATAGAGAATCAGAAATAAGACAGCATACTTACAACTATCTGACCTTCAACAAAGTCAATAAATATAGGCAATGGAGAAAGGACTCCTATTCAATAAATGTGTCGGAATAACCAGCTAGCAGAGACATGAAAATTCTAAGAACAAAAAAGAAATGCTAGCGATCAAAAACACTGTAACAGAAATGAAGAATGTCTTCAATAGGTTCATCAGTAGATTGGACATGACTGGGGAAAATCCTTGGATCTTGTAGATATGACAAACAGAAACTTCTGAAACTAAAAAGCAAAGAGAAAAAAGACGAAAACAAAACAAAACAAAATACAATACCTAAGAACTATGGGACAACTATAAAAGGTATAACGTGTAAATGAAATCCCAAAAGGTGAAAAAAGAGAGAAAAGAACAGAAGCACAGATGGGGAGAAAACATTTGCAAAAGACAAATCTGATAAAGTACTGTTATGCAAAATACACAATGAACTCTTGTAAACTATGGGCTTTGGATGATAAGGATTTGTCAATGTAGGTTCATCAATTGTAACACATGTACCAGTGTGGTGTGGGATACTGACAGCAACGGAGGTTGTGCGTGTGTTGGGGCGTGGAGGTATATGGGAACTCTGAACTTCCCACACGATTTTGCTGTGAACCTAAAACAACTCTAAAAAATTAAGTTTATTACTTTTTAAAAACAGAATAAGTAAATGTTTCCAACAGATAATGAGTTCATTGAGTGCTAAGTATAATATTTCTTGACTGACAGAGTTGAACTTAGAAACAAAATAGTAACATAAAGCACTGGGATAACAAGATACAACTTAACAGAAATAAAGTTTTGCATTTAAGCTAATGAAAACCAACTAATTAAGAGACAAATGCTAGAACCTGGAAATTTGCAGACAAATCCCTGGGAGTTTTACTTGGCCACAAGCTTAATCATAAGTTGACTGCCTGGTATGGCTGCTAGGCTAAAAAAGGCTTCAGGCTTCCTCAACAGAAGTACCTGGACCCATGGTTTTCAAACTTTAGAAGACATAAAACTCACCCAGTGTACTTGCAAATAAAGTCTGATTTTATATGACTGAGGGTGCACCCTGAGAATCTGCATTCCTAAAAAAGCACCTCAAGGGACTCTGAAATAAGTGATAAAAACCACTCAATATCTATTACCAGGCTGGGTGTGGTGGCTCAGGCCTGTAATCCTAGCACTTTGGGAGGCCAAGGCGAGCAGATCACCTGAGGCCCGCCAGCCTGGCCAACTAGGCGAAACCTCGTCTCTATTAAAAATACAAAAAATTAGCTGGGCAGGGTGGCAGGTGCCTGTAATCCTAGCTACACAGGAGGCTGAGGCAGGAGAATTGCTTGAACCCAGGAGGTGGAGACTGCAGTGAGCCGAGATCGCGCCATTGCACTCCAGCCTGGGCAACAAGAATGAAACTCTGTCTCAAAAAAAAAAAAAAAATCTATGTTTATATATAGATCTATCTTATCTGTCTATCTATATGACGAGTGCTGGCCACTTCTTCATCTATTAACTAATGAATGTATAGGCATTTTTTAATGATTTGGTCACATAGAATGTCTTTCTAAAAATATTGTTTATGATTATTTGATCTTTAGCAGTCCAAAAGTGTGCAGTCTTTTAAAAAGTGTTTAAGATTCTAAAACAAAAATAAGTTTTGACACATACTGTAGTAAGCTTTGATAATCCAGAAAATTTACTGATATAAACTATTAATTCATTCTTGGACATACCAGACAAATGAGATGTTTTGTTTTTCTTTTTAAATAACTCAGGCAAACTGATAGTTATGGCAGATATCACGACATGTTAAATTGCCCACTTAATCTTTGTTGGTTAATCAGATGATGGTGATAAGAAAAAAACCTCACACTTTTCCTTAGTAGTTAGCCTTTGGAAAATTAATGAATCTACTATTCCAAACTTAGAACATTCTAATTTCAAAAAGCTTTGTAAAACTTACATCGCCCTCTAAGACACTCGCAGAACACTGCAGAAGATGAGGGAGACAGAGAACAGCGGGAAGGAAGACAGTGAGAACTGAAAAGCCTAATCCAGCACAAACTGAAGTGCAGCTGAATGAATTTCTCTTGCCTGACCTAGTTCAGTAATAAGACAAATTGTTCTAAGAGTAATGGAGCTCTAGCTTGACAGTGACGACTGAGATAAGATACAAACTAGGTCCTGACAGGAATGCAAAAAGCCACAACATTGTTTCAGTGTTTCCAACAGAGCTCTTGGATTTCTGTACTTGGCCAACATATCCAGTGGAGGCACTTACCATGATAATCCCCTTGGCTTGGTGGATTGGACAGAATAATCTTCAGGCAACTGAAAGGTGTATAGTCTGTCCTCTTGCCTTCCTTTCCAAAGCTGTGACGGATGTTGTAAGAGTAACCTTTATCAAACTGATTGGGAGGAAATGGAAAAAGAGACAAAGTCAGCCAATAATTATACTAGTGAGGTCAGCAACACAAGCTAGAATCAAAGAGTGCAAAGCGATATTTTCTAGAATAAACTCAGCATTCACGGGCAGATGTACATTCATGCCATGTATATTATTTAGGTCCTTTATGATACAAATAATTTCTTTTTTAAAAAAAGGTACAAAACTTACAGAAAACAAATTTATCAGGTAGAAGATAGCTAATGTTACCTATACGTTTAAAGATAAAGAAAATCTTTTCCTGAGAAGAATAATGGATTTGCCCTTCTTCGTTTGATTCCAAAGATTATAGAAGAAAATCAGTTTAGCCTCTTTTCTATCCACCTTCCCCTAATTCTCCCTGAATTCCCATATCTACCCATTCTACTTCCTAAATGCCTATTAAAATAGTTAATCCTAGGCCAGGTGCAGTGGCTCATGCCTGTAATCCCAGCACTTCAGGAGGCTTAGACAAGAGGATCGCTTGAGCCCAGGAGTTCAAGACCAGCCTGGGCAACACAGTGAGACCCATCTCTACAAAAAATTAAATATTAGCTGGGTGTGGTGGCATGCACCTGTCGTCTCAGCTACTCAGGAGCCTGAGGCAGAATTATCACTTGGGCTGGGGGGTTGAGGCTGCAGTGAGCCATGATTGTGCCACTGTACTTCAGCCTGGGCAACATAGTGAGACCCAGTCTCAAAATATAATAATAATAATAATAATAATAATAATAATAATCCCTTCCTCTGGATTTCCACTATACAAAGTAGTCAGCAAATGCTTAATGAATGAAGTACTACAACTGCCTCCTACCCAGAATCCTTGCCTCCATGTTCATAAAACAAGCTAATGAGACAGAAGGGACTTTGAATTGAGTCAGACAGGAGAACAAAAGGAACCAGCATATAATGAAAAGTGACCAGGTGCCAGGCATTTTGTAGGAGCTTTTAAAAGTGTAATCCCATTTAATCATTTAGATAATCACAACTCCTCTATGATGCTACACTTGAGAAAACTGAAGTTCAAAGAATGAAGCAATGTGATGTACAACAGTTATTAAATGGTAGACATGTACAGACAAGTCTGATTCCAAAACCCATCTCTACAAAAAAATTAAATATTAGCTGTGTGTGGTGGCATGCACCTGTCATCTCAGCTACTCAGGAGCCTGAGGCAGTGAGCTATGATCGTGGCATTGCAGTCAGGGCAACAGAGCAATATTCTGACTCTAAAAAAAATTAAAAATTAAATTTAAAAAGTCACTAACCATCAGGCATTGGAAAACATTTAATGGAAGCAGAATAACGGGTTGATAGCCTTCCTAATGCTATAGTAGACCAAGGAGTACTTCACATGTTCTTCTTCATGCATGCTGGTACTGAGGTGGGTGCAAAGATCCAATAGACAGATCTTACCTCAAGGAGTTTATGGTCCTAGAGGAACTAATCACCTATGTGAATGCGTGATTAATAGAAAATAGCATGATAATGTGTCATAAAAGAAGTAAAGTGCTATAAAAATCAAATATGTTATGAAGATAAATCTTCTAGAGAGGTCTAGGTATAAGTATAGGTAAAATGCTATTGAAATATGTAGGAAGAAGAGATTACTTCTGATTTTGGACCACAAAATGAAGTGTCATTTAAAACGGAGTCTGAAAGAGAGAAGTTATGTCCTAAAAAGATTTAACTGGAAGTTCTTATTTTTAAATATCTTGTTATTTCTTATTACTAAGGAAGTGTGGTATTATGGAAAGAATGTGGGCTATATTCAATTCACTTCTGACACTAACTGGAGCTCGTGCAGATCTCTCATGGATTAAGAGCTCAGGCCGGGCGCGGTGGCTCACGCCTGTAATCCCAGCACTTTGGGAGGCCGAGGCGGGCGGATCACGAGGTCAGGAGATCGAGACCATCCTGGCTAACACGGTGAAACCCCGTCTCTACTAAAAATACAAAAAATTAGCCGGGTGTGGTAGCGGGTGCCTGTAGTCCCAGCTACTCGGGAGGCTGAGGCAGGAGAATGGCGTGAACCCGGGAGGCGGAGCTTGCAGTGAGCCGAGATCGCGCCACTGCACTCCAGCCTGGGCGACAGAGCGAGACTCCGTCTCAAAAAAAAAAAAAAAAAAAAAAAAGAGCTCAGTCACACAAGACTGTGCCCTACTTCATATACCAATTGCAAGCAGTAGGTTCCCAGGTCACCACAACTTCTGACCAGTTTGGCCACAAGTGGGAGGTTACCACAACCCCCTTCTCAGGTTCAGTAATGTGCTAGAGCAGCTCATAGAACTCCTGGGCTCAAGTGATCTTCCCACCTCAGCCTCCTGGGTGACTAGGACTACAGGTGTGTGTCACCAGACAAGGTCTTGCTATGTTGCCCAGGCTGGTCTCAAACTCCTGGGCTCAAGCAATCCTCCCACCTTGGCCTCCTAAAGCCCTGGGATTGCAGATGTGAGCCACTATGCCGGGCCCTTGGTTGATGATTTTCTAATTCCACTACTAGGTGACACTCATCTGGCATAACAACCCACACCCCATTGGTCAACCAAAAGCAGACAATGTACCTTTGACAAGATATCTGGCAAGAGCAAATATTCAATACTGGTGGAATCTTGGACAAAAATCTAACTTTCCTGGGAAAGAGGTAGGGGTTAGGGTGGGTGTCCCATGTTAAGTGGTCATTTGGGCAAAAACTAAAACCAAGTTTCTAAAATGAATTTTAGAGTATGGCAAATGACTGATTTAGTCAAAAATTTATCTTCTACTCTGAAAAAAATATGTTTGTTTAAAAGACAAACGTTGCCACTTTTATACTAGAGCACAATCTTAAACTACCACTCGGTGATCTCTCAAGGCTGGCACAAACAGAATTATCAGAAGCTGTGAGTGGCTGTGGAGCACATCAAATGTTCCTACACGATACTTTAAGCAACACTTGTTAAATAGTGAGAAGCCAGATTGCCCAAATAACAAGTCATTTTCAAAGGGCAAAATCTTCAAGGTTCTCACTCTAATAACTAGAGTGAAATGGCTATAAAGAGCTTATAGTTTTTACTCCTATGATTCTTTAACTTATAAAATGGATACTGTAGAAAGCTTAGAGAATGATTACTTGGCAATTTTTCATACATGAAATTAAAGTATCATGTAGATAGAAATAAAAATAAAACAGATTATTTTGAGTTTATAAATAATTATACATATTGGCAATGAACTGAAACTTAAATACAAAAGGTGGGCAGGCCATATTTTGGAAAACAGGTAAATCCCCCCTCTTTTAAGTGACCGCAAGACACTTCAGAGTTGCCCTTGGCTTGCTTTCTCTGGGCTCATACTAAGAGCAACACACACAGAGTAGGCTTTTTAAAGATCCCAGGCTTTGGAGGCAGAGAAACCTGGGAAAGAATCCCCAGCTTGTCCATTTATAAAGGATATTACTTCAATCCTCAATTATCCTAATCTATAGGGACAGTAATATTAATGCATTAAATTGCTATGGGGATTATATTAAATTAAATTAAAACATTAAGCAGAGTACCTGTCACATCCTTTGTTCTCAATAAATATTAGCTGCTATTGGTGAGGGAAAAAATGGAAAATATTTGGTGTCCTAGTTTAAACACTGACTATGCTACTGCAAAAGACTTCTATTTCAGTAGATACTAACAGAACCTTTACCTAAAGGTTTAAGGAGGATAAAAGACTCACTAAACTATTCAATTACATTTCTAGTCATCTTCTTAAAATGTCCCCCTTCTTCCAACTCCTATCCACAACTCTAACTATTCATACAAACTGGCTCAAATGTCACTTCCTCTGTGGAATCTTCCCAAGCACCCAAGGCAGAAGACATTGCTTCCTCAAAAGAACGCACAGCAGCAGTTTGTACGGTGCTGTACCTTTCTTGTTGCAATGGAATTTATTTTTGTATTTATCACTTCTAAACTAGGAATGCTGTTAAGGGCAGGGACTTGGTTGCGTACTCATCGTAGCATGCCTACTCAGTATCTGATAAAACATCTACTCATAGGAGGTGCTCAATAACCTTCACTTGAATGAAAGAGCAAATAAGCGGTAGCTGTTTGGAAAGATGAATGTATAAATATGCTTCAAGGGATTTTAACTTATCAGGATTAAATAACTTCAAAAACTTGCCAAATCATTGTAAGTTTACACGGCTGTGCTATTTTGTTCTTCTGGATAGCTTTTCTTCTTCACTGTAACAACAACAACAAAGACTGAGAAAGAGTTTAAATGATGCCCTATATAGAGTATAGTGGATACATTAAAAGATAATAAAAGTAATAAATTTTATTTTCTTTCAAAAATTGCCTCAGTATAGTGGGACTGGGCTGTCCAATACTTTAAGAGAATAAGAAAGAGAGACAGAATAAGAGATAGGAAAATACCTTGCTATTTTTTGTGTGAGATTTTTTAATTTGAGGTTATAATTTAAATATAGTGAAATGCAGATATCTTAAGTCTATAGTTTGATCAGTTTGGGTAAGTGACTATACCTATATAACCCACACCCCTACCAGAAGATAGAACATTTCTATCAACCTGTAGAATTCCCTCTTGCTTCTTCTCAGTCAACATTCCCCTCCCTCCACAACCAGAAGCAACTACTGATCCGATTTTTGTTACCACAGATTAGTTTTAACTATTCTATAACTTTATATCAATGGAATCATACAGTATAAAGTATTTTGTGTCTGGCTTCTTTCATGTCCTTTAATGCTTCTGAGATTTATCCTTGCCATTACATGTATCAGCAATTTGTTCTTTTTTATTGCCGAGCAGTGTTCTACTGTATGGATATACCAGATTGCTTGTCTAGGCTCTTGCTGATGGGCACCTGGATGTGATATTGTGATACAATAAGAAATGTGTATTTGATCCCTGACCCTGGTTCCTCGCAGAGAGTTCTCAAAACTCTTGTAATTTCCTGAGCAAGAGGGATGCTAGGTGCATCTTCTGTTCTAATATTTGGTCTGTGGCCCCAGTTTCTAACAGAGTTGCTAATCCCTTGGAACTCCCTGGGCATTGATAAGAATGTCTTTTGTTCTAATGAGGTGACTCTTGGTGGGCTCCTAGATGGGGGCTGGTCACCAGAAAGACCAAGCCATAATTAGAAGCCTGGAACTTTCAGCCACACTATGCCATCCTCCAGGAAAAGGAGGGGGCTGAAAAATGAGTTAATAAATGCTCAGCCTATATGATGAAGGCTCCATAAAAATCCCTAAACTACAGGGTTTAGAAAGCATCTGGGATGCTGAAGACATGGAGATGATAGGAGGGTGGAACACCCAGAGAGGGCATGGAAGGTCCATGCCGCTTCCTACATATCTTACCCAGAGTACTTCTTTGGCTGTTCACCTGTATCCCTTAAAACATCCTTTATAATAAACTGATAAATATAAGTGTTTCCCTGAGTTCTATGAGCTGCTCTAGCACATTACTGAACCTGAGAAGGGGGTTGTGGTAACCTCCCACTTGTGGCCAAACTGGTCAGAAGTTGTGGTGACCTGGGAACCTACTGCTTGCAATTGGTATATGAAGTAGGGCACAGTCTTGTGAGACTGAGCTCTTAATCCATGAGAGATCTGCACGAGCTCTAGTTAGTGTCAGAAGTGAATTGAATATAGGCTATCCGGCTAGCATCAGAGAATTGGTCAGTGTGAGAAAAATCCACACATCTGGTCGCTATACTCTCTGTGTTGAGAGTACAGTAGGAGAAAATTGGTTTTTTCCTACCATACACACTGGGTTTTTACAGTTTTTGGCTATTCTCAATCAAGTGGCCATGAACATTCTTACATATGACTTTTGTAGGTATATATTTTCATTTCTCTGGGATAAATACATAGAAGTGGAATTGCTGCCAAACATTTTCCAGAGTAGTTGTACTATTTTATACCCCCACCAGCAATCACTAACAGTTCCACATTCTCCCCAACATTTGGTATGATCAATATTGCTAATTTTAGCCATTCTGGTGGGTAGCCAATGGTATCTCACTTTGCATTTCCCTGATGACTAATGATCATGAGCACTTTTTCATGTGCTTTTTGACCAGTGATATTCCTTATTTTATGAAATGTCTGTTCAAATCTTTTGCCCATTTAAAAATGCTGATTGCCTTCTTTTAATTATTCCATAATTGAATAATTCTTTATATATTCTGGACACAAGCCTTTTGTCAAATGTAATTGTAACAAAGGCTTATCAACTTGATGTTATCTTCTGATGAGCAGGTGTTTTTATTTTTGATGAAGTCCAATTTATCAACTTTTTAATGGTAGTGCTCTCTGTGTCCTAAGATAAATTGCAAAGATATTTTTATGTTGTCCTTTAGAAATTGTAATGTTTTAGCTTTTAAGTCTAGGTCCTGATTCATCTCAAGTTAATTTTTGTCTGTGGTGTAAGGTAGGAATCAAAGTTCTTTTTTATTCTGCATGTGGAAAAACACCTTTCTGAACACCATATGTTGAAGACACTTTCTTTTTCCCATTAAATCACTTCAGCATCCTCATCAAATTTGACCACATATGTGTAGGTCTATATTTGGAACTGGATCTGACTGGATCAGATCCAACTGGACCCCACTGATCTATATGTCTGTCCTTTTGCCAATAACACAGTCTTGATTACAATAGCTTTAGAGTAACTTTCAAAGGTAAGTGAGTCCTACTTTGTTCATTTTCAAGATTATTTTGGCTATTCTACGTCCTTGCATTTCCATATAAATTTTAGAATTGGCTTGCCGATTTCTTTTAAAAAGAGAATGCTGAAATTTTTAACAATCAGTAGTTTATGTCTTCACAACTGCTATCTGTCCACAAGTAACCAATAACCAGAAAAACAAATAGCATTTCAAAGAAAAGAAAACTTTCAAGAAAGAAGAAAGACTTTCAAGTCATCATTAATTTCACTGGTGAAAACAAAGACATTAAAATTTCCACCAAACATTTTATAAACAACTTCTGTTTGTTTCTTTAGTCACAAACATGAACTATAATCTTTTTTGTGAAAACTTTTAGGTAAGAATTGAATTTAATTAGATACAAGATTTCAGTTACGTTCATCACAAAATAGGGAAAGAACATATTGGTAAGCTATTCTGTTAAAATAATGGAAAGCTAATCTCTCTAAAAGAGAAAAGCTAAAAGTATTAACTTCCCTCTTCTTTCCAATTCATTTACTGCCTTTGTATACATGTCTAAAATTTGGACTCTTCCAAGCCTACTGGAAACAAGAAAAAAATAAAAATAAATGAAACTTGGATCTTACTAAGCTTTCAAACTATCCATGTATTTACCAAACAAATTGTCATCTCTGGTTTTCAAATTTACAAATTCAACAAATATTGTACAGAGACTGTATTTACTTGGAGATATTTTTTAGCAAATACTTTCTAGGTCTTCATATCCACGACTCAAAGGAAAACCTCTAAGCATTGGGTATGAAAAGAGGTAGGAAGGCCGGGCACGGTGGCTCACGCCAGTACTTTGGGAGGCCGAGGCGGATGGATCACTTGAGGTCAGGAGTTCGAGACCAGCCTGGCCAACATGGTGAAACCCCATCTCTACTAATAATACAAAAATTAGCTGGGTGTGGTGGTGCATGCCTGTAATCCCAGCTACTCAGGAGGCTAAGGCAAGAGAGTCACTTGAACCCGGGAGGCAGAGGTTGCAGTGAGCCAAGATTGCGCCATTGCACTCCAGCCTGGGTGACAAAAGCGAAACTCCCATCTCAAAAAAAAAAAAGAGGTAGGAAGAAGTAAATAGAAAACATATGTTTCTGTCTAGGCTCTTCCCTCCCACTCCATTCATTCAGTGTGGGGAAAGGCCAGAAAGTCAAGACAGGTCTGAAGGTGGGTACGTGGCAGTTTGCAACCTTCCAAATTAGTCCAGACATCCCAGCTGTGGCACTGGCAATATACCAATATGCATTTCTATTAAAGACAGCAGTAAGTTACTTTCAGAGGCATTATGTTAAATGATGAACTCAAGAAAAACTGTAAAGCAGGCACACCTTTATCCAGTTCCAACCCTGTTCTCAGAGCCTCTTTCACAACTTTGTCTTCTATCCCAAGCCCACCCAGGGTCTAGTGACCTTATTATATTTTTTAAAGTATTTATGCCCAAATCTATTCAAACACTATGGTATAAACATCTCTTTGCTGACATGGACAGTGCATTGCACGGTCTTCCTTAGAATAAAGTCTTTCCTACAAGGAAAAAAACACAAGACTAAATATTACTCCTATTTTTTTTTTTTTTGAGACAGAGTCTTACTCTGTCACCCAAGCTGGAGTGCAGTGGTGTGATCTTGGTTCACTGAGACCTCCGCCTCCCAGGTTCAAGCCATTCTCCTGCCTCAGCCTCCTGAGTAGCTGGGATTACAAGTGCCCTCCACCAGCCCAGCTAGTTTTTGTATTTTTAGTAGAGACCATGTTGCATGTTGGCCAGGCTGGTCTCGAACTCTTAACCTCAGGTGATCCACCCACCTCAGCCTCCCAAAGTGCTGAGATTACAGGCGTGAGCCATCACGCCTGGCCTACTACTCCTATTTTCAAAGCAACAAAACCTTCATTATGCAAGGTCGGCTTGAACAATAAAGTGAGAATGGTTAAAAAGTATCCTTTAGAGAGAGATTTGTATTCAAAAAGGAACATCTTCTTGACCTAAATGAGGCAAAAGAGCCATGTATATGTGCACAGAAATCAGCATAAGGATATGGCATTTAAAAATTTTTAATTTTTAAATTTATTACACATGCAGGTTTGTTATACCGTTATATTGTGTGAAGCTGTTAGGGCTTTTAATGATCCCATCACCCAAGTAGTGAACAAAGTACCCAATAGGTAATTTTTCAACCCTTCTTCTTTTCCCTCTTTCCTGGCTCTAGGTCCTCAGTGTCTATTATTCCCATATTTATGTCCATGCGTACCCAATGTTTAGCTCCCACTTATAAGTGAGAACATGCAGTATTTGATTTTCTGTTCCTGTGTTAATTCACTTAGGTTAATGACCTCCAGCTGCATCCATGCTGATGCAAAGGACATGATTTTGTTCTTTTTATGGCTGTGTAGTATTCCTTGTTGTATATGTACCATATTTTCTTTATCTAATTCACGTTTGATGGGTACCTGGGTTGATTTCATATCTTTGCTATTGTGAGGAGTGCTGTGATAAACATAAAAGTACAGGTGTCTTTTTGGTAGAACAATTTATTTTCCTTTGGGTATATACGTAGTAATGGGATTCCTGGGTGGAATGGTAATTCTATTTTAGTTTGAGAAATCTCCAAACGGGGGATTTCCTCAGGGGCTGAACTGATTTGCATTCTCGCCAGTAGTGTGTAAGGATTCCCTTTTCTCCACGATCTCGCCATCACCCATTAATTTTTTGCTTTTTAATAACAGCCAGATACAACATTTCTTCAGGAGGACATTTTAACCTTCTTTTTAGTGGCAGGTGTTTCTTACCTTCAAGAACTTGGAACTCTAATTTACATATTAAAAGAAACAAAGTGAGAGTCTGCTAAACTACAAAGTGACCTCATTATTACTCACCAGTGCCCAGAATTTAGGATACCAAAATCATTAGAAGTAGGTCCCATGAAGATTAGTTATCATAAGTACTAACAGAAACTCAAGCTCAGCATCAGGGTCACACATATAAGTGAATCTGCCAGGAGGAAAAGGTCAGGAAACCACCTTATGGCCTTTTCTTAGCACATATTCTTGCGATAATTTTTTGACCTATTGATTATGTTGTCTTGAGTCACTACCTTAAAGTCTAATGTATAATTTTAATAACCAGAGTGATGTTGTAGGCATTTAATATATGGTGCCCCCTTTTAAATTCTTATGTAACTAAATTACTCAATTACTATCTATTAAACTAAATTTGTAATCAGTCACCTATAGATCCAAATACTTCCCTTTAACTCTTAACTTCAAACACAGTTTAACTCTTAGAGATCATTAGAACATCACACATATTCTAACCAAACAACACACCAAAGGAGATGTGGAGGCCCCAAGGAGTCCAGGAGGCAGTAAATACTAATGGTTGAAGTCAGATACTCAAGTTTAAATATTGTCTCTACTACATGCTAGCTGTGTGACCTTGGACAGTTTACTTAACTTCTTTGCAACAATTCTCTTTTATGTAAAAAAGGAGTTATATCTATCACATAGGGTTGACTTGGGGATTAAGTTAGCTCATTTTCACAAAGTACTTGGTATAGCGTCCTGCACACAGTGATAAAATGCTCTCCTTGACCAAACTTTAGTCAGGCTCTTCTGAATCCTCATCTCAACTAGGCCTAGAGCTTTGGATTTCTGTATTCCTCTTTACATCACCCAGTTGTAACAGGAATCTTACAAAGTCAGTTGAGAAAGAACCCCCCAGATATTGAGATCACCCTCAATATCTGATCAAATTCCTCACTGCCACCCTTGGTATCTTATCACCCTGGCCAACCTGCAGCAAGGATCCTGTTAGTTCTGTTTAACCAGAATCCCCTTACCCGTGACGTTTATTTCCTCTTAGTAATTTTTCATCCACTGACCCCCATCCCTGCTCTCTTGTCCATGCTATTTGGAATTAGGAATCCCCACTTGCGCATGCTCTCTATATGGAATTAAGCCCAGTTCTATACTGGAATCCCTTCTTCTATTGCAGCTTTTCCTGAATAAAATCTGTTTTTACCATTTTAACTACTATCTCTTATTTTTCTTTAACAGTTTTTGGTCCATGATTTAGATCTGGATCTGAACCACCATTAGACTCTTGGACACAATAACCAATCTCTAAGCACACACCAAGACTTTGTCTTCAGTCTGCTTGCTTTTTGGGTATCTGGTGGTGAGTGATTCCAATATCCAGTGCTCCAGATAAATGTCCATCGAATCACAGTGAGGACAGATTTTGATGAAGATTCTGATTACATTGTCTGAAGCTGGATTAGAGGCCCAGACTTCTTTGTTTGAAAGGCATCTACTCAGCTAGAAGTCTTTCTTTCTGGGGCTCACTGCGTCAAGAAGACATTTACTCCCTGACTCCTGAGCCTGGCTCTTGGCTGGAAAATTCTTCCTGGATCTTTGTCTCCTGGGATGAAGACTTCTCCTGGCTCTTTGTTTCCAGTGGGGATCCACTCCCCAATGCCTGGGCTGGAATTTTTTCCCTGCTCTTTATGAGGCCTCTCTCTTCTGTCTGTTTAATCCTGCTTCTCCCATGGGAACTTCTCAATTGAAACCTCACCTTATCAAACTCCTGCTTTGCCGCTATAGTTCTAATACTGTCTGCTTGCTTTCTCACTGGCAAAGCCTTACCAAAAACTCTCTTCGGCTATGGTGGGGGCTCCTGGTATATCCCTAAATTAGTCCATCTAAAAACAGCCCTAGAGCAAAAAGGAACAAAGCTTTTGGATGCACAGCGGTCTGCTTATTTCACTTGGTATTAAGAAGCCAAAAAACAGCTAAATAATTCAAATCTCAGTCAAACTACTGAGGCTCTTTCACACTGTCTGTAGAAAAATTTTTCTGACTCAGTAAAGTTCCTAGAGCTCTCAACAGCACCTCCATATTCCCCTCCCAGCTTTCCTTTATAGCCTCCTCTCCCAAACTCTCTTCCACCATCTGCCCCCTCCTCCAGTCCCTCACCTCCCTGTAACCAAAAGGTTCACTGGCCTCCATCTCCTTCAGATGAAGCCCAGGATCAGCCAGTACCTGTTGCCAAGTGAGGCTAATAGAAGAGAGAACATTTAAACCTTGGTCTAGGCCTGAATTGCATCCTATCACCAAATACTTTCCTGACCACAGAAAGGAAAGGGAAAGGTTTGTTGAACAATTTAGAATCATTCTAGGTGCATACTCTCTGGGATTCCCTGATTTAAATCAACTTATCTGCCTGTTGGTTGGGCCTGGAAATGCCTCCCTTTGCTTTGAAAAAACTAAATGGACCACTATTTCTGATGAATCTCAGTTCCTTCCTTGGGTGCACTCAAGGGTCTCAGGCTACCCCTGATATCCCAAGGGAAGTAAGAAATTACTAGGAGCCATCCATCAAATCTCTCCCATTAAAATTGATTGGTCACATATCTAACATTGTAAATAACAAACTGATGAAACTGTGGCTATCACCATCAATTAAAGACAACATGGAAAGAGAATTCAGGGGTGGAACTGACTTTCCAAACAGCCTCTGCTCAGGCCATGCAATCTTTGTCAATAGTTTCAGGCCAGACCTCCAAGACACATTACAGAAAAATAATATTAATTAACAAAATGTATACACGTCTAGGCTCCAGACATTAGCCCAATAATATGAAAATAGTATTTCAAAAACATTGGAAAATACACAATGTAAGCTTGTGGCACTGCAGTTAAAACAACTGGAAAAACCTGAAATTTTTAACTCACAGCAAGCTCCACAATGGAAGGCTCCCATTGATCTCAACAATGTGCTGATATCATGAGGAAAAAAGACACTGGGCCTGGAATTGCCCAGTGCTCAAGAGGAGGGAAAAACCCAAGTCCCCCTCCTCACCAGAGAATTGTCTATTTTCCTCCAGAGAAGCAAATGTCCCAATGCCCTCAACTACTACTAAACTTGCATGAAGAAATAATGCTACAAGTTAAAGGGTCTCCACGTCTCTCATCGATACCAGGACAACACAATCTACCCTCAACATGACCTCACTTCCTGCCCCCTTCCCCACAGTCACCAAACTTTACCAGTGGTGGGGTTTGATGCTTTGCCCCCAGCTCATCCTCATATCTCTATGGGACCTCTTAAAGGTCAACATAATTTTCTACTCAGCTCCACTACCCCAGTAAACTTGTGTGGAAAGTATCTTCCCATGAATGGAGGTACAAAAATTCCTGCTGGACTGCTTCTACCCACCCCTGAGTCTTCCTCTTCATGTCTATGTCCCCTAATGGTTTTGTCTGACTTCCCCCAAGCAGGGAGTTCCTTTGCCCACTTCAACCTATCCACTTAAATAAAGATTTAAGCAAACTATTAAAATTATCTAAGGTATATGCGATACAGAACCCATATAAGGTAGAAACAGATCCTTCCAAGCCTCTCCCCAGGATTCCCCAATATCATTTAAAACCACAAGGACTAGCGATTGCTCTCCCTGATAATGAGAGGCTTATTAGACATGAGTCCCCACTTCTAATCCGTGCATTACTTCCATTTGGCTATTAAAAAGTCAAGTGGGAAAGGATATCAGTTCCTTCCTAGGATCTATCAATTACACTGTCAAATCAAGATTTCCCTTGGTGCCTAATCCTAACACTATCCTATCTGTTATCTCTTCCAACATGCAATATTTCATGGTGATTCATTTGTGTTCTGCCTTTTTTTTTTTTTTTTTTTTTTTTTTTTTTGAGACAGAGTCTCACTCTTGTTGCCCAGGCTGGAGTACAGTGGCTTGATCTCAGCTCACTGAAAGCTCTGCCTCCCGAGTTCACGCCTTTCTCCTACCTCAGCCTCCCAAGTAGCTGTGACTACAGGCATCCGCCACCACGCCCAGCTAATTTTTTGTATTTTTAGTAGAGATGGGGTTTCACCATGTTAGCCAAGATGGTCTCGATCTCCTGACCTTGTGATCAGCCTGCCTCGGCCTCCCAAAGTGCTGAAATTACAGGCATGAGCCACCGCTCTCGGCTGTGTTCTGCCTTTTATAATATTCCCCTTCATAAAGAATCTCACTACTTTGCCTTCACCTGGGAAAATAAACAATACACCTGGACTGTTATGCCCCAACGATTTACTAAGGCCCTACATATTTCTCATGAACCTATATGATGGACTTAAAATTCCCAGAAGACTCCACTGTAATCCAATATGTAAATGACCTCTTTCTATGCACTTTCATTTATGACAACTCCCTTTAGGACACTGAATACTTTAAGGCAATGGCAAGAAAAGACCACAAAGTTTCTAGACGAAAAGTTTAATTATTCTGTGTGTTCAATATCTGGGTCATGGTATTTCAGCTGCAGGTAAAATTATCTTCACAGGCGGAGCTTCTACTATTCATCATTTTCCTCTTCCTGAAACAAAATAACAGAGGTTTTTGGATCTTGTGGGCTATTGTAGGATGTGGATACCTAATTTCTCATAGACTGATGATTGCCTTTAAGGTTCACAGCCTTCACTATGACTTTTCCTCATCTGAGATTAGTCTTCTCTTACATTTTTCTGTCCCTAAATTTAGGAGCTCCTTGTTCTCCCCCAGCTCTGCCTTTTCCTTATCTGTTAGCAAGACTATTCATCCACAGAGCCTTTGGCAAGCCTGGGCTGGACTAGTCACCACTTCCCATAACGCCACAGACTGAGGGTACTGTGCTTCCTTTCCTGTGCGCACACCTGGCATTTCCAAGATTCCTGTGAGAAATCAGAATTCCTATTTTGCTATACCTTCCCTCTCTTTTCTTCCACCATTTTAAACCAGACAAATACCCATTGTGAGAAAAACCTCTGAATATACTCCAGTCTATCCTTGCAAGGGTCATGTCCACTCCCATCATAATTTTACCATCAATTGTTTTCTGGGAACAAGTATTTGTCATTACACTTCTCCAGCCATCATTAAATGTAACATAATGCCTCCAAGCCACTACAGGTTCCTGGACATCTCTCATACGAATGGAAATGTCCCCACTTCCCCTCTCAGCCTAATTTCTCTCACCCAACCCAACCACACACAGACCACCTCCAAAAAATCCTTTCTCAATCATCGAAATGTTTATTCTTTGGTCACCTTCAGCCATCAGATAATTATCTTATGACTCCAGGCTAGCGCTCAATGATTCTTATTCAGTCTATGGAACTCAAACCTATTAGCTGTTACCAGCCAACTGGAATGGATCTCGCTACCTCTCTAATCTTACTAATCCCTTCATCTACTTGATTCCCCACAATTTCTCTCCTTTTTTAAAGTTATCTCTAAAACAATCACCCACTCCCTCCAGTTGACCTCACTCTCACTATGAGAGCAAAAGAGGTATCCAGAACATCATAGGTTCTGTTGTAGGTGATCTTGGTTACTCAGGTGGTGACTTAGATAGAAAGAACAGCTACACGAACTGGGCATAAGTTCTACCCATGATCTCAAGACATTAAGAAGTCTCAACAGATGGTTCAGCTCGTCTTTACTGAAAAGGAACTGAACACAAGATGGACTTAGATTGCTGAGAGAAGAGAATAATGCTTTATTTCCTTGAACAAAAGGAGCAACTGACAAGATGCCCTCCTTGGCCAAACTTAAGTCAGGCTCCTCGGAATCCTCTTCTCAACCAGGCCTTGACCTTTGGTTTCAATTTTGTGTAGCACAGTTGTAGTAAGAATCTTGCAGTCAGTTTAGAGAGAACCCCCTACCCTCACTATCTGTTCACCTTCAATATTTGATCACCCTCGGTATCTAATCAAATTCCGCATCCCTGCACTCTCCAACACCCGCCTTGGTATCTCATCACTCAGCCTGTCTTGAGCAAGAATCATTTTAGGTTGGCTTAACCACAATCTCCCCACTCCTTAAGTTTCTTTCATCTCCGTAATTTTTCATCCATTAATGCCACCTTGCTCTTTGGCTATAAATCCCCACTGGTCTATGCTGTATTCAGAATTGAACCCTGTTCTATACTAAGGTCTCTCTTCCCCTATTACAGTAGTTCCTGAATAAAATCTGTTTTTACCACTTTAACTACTGTAATGTACAGCTCCACTTTTCTTTAAAAAATAGTAAGCACTCAATACTTTAGAGTTACTAACATTACCAAGGTTGTCAGTTTTACTATTAACTAGGAAAAGCTATCTTGAGTAGGTCAAACCCGGTGTGTTGTTTAATATCACTTAAATTACTTATATTTTGCCTCCAGCTTCTTCATTAGAAAAATCTGCATCTAGTTACTCTCTCTAACTCCTCATAGGAGCTTAAAAAAATCAGTTAAGCAATTTGAAGTCTGTAACACAGCTGGAAAACACTGCTTTTGTTACTCTAATTCAGCAAATTACCTCCTATGGTGTATTAAATATTCCTTTTTCTGCTCTGTAAGAGTTAATTCATTTCTCATCGGTGAGAACTGTTTACAGGCTTGTGAAGCAGCAAAGTGTTACAGAGATAACACAGATTTTGGTTCTAACTCTGCCACCTACTAGCTGAATTATGTTAGGCAATTATAAGTTACCTCAATCTCTTTGTAGACTAAACTGTAAGTATGTATTATATGCTACAATTATGTGTATAAAATTTGTAGAAACTAGTTTGTGCCATTTTTGAAAGGTGAAATTTATAAAATAGTTCATTTTATAATCAAATATATCTCTGAAGACTCCTGGGAGTTCCCCTGAAAAGGTGTTAAAAATTGTAAAAATTTCACCTATTATGAAGGTTCCATCCAAAAAAGCAGGACATATGTTCTTCATCTTCATTTCTTAATCTCTTCCCCTGAAGTCATGGAGAACATTTTCAGTTCTGGACTCCATAGTATACAGAATTTCTTTCTCAAATTTCCCATGGGGCAAGGTCAAGACACAGTTTTAAAATTTTCATTGACCACATTGTTTTCAGAAAATGGAAATAGTGAAATGCCAAAAATCCACAGAATAAGTATTAAATAGAATAACCTTATGTAAACTGATGTGGCCACTCATTAAGCAGACCATTTTCAGTGATGTCAATAGATCAAAAGAAAGGTCAGCTGTGTATCAAAGGCTCTGCCATAATCATCAGAGGAAAATGGAGAGCTATCTGTTCAGGAATACTGGAGGTAGGCTGGCTAGTGGGTTTGTTTCATCTTTTTCAGTATACCCAAATAGACTCAGAAAACAAGATTTGAGGGCTATTTGTCACCTGGGGCTCTGTGATTTGCATCATTCTAACTATATCTATTATATTCAGTCAGATATTTAATAAATAAAATTTCTAAATTCCTAATGGGGAATTGAGTACAAATGCACTACTGTTATTAGCAAAAAGAAAAACAAAAACAAAAACAAAAAAAACCAGGGTAACACTTAGTGATGTTTCAACAACAGTAGCTTACATTTCTACAGATCTTTAGTGTTTAACAAGATGATTCTTCCTGGACTTTTCACTAACTGTAAGGTATGCAAATTAGATATTTGTATTTTATAAATGAGGAAACTAAGGTTTCCAGAAGTCAAGTGGATAGTTATTTCAGTTACTTAATGGGAAACCTGAAATTAAAATCCTAGTCTTCTACATTCTAGAAAATATTATAAAATTATAATATTCATGGGACTGTAAACTAGTTCAACCATTGTAGAAGTCAGTGTGGCGATTCCTCAGGGATCTAGAACTAGAAATACCATTTGACCCAGCCATCCCATTACTGGGTATATACCCCAAGGACTATAAATCATGCTGCTATAAAGACACATGCACACGTATGTTTATTGCGGCATTATTCACAATAGCAAAGACTTGGAACCAACCCAAATGTCCAACAATGATAGACTGGATTAAGAAAATGTGGCACATATACACCATGGAATACTATGCAGCCATAAGAAATGATGAGTTCATGTCCTTTATGGGGACATGGATGAAATTGGAAACCATCATTCTCAGTAAACTATCGCAAGAACAAAAAACAAACCGCATATTCTCACTCATAGGTGGGAACTGAATAATGAGAACACATGGACACAGGAAGGGGAACATCACACTCTGGGGACTGTTGTGGGGTGGGGGGAGGGGGGAGGGATAGCATTGGGAGATATACCTAATGCTAGATGACGAGTTAGTGGGTGCAGTGCACCAGCATGTCACATGTATACATATGTAACAAACCTGCACACTGTGCACATGTACCCTAAAACTTAAAGTATAATAATAATAATTTAAAAAAAAAGAAAATGTGGCACATATACACCATGGAATACTATGCAGCCATAAAAAATGATGAGTTCATGTCCTTTGTAGGGACATGGATGAAATTGGAAATCATCATTCTCAGTAAACCATCGCAAGGACAAAAAACCAAACACCACATGTTATCACTCATAGGTGGGAATTGAACAATGAGAACACATGGACACAGGAAGGGGAACATCACACTCTGGGGACTGTTGTGGGGTGGGGGGAGGGGGGAGGGATAGCATTGGGAGATATACCTAATGCTAAATGACGAGTTAATGGGTGCAGCACACCAGCATGGCACATGTATACATATGTAACTAACCTGCACATTGTGCACATGTACCCTAAAACTTAAAGTATAATAATAATAATAATAATAATAAAGAAAATATTATAAAATTATAAATGGAGAACAGAAATAAACACAGATAACCAACTATCAGTTATCCATTCAACTACAGGCTGCTTCCCCACTGTCACTCAGTTGCTTCAAGGGCCATCTGAAAGTCGCACTGAACCACGGTTAAACAAAGTGTTTCTGATTTCAATGAAAACCAGAGAAAAGTTATCTACTATTTAAAGAAATAGTAACTCTAACAAGTCACTCATATTACTTATCCAGTTTCTAATTTAACAGAACTTTAGAATAATAAAATATGGCAAACTTGAAGTTAAAAGTCTGAACTAAAAAATATTAAATAGTGTTTCAGTATGCTTTCAAATGGCCAGTTTTCTTCACATTCCAACTTCCTATAATTATCAAGTTGAGGACACGACAAGGAACTGAAGTACAAATTCAGAGAAAAGGAAGTATACAAATGGAGAGGAAAGGATATAGAACACGCCATTGCTTATTAAACTAGCAACTTGATCTGTAGCCTTAGGAAATTTAGTTTTCTTACCAGTTAGAATTAGGATTTAAAAGCTGGAACAGGCTTCAGACCTTACCTAGTGCAGCCATTATTTGATAGTAAAACAAGGAACAGAGGGTCTAACCCTAAGTTCCAGTTTCTAAGTGAGTTAGAAAAAAAACCTTTCTAACAGGCATGGTCGCTCCCACCTCTAATCCCAGCACTTTGGGAGGCTGAGGCAGGAGAACTGCTTGAGTCCAGGAGTTTGAGACCAGCCTGGGCAACATAGTGAAACAAAAAATTTAAAAAATTAGCTAGGCATGTTGCCCCATGCCTGTAGTCCCAGCTACATGGGATGCTGGTCTGGAAGGCCTTAGACCCTGGGTTGCCTAGTTCATGCGCCTCTTGTTCACTTCTTTAAACCCTGTGTGTAGCACAAAACCTAGCAAATTGCAGCTGCTCAATGAATGTTTACTTGGCTGAACTGTTAGGAATCTTTTTTGGACTGTATGTTCATAGGGTCATCCCCACCAGAGGACTGAAAGCTAATCTTATGACATACTTCTCTGTTAACTTTCAGTGCCAAAAAAAGATTTAGCAAGTAAGTTTCTGCCCCTGAATACTATAACTTAACATACTATTTAAATAGAGGCCTTCAACAGTTCAACCTGGAGGAAACGGTCAGGGGGAGTTCTACGGGAGATAATTTTCATCAGCTATCTGTTCAGACACGTATGCCTACTATTAACGATATATTAATGATAAAACTTTCACCTTGTTTTAGAAAAATCTGCTTTATTCATTGATATGAATGCCACTGATGTAACAGCAATGAAAATTTATTAAACTTCCAAATATAATTTGCCAAAATTTGAGATAGAAACCACAGACAACCCTTCACTTAGGAAGTAAAACATTTACTAATCACATACTTCTAGCCGAAAAGACTAGATTTAGTAATCCTTAAAAGGTGGTCAATTTAGTCTCTACCTCAGTAGCAGAAAAGGAGCCAACATAAAACAAGTATCACCAGAAAACCACAGGAGTACGCCGAGTGATGTAGAATTTGCTAGTCCCAGATAGTTGGCTCAGCTTGAATAAATGGTCTTTTCACTCCACAGAAACAAGAAAACTGAGAACATCATCCAATACTGCATTCAGAGACTGCACAATTAGCTGATCAGAGCTAATCTAGAGAGAAGCTGCCTTTTCTTCACAGAAACAAGAATTATGATTTTTAAAAATGTTTTGAGGAATTAAATGCAAATTTATTTCACTTTTACTAGATTAGTTTCACCCTATTTACTTATTTTCCCAGATTTATTTTCTGTCCCCACCTCCCTTTTATTTTTTTTTCTTTCATAGTTGTTTTTCTAGAACTCATTATCTGGCCACTTTACTCAACAGTGAATATTTTCAAGTATTGCCTATTTTGATAGAATTTTAAAAATCTAACTTGATCATCAAAAAGATGTCTAAAGATACTACAGATGGGGTTCAAAACATGCTATTCCAAAATATGGCACTTTGGTATTTCAGGAAATAGCAAAAGCAGAAAAATCACTCTCATTATCCCCTCGACCCTTCTCCCCTAAAGCAGGTTATAAAACCTTGAAAGAATTCTTTGACCTCTCTTCTCAGTAAGAACTTCATTCCAGAGATGCCCTGGAGGAAAGAAATGTCCTTATCGCTGAAGACACAGGGATACAGAGAAGAATGTGAACAAATAGGCCTTGCAAGCTTCTCCCCAGTTTATTAGATTATATCCCTTTTATCTTATCATACTTCCCTATGACCACTTGTCATCAAACTAAGCATAAAAAGTTTTTCCTGTTTGAGTTTTCATATCCTTATGAAGGTTCCCATGTCATACAAAACCCATATGAAATAAATTTGTATGCATTTCTCTTATTAATCTGTCTTTTGCTATAGGACCTCAGCCATGAACCTAAAGATGGGTAAAGAAAAAATCTTTTCTCCCCTACACTACTCATAACCTAGTAAAACTATTATGTGCAATGAGTCTAAGGTTTTAAAACTTTCAATTAATTAACTAATTTTATTTTTTGTAAACAGGAGATCTTGCTATGATGCCGGGGCAGGTCTCAAATTCCTGGCCTCAAGCAACCCTCTGTCCTGGGCCTCTCAAAGGCATGAGGCCTTTGAGCCTCATTGAGATTACAGGCATGAGCCACTGCACCCAGCAAAGTCTAGGGTTTTGAAGAGCTACCAAGAAGACTGCAAAATATAACTCCTTAATCCTACAAATGTTAAGAAAAGCAATATTTTTATATAAACATTTAAATATTTTTATATATTGATATATTTCAATATGTTTCTGGGTGCATAAAGGTTTAGAATTGCCTTATATTAGTAGACTATACCTTTTATCACATATAAAAATATAACTTTGTCCATTTTAATACTTTTCTCCTTGTACTGCATTTTGTATAACATTGTCACTCCAAGTTTCTTTTAAATTCCCCTTGCTTTTATCTGCACCCTCCCTCCCCATGCCCACCTTTATTTTCAGTCTTTCTGTGTCAGGACAACTTAAATAAGCAGCAAATGGGCAATTGGTTACCCAGGGCTACCCTCTAGTGGTTACTCATAGCATATTAAAATATACCTTTTTCTATCAATGTCAAAATTAATCAACCTTTACAAAAAAAACAAGATCTTTAGCACACTTCTACTTACACTGTTAATTATCAAATTAGCTCCAGAATAACTCTTAAACTAAATTGCTGAAGGATTAAATTATTTTCACAAAGTCACAACAATATCCTGAGATGTTTCACTTATTAGATTACATGTTATCTTCTAGTCATCTAAGCATTACTACATAACAGACAACCAAAAGAACAAAATTACATAAAATTTTTAAAGCTAGCAATAAATAATAGAAGACTATACCGTGCCTTGAAATGACAAATGTGATGAGATGAAGTTTTAATTTACTGTGACAAGCCAGACTGTTCCTGTACAATTTCAAGGACAAAAAAAACATGGATCTATAAGCCTCCTGTTGTAGGCGAGGGTTTGTTTCTTTTCTAAAGGTCAGGAGCCAATAGTTCACACTTGGTGAGACTAAATTCCCTAAGGGCTGCCTCTGAAGGAGATCAAGAGAGAAATGTATCCAAAAAAAAAAAAAACTGTATCAAGAATTAGAAAAAACGTATGTTAGCTGACAGATGGCTAATTTATTTTTTTAAGAGAATTTACAAGACTTTTTGGAGATGTGGTTGATTCAGGACTGAGGCAGGGAAAATACAAGATGAGTCTGAAGCATCTTGTGGTGCTAGGGAGGATGTGCTCAAAAGAAGGAAGGAGGTGGGCCGGGCGCGGTGGCTCACGCCTGTAATCCCAGCACTTTGGGAGGCCGAGGCGGGCGGATCACGAGGTCAGGAGATCGAGACCATCCTGGCTAACACGGTGAAACCCCGTCTCTACTAAAAATACAAAAAATTAGCCGGGCGTGGTAGCGGGCGCCTGTAGTCCCAGCTACTCGGGAGGCTGAGGCAGGAGAATGGCGTGAACCCGGGAGGCGGAGCTTGCAGTGAGCCGAGATCGCGCCACTGCACTCCAGCCTGGGCGACAGAGCGAGACTCCGTCTCAAAAAAAAAAAAAAAAAACAAAAAACAAAAGAAGGAAGGAGGTGTGTCAAGAAAGCACAGGAGCCAATCTGAAAGAGCTCCCAGTGGCCAAAGCTGAACATTTTGGACAACAAAATCAACAACAAAGACTGGATTATAACCCATAGAATGAAATACATATCCATGAATGTGCACCAACATAAATAACAGAATACATAAATAAACGGGGAGAAAGGACAGTTTTTCCTTATAGAAACATTCCAATAATAAATGTAGATGGAATAGGGGAAATAGAAAATAACCTTTAGAGCACCTTAGTGATGATACTTGCAGGCAAGATCCATGGAGGGATGACAAAAATCAGTGGGGAAACAGGATATTTACATAGTCTAAAAGTATGTCCCCCAAGATGTTCTGAGGAGAACATAGTAACTCTACAGTGGAGAAACCCAGCAGATACCACTTTAACCAAGTGATCAAGGTTAATATCACCAGCAATAAGTTATAATTATTAATAATAAGTAATAAGTGTTGATATCACATGCCCTTAGAGGGATACGATGAGAAGCGAACATCACGCCTGTCCTGCCAAAAATGCATGACCTCAATCTAATCACGAGAAAACTTCAGACAAACCCAAAGTAACCAGTATCCTTCCAAAGTATCAAGGTCATGAAAAGACAAGGAAAGACTGAGAAATTGTCACAGACTAGAAGAGATTAGGAGACATGAGAACTAAATGCAACGTGGAGTCTTGAACTGGATCTTGGAACAGCAGAAGGACATTAGTGAGAAAACTGGTAAAATGTGAATAAAGTCTCTAGTTACAGTATTGTACCAATGTTAATTTGTTGATTCTGATAGTTGAATAATATTTGTGCAAGATGCTAATATTAGGAGAAGCTTGGTGAAGAGTATATGGAACTCTTTGTATTGTTTTTGTAACTTTCCATTAATCTAAACTTTTCTCACAAATAAAAAGTTTATGGCTGGGCGCAGTGGCTCATGCCTGTAAATCCAGCACTTTGGGAGGCTGAGGTGGGTGGATCACCTGAGGTCAGGAGTTTGAGACCAGTCTGGCCAATATGGTGAAACCCCATCTCTACTAAAAACACAAAAATTAGCTGGACGTGGTGGTGGGCGCCTGTAATCCCAGCTACTCGGGAGGCTGAGGCAGGAGAATCGCTTGAACCCAGAGGTGGAGGTTGCAGTGAGCCAAGATCGTGCCACTGCACTCCAGCCTGGGCGACAGAGTGACACTCCGTCTCAAAAAAAAAAAAAAAAAAAATTTATATACCAGGCAATGGAAAAGTACAACATAGATTACCTCATTTGATTCTCCTAATAACTAGGCAAAGGTGGTGTGAATATCCCTATTTTACAGCCTAGGAAATTGAGACTTCGAAATATTAAGTGAAATGTTCAAATGCACACAGTAAGATGTGTCAGGACTGAAACCTTGTTATGACATGTTCAAAGTCTCCATTCCTTCTACCATGTTATGAGGATCTGCACAGGCCTGTACCTACCCAAGAAACACAAGTAATCTCTTCTAAAACTAGAGTAAAATTTTAAAGTGGCAGCAATGCTAAAAAAGCAGCAGAGGCTATATTCAGAATCTAGTGGCAATTTTTAATTTGCTTAAAATATGCAGTTTTTGGGGAAACATGGTTTTCTGTCAAAAAGGCAAATTACTATATATTTAAATAAAGTCATTTGTATTTACTATGACATCCAGCAAGTCTTATAAAACTATACAAATTACAATATACTGCTATGCTACCCAATATGAAGTATAAAAAAGATGATTTTGTAACAGGTCATTTAACTTCAATAGGCATAGATGTTTTATTATATAGTTCAAAGATACCTAAAACAGATAAGAGGGGAATTTTCAGATGTCTTAGTGTTTTTTTTTTTCCTTGCAATTTGCAACATTAAACCATTTACCTACATAAACACCACATAAATATTATTTAATACAAAGAAGCAGCATATCAAACCCTATAGAAATATCTGAGAAAATGTCCATGACGGAAGAGAAATGCTTCCCCCTTTTCCCTTTTAGTGATACGTTACAGGCATCACAGTAATGATAGGTTACTTCATTTTGTGAATGACGATAAAGGATCAGAATTAAAGCCCCTAAACAAAGTGGTTCCTTTCTCATAACCAAATGTAACTGAATTAAGTTATTGATGGATTGTGTTCTCTGCAGTGCAGAAAGATGGCTCTGCCAAGGAAGGGCTATGTAAACTTCATTGTCTGGCTTCAGGTTATCTGTTTACTTCTGTACTTCACTGTGATTTATCATTAAGAAACTGAATTTGTTTTGCCACACTATCCCCCCTTTGAATGAACTGTACACTGGAAACATGCTAATAGAAAAAGATAAGACAAATTGCATTTTTTCCCAATTCTACAACCTAATAATTTTTAAAAGCACATATTTTTAAAGGTTAGAAGATGCTTTAAATATCCTAACAAATTTCTCATATTTATTTATAGGAATTTAACTTAAAAATTAAAATATCAACAGTATATTATCATGAACATGCCTTCCCAACATGTTGGGAACATGTTTTCCCAACAACAGTTGGGAAAAACAAGCTGAGCACAGACTAAATCAGACAATTTAGGCTGGGCATGGTGGCTCACGCCTGTAATCCCAGCACTTTGGGAGGCTGAGGTGGGTGGATCACCTGAGGTCAGGAGTTTGAGACCAGCCTAGCCAACATGGTGAAACCCCATCTCTACTAAAAATACAAAATTAGCCAGGGGTGGTGGCGTTTGCTTGTAATCCCAGCAATCTGGGAGGCTGAGGCAGGAGAATAGCTTGAACCCAGGAGGTGGAGGTTGCAGTGAGTCTAGGTCGCACAACTGCACTACAGCCTGGGCAACAAAAGCAAAACTCCATCTCAAAACAAACAAACAAACAAAAACAGACAATTTAATACACTTTAAAGCATATCAAAGTTTTGAAGTCTGTAGTACCTTAATCAAGAAAAAAAAAGATTAATTAAACTGAATATTAAAACTACCTATATTTTATATATCAATTATCACCCCTCAAGAGTAAATTTTCCAACCACTTGGTAATTATCTCATTTATTTTCACAATATCATTTAAGTATGTAGGAATAGTTAACTTATTTATATTTGCTGATGGCTAGCTGAGTAACAGAGTCCCTCAATAGCACATCTAAAACTCCAATCTAGGTCTGCTGATTCCCTATGCAGAGCTCATTCACTGAATCATAACACCTCTCAGCTATTTACAATGTGTAGTGAAGGATACAGAATAGCTTGTCGCAATGTATTAGAAAAAGCAAATACATCATAGTTGTGTTCAGCAGTCTACCAGCCTCCCTTTTCATGTCTGGGTACATTTTACAATTCAGCAGATAAAAATCACCATTTAGTGTGATAGAAATTACTATCTTATTTATTGGCTGTATTAACTCGACAGTGAGAAAGAGAGAAAAGATGGATCTTGGGCTAGGTCGTTCATGGTCCTTCTAGCCCTGATTTCTATCTATAAGGCAGGAAGAAAATCTAAGTGTATTGTTTATCCACCAGGAGATTGGTCTGGGCCATGTTATGTTTGAGGAGCCTATTTGGCATCCAAGGGGAGACACAGAGCAGGTAGTTGGGTATACCTGACTCTAGGGTACGAAGAGCAGTCTGGCTGGAGGTTCTCTGAGAATGCAAACTCCAGGAAAACAGGGATTTTGTCTATTTTGTTAAGTTCTATACCTTTAAGCACCCACAACAATGCCCAGGACATACCGAGAGCTCTATAAATATTAGATGGGACTACATGAAACTGCCATGACATTGTACTATTTTTGATCTATATTAACAGCAACTTCATATGATTCTATCTAGTACTTACTGAATAAACGATACCCTGTAATTTTTCATTTCACAGTCTCTCCTCTGGATCTGAGCTAAAAGAATTCCTGCCTTACTGGAAAAAGAGTACAGCAGAGTGGGTAGAAGATCCTGAAGTTGGTCCTTGCTCCTTTTCAGACCCCAACGGTCTCAGTCTCCCTCTTTCCTGGCTAGTGCATTACAGGCACACTAAATATTGTTGGTGGTGATGATGACAGAAATTACCTTTTCCTAATATTTCCTATAGGTAATTATTAGAAAATTAAAAGTAGCCACTTGCAAATTATATAACTAGTTGATTTTAAATAAATTTACAGTATTTTTCTCAGTACTGTTACCGGGTAGAAGGTTCTGATCGTGAGTTGTCCAGGTCCTTGGCACACTGAACACAGAACTGAACAGCACACACAAACAAGCAAGGAAAGTGTAGACTTATTGAAGTGGGAGGCAATAGTAGTGAAAGCACACTCCACAGAATGGCAGCGGCCCAAGCAAGTGGCTCAAAAGCCTTGGTAGCAAAGTCTTCTGGGGTTTAAGTACCCTCTAGAGGTCTCCCATTGGTTACACCCTATGTAAATGAAGGGCTGGCTCATGCCAATTAGAGGCCGAAGTGAACTGGCCCATGGCCAATCAAAGACAAGCTGGATTGGCACCTTATTTATGCAAATGAAGGTCCTAAAATGGACCAATCATAGGCCACAGTGCAGGTTTGCCTCATGGCCAATCGGAGGCTGGTGTGAATAGGCACCTTATGCAAATGAAGGTCCTAGAATTTAGTTCCAGGAAGTTTGCATGAATTGGCCTTAGGTTCCCTGCCTTCAGAGCCTATTCTTTTGCCTCACTACTACAGTTATCATTTTATAGCTAAAGTTTCTGAGTAATAGATTATTTCTCCAAAGCCATAGCAGAAGAGTAGATAGGTAAACTCAAAAGTCCTGAAGTTCAATTTTGGGCTTAATTCGTTACAACTTGTCTCTAGCACCAACTACGCGGAAACTCTATATATGTGTGTAAGGATGTTACTATGCTATTTAATTACATTAAGGGATTTTTCTGCCCATATTTGTTTTCCTATGCTATATCACATTTAGAAACTTCCAAAGACAAATCCAATTGCTTATCATTTTACCTGGATACTTTACCTGAATAGATTATCACATGAAACAACTTTTCTCCTGAAACACACACACACGTATATATAATCTTTAAAAGCTTATATGAGTGATCTTTAAATTACCATACTGCTATATACAATTTCCATAGTTCTCTTTTTGGTTTATCATGTCATAAACTGAGCATAAAATAAGAATTATTTTCTATTCTGTTTTATAAAGAAATGCTGTTCCTGAAGAACTTTAATATATATTAATTCAAATTTAATCATTTAAATAGACTGTAATAAAAAAAAGCTGAGGATGACTATGCAAATCTGAGCATGGTGTTCTGATAGGACAACTTCTAGGATCACAACTCCACTAGCCACTTCACATGTAGACGAACTTTCTTTAAAACTCAAAAGCTGCCTCTGATGTCCTATATAGCATACAAATGAGCAGAACAATAATGAGAAACACAACACATGTAAAATTACGGGAATAATACTATTTTGATGTGCAGCTTAAAGAGTAATTTGTTGAATAATAATAATCCCCAAGACAAGTTGACAAATTAACTTGCTTCTAAATAAATGAAAGTATAGGGCAGCTGCAGTGGCTCAAGCATATAATCCCAGCAATTTGAGAGGCCAAGGCAGAAGGATTGCTTGAGCCCAAGAGCTTGAGGTTAACCTCACATACAGTGAGGTTACTCTATGACTGTGCCACTGCATTCTATCCTGGGAGACAGAGCAAAAACCTATCTCTAACAAAAGTAAATAAATAAGTAACTAAATAAAGAAAAGCATAACATTACTTTTCAAACTTAAGTAGTGGCAGATGAGAGCCCTTTCCCAAGCAGCTACATTAGGTGATTTGTAAAAAGGCTAGAATTTGTTTTACCTTATAATACCAAATAATTCACCTTTCACAAAATGTGCTGCTCTGGCTTGTTTAAACAATGGATGTACCCCCCATCACGTGATTTGGTCTCTCTTTCTTAGCTATATTCATCCAATCTGGACAGTGAACTGTAATGGCAGGGACATCTCTCTATTCCCTTAAATCTCTCTGCCTTATGCCCACTGTGCTTGACAGTGAGGATCTTGAAAAACTATAAATTCCACAGGTATGCACACAAAATTGCATATAAATGTATAATGTACTGTTAAATCTCAATTCCTTAAAGATTCAGAGGATTATTATCTACTCTTCCCTTCCGTTATGAAAACATCATATCCCACAAACCTGCAAAATTAAGTTACCCAACCAACAAGCGCAAGCTGTTTAGCTCTTAAATTGAGGTGACACAACGTGCAAAGGAAAGTCACCTTAATTGCACTAAGGGAAAAAAAATGCACTAAAACCCATCTCTCTGAGCTGAGCCTTCATTCAATATTGAAACAAGTAATCTCAAATTCCATGGTTTTGGCTGCCGCTCAACACTATTCCATTCAACTGGGGATTGAACAAAGCAAAATAAAAGGGAGCTTTAATGTGCCTTTTCTTCTCCTTTTTGCTATACTACATTGACAGCATCTTGTTCATTAATTAAACTTTTTCTTCCCTTAAAGAAATAGACTGTAGGGTGCTATACTGGACACTGAGGAAGCAGGCAGGAAATAAGAGGCATAAGTTAGAAAAAATCTAGGATTTAAAAATTGTAGTTGGAGATACAAAATATTCATGAACGATAAAACAGATATAGAGAAACATTTCAACAAATACAAAGTAAGATGGTAAGTATTTAACACATACAGGGGTTGACATGGAGGCAGAACTAGGAGTGATTAGAGGTTCCTCTCATGGATTTTACATGAATCAAGACAGCTCCACCTTGATGACTGAAACAATTCAGGTGCCTTGCACATTTTCTGTCATCCACTAGAAATGGGGTTATGAATTTAGGTCTTTGGAGGCTATGAACCCAGTTAATAATGACTAATTTGCCAAATTTGCTGGAACCCTCAGAAATAAATTTTGGTTTTGTGAGTCTGACTTGTGTTTCTTAAGTAAGAAGGGAATGCATTCACTGTTGTTGTGTTTTTTTGTTTTTTGTTTTGTTTTGGTTTCTTTTTGAGATGGACTCTTGCTCTGTTGCCCAGGCTGGAGTGCAGTGGCACTATCTCGGCTCACTGCAACCTACGCCTCCCAGGTGGAAGCAATTCTCCCACCTCAGCCTCCCAAGTAGCTGGGATTACAGGCCACGCCACCATGCCCGGCTAATTTTTTGTATTTTTAGTAGAGACTGGGTCTCACCATGTTGGCCAGGCTGGTCTTGAACTCCTGACCTCAAGCGATCTGCCCACCTTGGCCTCCCAAAGTGCTGGGATTATAAGCATGAGCCACCATGCCCAGCCTTCATTGTTGTTTTTGTTCTGTATAATAATAGGCACAATAGGGAGATCATGAGGAAAAAACATAATTCTTATTCATTACCTTACTGATATGTAGGAACTTTTGCTTTGATAATAATTTAAAGAAGATATGCCATTTCTAATTTGCCATCTTAAAGCTCAAAATAATAATGCAATAAAATTGTAAGTTTATGCAAAATCTTTTGACAGAAATGACAGGTGTTCTAAAGGGAAATGATTAAAAGGTAAAAAAGATGAGAAAATGCTTTTCATGTATTTTTTATTTGGGTTTTAGATACCTCAATATGAGGGAACTAGAGGAACACAGCATTCTTTACTGTTTTATCATTATGTAAATCAAATAGATTTTCTTTTCCAGTAAAATTCTATGTGTAAATTGCCCCTGTGCATATCTTGCTGGCAAAAAAATTATAGGGATGACACCAATTTCATGGTAACTTTAATAAAAAAAATGCTCCTCAGCTTTACAACCTGAAGATGAAGAAAGTTTACACACTTTCTTGAAGTCTCTCACTAAAAACTGATGACCAGTGGAAATTTATCTTCTCATCAGCCATAAAATAGTGACTGCAAAATTCAATAATCTTGAATGCATAGTTCAAAATTTGTGATTTACTGTTTGGCAAATAAAAGTTATTTTCTAACCATAATAATAGCTATTTATTGAGGGCTTACTCTGTTCTAGGCACTGTTTTACCTATATTATTGCTGCTTTACATCCTGGAAAGCCACTTGATACTTTTTTATTAGAATCCCCAGAAAAGAATCCATCCTTTCAATGTTCATTTCCTATTTGACAACACAATTAGAAAAATTATCTTAATGTTAGAAAAACAGTGCTGTTCATAGATATGAAGAGAAAGCCAGCAGCATATAGAGAAATGGGATAGTCAAGATTATTACTGACAGTGAATAGGAAAATATAATCAAGTTCATTAATTCTAAAAGGAAATTAAAGACATTTGCTAATTAGGTGATCACAAAAGAAATGATAAAGCTCATTTCCTGCTCTATGATACTGGCAAGGCATCAAACCAAAAAGACGAAACAAAGGCATTTGGCTTTCATTATAGACCTATATAAAACAGCACAATAAAGAGATGTATACACAGCTCTTTCACATCAGTTAACTTAGATTCCTACCATTTTATTAGACAAGTGTTTCTATTACCTTTCTTAAAGATCTCACCATGGCTCAGCAGCTGCCATGAGTTAACAAACTAAAAATATGGTTTCTGATGTACATACAATTCACTTTCACATCCACAAGAAAATAATGGGCAAGAATAACTAATAAAGTTAAACAAAGTGGCAGGGCGTGGTGGCTCACCTGTAATCCCAGCACTTTGGGAGGCCAAGGCGGGCGGATCATGAGGTCAAGAGATCGAGACCATCCTGGCTAACATAGTGAAACCCTGTCTCTACTAAAAATACAAAAATTAGCTGGGCGTGGTGGCACGTGCCTGTAGTCCCAGCTACTCAGGAGGCTAAGGCAGAATAGCCTGAACCTGGGAAGCAGAGGTTGCAGTGAGCCAAGATCGTGCCACTACACTCCAGCCTGGCAACAGAGCAAGACTCCATCTCAAAAAAAAAAAGAAAAGAAAAGGGTAAGAACTGAAATAAAAACTGAAGGTTGATGAATTCACCTTAGAATTCATAGGCAGATTATAAACCTCAATATATATTTTTCTCATTTAATTATACTTCTACAAGTTTATGTTCAAATTCTATTTTCAAAAAAGTCTGAGTAATGAACATAGATGATGGCATTCAGGGAGAAAAGAAAGACCATAAGCAAATCTAGACTTAGAACTTCCTTACTTTTTGTAGTTATCAGTGTTTTGGTTTTAAGAAAAATCAATATTGTTTACTTAATTTTGCAACAATTAATTTTTAACTAATCCAATTACTTAAAAAATTATTAGAAAATTATGCTCTTCACAAATGCCAGTTACTGTTAATATCTGCAACTTTTCCTACTATCAAAAGGGCTCATTTACTTCCTTTCAAATTAACATGCATAAAATAGTATTTGTTAACTATCAATAATTTTTTTAAAGTAAATTAACAACAGCTACAACGTACAGAGTGCCTATATGTGCTCAGCAGTGTGTCAGGCACTTGACAGACATTATCCCCGCTCCTCCCAAGAACCCACAAAAAATAGAGATTATTATTCCCATATAAAAATGAGAGCATAAGACAGACCTTAGGAAAAGTAAGTATCTTGACCAGAATGATAAAATGAACCAAGTTAAATCTTAACAGACCCAAATAATCATCACTGTACTCCCTCATAACCAATATAGCTCATCCTAACTTTGGTGCAATAGCAATCTGAAGTTCAGAAAGAACTTACACTTATAGAAAATGTACTTAAGTCTTGATCGTCACCAAAAAGCAGGCATTCTTTCTTTCCTTTAGCTGGGGAGAAAACAGAGGCCCAGAGAGGGTAAAAAGCTTTTCAGAGCTCCCAAAGAGGTTGCAAGGGCCTGGCCTGTGGCCTTCAGCCTTTAGATCCAATTTTCTTTCTAATGCTCAGGCTTTAACCAGCATAGTTGAAAACGCATGTATTTGTAGCAAAGTACCTGGACAGGCACACCCCCTTTAAGTCTTAGATAGCTCTCCAATCTTCACATTTAACCACATGGTTGCTCACCATTTTTATTATTCCCTTAATATCTTTGTAAGAATAGAATTTTCTATACATTTTCCTTTGACAATCAAAACTGTGAAATAGAAAAGCCATGATTACTGCTTCCAATTTTATTCTATTCTATCATAATGTTCTACAATGGTGTTTCATTCTCAAATACAGAAATGCTGGGGCATGTAGTGAACAAGTAATACTGAAAAGCTGATTCAAGGAATAAATAATAAATAGTAGGGGTTTTTCCCATAAAATATTGACACAGAAGCCTGCAAACCCACAGTTCTTCAGATGGCAGCTCTTCCTACCTCAGATTAAGTGACATAATCTCACATAAACAATGAGGGGAAAAGACCAATAAAAGAAGGTTTAGGATCTTTACAGTAAAACAAAACCAAGTTATTCATTGCATTTGGGTGACATAATAAATGACATTATTGGTCACGGAAAAACATATTTTCCTACCTATCCACCTAGAAAATTGGACTGGGCATACCCACTCTGATTTATGTGGTCAAATACAAAGCATTTTCAAATACTGGGCAAATTTTTAAATAATATGGACTATATATTTATCGAACACAATTGTCCTTTTGAAGTATTTTTTTTTCAGTCATACTCAAAAAGTCAGATACTTTTTGACAGCTCAGGAAATATATAGCAAAAAGCTTTTCATAATATTGTATAACAAATCAGAGAAGAAATGCCTATGAACAAACAAACAGTTTAAAATCAAACCAAATGCATATACATACCTTCGTTCACATTTTAAGATGTCAACTATGAAAACATAATGCAGAATTATAGTTACAGGCAGATTTCCCTGCAGTACGTCTGGAAAAATATGATTTTGCTTGCTCTTTAAATGATGAAAAATAGCCTGCTAAAAGGATCTTTTAAAATATGTCTATAAAAAATCTCCCCCAACATGACTAAGATGTGATTATAAACACAATTTCAATCAAGTGATACTATCTATAACTCTAGCAAGTAGGTAATGAAAAACGGGGGGAAAAGGCAAAGGGCATTTTGCTTTCTCACATACTACACAATCACGTATTTTATGTCCTAGTGAATATAAGGCAATACTTATGATAGCTTTTCCTACTGCACTTGGGGAAGAGCTTTAAGACTCTAAAGAAAAGTGGAGACCTTCCCCGACTTATGGTGGGGTTATGTCCTGATAAACCCATCACAAGTTGAAAATATCATGTCAAAAATGAATTTTAATACACCCAGCCTACCAAAACTCACAGCTTACTTTAAACATGCTCAGAACACTTACATTTGCCTACAGTTGGGCAAACTAATCCAACACAAAGCTTACCTTATAAAAGCATTAAATATCTCATGTAATGTATTGAACACTGCAGTAAAAGTGAAAAACAGAATGGTTTTACATCATAAAATAAAAAAATTTTAAGTCAAGCCATCAAGAAATTCAAACACAAAAAATCTAAAACACAAACATTCAGATTTTATACATCTTCTCAACCACTATCTACAAGTTTATGATTATTACAATATTTTTTTTTCTAATCCCCATGCTGATCAAAATTACAATATTTCTAATGTTTCGTTTGGATGACTGGTAGAAGTAAAGGTATAGCCATGGGACAGTTTTATTTCTGAAAAGCAAAATGATATTGAGTACTTACTATGTACAAGGCACGGTTGTAAGCACTTTCTTTGTATTAGTTTTATTTAGTCCTCACAACAACCCTTTAGGACAGATACTATTAGGATCCTCTTTTCACAGATGAAGAAACTGGAGCACAGAAAGGTTAAGGAAACTGCCAAAAGTCAGGTTACAGCTGCTAAGTTGCAGAGCAAGAATTTGAATCCAAGTAATTGTATTTCCAAGCACTTAATTGCTCTGAAAACTACATCTGTAGTTTGTCAGATGAAATTACCTATTCTTTCCTGAATTTATGCAGAAAATAAAACAGGAAAGCGGCTTATCCTAAATCATCCTATTTCTCATCCCTTAACTTTTAAAGCTATACGTACAACAACAAAGAAGAACCTGTTACGATGTCAACTGACTGACTCCCATTGGCAGTGCATCTGAAATAATTAGAATTGGTATCAAAAACTTAGGTTTGATTCTGAGCTATATAGGATACAAAGTTTATATGTTTGGACAATTCATTTAACCTTTTTGAGACTCAATACTAAGGTGCAGAATGGAATAAAAATATGATCTCCCTTATTTATTTCTGAGGAAGCCAAACACTTAAGATGATTTAGAAATGTTCTTACAGAAGAATTCCAGCTAATAACTTTAGAAATAAAAATAATATAAGTGATTTTGGAAAGATCATTCGATAGACAAACCATTAGATGAAGACTTGTTGAAGAACTTAACAAAACAGAGGGTTCAAACTACTGCTACCCAATATGCTTCCTATGTGACATAATATGAAAAATAAAGTACCACTTATGAAGGATTCTTGCCAAAAAGGTTGCGCCTGAATCTACGTAAGTCTTTAGAGCTAATTCCATTTACAGAAAAAAAAAAAAAAATGGGTTATACAGTAACAAATTAAATGACACCACAAAAAAAGCAAACAAATAAACCCAAAATGTGAAACATATAGAACTGGCTCATTTCTTCAAGTTAATGGGCTGAAAAAAAAACAAAAACAAAAAAGGAGAGAGAAAAGGAGAGGTAAGGGATTACTAAAAGATTTATGAGACAACACCAAATCTAACATGTGACCTGATGTAAATCCTAGTTCAAACAAACCAGATGTAAAAACAAAAACAAAACATTTTTTAAGCAATTGGAGAAATCGGAACATGATCTGGATATCTGATGTCACCAAAAATTATTGCTAATTTTGCCAAATCATAAGACAGTAACACTAAAATTATGTAAGAAAGTGTCTATTTTTTTTAAGAGGTGCATACTGCTGTGTATAGGTATCTGTGATGGTTAATTTCACATGCCAACTTGACTAAATCACAGCGTGCCCAGATATTTAGCTAAACATTATTTTGGAGTGTGTCTTGCTGTCTCCAGATGAGACTGGTATTTGAATCAGTAGGCTCTGTAAAGAAGACTGCTCTCCCCAATGTAGGAGGGCAGCACCCAATTTGATGAGAGCCTGAATAGAACAAAAGGTGAAGGGAGAATTCTCCTGTCTGCCTGACCACATGAGCTGAGACACTGGTCTTCTCCTATCCTTGGACTGGGACTTACTGGCTCCCCCAGTTCTCAGGCCTTTGGACTCAGATTGAACTACACCACTGGCTTTCCCGAGTCTCCAGCTTGCTGACAGCAGATCATAGAACTTCTCAGGCTTCATAATCACATGAGCCAGTTCCTCATAAAAAATATCTTTATATAGAGAGAGCGGCATATGACTTAGTCTGAAACTTGCTTCAAAAATAGCTAAAACACAAAGAATAAAAAGGGATAAATAAATAAAATATGGAAAAGACTGATAACTGTTTAGTATGATGACAGATATGTGAGAATTTGTATTTGTATACATTTGGAATTTTTGATAATGTTAAATTTTTTTAAAGTATTTTCTCCACTTGTTTCATAAACTATTATGATGATCATTGAGAAAAAGTATATAAAAGTAGCTAAAACACATATCAGTGTGTTTTAATGTCAGGTGTTTTAATGTCAGTTTGAAAAAGGAATAAAGAAAAAAATTTAAGGAATCCACATTCTAAATTAGGAGATGGCCAACTATGGCCAGTCCACAGGCCAAATCCAGACAGCTGCCTGTTTTTGTGATAGTAACACAGCTACATCCATTTGTTTAAACATTGTTGATGGTTGCTTTCATGCTGCAGCAGCAGAGTAAGTGCAACAGAAACCATATGGTTCATAAAGCAAAATTTATTTACTATCTGGCCCTTTAAAGAAAGTTTACTGACTCCTATTATAAATTCTACATTTTTACTATTATTTAAGAGAAAATTTAGCCTCAAAACATTTTCAGAGCCTTTCTTTTTAAGATTTACCAATGATTTTCCCTATCTACCTTCTCACAAATAAAAACAAAACCATCCACAAAATAGGGGCTGGTAGCCTCATAAGTTTTGCCCTAAAGTGAATAAATCATTTCATAGCTTCGAGGTAGCTACTTTTCTATTAAATCTAGAAGCCCATAATAAAAGTAAACAAACAAACCAAAAAAGTAGAACGGTAAAAAAAAGAAAGAAAACTTATAATTTCATATTACTATTATTATTTTACTTCAAGTTCCCTGAGTTTAATAAAAATAGCCAAAGGGAGACAATACATTACATGTTTCAATGCATTCCAACCAAAGGATGTTTTTTATTTGGGGAGGGAAAGAGAAAGGAACACATACACATACAAGGCTGGAATTTCCTCCATGTCAATCCAGCGAAGAACACTGTAAACCCATGGGCCATTTTTTTCTAACTATAAACTGTATGTTTTGGATTAATAGTTTAAACACATTCTTTGGCAGCCTTCAACTTAACTTACATAACCTTCAGGTATACCCATGAGCTGATTACTAATTTAGGGCTTGAGAAAAGCAATGTTTCAGAGGGAAAAGGAGACATGAATGAGCTTAATATGTAAGTACACTAGCTAAAGGGCATAATTAAAACTACATCACTCCTTTAAATCTACATAATTATGTCCCAAAGACATTCTCATTAGTATCTTTTATTTTGCCACTAAACCAGAAAGGACTTCATGTCTACATAGTTGGGAAATTCACATAAAATTTAAAAAGCTAAGGCCGGCTGTACGCATCAGCTCACGCCTGTAATCCCAGCACTTTGGGAGGCTGAGGAGGGTGGATCACCAGAGCAGGAGTTTGAGAACAGCTTGACCAATATGGCAAAACCCTGTCTCTACTAAAAATACAAAAATTAGCCAGGCATGGTGGCGTGTGCCTGTAATCCCAGATACTCGGGAGGCTGACACAGGAGAATTGCTTGGAGACAGGAGAATTGCTTGAACCCAGGAGGCGGAGGTTGCAGTGAGCGAAGATCGCACCACTGCACTCCAACCTGGGCGACAAAGCAAGAGTCTGTCTCCAAATAAATAAATAAAAAAGCTAAGGCATATACAAGTCAGATAAAGTGTTTGCAAAATTCAATGACTGAACTTCCCTTTTTAAAGTACAATCTGCCATTAAGTAATATATAAATCCAGTCAACCATCACTGCTACCACAATATCAGTACGTAACCTTATGCCCCAAATTTCAGAGGGGAAAATAACCAGAAAGAATTAAACTATTTTTAATTTTAGAAGACAGAATGCTGCTTTTTCTGACACTAACTCAACTGGAAATCTCTACTAACCAGTGCTTCCTCTACTATACAATGATAATTGATGTTCCTAATGATCAGCCAGAAGCATGTTCCAAATCCTGAAGTTCATTCTAAATGATTAAAAAGATTATGTTCAGTAGACTTTCAGTGGTGAGTACACTTCATTATATTCTCATTATTTTAAGATTAGTAACATATTTAGGATATGTAGGGCAACTGTCCATCAAAAGGCTATTCCCAAAATCAGATATTCACAGAGGCTATACTGGAAAGCTCTTAATATTATGGTCAATTTACTATACATAGAGGAGAAAATCACCTCTCTCAAGACGTGGGACATGAAATTCTATAGGGCATTAAGAGATTCTGTCCTAGGACTTGAAGAAATTTTAAATCCCCCTTTTGAAAAAAATTGGCCCAAACAGTGGCCCTCGTACTCTCTGCTTATAATGACACTGATCAAATCTTCTGAGACAGAAGCTGGAAGAGGAATTAGGAAGCTATTGCAATAATTAGATAAGAGATGGTGATGGTGTGGACCAATATTGTGGCAGTACAAACTGGATAATGATATACTTTCATACTTTCAAGGTTGAGCCAGAAGAATTTGCTGAGAGCATCGGTATGAGAGAAAGGAGTAAAAGACTATATACATCAAGGTTTTTAACCTGAGCAACTAAAACAATGAGATTGCCATTATCTGAGATTGGAAAGACGACAGGAGGAGTTGGTTTGGGGCAGAATGGTATACCAACAGCTTAGTTTTAAGCACTTTAAGTCTGAGATACCTCCTAAGTATTATGATGTTTGTATAATCTAGAACATAGATCATCTATAGATCATAAGCAGGCACTTGGATATCTGGGTCTAGAGCTCAGGGAGGTGGTTAGGCTGAAAATATGCCCTTAGGAGTTATTGGCATATAGATCTATGTGAAGCCATAAAAAAGGATGAGATCACCTGAGTGTAAATATAAAGAACTAAGGTGTTTCCTGGAGTGCTAAACTATCTAAGAAGAATATAAAACCCACATTCCTCATCTTATTGTGCCCATTTCATTGTGCTTCATAGATAGCGCATTTTTTACATATTGAAGGTTTGTGGAACCCTGCATCGAGCATGTCTATCCATGCCATTTTTCCAACAGGATATGCTCACTTCGTGTCTGTGTGTCACATTTTGGTAATTCTCTTAATTTTTCAAACTTTTTCATTATTATATCTCATTCTATATATTTTATTATTATGTCTGTTTTGCTGATCTGTGATCAGTGATCTTTGATGTTACTAATGGAATTGTTTTGGGGTGTCACAAACACACCCACCTAAGACAGCAAACTTAGTTGATAAATGTTGTGTGTCTTCTGACTGCTCCACCAACTGGCCATAACCCTGTCTCTCTCCCTCTCCTCAGGCCTCTCTACTCCCAGAAACACAAAAATATTGAAATCAGGCCAATTAATAAGGACTCTGACCAAGTGAAAAAAAGACTCGCACATCTCTCACTTTAAGTAAAAAGTTAGAAATTATTAGGCTAGTGAGGAAGCCATGTGCAAAGCAAAGATGGGCTGACAGCTAGCCTCTTTGAGAAAGTTAAGTGAGATAGGCCGAAAGCTAAGCTTCTCGTGCCAAACAGCCAAGCTGTGAATGTAAAAAAAAAGTTTTTCAAGGAAATCAAAAGTGATTCTCCAGTGAATATGTGAATGATAAAAAAGCAATACAGGCTTAGTGCTGATGTGGAGAAAGATTGAGTAGTCTAGATGGAAGATTAAACCAGCCACAACATTCCCCTAAGTGAAAGCCTAATCCAGAGGAAGGCTGTAACTCTCTTCAATTCTGTGAAGGCTGAGAGAGGTGAGGGAACTATAGAAGAAAAGTTTGAGCGAATTGGCTGGGCAGAGTGGCTCACGCCTGTGATCCTAGCACTTTGGGAGGCCGAGGAGGACGGATTGCCTGAGCTCAGGAGTTCGAGACCAGCCTGGGCAACAACGGTGAAACCCCGTCTCTACTAAAATACAAAAAATCAGCCGGGTGTGGCGGCGTGCGCCTGTAGTCCCAGCTACTCAGGAGGCTGAGGCAGGAGAATCGTTTGCACCCAGGAGGCAGAGGTTCCAGTGAGCCCAGATCACGCCACTGCACTCCAGCCTGGGCAACAGAGTGGGACTCCATCTCCACACACACACACCAAAAAAAGTTTGATGCTAGCACAGGTGGGTTTATGAGATTTAAGGAAAGAAGCTATCTCCATGATATAAAAGTACAAGGTGAAGCGGCAAGAGCTGATGGAGAAGCTGCAGCAAGTTATCCAGAAGAACTAGCTAAGATGACAAAGGTGGCTATACTAAACAACACATTTTCAATGTGAATAAAACAGCCTTATATTGGAAGAAGATGTCATCTAGGACTTTCATAGCTAGAAAGGAGAAGTCAATGCCTGGGTTCAAATTAGCCCCTAACTTTCTTGTTAGGGGCTATAGCAACTGGTAGCTTGAAGTAAAAGACAATTTAGCATTCTGAAAATCCTAGGGCCCTTACGAATTATGCTAACTCTACTCTGCCTGTGACCTCTAAATGGAACAGCAAAATGTGGGTAACAGCATATCTGTTTATAGCAGAGTTTACTGAACAGTTAAGCCCACTATTGAGACTTAGTGCTCAGATAAAAGGATTCCTTACAAAATATTACTGCTTCATGACAATGCACCTAGTCACCCAAGTGCTTTGATGGAGATGTATGATAAGATTAATGTTTTCATGCTTGTTAACACAACATCCATTCTGCTGCCCATGGATCAAGGAATAATATTGACTTCCAAGTCTTATTATTTTAAAAATATATTTAATTAGGATATCATTGCCATAGATTGTGATTCCTCTGATGGATCTAGGCAAAGTAAATGGAAAACCTGGAAAGAATTCACCATTCTAAATGTCATTAAGAATATTTGTGACTCTTGGGAAGAGATCAAAATATCAACATTAACAGGAGTTTGGAATAAGTTGATTTCCAACCTTCACGGATGACTTTGAGGGGTTCAAGACTTCAGGAAAGGAAGTCACTGCAGATGCAGTGGAAATATCAAGAGAACTAGAATTAGAAGTGGAGCCTAAAGATGAGCTGACTGCTGCAACATCATGATAAAACTTTTTAGTGGATAAAGAGTTGCTTCTCATGGATGAGCAAAGAAGGTGGTTTCTATTCCTGATGGAAACTATTCCTGGTGAAGATGCTGTGAACACTGTTGAAATGACAACAAAAGATTTAGGTTATTACATACACTTAACTTATAAACAGCATCAGGGTTGAGAGGATAGACTGCAATACTCAAAGAAGTTCTGTTACAGGTAAAATGCTATCAAACAGCACTGCATGCCACAAAGAAATCTTTTATGAAAGGAAACGTCAATCAATGCAGCAAACTTCATGGCTGTCTTATTTTAAGAAATTGTAAGAGCCACTCCAATCTTCAGCAACTACCACCTTGATCAGTCAGCAGCCATCAACATCAAGGCAAGACCCTCCACCAGCAAAAAGATTACAACTCACCAAAGGCTCAAATGATCATTACCATTTTTAGTAACAAAAAATGTATTTTTAAATAAAGGTGTCTACATTGTTTTTCTAGATATAATGCTATTGCACACTTAATAGACTGCAGTGTAGTATACATATGAGTTTTATATGCACTGGGAAAGCAAATTGTGTGACTTCCTTTATTTAAATTTTATTGTGGTGGTCTGGAACAAAACCTGCAATATCTTCTAGGTATGCCAGTACCACCTTAGCGATGTTAAATACCTACATCTATGTTGTCTAGGATCTATCCCGTCAAGTATCCTATGTACTATTCTAAACCAATTCTTCAATTATTTTAAATCAGCAAGTAAATTTATCTTTGCTGAAAATGAGGAAAGATGTTTATTGTGAAATCAGTCAGATGGAACCTTGACCTGAGTAGGCCCTTAGATACAATTTTGAGAAAGGCATAACTAGCTGCAGATAAGAAGTACAAGGTAAAGCCAAAAAAAGACTGCAAAAATTCACTAGAACAGGTAAACACTGAAGTCAGGGCAGTCAACAGTTCTGCTTGTATGATGACACAGTGCTGAAGGGTGACCCAAGTGATTTCTGCCATAATAACTTCCATGGATTCAACTTAGACACTTTAAGCATGCTACCAAAAATTCAAATATTCAAAAAATGTATGACAAACATAAAAAGTTTGAGAGGCACTGATCTTATATCTTTGTATCACCTCAAAGCCCAAAACTTTTTTTTTTTTTTTCTTTAAGACGCAGGGTGTCACTCTATCTCCCAGGCTAGAGTAAAGTGGCATGCTCATGGCTCACTGTAACCTTGAACTCCTGGGCTCAATCCCATCTCAGCCTCCCAAATAGCTGAGACTACAGGTGTGTATCACCACACCTGTATCACCAGCTAATTTTTTTATTTTTTTGGAGAGAGGGAGTCTTGCTGTGTTGCCTAGGCTGGTCTTGAGCTCCTGGGCTCAAGTGATCTTCCCACCTTGGCCACCCACAGCACTGAGATTATAGGTGTGAGCCACCGTGCCCAGCCCCAAAATGTATCTCGTTAATGACTACCTAAAAGTTAGCATCTTGGCATTGATTAGAAAACTGAACCCTGAAAAGAGCTCAGCACCCTCAACCAACTTGCTTTGGACATCTGACATTTTAAAAGAAATAAAAACACGTGTATCAAGGAACTGCCATATATATTTTCTAACTTCTATATATATATATTAAGAAAGATAAAGATCAGAAGACAGCAATAAAACCAACCTGTAATTTCTCAGCATCCAGCAGGAATACTTTAACTGAAACTTAATAACATGCTCTCAGCTTTTACAAAGGTTCAGTGTAAGACTCTCCACTTGAGTAATGGTTCTATGTGTTTAGCCAAACCATGGTTTAAAAGGTCCTTTATTATGTTACCAACAACCTTTATATGAATACTTCATGGATCATAAAATATTCATGCATCCCAATTCTGTATGTCCAAATCTTACCATCCTTCAGGGTTCAATTCAAATATCAATTTGTCCATGAAGCCCTCTCTGAGTCTCCTAGGTAGATATATCTTACTCTTGAGCTTGTCCTCCTACTATGCTTACTACTTTCTACGTCATATTAAATAAGAACTTAGGGGAGGGCATTTTATTGATCATTTGCTATGTATCAGACACTGTGCTAATAAGCACAATACTAAGGGTTATTATCATACGTAACCTTCATATCAATCCCATCACTATCCTTATTTGAAAGATGAGAAAACTAAGTCCAGAGAGGCTGACTTAACCAAAGTCACATGGCAAATAACTGGCAAATAGGTCTGGGCTCTGGTTTGATTCCAAAGTCTACATTCTCCCCGCCACACCACAGTGCCTTCCAAAACAAGAGAACTTCCCTCTCAGGAGACTAATGTCTATTTATTTATTAAGTTTTGTGAAATATTTCTAAATATCCAATACTTACTTGAATTTAAACCTAACAAAATGTGGTATCTGTCTCCAAAGAGGTTATTATTATTTGCAAGGCAATTCAATAGTTATATTAAAATACAAGTTATAACAGTCTAGTATAGACTATGTTCCCTGAGGTCAAAAGTCATATCTTTTTCTTTTTTTTTTTTAACTTTTAAGTTTGGGGGATATGTGCAGGTTTGTTATATAGGTAAACTCACATCATAGCAGTTTGGTGTATAGATATTTCATCACCCACGTACTAAGCTTAGTACCCAATAGTTATTTTTTTCTGCTCCTCTCCTTCCTCCCACCCTCCACCCTCAAGGAAGCTCCAGTGTCTGTTGTTCCCTTCTCTATGCTCATGAGTTCTCATCATTTAACTCCCACTTATAAATGAGAATGTGCAGCATTTGATTTTCTGTTCCTGCATTAGTTTGCTAAGGATAATGGCCTCCAGCTCCATCCATGTTCCTGCAAAAGACAAGATCTTGTTCTTTTTTATGGCTGAAGAGTATTCCATGGTATATGTGTACCACATTGTCTTTACCCAATCTGTCACTGATGGGCACTTAGGGTGATTCCATGTCTTTGCTATTGTGAATAGTGCTGCAATGAACATTCGCGTGCATATGTCTTTATGGTAGAATGATTTATATTCCTCTTATACTCGGTAATAGCATTGCTGGGTCGAATGGTAGTTCTGTATTTAGCTCTTTGAGGAATTGCCATACTGCTTTCCACAATGGTTGAACTAATTTACACTCCCACCAACAGTGTATGTGTTCCCTTTTCTCCACAACCTCACCAGCATCTATTATTTTTTGACTTTTTAATAATAGCCATTCTGACTGGTATGAGATGGTATCTCACTGTGGTTTTGATTTGCATTTCTCTAATGATCAGTGATACTAAGCTTTTTCTCCTATGCTTGTTGGCCACATGTATGTCTTCTTTAGAAAAGTATCTGTTCATGTCCTTAGCCTACTTTTTAATGGACTTTTTTTTGTTTTTCTTTTAAATTTAAGTTCCTTATAGATGCTGGATATTAGACCTTTGTCAGATGCACAGTTGGCAAATATTTTCTCCCATTTGGTAGGTTGTCTGTTTACTCTGTTGATAGTTTCTTTTGCTGTGCAGAAGCTCTTAAGTTTAATTAGATCCTATTTGCTTTTGTTGCAATTGCTTCTGGTATCTTTGTCATGAAATCTTTGTCCATTTCTAATGTCCAGGATGGTACTGTCTAGGTTGTCTTCTAGGGTTTGTAGTGTTTTGGGTTTAACATTTAAGTCTTTAATCCATCTTGAGTTGATTTTTTTATATGGTGTAAGGAAAGGGTCCAGTTTCAATCTTCTACATATGGCTAGTCAGTTATCCCAGCACTACTTGTTGAATAGGCAGTCCTTTTCCCCATTGCTTTTGTCGGCTTTGTTGAAGATCAGATGGTCGTAGGTGTGCAGCCTTATTTCTGGGCTTTCTATTCTGTTCCATTGGTCTATGTCTGTTTTTGTACCAGTACCATGTTGTTTTGGTTACTGTAGCCCTGTAGTATAGTTTGAAGTCAGATAACATGATGCCTCCAGCTTTGTTCTTTTTGCTTAGGATTGCTTTGGCTACTAAGGCCTTTTTGGTTCCATACGAATTTTAAAATAGTTTTTCTAGTTCTGTGAAGAATGTCATTGGTAGTTGGATAGGAATAGCATTGAATCTATAAATTACTTTGGGCAGAATGGCCATTTTAATGATACTGATTTTTCCTATCTGTGAGTATGGGATGTTTTTCCATTTGTTTGTGTCATCTCTGATTTCTTTGAGCAGTATTTTCTAATTCTCATTGTAGAGCTCATTCCCCTCTCTTGTTAGCTGTATTCCTAAGTATGTTATTCTTATTATGGCAATTGTGAATGGTGGCATTGTGTTCCTGATTACTGACAGTCCTTAAAACATTAGTATACAGACAGAGTTTAATAAATATGAAAATAAAAGCTCTTCTTGTCCAAGAAAATTATATTTCTTTCCAAAAATGAGAATCACGGACTTTTTCTATCCCCCTTGGCTAAAGTTAGGGCTCAAGTAGAATAATTAATTTAGCCAGGTGTTCAGCAATGTCTAGTTCTCTGTTCCTTTCAATATTTTGTTTTTATTTTTCATTTTTCTAAAGGAAGAAGACAATGTCATAAAGCTTATCTAGTGTTTGTGGTATGGCCCATCCAATGAACAGAAAAATCATGTGAATCCCAGAGCTTCTACCTAGCAGTAAACTCACTGATCTTCAGGGTGCTTCTTTGCAAAATCCAGGTAATTATACCTATTTTTATATGGTGAATTTCTAAAGCTTAAATAAGAATATTTATACAAGGTAGGCCAGGCACGGTGGCTCACGCCTATAATCCCAGCACTTTGGGAGGCCGAGGCGGGTGGATCACTTGAGGTCAGGAGTTCCAGACAAGCCTGGCCAACATAGTAAAACTCTGTCTCTACTAAAAATACAAAAATTAGCCAGACGTGGTGGTGCACAACTATAGTCCCAGGTACTTGGGAGGCTGAAGCAGGAGAATCGCTCATAGCTGGGAGGTGGAGCTTGCAGTGAGCCAAGATCATGTCACTGCGCTCCCGCCTGGATGACAGAGCAAGACTCTGTCTCAAATAAATAAATAGATACAATATTTACACAAAGTGCCAGACATACTGCAGGACTTAATAAAGGTTAGCATTCCCCACTCTAACAAATTATTTTAAATGGCTCAACCATGCCAAAGGATAGCAAGTTTACTTTAAATCAGCCATCTTCTCAAAAAGCCACTTAAAATGTTAAATGTTTCAAAGAGAAATAACATTATTTTTTAGTCCATTTGTCTCTATCAACAAAATATTATATCCCCTTTTGATACACATTCTTTCCCTACAAATAAAGCAGACAATGTGCTCTTTTAGAACTTTGGTTTATCTTTGTAAAGAGAAAATAATACAAGGCATTCACTGTGGCACTCACAGTCTGCTTTCTCTAAGGACAAGCCTATCTATACTCAACAGTCAGAAAAGCAAATGATCTGGCTGGAAGGGTTCCCTGAAAGAACGAAAACACATTCCTTAGCAATTATACTTTTTAAATGAAAAGTCTGTCTTTACGACAACAGCAAGATTTAAATATGAAGGAAAAAACCATGAAGTAGCATATCCTTCAATTTTTCAAAGAGAAAACTAATGGCTTAACACACTTAAGGTCCATTTTCGGCCAACGAATATATACTAAGAAAAGACTAGGTGCAGAGCATTCTTTCCTATGCAAGAGATGGGTGGGGAGAACATAAAAACTTTAAGATAGAATCCCTGCTATTTAGACACTTAAAATTTAGTGGAGATTGAAAGAGTTGTTAGTCACTGCTGGCTAAGGTGCTCAGGAAAGGATTAACACAGGGCTGGGCCTTCTGTGATAAACAGAAAGGATTCTAGAGCTCTTATCAACAGAGGCTTAAACTAAATCTAGTTCATCCCTAGTGTACTAAAATTAATTCCAACTAGTTGCCCCTTAATTATTCAGAATTCTCTCCCCTATCAGACAGTATAATTTCTTCCTTTTCTCTAGGTAATAAATTTATACACACTATAGGTAGATTAAAATTATCTTTTAAAAAATCACATAAAGCTTTAGGAATGATCTTGAATGTGAAAATCTAAGTCTAACAAAATATAGCTTTTAAAACAACATTTACATGTAAACAATATGTGCCATGTTATCCATAGAAAGGAGTCATCATTACTGTTTGGGATGAAACATAATATAGTTGTAAACAGAGATTAAATGGTTTTACCAAGGCATTATTCAAATTGCATCCTTTATGTAAGAGGCCTCAAGGCACAATCAATAAGTTAATGATTAAAATACGTAAAACTGTAGCAGATAATCATCATCATAAAATTGTGTTAAAATAATGTTTAAGTGTTGATTTGTCAGAAAGGACCTATTAATAAAGACAGATTTTTATGGTACTATTCCTAGAAGGCCCATACATGGGATAGGGATGATTTGGGGAAATCATCTTGTCCCTAATTCCTTAGAGTAAGAATTTAGAAACTGTGGAAACATACTACTTGAACTCACATGTGGCCAAGGCAAAGCTTTGCAAGGAATAAGGAAGCAAAAAAGGAGGACAAAAAGTAGCCTTAAGTACTATGACACCCTTGAAACTCTAAAGACCACACTGCAGTGTTTCTGCAGTCGCAATATAACTAAAGAATAGGATACCAAACCTCAGAGCAAGTAATGGAGCCTCAAGGTTTACACAGTGAGTTACAGCAAGCATAACAGGAAACAAGAAGGGCAACGAAAGTGCATGCAATGTTGGCAAAAAAAAGAGTCCACCTTTAAAAATAAGTCCACCTTTAAAGACAGAAAAAAATTGGAAATTTCCTAGAAAAACAAAGACTTCATGATCTCTTCTTGAATTACCTTGAGATCATTCTCATTAGTGAACATTATATTCAAATACACTAATTAAAATGACTATGTCCTGGATTCATGTTTTTTTAAATATAGATTTTTCAAGAGGCAATTTTAAGTATTTTTAAAACTAAAGGTAGAAATAAAAGCATTATTGTGATAAAACTCATATCCAAGAGAATTAATCTATATATGTATATCTTTCCTTTGTTGGTAAAGAGACATCAAATTATAATATAACCTAAAAACATCAACATAGAAAGCACACCTTATCTTCAAATTGGTTTAACAGTATTATTCTATCTAAATTACAAAGCGACTATATTTAAACAAATAAAAATCCCTTTAATCCACACATTTCCTGTGAAATGTCAAGCTTTTACCATTCTGACTTTATCCTTACATATGGATTTACTGAACAATATCACTTAACCACTATTTAAGCTAGTGACAATGGTATTGTTTCATATTTACTCATTCTGACAAACATTTTGTTTTTGAGTACACTGTCTAAATCTAATAGAATAAAATACAATTTATTTGCAATTTTTAAATATTACAGTGGAGAAAATCTGAGATGAATGTTCATCACAGTGTTGTTTTGAAAGACTACGGAAAACAAGGGGTTTCTTCGTACAAAAAAAAGTCTAAAAACTGCCAAAGGAAGGGGCAGAAAAGATAGGTGGAGAGAAACTATGTAGAAATATTTGTTTTTTTGAGGCTTACATGAAAATTCAAAGGGTAAGGATGGCATACAGGAATGCAACTGGAGAGCTAAAAAAAAATGTCTCAACCAAGGCAAAGGAAAAGGAAATGAGAGGTTGAAATAAAAGGCCTTGAGGTCCAAAGATGTGGAGACAAACTAAAGCATATAGTAGGTAAAAAGATTAATTGTGCCCAAGACTCACACACCTTATGGTAGACATCATTCATTTCCCTCTGGAGTATCTTTCCAGTGGGGGATTAAAATATAGGAATTCTTTTGAGATTTTAGTAGAAAATCCTTTTCCCCTCTCTAAGAACTTGACTAAATCACAAGATCCTTGAGCCTAGGCATGATTAAGACAGTGTTGCTTTACTCAATCCTAGTAGGTAGGCTACAGGGATCAAAGACTTGAGAGCAAGGAAATCTGCCTTATCAGTCCTAGAGTCACAGACAGAGCCTGGTACCTTGTTTTAAATGACAGCCCCTCCAAAATGAAGGGTCTGAAACCACCTTCCTCACTGAGAGCAGAGACGCAGTGAGCTTAGTGTAGGCCTCATGTAAGCCCAGGCCACCAAGCCAGTGCTTCTCACCTGACTTAAGCTACATTTGCCCAAGCCTCACCAATGGGAGTTGGCCTCAGCTTGTGCTGGTGCTCCACTGCCTCCTGCTGGTCTTCCCCGAACCCACTGACTTTTTAGCTAAATCTGGCTGCATTACAGCTCAAACCTCCACAGACTGAAATCATATCGAAAGGTTTTAAGATCCAGTGTCTGTTAATTCTGAGTACACTTGGACAGTTCTCTTTGCCTCGAGTTTCTTCATTGTAAAATGGTGAACACTCAGACCTGCTATTCATATCCCACTAAGATATGACAAGAAAAATGCCAAGCCTAGAGTTCTTACATAAAACTTACGTTGTGGCAAAACATCATGTTTTTGTTTAAGCCTTCCATGACCACCCTATTTAAAACCACATCCAGGCACTAAACAGCATTCCCTATCTTCTTCATGAAAAAATTTCTTCATAGCAGTAATCACCAAGTAATATATCAATAATTCACTTACTTGTTTACTGTCTCTCCTCAACCAGAATGTAAGCTCCAGAGTTTTAATTTTTTTTTTTTCTATATTGTTCACTGCTGCTATACCTCTAGTAGCTAGAAGACCACCTGGGACATAGTAGATACTCAATGTTTGTTGAATGGATGAACAAAATACACTCTTTAAACAGTCCCCTAGGAAAAGGCAGGTTATGTCTGAGATAGTACAAAAGAAAATGACAAGCTTATTCTGGGATCAAAGTCGAAAAGCAATCTACTTCTTAGGGTGCCTAATCAATATCATCCTTACCATTCAAATTTTTTAAATCTGAGTTTTTGTGTCTCCTTCTCTGAACTTATTCTGAATTAAAAGGCTGACTTCACTTAACAGGTGACATTCTTATCAATACAGAACAGTAACCATCTAGATTTCCCCTTGAGTAAACATCCCTCTAGCCCTTTCCTGATTAGGATTCCTGCTTTTCTGATTGAGCTGCATACAACAACAACAATCGCACTATTAAAGCACAACCATTCTCTGGGTCCCCACAACAGTTTAAACTTATATATTCTCTTACTATAAAGAGTAATGCACACAGGCAGGTGCAAAATAACTGTCTGGTTATTTTTTAAATAAAATAAAATCCTACTTTACATAGAAGTAAACAAACTGGAAAGATGGTTCAAAGTAATTTTTTAAGTAAAAACAAAATAATAAATTCAACAAAGATTTACAGGCAAAAGATGGGTGACAAACACACAACAGGTTGTTAAAGAAAGCCAAGAATATACTTGCCCCACACTTCAAGCCCCTGAGATTCCTAATATTAATAAATCTTCCAAAGAAAAATCCTTCAGTATCAGAAGTCTGACCCATTTTGGAGCTTATACGTACCCAATTTGTCCAGAGACATGGCCAATTAAAACATACTCTTGATATCTTAAACTGGCATCTTTTTAAGAAGATACATATTTTATTGTCATTTTCCCCTAAGAGTACCACATATATTAGCAACAAAAATTTGACCCACCTTTTAAAATGTTGAATAAAATGTCATTTTATTTTTTTAATCTCATTTTAATATATCAGCATAATCCATAAGGTATCACTGGCAAAATGACATTTATAAATGAATAACAGAGTTGAAGTCTTCTATTTTTTATCTTATTTCCATAATTTAAGAATTAAAAAGTATTTGGAGTACAACATCAAGAGCAATTAAATTTACTAAAGCTAATTTTTGCCAGAATAGTGTTAGGAGAAGGATAATAACACCTGTTTTATTCTAATGATAGACTTAACCCAATACATAATTTAATTTGAATTTTGACTAGCTAGCCTCTTGACAATTCATGAAAGCAAGCCCAACCTGTTCAAGTCAATGTTTAAATATTAATTCTTATACTGTATAATCTAGAATTGGTATTCCACATGCTATGGAAAGCATCAAGAGAAGAATTAAACCCTTAACATACACATATCTTTATTATACACCAAAATATTTATAAGAGAGAATATAACAAATTTCACTGCAATAAAGCTTCAAAAATATGTTTTAGATGACTTTGTAGCTGTTAAGAGTACCTTTAAAATTGCTGCCCAAAAATAATAATGACAAAGATTAGACTATTTTTGCAAGAAACTTTTTTTTGAGGGGGGTTTAGGGGGGACACGGAGTTTCGCTCTTGTTGCCCAGGCTGGAGTGCAATGGTGAGATCTCAGCTCACCACAACCTCCACCTCCTGGGTTCAAGCAATTCTCCTGCCTCAGCCTCCCGAGTAGCTGGGATTACAGGTATGTACCAGCATACCTGGCTAATTTTGTCTTTTTAGTAGAGACAGGGTTTCTCCATGTTGGTCAGGCTGGTCTCAAACTCCCGACCTCAGGTCATCTGCCCGCCTCGGCCTCCCAAAGTGCTGGGATTACAGGCGTGAGCCATAAGAAACTATTTTTTTCATTACATTCAAATTACTTTCCTAGGATCTCACTAACACGAACATTCAAACAAAACAAGCTTTTCTTTGAAAGAAAAACCAAAACATAGGCAATTAGAAAACTAATATTTGTGTCTAGAAGTTAACAAGTTTACAAATATATTGAGAAAATGTGAATGATATAGAATAACCCCTTTATCAACATTTTAAAATTATTCAATATTTCTTTAGTACATTATAGATTACATAGTATTTCACATATATACTTAATTCTTTGCAATATTTTAGCAGACATTACTATTGTCCTCAAGAACTGAAAAATCTCTATTGTTAATTGTGTTCTCTAAAGTTTACATAGTTATCATTATCAGTGTCAACCTAAACACTAAGTCTAGTCTTCCTTCTGCGAGTACTGGGGGAAGTTCAGGGTTTGGAATAAAATAGACCTGGGTCTAACCCAGGTTTGATCATGTGCCACCTTTGCTGCCTGAGGAAAACACATTAAACTCTCCATCGAACGAAGATAATATTTACCTCATGGTGGTGGTGTGAGATTAAATTAAACAGAAAACATAGGAAGAATTTAAAGCAGCATGCCTGCTTTGCTAACCCCTAAACCTGAATAAATTTTACCTTATGCCATCTCTGCTTTTGCTCTAAGGCCATAAGACACTGCTAGAGAAAGCAACATAATAGTGCTGGCTTAGCCAGTTACAAATTTATAGCCTAGTACTGTTTTTTCATTAGTAAACTCGACATAAATAATACTTATCTCCTAAGATGGTTTTAAGGATTCCATAAAATTGTGTATGTAGAATATTAGTTATAGAGCCTAGCATATGCTAGGAACTCAAACTGTAACCATTCTGTAGCTTAGCAATCTTTTTTTTTTTTATTAGTTAATGCCTTAGCACACTTATGGAAGGTGTTATTCTAGACTCTTCAACTTTCTTTAAGCCCTAAATACGCCAAATCCTTCTGGTAAGCAATTCCCCTGCCTACTTTATTGGAAAGATGAGCAGTGGATGTGAGCTCCCACAGCTCTTCTTTCTACTTTTAAACACTCCTTTACCAATTCATAATTTTTCATATATCCATCAGGTGTGAGATAAACTAAACTCCCAATGCAATTCTTTCAGTCATTCAACAAATTTTACTAAGCATATACAATCTGTCAGTACCATCTCAAGTGCTGGGTATATCACAGTAAGAAAGAAACAAATTCTACACTCAGGGAACATCACATAGGAAACAGAGGTTCATATTATAATAATCACATAATAGATAAATGTTTTAAATTCTCTTTCCATCTCCTCAGGCCTTGTTTCCTCAAGTATTCTCAGCACATCCTCCATTTCCATGAGTTTTACTGCTCCTGCCCACCCCAACTTGAAAACCTTGCTTGGCACAGTCACCCTCTGTACCTAGTATGCTCTATTTCTTTCCTTCCTGACTTCTTAAACTTTAGAAACGCACACTCTATTCCCATCGCCTCCATTTTCTTGTATGCTAAGACCAGGAAATCTGGTTCCTGCTCTAACTTTTGGCACTCCTGCTCTAACTTTGGCACTTCTCAGAGAGTCCCCACAAGTAAGGAGGCTCTCAACAGATGCAGCCCCATGACCTGGGACTCCTCAGTCATAACTAGAAGAAATAAATTTCTCTTCTTTATAAATTACCCACTTTCAGATATTCTGTGATAAGCACTAGAAAATGGACTATGACAGGGTAGTAGTTAAAACAGTGGTTCTGAATCTTTAGTGTGCATCAATTTCATCTGGATGATTTGTTAAACCACCAATTGTGGGCCCTGACCCCAGAACTTGATTCTGAGATTCCACATTTCTAACAAATTCCCAAATGATGCTGATGCTGAGATCTACTGGTCTCTGAAATAAAAAATCCTAACAATAAATGTTTCATATACTCACATCCCACCAGCCAAATATTTAATCCTTCAGTAGTCAATTTTTAACAACACAAGTTTGTTCTTAGTCTTGACGCAAGCTAGATTCTGGAAGAAAACAGTGCTAAATGTTCCTTGACCCAATTATAACAACATATAATAGACCTTAAGCATGCTGTCATCAAGGACAGAAACCACAGCTACAGAAAATGTGCATTATCAATGTTGTACTTAATATCCAATAAAACCAGCTTAAAGCAATTCAGAATAACAACACTATGAGCAATCTGACAGGACACATGCTTTGAATTTATTAGAAGAATTATCCAGTTCAATGTAATACTTAACAAAGCTAGTCGCCGAAGTGATTTAATATCCAAGTGCCAAGTAAAAGAATATTTTCATGGTATTCATACTTTAAATAGAGGTTTGTGCATGCTGTCACGTATAAGTGGGAGCTAAACATCGAGCACCCACAGACATAGAGATAGGACCAATAGACACGGAGGACTACTAGAAGTGGAAGGGAGGATGGACTGAAAAACTACCTATTGGGTACTATGCTCACTATCTGGGAGATGACGTCGCAGCACAAAATATACTCAGGTAACAAACCTGCACATGTACCCCCTATATCTAAAATAAAAGTTGAAATTTTAAAAATAAAAAATAAATAAATAAAGGTTTGATTTTATATCTCTTGCACCCAGGGTGATGCTTTTTTCAGGTAGACAGGCTTGTAAATTATAATTACAACTAAGAAAAACATGAAAAACTTTACTCTGACTAATTAAATTTTATTTGTATAAAGCATAGGTGCATTTATTTCAGAAATACAGGAAATTATTTAAGGAATAAGACGTTCAAAACTTTAAATACTTCTTGTGAATCATTCACAAATCCAAAAAATCTGATTCAGCAACCTAAGTGCAATTTTCAAATTTCTCCATCCTTCACTGACAAGCGTTAACTCAAAGAGCTTTATTTTAACATTTTAAATATATCAATATTCAAATTCAACAATTTAAGAATAAAAACCCTACATTATGAAACCAATGTTTTTTGGAGTAAGGTATGCTGTGAAAAGCAATTGGTTTGCTATAAGATCATACAACAATGGAATGTTCTCTTGGAAATGGTTGATGTTTTAATACTGAAATCTCTATCCTCAAGTATAATATGCATCTAAATAAAACAGTATTCAAATATACTGAGAAGGTAAATTACAAAAAGTCTGGAAATGGAGAATTTTAAATCACAACAGTCAAAACCACAACAATCCCAAAAACAGGTAATAAAAAGCCTAAGTGAATGAGTAATAAATGGAAGAATTATTACTGTAAAATTATTTTATTAAAATAATTATAAAAATAAAGAAAATAATGGAAGAGTTAACGATGTTTTGTGTACTTTCCCCTCATTCCTTGTTCACTGTGTATTCTTGCTCTCATTTCTTTCTCGACTAACCCATGTCATTCACTTTCTCCAAATCTTAATTCTAGATTGGTCTCTAACACGATCCACTCTAACAACTTTCTTACTCCACATCACCTTAATAATACTTTCCTTTTTACCATCGTGTTTTGGAACTGTTTTCCAATTCCTTCGTTCTCAATTAAACTATAACCAAGTAGATTAAAATTTTTAAATTTGCTTTAAAGCAAAATAGTTTCTTAAAAATCAATGTTGGCCTATATAATCAGAAATCCAAAGTTAGGCGAAATTAATTTGAACCAAGTGGAAACTTTACTCATACTATTTTCCGCTTTTCAGTAAACCTGCATAGCATCCAACATTCATTATATTATTTTAGTAAATATTCAAAGTTGTGAAACTACACATATTTGACTAAATTCCAGTTACCAATTGACCCTATCCTGGCTGACAGGATCCTGGTTGGCACCTACCTACCCAACAAGACCAGTTCCTACTGGCCTACTAATTCAATCTATCTTTAGTAATTAGGCTAAAAGATCTATGTCTCCAGACTCCCCTCTTGCCACAATTACACTGGTACAGTTCAGGTTCCTACCACCTACAGGATGGACTACACTTTAAGGTCCTTTAAAATGTTGTCCCTTTAACATGAAATTCCCTTCTTTCTCTGTCTGTACATTTGTATTTATCTGGTTTTTCCAAATAAATCTCTTGGAAGACTCTCGTGAATAAGGTCTTGGAGGGGCCAGGCATGGTGGCTCATGCATGTAATCCCAGCATTTTAGGAGGCCGAGGTGGGTAGATCACCTGAGGTCGGGAGTTCGAGACCAGCCTGATCAACATGAAGAAACCCCACCTCTACTAAAAATACAAAAAAAATTAGCCGGGCCTGGTGGCACATGCCTGTAATCCCAGCTACTTGGAAGGCTGAGGCAGGAGAATAGCTTGAACCCAGGAGGTGGAGGTTGTGGTGAGCTGAGATCACGCCACTGCACTCCAGCCTGGGCAACAAGAGCGAAACTCCATCTCAAAAATAATTATAATAAATAAAATAAGGTCTTGGAAAGTCTTCATAAATAAGGGCTGTTTCTTTTATTTCAGTATCTTCAGAATGGTATATGTTCATGATAAACACACAATAAAAATCGGCTGAACTATGCCAAGTAGATGGAATATGTACATATGTATGTATCTATGTATATACATATACACAGAAATATATTTCTCTGTACTTTTTATAAGAATCGTAATATGATACTATGTTAAATATTTGTATATTTGTATATTCTACCAATCCATATTTTGATTTAGAAAAATACATGGACGACAACAAATTTGATTCTGGGAATCTATATTTCTAACATATTCCCAAATGATGCTGATGCTGAGATCTACTGCTCTTAGAAATAAAAAAGCAACTAAAATGACTTAAATTCTATAACTTGTTAGAAACAGCTCTATCTAAAAAGAACCAAAACAGATAAAGATTATTTTTTCTCATATCGAAAGCTAAACTTTAAAGATTTGGTAGAATTTACCATGTATTCAGCAAAATATAAATAAATAATATCTATGAACATGTATGAAAATTTATTTCTATGTAAATAATATGGAAATTTCCATGTATTAGTTTATTCAATAAACATTTATTGAGTGCCTGCTATGAGTCAGGCACTGTTCTAGGTGCCTGAACATGCAGCAGGCAACAAGAAAGACAAGATACCTGCTTTTATATAGTTTACATTCTAATTGTAGGATACAGATAATAAATGAATAAATAAGCAATAAATATAAGGTAGTCATAAGCACCCAAAATTAAAAGAACATAATCTGGTAGCAAGTAACCAATATCATTTATTGGAATATATATGCTAGCCGGAAAATAGTTTCAAAAGGCAAGAAAAATAATCCAAACTAGTAACTCTGAATAAGCATTTTATAGACAGATGGCTAATTTTTACATATATAGGACTCACTTAATACATCTGACAGAGCAGGAGCATTGCCATCTTGGACAAGCACCATCATTTTAAAATTTATGTTGATCAAAAACTTCCTAAATCCAAAGGGCATCAGCTTGATGGCTAAAGTCAGCATGACCATAAACCACAAATAACATCTGTGACCAGAAACACGCCAAACCCCTCCCTGACCAGAGACATGCCAGCCCCGAGATAACCTCCCCTCCAGCTGGAGAGATGTCAGCCCCAACATAATCTCCTCTCCGACCAGAGACATTCCAACCGCGCCATAAACTTCTCCCCCACACAGAAACATTCCAAGCTCTCTCACCAATAAATACTCTCAGTCTGTAAGAGACAGCATTACTGACCAAACTCGGCCAGAAGCCCCACTCAGGTTTATTCTCCAAAATAAACCTGTCTTTGACTGTTGAGCTGCTTTTCGTGTTTCTTTCCTCCTTCTTTAACTCTTACAACATCAAATTCCTAATAAAAAAATAACAGTGGGCATCAGAACCTTAAGCTGCTTCCACAATCCATTATTACTACTCAAAAATGTTTATAACAGAAATTATGTGCATTATAACACAAAAACTGCTTAACCTTAATAAAAGGTATCTAGAGACACAATACTTTAATATTTATACTTTGGATGACAGTTACAAACACTAATACAGGTGTAAATTATTTTAGAATACAGACAACACATTCCCCTCCAACATTAAGTATAACATTAGTTTTAAAAGCAAAGTGTTAAAAAAAAAAATGCCTGCAACAGGCACAGGTAAGTAAAGATGGGAGGAAGAGACAGATACCGATCAGGCAGTCAATTCAAGAACAGAGCTGCATTAGAAGTTAGGGTAAAGAAATATTTTGTTCCAGGCAGTATATCTAGGAAAGGTAGTTGTAGCTGCAGAGTTAGAGCTCAAAATTGCTGGAGATATTATACCAGTCTCTGCTGACTCAAAAGTACTGGCTAAGTACCCAAAATATTTGCTCAGACTCACATAGCAATGCATCTCAAATAAGTCACAATGAGGACACAAATATTAAGAGAAAGAAATCAGACATTATGATCATTTGGGAAACAATAGTACAGAAAAATTCCAGTTGAAATTGACTGTTACCACATCATTTTTCTTACACTGTTAGGACATAAGCTGTCCAAACAGAAGCTGTTATTTCAAATCATTCGAGCTGGGTTCAACACCCAAGTCCTTTAATTAGCACTATAAAAAATGTTTAACATCTTCTATAATCATCCTAAAAAATATCCTGGCCGGGCGCGGTGGCTCACGCCTGTAATCCCAGCACTTTGGGAGGCCGAGGCGGGCGGATCACGAGGTCAGGAGATCGAGACCATCCTGGCTAACACGGTGAAACCCCGTCTCTACTAAAAATACAAAAACTTAGCCGGGCGAGGTGGCGGGCGCCTGTAGTCCCAGCTACTCGGGAGGCTGAGGCAGGAGAATGGCGTGAAGCCCAGGGGGCGGAGCCTGCAGTGAGCCGAGATTGCGCCACTGCACTCCAGCCTGGGCGACAGCGAGACTCCGTCTCAAAAAAAAAAAAAAAAAAATCCTATAAGCAGTATTTTAAGCCAACAATTTTTATACCTCTTAAGAATATTTTTAATTGTATGTATCACTTAACAAATAGATACAATGGTTCAATTAGAGAATATTGTAATTTAGTATGCCTTAGTTTATTACATGTCATTGAAAAAACATGTAAACGATATAGCTGAGAAAAACATGAACATTTACAATACGGACTATGTAACAACAGAACACTAAATAGTCATAGAAAGTCAGAAATGTGTCTTATAATCCTTTAGTCAAAATAACATTTGCTGTAATTAATAAGCTAATAAAAATATAGACTATATGTTATCTAGAAAACTAAAAAATTATTTATTTTCTTTTATAAGAATTTTTGAAAAAAAGTTTGCATTGCAAAATAAAAATTCCATAATAAAAAAATTTAAACATACAAGTTAAAAAAAAGACTACTGATGATATTGCTACACAGGCTATTCCAGATGTACATAAAAGAAGGCAGGTCAATGAACAAGTGTCCAAGCCAAAGACTTAGTACTCAGGGTAAGTGTCCACATAGGCTGGTGCAGCTGGTTTTCCCTCTCTACTTTCCTTTTTCTTCTCCCAATTTACAGCACAAACCAAGCTAAAATGCTAGCTCAACTTCTCTCTTTTCACTTCAAAACAACCCAGCTCACCAGCCGGGCATGGTGGCAGTAGCTCACGCTTGTAATCCCAGCACTTTGGCAGGCCAAGGCGGGTGGATCACCTGAGGTCAGGAGTTCGAGACTAGCCTGAGCAACATGGCGAAACCCCGTCTCTACTAGAAATACAAAATTAGCTGAGCATGGTGGTGCATGCCTGTAATCCCAGCTACTTGGGAGGCTGAGGCAGGAGAATTGCTTGAACCCTGGGAGGCAGAGGTTGCAGTGAGCTAAGACTGCGCCACTGCACTCCAGCCTGGGTGACAGAGCGAGACTCTGTCTCAAAAAAAAAAAAAAAAAAAACCAAAACACAACAACCACCCAGCTCTTCACTGGGCCATGAGATGCCCAGACATTTGGTCAAACATTACAGTGGGGGTGTCTGAGGGGGTGTTTCTGGATATGATTAACATTTGAATTGGTAGTTAAAGTAAAGCAGATTGCCCTACCTAATGTGAATAATTCTCAACCAATCAGTTGAAAGCCTAAACAGAACAAAAAGCCTGACCTCCTGTGAGTAAGAGGGAATTTCCTTCTGTCTGACTTCCTTAAACTGGGGCCTCATTTTTTAAACTGAAACATTGCCTCTTCCTGGGTCTCAAAGCTGTTGGCATTTGAGCTGGAACTAAAGCTGACCCTTGAACAATGCAGAGATTATAGGCAACAACCTCCACCCCTCACCCCATACAGTTAAAATCCATGTATAACTTTTTATTCCCCAAACACTTAACAACTAAAACCCTACTGTTGACCATAAGCCTTACTGATAACATAAACAGCTGATTAACACATATTTTGAATATTACATATATTCACTGTATTATATATATTCACTGTAACCTCACAATAAAGTAAATTGGAGAAAAAAAAATTAAGAAAGTCATAATAGGCCAGGCACAGTAGCTCACACCTGTAATCCCAGCACTTTGGGAGGCTGAGGCAGGAAGATCACCTGAGGTCAGGAGTTCAAGACCAGCCTAGCCAAAATGGTGAAACCCCGTCTCAACTAAAAATACAAAAAGAGAAAGAAAGTCATAAGAAAATACATTTACAGTACTGTACTACATTGATCGATACCGTAAGTTTACATTATCTATTTACAAGATGAACCATCTGTCTGACATGGCACTCAACCTTAGCTGGAGACCTCAATCTATATTACATATCAAGCAATTCAACTGTTTCTTGTAATATCATTACTTTTCTCTGGTTTGGGGAAGCATTTCCAGCATTACTAGTGACACTTCCTATGAGCCCAATGGTGTTATTCAAGGTTTATGATATTGCACTGAACACGATGAAAAATACCCGAGAACTGTGAGAGATCACTTTACTGTAATATACAATTTACTGTGCAAGCTGCTTACGCTGAGATGATTAGCATCACAGAGCGTTTTAAGCAGATACTTGCAACACTTATAGGCTCACCACAGTAGCAACAGGGTGGGGCTATTAAATTACTATAGTAGCACAGAATGTGCTACAGTTAATTTTATGTAGGTTATAATACTGCATCTTTACATTTGTTTACATTTCTCTCTACTGGGAATAGCACCATGTATGGTCTGTACATTTGTGTGCATGTGTTTTGATAAATTTTAACTTTTTGCAATAGATTTCTGTATATCTCATGTTAGTAAATAAGACTAGTATATATTTTATACATTCATATATACTTAATTTTTTCTTACCTTTTTCGATATTTCTAGGCTATGTGGTTCATCTGCAAGTTTTTTCAAATTGTTGCATATCACCAGAAAATTTTCCAATATACTTATTGAAAAAAATCCACATATAAGTGGACCCATGCAGTTCACACCTGTGTATTTCAAGCATCAACTTGTACACTATCATTCTTCTGGTTTTCAGGCTTTTGGATTCAGACTAGAACTACAACATTGGCTCTCCCAGGTCTTCAACTTGCCAACTGCGGATCTTGAGACTTGTCAACTTCCATAACCCCCATCTCTCTCTCTCTCTCTCGCTGTGTGTGTGTGTGAGTGTGTGTATGTCTGTGTGCATGTGTGTGTAAGTGACAGAAAGACAGACAGACACACAGTTCCATTTCTGTGGAGAACCCTAATACATCTACCTACTTAAGACATCAAATTCCTAATAAAAAGATCAAAAACTGTTTTAAGTTAATAATACATGATGTCAATGGCAGAGCAAAATTCTCACATCGCTTGAAGAGGGTCTAATTTAAAACCTTTCTGAACAGTCATTTCACAGCATGCATTAAAACTTTAAAATTATGTGTAGTTTCCTTTTTTTTTTTTTCTTGAGATGGAGTCTCACTCTGTCACTCAGGCTGGAGTGCAGTGGTGCGATCTCAGCTCACTGCAACCTCCACCTCCCAGGTTCAAGTGATTCTCCTGACTCAGCCACCCCAGTAGCTGGGATTGCAGGCACCTGCCACCACGCCCAGTTAATTTTTGTAGTTTTAGTAGAGACGGTATTTCACCATGTTGGCCAGGCTGGTCTTGAACTCCTGACCTCAGGCGACCCACCTGCCTCGGTCTCCCAAAATGCTAGGATTACAGGCATGAGCCAACCTGCCCAGCTGTGTGTAGTTTCTTATAATTTTATTTCCTGGTGAATGCATATATATATATATATACACACACACACACACACACACACACACACACACACACACACACAAAGAATATAATCAAAACTATAATTGACACACACACACACACACACAAAGAATATAATCAAAACTATAATCAATTATCTATGTCCACAGGATATTAGCTATTTGACTCTGTTATTTATATTAGTAACATATATAACAGAGTCAAATTAGACACAACCAAATGTCCAACAATAGGAGAATGATTAAACAAATTACATCACTTTCAAAGGATATATTATGTAACTCATTAAGATATTTTCAATGATTGGTCAAAAATATGCAAATATAATCATAATATAATGACAATTTTTAGAATGGTGAAAAGCAGTGGTGTTTAGTTCTGTAGACTAGAGTAAAAGGCTTCAATGTTGACAGTAATTATTTCAAATTGGAGGATAACAGGTGAATTTTTCTGTATTTTTCATATTTTCTATAATTAGAATAAATTACCTTTAAAAGAAATATAAAAAACATTATCCAAAACTGCTCAAAGAAAATCCTATTAAGTGACTTCATTAAGATTCTATGGATAATTGTCGATGAAGACAGTTTTTAAAACAAATCTGAAAAAACTATAACAGCTTTTTATAATGTTATTTTTAAAAATCTATGCTTTTTAATAAAGTATATAGCTACACACACGAGCTGAATTGTGATCTCCTAAAAGTCATTTGTTGAACCCCTAACTCCAAATCCAACTGTAATTGGAGATAGGGCCTCTAAAGGGATAATTAAGGTTAAATGAGATCAGATGAGTGTGGGGCCCTAATCCCGTAAGACTAGTGTATTTATAAGAAAAGGAAGAAACACCAGGGATGCACATGCACAGAGAAAAGGCCATGTGAGCACAAAGCAAGAAGAAGGCCACATGTAAGCCAAGGAGACAGGCCTCAGGAGAAACCAAATCTGCCAATACTTGGATCTTGGACTTCCAGCCTCCAGAAGTGTGAGGAAATAAACTTCCGTTTTTTAAGCCAACCAGTCTGCGGTATTTTATTTTGGCAATGCTTGCAAACTAACATAAAACATAATAAAGTACTATAAAATGTACCTGGTAAATATTCTTTCTTCCATAATTTACTTTTAGGAGGCAGCAAATCAAGAAATAAACAGTAAAAAATGTTCTTCATACCACAGTGTCATGGCATAGAAGGGGCAAGAAATCATATTTCCAAGTAAAATGTTATTAGCTGGCACTATTAAAGAGAAACAAGGCATAGGATTGGGAATATAAGCACTGCAGATAGGGTTTTTAAAAAGTTGTTCAGGTTTATAGTAATTATTGTCCATCTAAAAATGTTCTATAGGCTAGGTATGATGACTCAGGCTCACAGCTGTAATCACAACCCTTCAGCACGCCAAGGCAGGAGAACAGCTTGAGCCCAAGAGTTTGAGACCAACCTGGGCAACATAGTGAGACTCCATCTCTACAAAAAATTAAAAAAAGAAAAAAATTAGCCAGGCATAATGGTGTCCACCTGTGGCCCTAGCTACTGGGAAGAATGAAGTGGGAGGATCACTTGAGCCCAAAGGTCGAGGCTGCAGTGAGCCATGATTGCACCATTGCACTCCAGCCCAGCCTGGGCAACAGAAGAAGACCCTGTCTCGAAAAAAAAAAACAAAAGTTTATAAAAGATTCTGCATAACATAATAGAAAATATTTTAAATTGTTCCATTTTATTTGTTCATGATATCTCCCAGTGCTCAAAACATTATGTGCATATGTATAGACACACATACATTCCTACAGATATATAACTCTGAAAGCAATTTCAGTCTTATAATTACTACTGGCAGTATACCTACAAATGAAAACATTCCTTCCCCAATCTTTTGTATTAGATTAATATGCAAGTTTCTTTTTATCTAAACTGAATTGTCAACACATTTATCCTTTTAGAATTTTCAACTACATTGCAGGGAGCATATTTAAAAAAAAAAATAGACCGTTTCATTTTCAGACCAAATTAAAATATCAGGTACCACTCTGATATTTTTTTTCAAAATTACCTTGTCTGGATCCATCTTTCCTTTGATAAATTCTTGCTTCCAGAACTGCAATGCCTGTTCCAAAGTTAAACCAATGCCCTTCAGAAATAGGCCATACTGCATTCGGCCTCCATGACGAAGATGGTGATTTTCCCGCAAGGCTTTATGTAACTGACGCATGCAAGGTGGGAAGGATTTGGTAGAAAGCTACAAGAAAAAAATAGTAGAGTTTTAAGTTAAGTGGAAGACTTATCAGGTCCCCTGTAATATTTGTTATGGTTCCTAATTCAATTTAATTGGAATAAAAAAAAAACACCATAAGAAAGTGCCACTTTATTACTGTGGTTACAGATGACTCTTATCTGTATAAGATGTTTCTTATTAACATTTTTTACTGGTTACAAGTTAATATAATATTTTAGATACTTTGGATTAAATAACATACTATTAAAATTTATTTTACCTGTTTTTTTAATTTAATTAAACTTTTTCTTTGAAGTTAACTACAGACTCCCATACAGTTACAAGAAATAATACAAAGAGATAGCATATATCCAAATTCCCCCAAAGATAAAATCATATACAACTACAGTAGATTATCACAAACAGGATACTGACATTGATACAATCCACTAGTCTTATTCAGGTTTCCTCAGTTGTACTCATGCACTTACTTCCGTATTAAATTTTATACAGTTTTGTCACATGTAGGTTCATACATCCACCACCACAGTCAACATGCAGAACAGTTCTGTCACCACAAGGATCTCTCATGATTTTATAACCACCCCCATCTATCTTTTGCACCCTGCTCCCCTCCCTCAGCTCCCTAATCTTTGGCAACCACTGATCTGGTTCTCCATCTCTATAATTTTGTCATTTCAAGAGTATAATAGAATCATATAATATGTATTGTTTTGAGATTGTCATTTTTTACTCAGCAGAATTCCCTCAAGATTCATCTAAGTTGTATATAAGCTCATTTCTTTATTACTAATAGTTTTCCATGGTATGAATGTATCATAATTTATTTATTCACTCATTGAAGAACACTTGGGTTGTTTCCAGTTTGGGCTATTTCAAATGAAGGTATTATAAGCATTCTTGAAGAGGTTTTTATGTGAACATAAGATTTCATTTCCCTGAGATAAAAGTACAATTGCTGAATAGCAGATGAACTTTTAAGATAACTCAAATACAAAGCAGAATACAAAAATAAGAGAAACTTCTCATAAGGAAAATTCAAATAAATATGTTAAAGAAACCAAGTTAAAAGGAACAAAGTGTAGTTAGTGCCTTAGTGCCAAAAATGAAATATCATTGCCTACTTTAATTTTTCACTTACGGTTTCAATTGCATTCTCTATGACTTCCTTAAATATCCTCCCAAGACTTAAATTCTTACTCCCTCACATATGCCTTAGCAAGTTCACTTCATCTATAAGAAAGAGCAGGTCTCACTTTGCTTGACTTTGCTGCTCCCTCTAGTGACCATCTAGTTTCTCTTCATTCTTTTACAGTAACAACTTCTGATTTTTTCCATCCCCAGTCTAGTTCATTCAGACCTATATCCTCCCTTGGTTCTATATCTAGAACTAACTAGAAAGCCTTTCAGCTCCTTTTCATGAGACCATTTTTGTTCCTTCATATTAATATCTGATTTTTTTCTAAACATTGTTCTAATCCATACAATCAATATTCAACATCCTTAGTATGAACATGCAAGGTTTCCTCAATATCTGGTAACTACCTTTCTTTTTTTTTCTTCTTTTTTTATTTTTTTGAGATGGAATCTCACTCTGTTGCCCAGGCTGGAGTGCAGCAGTGCCATCTCGGCTCACTATAACCTCTGCCTCCCAGGTTCATGCGATTCTCCTGCTTCAGCCTCCTGAGTAGCAGGGATTACAGGTGCCTGCCAACATGCCCAGCTGATTTTGGTATTTGTAGTAGAGACAGAGTTTCACCATGTTGGCCACGCTGGTCTCGAACTCCTGACCTCAGGTGATCCTCCCACCTTGGCCTCTCAAAGTGCTAGGATTGCAGATGGCATGACCCACTGCGCCTGGCCAATAACTACTTTTCAATTATACATAACAGAACAATTATTTATTAAGTGTTCTGGAAAATAAGCTAGGACCTAATTGTCCCCTTTAATTCAGTTAAGGAAAAAGACACCACAATTATTATATTCACTACTATGTAAGTTAAACACATGAAATAAATGATAAAATGAGGGCTCCAACAAGGGCAAAACTTGAGCACCACAGAAGCACTGTGACAGGGAGCCTGGGAAAGCCCAGTATATTATTACTACACCAAAATGAGTCCTCGGCTCCAGTCCACTGGATTATTCAATATCCCATGACCACGCAGTCATGCTCTGTAGCTTCTCATTTTTCTCACTCTGCTAGCCCTGCCTGGTGCACCCTTCTCATGCACATGCCATGTAGCCAAAGCCAAGTCATCATTCAAGACCCACCTCAATTTCTATTTCTTTTGGCACATTCCTTGATTACTTCTTATTCATTCAATCAACAAATATTTATTTAACACTTACTATGTGTACAGCCCTGGGGAACCAGTAGTGAACAAAGAAGTCAAAAACCCTGTCCTCGAAGAGCTTATTTTTAATAGGAGGAGACGGACAATGAATACAGACATTAAAAAGATAACATCTGATGCCAAAACACTGGAAATGAAATAGAGAAATGAAATCAAGTGTGATTAGGGGAGAGGTACTTCAATTTGGGTGGCCAGGGAAGCCTTTTTGAGGAGATGGCATTTCAAGTAAGACAAAGTAAGTTGGATTCTAGTGAAATGAAGATCCTGAGAAGGAATAAATGTGGTGTGCTAAAAGAGAGAATAAGATCCATGTGACCAGAGCAAGTGAATGAGCCGGAATGGAGCAGAAGATAAAATAGAAATGATGAGCACATATGGCTTCAGAGGCCACAACATGAGTTTGGATTTAAGTCTACATATGATAAAAACCCACTAGAGGGTTCTGACCAGAAGACTGATGTGATTCAATACACAAAGAGAACTCTGGCTGTTATGTAGTGAAAAGACTATATGAGAGTAAGAATGGAAGCAGGAGGGATACTTAAGAGGTGTGGGCAGTAGTCCAAATAATAAAAATTAAAAAGATAGTGTCTGGCTATATACAGATAGAAAAATGATCATGGAAAACAAGCAAACAAAAGAATCATAAGTCCAGGATAGGGGATAAATTATCAACTTGGATCTTGCAGAGGCCAAGAACAATAACAACAATAGCGCCAGTACACAAGACCATTAGCTAGGTGTTCAAATCATCAACGAATACAGGTGTGGGGGGAGGGGGTCGAATAGCAACAAAGGAGGTATCAGATGATATAATAAGATCACAAGGGCTTTAAAGGAGCTGGAGCTGTAACAATGGAAGGCAGAGAAATGCGGACCAAGAAAGACACTCACCGCATACCTATATATGAACTCGGGGGGAAAGTTGTCTCTACTTGAAGAGGCCCACAGCGGAAACAGCATTGAGAAAGCCAGATTTGTTAGAAGAAAAAACTAAAGAAAACATTTGGAGAAGAGTTGCAAATACCAAGGGATATGCAAATGACATGCTGTTGTGAAGATCAAACAATATAGATACAGAGTTAGGAGGCAGTCCAGAAAAAGATACATCTGTATTACTCACCACGGGGTCTCAGGCACAGACCCATGACAGGATCATCATCATAGCACTTAACATTATATTGCTCATTTATTATTTATTATGTTGTCCCTCTCCCTCATGTAAGGTCCATGAAGGCAGGGACATTTTCTGTTTTCCTCACTTCTGTATCCACAGCACAATGGCTGCTACATAACTGATGGGCTCAATACATATCCATTAAATGAATTAATATTTCTATGAACTCCAACAGTATCCAATGAAATTCACATTTGCTTGTGAATAGGGAAACATCTAGCTAGAACTAAGAACAGAATTAACCTCCAACCATTCACATTATATAAGCACAAATCACATGAGTGGAAGTGAGAAAGTGGACTGTTAGAGATAAGTGTTTAATAAAAAAATTAAAAGATGGGACATCTTTGAGAACAAATTTCAAATCAACAAATCAACTGTGTAAAGTAGGCAACCCTACTGTTATTTCTAGACATATTAACTGCAAGTACTTTTTTATAATTTTTCAAATGGAAGACGACCTATTCATTCTGATCCAAACTCACGTTCTTTCTCTACTAGTCTTATTACAGTTCTTGTTTCCAAGCATTAAAATCCCTGTGTATTTTTAATTTATTGTGAATAATTTGGTAGTTGTCTAACCCAAGATTATTTATGGCTGGCTTATTTTCCCTTTGTGTATGGAGTGCAAATGCTGTTATGTATTAAAGAGAAATTCTACAAGTATGGCAAAGTACGCTACCCTATGGAACCACAAAGTCAAATGATGCTAAAATAAGCTATCTATTAATCTCGTAGCCTACACTGGATGATGAATTGTCCTCTCCCCCTGAAATTCATATATCAAGTCCTGACCTCTAGTAGCTCCAAATGTGACTATATTTAGAGATGGGGCCTTTAAAGAACTCATTAAGATTAAAGGAGGCCATGGGGGTGGGGCCCTGGTCTCACATACTCAGTGTCCTTACAAAAAGAAGAGACACCAGGGATGTATGCAAGCAGTGGGAAAACCACAGGAGAACACAAGGAGAAGGCAGCTATCTGTGAGACAAGAAAGGCCCTGGAAGAAATCAAACCTACTATCCCTTTGATCTTGGATTTCGAGCCTCTAGACTGTGAGAAAATAAATTTCCGTTGTCATGACAACCCTAACAAACTAATACACTTAGTGTTTTCCATTTCCCCTTTATTAAATGTATACACTATTTAAATGTAAACACAAACTCCATTTAGCTATTTAAAAGAATTCCTGTTTGGAATAGTTGATTAAATTCTGTTTTCATAAAAGTACAGATAATTTTCTGATTAAATGATTTTCTTATGATTTTTTTTAAAATCATCTAAGTGGGACATGGGATTTTCTTTAAAATTAATCAGCAAGCAGTGAAATAATATTCTATCTCCTCACCCAAAAGTCTTTGATTTAAGAAAATCTATGTTCCCTCCATTGATAAAGTTCTAAGTTTAAAATAATGTTCTACTTACCAAATCAATCTGATCTAAAGAAATCTTCCCAACATTTCCCTGGGTACTGTAATCTTGGCCAGTGTAGGAATGACTTTAAAAAAAGAAAAAAAAATATTAAAACAGATTCATAAAATACTTTTGATCCCTTCGAAGGAAATTTTTTAAATTCTGAAAATGATTAAAATAAGAAAGCATTTTACATGTAAACCTTAGCAGAAACATAGCCAAGTGTTTTAAACGTATTTAATGAAATTAATTTAAGTAACTTACCCCAAAATAATAGAAAAATATAGTAACAGTCTGAACCTCCTGACTCCTAGTCTAGAGCACCACTTCCATTTTTTTAGAAGCATAATCCAAGTTGTTGTTAAAGTTCAAACCTCTACCATTTATCCTTTATTAACAGCACGACAACATAGCAAAAAAGCAGCTGGAACTTAAATTGGGAATCATCACTTAAAAGTAGTAGGTGAGCAAGTTACTTAGTTACTCTCTGTATGCCAGGTGCCTTATTGACTAATGGCGATAATAATGCCTGCTTTGCAGTGTTGATAGGAGGTCTGAATTGTAAGAATTTTTGTTAAAGAGCCTGACATAAAGCAATCACTGTTTATTAAAATAAATAATATCTGAATAGCATTTTACAGTGTACAAAGAGTCTTCAATAGCCTCTAATTAGATCCTTGCAACCCCCTGAAAGAGCGTTTCTGTATATCATCTGATGAATGGAGGCTTGGAGGAGTTAGAAACTTGTTAGGATCAGAAAGCAAGTCAGCAGTGCAGTGGGAACTCAAACCTTTTGATTCCTAATTCCCCATTTTTTCACCGCACCATATCATCCTCTTCCCTATAATAAATTTTCCTGCATGATTATCTTCAAATTAGGAAACATAACTTGGTATATACTACCTTAAGCCACCCACCTCAGTAATGTTTGACCTCCTTCACACAACACACTACTCATGCCCAACTCCATGAACACAGACTCAGGTGCATGCAGGTGTGACATAGCAAAAAACAGCTGCTAGATTACATAGAAATTCACAATCAAACCAAAGATTATACAAATACCACAACTAAAGGGAAACCCTGGAGTGAAGAGTCATTATGATCATAAAGAATTCCACCTGGGCAACAGAGTAAGACTCTGTCTCTACAAATAATAAAAATTAAAACAAAAACAAAAACCTGGGCATGGTGGCATGCCTGTAGTCCTAGCTACTCTGGAGGCTGAGGTAAGAGGATTGCTTGAGCCAGGGAGATCAAGGCTGTAGTGAGCCATGATCATGCCTGAGCATTCGAGCCTAGGCTATAGAGCGAGACTGTCTCAAAAAAACAAACAAACAAACAAAAAATCCAGATACTACTTTCTATCTGCTCAGTTACAGATTCTACCTGCTGAACCACATATACGCTCAAGATGCTCTGTAGACAGGCTGTTGTTTCCATAATCAATCAATTTTACTGATTAAACAATGGGTATGGATTATGAAGCAAAACCACAATATAGCTGGCTCACACCTGTCATCCCAGCACTTTGGGAGGCTGAGGCAGGCAGATGGCTTGAGCCCAGAAGTTCAAGACTAGCCTAAGCAACATGACAAAACCTTGTCTCTACAAAAAATACAAAAATTGGCCAGGCATGGTGGTGTGTGCCTGTAGTACCAGCTACTCAGGAGGCTGAAGCAGTAGGATGGCTTGAGCCCAGGAGGTGTAGGATGCAGTGAGCTGAGATCATGCTCCACCCTGGGTGACAGAGTAAGACCTTGTATCAAAAAAAAGAAAAAAAAAAAGGTACAGATTTCCCCTCCCTGCAAGTCCTCCTCCTACAGGCTAAGAAGGACCTGAGAATTACTCTGAGAGCAGGATGAGTAGACTAATACTGAGGGAAACCAGAAGATGCCACCCCCCAAAATATGAAGGATTATTGAGTGAAGGCAATTTAAGAAGAAGCAGATTCAGGAAAGTTCTCCGCCCTCCCTCTATCTGCCTAAAAGCAAAACACAGATTCACAAAGACAAAAGTCATCCTGCCCACCTTTTCCCAGTGAGAACAAAGGTTGATCAGTGAAGATAACTTCAGATTCTTATTATGTGGAGATGATCCCAGAGGAAACTATATGAACAAGCTTTACCAACTGGTCTTTATCTCCCATTTATTTGCCTTCTCACAAGTTGCTGCCACCAGAGACTCAAAGTCCTTTTCCTTTGCCATGTCACTTCTCTAGAAATTTATTGCTCTTAGTTGAATTTGCTATGTAAACTTGAATTGAAAGCACCTTTTTTTGAGAACCACTTACTTTCTGGATGTTTTCCATGCATATGTCTTCCATAGCACACACATGTGCTATGGTTTGCATATCTGTCCCTTCCAAAACTCATGTTTAAATTTAATCCCTAATGTGGCAGTATTGAGAGGTGGGATTAATGGATAGAGGATTAATAGATTAATGAGTTGCCATGGGAAGGAAACTTGTGGCTTTACAAAATGAGGAAGAGAGACTTGAGCTGGCATGTTAACACACTCAGCCCCCTCGCCATGTGATACCCTACACCACCTCAAGACTCTTCAGAGAGTCCCCACCAGCAAGAAAGCTCTCACCAGGTACACCCTCTGGACCTTGGACTTCCCATCCTCCATAAGTGTAAGAAATAAATTTGTTTCCTTTATAAATTACCCAATTTCAGATATTCTGTTATAAGCACAGAAAACTGATACAAAATGTTAATAAACTTGTTTGTTTTTCTCCTATTAATCTGTCTTTTGTTACATGGGTCCTTTCCAACCTATAGGGCTTGAAGAAAAAATTATTCTTCTTCCCCTATGAGACCATATCCTAAAACACATCTCCTCTTGTATTATTTTCCCTTGCCTTGAATTATCTTTCCCTTGAGTGACACCTTTCTGACAATGTGTTATTGGATTCTATGCATTCCATTAATTGCAGTAGCACAATGGCATATAAAACTCATGCAAAGTTAAATTGATAGCTGCCATTTAACTTTAATGTTTTAGACTTTAGTACACAGCATAACCAGATAATTGTTTCAGTGAAATCTCAGGAATAAAAATGTTATTTCTTTTTCCAACATGTCTTACAGTAGAGCAAAGAGGCAGCATGGGGCATTGGGAATGGCAGTAGGCTAGGATTATGAAGACACGTTCTTGGTTTTTTGTTTTTTTTTTTTGAGACGGAGTCTCGCTCTGTCTGTCGCCCAGGCTGGAGTGCAGTGGGGCGATCTCCGCTCACTGCAAGCTCTGCCTCCCGGGTTCACGCCATTCTCCTGCCTCAGCCTCCCAAGTAGCTGGGAATACAGGCGCCCACCACCACGACCGGCTAATTTTTGTATTTTTGAGTAGTGACGGGGTTTCACCGTGTTAGCTAGGATGGTGTTGATCTCCTGACCTCGTAATCCACCCACCTCGGCCTCCCAAAGTGCTGGGATTACAGGCGTGAGCCACTGCGCCCGGCTGGTTTTTGTTCTTTAAATACCAGTTCTGCAAACTGGGACAAGTCACTTAACCATTCTGATTTGCATCATCCTTATTTGTAAAATGGCACTAATAATGCCAGCCCTGCCTAATTAACAGAAATACTGGGGAAATCAAATGAAATAATGTATCCAAAGTGCTAATTAAAATCAGTAAAGCATACTCCAGCACAAACAGCAATTGCAGTCTTGACCAATAAGTACAGAAATAACAGGATTGTAAGAGAGACAACAGCATGATCCTGTAGAGGAGCCATCATCCAGCTGGGAAGTACTAGGCCATGCCATTGACCCTTATAAGTCTCAGCTTCTTAGTCTATCAGCTGAAGGTGGTGATTACAATGATGTAACAGGATTGTTCAGATCAAATAAACAAATATGAAAGGCCTCTATAAATGGTAAAATGATGTACAAACAGAATTATAGTTATTGAGTAAATGAAGCCAAATGATTACTATGCCACAAGGAAGTTGTTCTCAGCCCAGATTAATGCATACTATACTAAGTACAAAGAGAAGACATATAAAGAGGACATATACATTTGCCTAAATGACAGTATAAAATGCTTGTTCTTCCACACCTCACTAGAATATACAAAAGGGCTAAATTTCAAGGAAAAAAAGAAAAAAAGCAAGAGAATGCTAGCAACGATGAATGCAAAGACTTTATTGGTATAAATGCCTACAGAGAGAATATAAGTAGACTTAAACTGTGTAGACATCAAACTTCTAAAAATATTTTTGGCCAGTCCTAGTGGCTCATGCCTCTATTCCCAGCAGTTTGGGAAGCCAAGGCAGGAGGACCGCTTGAGCCCAGGAGTTAGAGATCAGCCTGGGCAACATATAGCAAGACATCATCGCTATAAAAAAAAAAAAAAAAATTAGCTGGGTGTGGTGGCACGCACCTGTAGTCTCAGCTACTCAGGAGGCTGAGGTGGGAGGATTGCTTGAGCCTAGGAGTTTGAGGTTGCAGTGATTTATGATCACATCACTGCAGTCCAGCCTGGATGAGGGATTGAGACCCTGTCTCAAAAATAAAAAATAAAAACTCTATAAAAAAGACATACACGTAATAGAAAGAAGGCCACCAGCCTAGTGTGGGCAAGTATGGAACCCATGGGGGTGGGGATGAATATGATAGAAATGAGGATGTTAAGTATCAGAATTAGGAATGACATCTCTCCTCTACTCATCTATAATCAGAAAGGCTTACTTATGTCTGCATTAGAGGAGGTGATAATAAACATCACAGCTACTTAAACCTATTTGAACTAGTTAAGGATAGCTGGGGGGCAGGGGGATTGTTAGATACAACACAAGAAAGGCAGATGGTGAGAAGACTGTATCCCATGCTCTGCAGGCAGTGAAAAATCATGAAAAGATGTGAGGCAAGAACTGACATAATCCAGTTTACACTTGAGAAACAAAGCAGTGTGGGGAAATAATTAGAAAGGGGAGGGACTGGCAACAAACTGGAAGAATACTGTAGGCAATGTTACATCCAGGCGAGGAAAGGTGAGAGCCTGAGTAAAGTAGTGGTAACGATGGAGAAAGGAAGGCAATAGATGGGTTCAGGAAATTTTCTGGAAAAGAATGGATATGCTTTGATGAAGGAGGTAGAAAAGTCAAGAATAACAAATCAGTTTCTAGCCTGAGTGACTGAGTGCTTCCAAGCCAAGATTTCACTTTCCACAAGATAAAAACTATTTAGCCTAAACAATAAAACTGTAATTCAGGAATAAACTTACAAAGAAATTATGAAAATACAAGTTTTGATAATAAATTTTCTTCACTCATCTTTACAATGTTTCCAGGTGAATGGTTTTTTCCTCATAATAATGAAACATTGACAGAAGCTCAAAAATCAAGGTAGAAGAAAAACAAATAATGCTGCCATAAAATAAAAAAACCCTTAAAAGCAATTCACATTGGCTCATGAAACTGGCTTTTACCTGGAAGTGCCAAAAGATGGTTCTAAAGGAGAATCCTAACAGGTAGCCAGGAAAGAGACGTGCCCTTCTCCATTCAGAGCTCAGCGCCAGCTTTCTATCATACTGCTGCCAAATAAATGAAGCTGCTATATTAATGAATTGTCAAAATATATTCTTATTTTCATGATTTGAAAATGATCGATTTTATGAGGGAACATGTCTTAGTAATTATATTGGGAAAACACAGAAAGTCATTTTTAAATGCAAAAAACATTTCTAATTGCTTCAACATCTATAAACACATGCAAACCCAGCAGAAAACAGTTTTCTGTCCATTTAAAATACTCACAGCTTTATTTTGAGAGACATTCACTGTCACCAACATAGTTTTTTAAGTAAGGGATTCAGTAAGCATAAAAGCTTTCCTACTCCTAATGTTTCATAAAAGAATAAAGTGAGATATAACACAAATACCATTTTTTTCAATATAGAAGACCGAAGAACATTTTAATGGGTCACAAAATTCAAATTATGTCATTAACGACTATTTTGCCAAATATAAAGGGCAATGTTTGATTAATCAGAGAATCTTGAAAAATCTGAATTTGATTTCCTTAATTCTCAGTTTAGCCACTAATTTTCCACAAGTTTAAAAGGAAAAAGACAAGGCAAGCTATGCATCACTTTTTTTCATCCATAAATATGTGTGGTAATGGATAAGGAATTGCAGTGATTTACTTACACTCCCTATGCATAATTTATTTGCTAAAGTATCAGGTGAAAGGCATTAAGGGTGAAATATCAGTTTTCTCAAGTTATAGAAAAGTAGTGAAAACAATAAAGATGTGGTTCAGTGAATATTCAATTACATTAGAAATCTATCTGAAGACACTGGATTGTAAAAGGATATAGTGTATTTCTGCTAAAATGTAACAATTACTGCACTGTAACAGCAAAATAAACACCTTCACTACCGAAACAGAACCATATAAATGCATAAAACCCAGGACAAACTACTTTTCTAATATCACTAGATTGTCAGATTCTCTCTCTATAAGACACTTTTTTTCCACATCCCAGTTGTTGTCCTGATCTGGATGTAAAAGATTCTAATTACTAAAACAAACAAATAAATAAAAAAACACCACACACACACCTTCAGGAATCCCTGTACAACCCCCCTATCTCTCAGCATACACTTATTAAGCACCTTTGTGACCAAGGAAGGGTCCAAGCAGTGAAGGATCCAGACATAGTCCAGGGAGGATAATGTGATGAGTGCCACAACAATGCTCAAAACAATTGTTCCTCAAGCCCGCAGAGAGGAGGTCTCTTCTAAATGAAGGGTGAGAGGAGAAGGTAGGCAATGTGTGCAGCATTAAAGATTTTTGAGCAATACAATGGCACTGAATAGAGAGAGTTATGCTTTAGAAACACAGACTACAGGATCCTAGAATGTTATTAGAATGTTGTTGAAATGCCGGACAACAGGTCTAGGTTGAATAGAGAAGCCTGCTGAGCCATGGGCGGAAGGGGTGATCTTGGGGAACTGAAATAGAAGTCTGGGATCAAAGGAAGATGACAATCAGTAGGAATGAGCAACTAGGGAGTAAAGTGGAAGAATTAGAGAATGTAGTTGGAAAATAGTTTAAGCTTGGAGGTTTAGAAGTAGGATGTGATAATCACAAAAAAAGTCAAAGGCCTGGTTGTTTTAATATTTTTATCATTTGTAGTTTAACAACGTTAAATATATTAAAACATTCTGACATTTTGACCAGGTTCATAAAAGTATGTGATTAAAGTTTATTAAGGTTGTTGAAGGGGTTTTAAAGTAAGAATGTGATAAGGGCGTAGCATTTTGGAATAATAAAGTCTTTTTCTTAGGATCTGAAGGGTTATCACATAACAGACGGAGGGGCAGAAAGGAGAAGCAAAGCCAAGAAAATTTCTAAAAAGTAGTTTATAGATGAAGAGGTTAGGTTAGAGAAAAAACACAAGCAAAGGCAGGTGGGCAGGGGGTGGGGGAGAAATTCGGTAGGAAATTAGGCAGGTCCTGAGATAGGTCTTTAATCAAAGACCATTAAAATATAATTTTAAAAACCCCTTTAAGTCCTATTTCCTTTGTAATAATATAGTGCTAAGTTTCTGTTTTCATGAAAATTTGAGGTTTTCTCCAGGTTTCTAAACACCTAAGTGTACATATAATAGTGCCTTCTAAGAAAACAGAATTTTGCAATTGTGTATAACAAACTCTGCCTACACAAAAGTAATCTGGTGTTTTTGTTTTATTTTGAGGCGATGGTCTTAAATTATATATTCTGCTATAAGAGAATTCATGATACACAAAATATATAAAAGCATCCTTTTTTTTTTTAATTTGAGACGGAGTTTTGCTCTTGTTGCCCAGGCTGGAGTGCAATGGTACGATCTCGGCTCACCGCAACCTCTGCCTCCCCGGTTCAAGTGATTCTCCTGCCTCAGCCTCCCGAGTAGCTGGGATTACATGCACGTGCCACCATGCCTGGCTAATTTTGTATTTTTAGTAGAGACGGGATTTCTCCATGTTGGTCAGGTTGGTCTTGAACTCCTGATCTCAGGTGATCAGCCCGCCTCGGCCTCCCAAAGTGCTGGGATTACAGGCGTGAGCCACCGTGCCCAGCCAAAAGCATCTTTTAATGGTTGCATCTGTTCAATAAACTTACATAAAACTTAATTAAAACACAGTCACACCTGAGGAACTTTTCCGTCTCATATTATCTCGCTCATTAAACATAAGAGGCCAGCATGGCTAGTTTTCCAATATAGCTTAAAATCACAGCAAACAGAAAATTATAAAGCTAACAGAATTTCAATAATTTATAGGCTGAAAAGAGAAAGGTTAAGACTTTCAAAACATACAAAACACATATTTACACAACCAAATTTAAATGATCCCATTTTAAATCCAATTAAATCAATCTAATTTTGGAGAATGCAGGGGTTGGGGAATGACCAAGACAGCAAGGCATAATTAATCACATCCACACTAAACTAGAGTTTCCCCCAAATACTGTCTCACAAACGTCTAATGTACAGAGCAAAAATACCATGGATATATAAAAGGATAAATCTGAAACAGATACATCTGCACACATCTGATCTGTGAATTGTAGTGAAAGGCAGACCTACTCCTGGACTTTGTAGAAACAACAGAAATTTAAGTCCTGTTCAATGTACCACGAATATCAATATGAGCACTTAGGTACTCAACAGGGAATTGTTTTTGAGTGTTGAAACTCAGAGTTGAAAACAAAAAGCAGAAATTACATGAAAGTGGATTTATGGGTCTCATGGCAAGATTAGCTGGTTAAGAAAAATAATAATAATCTTTTCATGCTGTGGCACTGACTGTTAGCAGAAGATGGATCATCACACCTCAGCTCCAAGAGTGGTATTCACCAGCTCCACTACTGTGACATAAATGCCACAGGGCATTACTGACAAAATGGGAGGGCAAAAGTCAGCTTTTCATGGGTGATTACAACTCCAGTCATTTTCTCCTTTTCAGACTACTGATGAAAATTTGACAGAGTAAACAGGAAGTAGTGGAATAGTTGCAACACTTTAGGAATTGGCTGCAACTTCTCTTCATCTGTATAATTTCTCCAAGTCCAGTTTGCCCAAGGCAATCATGGAGGCATAAAAGAACCAGGCAATAAATAGAGAAGCGTGATTAAGAGGGTAAGTTTCAGAATTCGAGAGTCATGCAAAAGTTTGCATACAGTCACTACCTGTGTGATTTTGCAAAGATTTCTTAATTGCTTTCATCTTAATCACTGGTAAAACAGGGATTATAAAACAGATCACAAAAGTGCTGCTCTCAAAAAGTTGTTGTGAGGACAAATGAAATGTCTGAGTGTTTATCACAGTATTTTTCACTTAAATTGTAATAAACATCATCATCATCTCGGCCTAAATTTATTATTCTTAAACATTTTGGATTTTTTTTCTCTGTTCTTAACGTTCGCCAATTTCTTTCTATGAATACTAGAAAAAATAATTTCCTTCCAACCTTCTTCATACTATCACATAAAATGTTTAACCTCAAAGTATTAATAGGAGAATTTAGATGTCCTTGAATAACCTGATATCTGGAAGATTTTGTGAGTCTATCATTATAGTCTATATTCACATTTTTAGGAAGTGTCCAAAGTACAAATATTCAACTTAAACAGTAGAGATTTAAATGAAATCCATTTTTATAAAGCTTTACTGTTATATAGTATCCATTAGCCAAATGTGACCATTGAGCACTTGAAATGTAGCTTAAACTAAATTGAGATGTTCAACAAGTACAAAGTACACACTGGATTTCAAAGACTTAGTCCATAAAATGTAAAATATTTCATTCACAATTTTTCATAGTGATTACATATTAAAATATTTTGAGCTGGGTGTGGTGGCACATATCTGTAGTCCCAGCTACTCAGGAAGCTAAGGAAGAAAGATTACTTGAGCCTAGGAGTTCAAGTAGCTGAGCCTGGGCAAAAGAGCAAGACCCCATCTCTTAAAAAAATAAATAAATAAAAGATATTTTGAAAAAGAGTTAAATAAGGTATGTTATCAAAATTAATTTCACTGAGTAATTTAAAATTATATATAATTATATATGTGGCTTACATTTGTTGCCCTCATTATGATTCTACTGGATAGCATTATTGTATAGTGAGGACACAATGACATAAAACAATCAAATAGTTCTCTGGAGGACTAGGTATACCTATAGAATAGCCAGATGACTTGCCCTGACTTCTATTTGCTACACTAAGATCAATCTCTGCCAAGTCATAAACAAAATACAGGCTGTAATTAGGCCAACTAAAAGAAGTGCTTCAAGTTTACTGTAAATGTGCTTGTTTTTACAACATTTTACTTGGGAATCAAGTTTTTATATTTAAGTCATAGTTTGCCATTTATACTATTAGGGAAGCAATCTTGAATTCTGATTAGCTTGGCGGTAACCTGAATTGTTTCTCTGGGGACAAAGAAAGCTGTGACATGTTTATCTGCGAGGCTTTGGGGCTGCTTGGCCAACCTCAACCTCAATACCTAATTGCAACTGTCCATTCTTCTCTCATTTGTAAGAAGCCATAATACACAGGATGCAAATGTGGCTTACAGCAAAATCCTAAGCCAGAGTGTAAAGAATTCCTCCCTCATCCTCAGGGGGTATTTCTCTGCCCTCCCTCCCCACCAGCAGACAGAGTTTCTGACGTTCATAAAACAATAACATATAAAACATATTTCCATTCTTTGTCAAGCATTTCCCAGTATTCTTAAGCCTAAAGAGGTTAACACCATTTACTCCTTTCTATCTGGCAGGTTATAGTTTATCATATTTTTTAAACTAGAATAAAATAAAAAAGCAGTGAAGAAAGCATCACAAGTAATCAAAACTGATCTCTGCATCAAAGAAACATATTTATTTGGACCATTAAAAAGTAAGCTAATACATCTTTCAAAATGAACTGTAATCTCCTACATCATTCCATAAAAGTATACCAAGTTCCAATACAGCCTTTTCACATAAAGCCAGGTGTAATAATAGCACAAATGGAAAAACAATTTCAGGAAGAGGAAGTAAATGTTTCTGTACATTACCCATATATCTATTTTTTGCAATCACAATTTTACCCACTTAGGGTGTTAAAAAAAAAAAAAAAAAAAAAAAAAACCCTAACCACATAAACTAAGCCACTCAGACATTTAGAAAGCACAGTCCCTGCACTTTGGATTTGTTGGGTGGGTAGGAAATCAAAGGAACCAAAGCTACAATATATCATTTCCTGCGGTGAAGGATATCACAGGAAAATTCAGTCAACAGCTGTCACCACTGAAATTGAAATGAGTTTGGGTTTTTTTCTCCAGCTAAATCCCTAGTAAATGATATCCAACTTGTATTAGCCCAGGTGATTTTCCCTGCAGTTATTCCAAATGAGAACACAATCAATAAAATTCTGTTTTAAATTGGTTGAATGTAGATTATTTTTCCACAAGCATAAATTTTATTCAACTTTATTTTTTAAAAAGTCTCTGCAGAAAACTACCATCAGACAACATGCAGTATAATGATCTATTTTTCTTTATAACTGGGAGAAATTGTATGATTCCAAGAGGCTAAAATATCCATAAAAATCAGGACCATACGGGTTTCCATACCAGGTAGGAACTATAAATGGTACAACTGCTACTTTATTTTATGTTTCCCTCATCTTCCCCATGTGGCCCATATTTTCCTATTTATTCCAAGTTATAACCAAAATCCAATGAACTCCAAGATAAGTGAAAGTTGCATCTCATTTTTCTATAAAAATATCTGTATGTTTGTCAAAAGACATTGAACTATACCCTTTAAACGGGTGGATTTTTTGTGTATAAATTGTACCTCAATAAAATTGATTTTAAAAGTAAAATACACACATACACCCCTGTAACATATATTCAAACTACAGCTTTACATTGGTATTTTCACCATATAACTTTAAGACCCCCAACAAACATATCTATTTTCATGAGTAAAAATTTTATGTTCCTTTACTCTCTATATTCTTAGTATATATTCTAGTAATATAATGAACCCAAATACAGATGGTTTTGGTTTTGGGTTGGGTCCAGGATAGTCAAATGACTACAGTAAAGAAAGGATTCATAATAGGTTAGTCATGAAAAAGTGAGAGGTCGAGGGAATAAAGTTCCAACATCCAGCAAAATTAATACGTTAAAATGATGGACAACATCTTCCCATTCCCCCACAAATAATTTACACAATGTGGAATGCTACTGAGATGAGCTATTACACATTTATGGCATTCTAGGATTATCCCCTCACATTTGTTCCCCAATAACTGCCACAGTGTTTTGGGAGCTTTGGTAGGGGGTGCTGGAACAGTTAATGAGGATTATTATTAAAAGTCACAGTCCAACAGTCACATTACATCCTTTCCTTATACGCCACTTCAGTCTCACATAGCCATTGACAATGCCTCATAATGTTTAAGGGTTTCATTTCATAGATCAAAAGAGCAAGGTATGTAACAGTTTTGTTCCTGGTTTTGTTTTTGAATACAAGTGGTCAACATTTGAATAAGTTGTTGCGGGAAGTCAGGGACCCCAAACAGAGGGACCGGCTGAAGCCATGGCAGAAGAACGTGGATTGTGAAGATTTCATGGACATTTATTAGTTCCCCAAATTAATACTTTTATAATTTCTTACGCCTGTCTTTACTGCAATCTCTAAGCATAAATTGTTAAGATTTCATGGACACTTATCAGTTCCCCAATCAATACCCTTGTGATTTCCTATGCCTGTCTTTACTTTAATCTCTTAATCCTGTCAGCTGAGGAGGATGTCGCCTCAGGACCCTGTAATAATTGCATTAACTGCACAAATTGTACAGCATGTGTGTTTGAGCAATATGAAATCTGGGCACCTTGAAAAAAGAACAAGATAACAGCAATTGTTCAGTGAATAAGAGAGAGAACCTTAAACTCTGACCGCTGGTGAGCCGGGCGGAACAGAGCCATATTTCTCTTCTTTCAAAAGCAAATGGAAGAAATGTCGCTGAATTCCTTTTCTCAGCAAGGAACATCCCTGAGAAAGAGAATGCGTGCCTGCGGGTAGGCCTATGAACGGCCCCCCTGGGCGTAGCCATCTCTTATGGTCGAGACTGCAGGGGTGAAATAGACCCCAGTCTCCCATAGCGCTCCCAGGCTTATTAGGAAGAGGAAATTCCTGCCTAATAAATTTTGGTCAGACCAGTTGATCTCAAAAACCCGTCTCCTGATAAGATGCTATCAATAACAATGGTGCCCAAAACTTCATTAGCAATTTTAATTTCACCTCGGTCCTGTGGTCCTGTGATCTCGCCCTGCCTCCACTTGCCTCGTGATATTCTATTACCTTGTAAAGTACTTAATGTCTGTGACCCACACCTATTCGCACACTCCCTCCCCTTTTGAAAATCCCTAATAAAAACTTGCTGGTTTTTGTGGCTTGTGGGGCATCACGGAACCTACTGACATGTGATGTCTCCCCCGGACACCCAGCTTTAAAATTTCTCTCTTTTGTACTCTGTCCCTTTATTTCTCAAGCTGGCTGACGCTTAAGGAAAATAGAAAAGAACCTACGTGAATATCGGGGCAGGTTCCCCGATAATAAGTCATTGGTAAGAAAAAGAGGGAGCACTTCTGAGGTCACACAGAGGAATAGAAAGTACTCTCTGTCCTCCATGATTAGTTCCTGATTGCATAAAGAAGAGTCCTATGTCCCAAAACAAAAGATAAAAACAGCAGTACATTTCTACAAAGATAAAAAGCATTTCTTTATCATAGTTATCCTTTGGAAATAACAGAAAATCCATCAGCTTTTTGTCCAAATTACCATCTCATTCAGTCTCAATATTTAGCAGCTTGGAAAACGGAATTAAAGGTAAAATTTTTTAACCTGACAGTTTCTATAATTCACTCATCCATTCATTCATTTATTCATTCATTCAAGTGTTTACTGAGGTCCTATTATGCCATTCTTATAAGTAATGGGGAGATAGTGGTACACAAGATGGCCAAATTCCTTCATCTAATGGAGCTCATACCCTAGGCAAAAAAATATTGAACAAGCAAACAAATTAAAACGATCATTCCAACTAGTGATGTTGCTGAGAAGAAAACATAACATAGTGAGAAAATATTATAAAGCACTTGTGAGGGTGACTTTACATTGGATGATTAAGGACACACCTCAGTAAGACCTGAGAAGATGCACCGCTATACACATTTTTGTTTGTTTCCACCACTGTACACATTTGATGACTGTTCCTGGTAGATTGTATGTATGCAGTAAGTCAAGAACCAAGATACCGCTACTAAAAGTGGGCATTTAAAATTCATCTTGTATTATCCTTTCTAGCACTACTTTCCAAATAGTAATTAGAAACAATTGAGAGTGCATTAAACTTTTGGTGAGTCTTGGTAGTCTGCCTTTCCTCAGCTCAATTTATTAATTTTGTTTTGTGTTTACTCTGAGTAAATAAAGGTTAATTGGTTCTGGAATGCCAGGGGGTGCTCTTAGGTTAACTAAACATTTAGACTCACAAGACTATGCCATAGACCCCTTGTGGCATCAGTTTACTTGGAAAAAGATCCAGGACAGGAATCACAGCTTGCTAGCTGGGCAGCTTCAAGTATTCCTCTTCCATGGAATCCTTACCACAGTCCTGCACAGGTGGACAGCTCATTCAGGTACAGAGGCAAAATCCCCACCAGTAGATGTGAGAGCTGCCCTGACTTAGGAGCCTCATGACCCTCAGTGACCACAATTGCTTATAACAGCTCCATACATATAGCTTTTCCAGGGCTACCTCAGATTTGAAACTCTAAGCCCCACTACTATGATTTTTTAAAAATATGTAATTATTTAAATAAATCTCAAATACAATATGGAACTACACTATCAAATACAGATACCATTAACTAAAATTGGTTGCTGAAATTAAAATTTTAATTAATTAAAATTAAATAAAATTTAAAATTCAGTTCTTTAGTAGTACTAGCCATGTTTCAAATGCTCAATAGCCGTAAGTGGCTATTGGCTACTGGATTAAACAGTACAGGTATAGAACACTTCCATCATCACAGAAAGTTCTATTACATAGCATTCAACAAGTTGCTTTTTGTTGCTAATATATCACAAATACTGCCACAATGCTTTCTCAGGCCTTTTAAGAATATTATTTCCCATAACATCATTATTATTTTGCACTGTTAGTGTTTTATGACTAACACAGTGTAAAATCACTAATTTTCTTTGTAACTTAACCAGAGAGCGATCAATGTTTTAAAGAAACCCAATGAGTGAAGACTAGGAAATTTAACAACTGCAGATATTAAAAGTATTAAAAAAGCATAAGAAATCATAAATTTTACTTTCCAGCGGTATCTTGGTTCCTGACTTACTGCATACATACAAGGCTCCCAGTATCCTGTATCCACAATCCAGAAATTCCTGAGAAACTTTGGAGTCAGAGGACTAAGGGAAATCTACAATCTCTGGTTGGAGATAAGCTACAAAACCACTGTGACAAGCGAAGTTTCATTATTTCCAGGATGCTACGTGCTCACATATAATCACATACCTCCACTATGCCAAGAGTCATCATGATTTATTATAATTACTTTAGTTAAACTTCTCTTTTTACTGATAACTATTCAGTCCTACAAAGGCAGAAATAAATGTATCCCTAGAACCTAACATCATGAGGCAACCAGTAAGAGTTCCTTTAATATGTGTTCAATAAACAATACATAAAACAAACTCTTAGAATGCTAAAAGGTGTGTGAGCATGTATTACTGAACAGCTCTCATACAAAGTAACCAGTACATCTCAGCCACTATAATGTAACCTCATTACAAAGTCTACTATTTACAGCAGTGTTTATTTGCCTTGTTCTAGGTAGCTGGTTGATAAGACAGGAAAGAGTTTTCTATCTTCTTTCAATATTAAAAAGAAAATCAGTAACTTTTTATATTTCTGTTAAGAACTCATTTCTTATACCTTTTTTCAACTTTAAGATATATTAAACTAGTAAAGTAAATTAACTACAAAACTCCAGGAAACGTTAGTATTCTACATAAATTAAGAATGGTGACTTACATGTAAAATTGATGAAAAGTGATACAAAAAGCTGTTTTCACTCCATACTCCCACCTCAAAAGAAAACCTTCACTATAAGAGGCCAAATCAGTGACCCTCCACATATGCTCTAATTCCTGGATCCTCTGAATGTGTTAGGTTACACGGTAAAAGGGGCTCTGCAGATGTAATTAAGGTTAAGGATCTTAGATGAAAAGATTATCCTGGATATCCCTGTAGTCTGATCTAATCGCACGGGCCTTTAAAAGCAGAAAACTTTCTCAGGTTGGAGGCAGTGTGACACAGCAGCATAAGTTAGAGAGATCTGAAGCATGGGAAGGCTCTGAGATGGGACCCACAGGCAAGGACTTCAGAGGCCTCTAGGAAATCATGGAAAGCATGAGAAGGAATGTGGGCAGCCTCTAGGAGGAAAGACCAGGCTTCAACTGACAGCCAGCATAAAAACAGGATCTCCAACAACTTAAATAACCTTGGAAGTAAATTCTTCCCCAGAGCCTCCGGTAAGGAATATAAAAGCCTTGCTGACACCTTGATTTTAGCCTGGCAAGACCCATGTCCGATTTCTAACCTACAGACTGTGAGATAATAAATGGGGATTGTTTTAATCCACTAAATGTGTGGCATTTGTTAAGATTGGAATAGAAAACTAATACACTGGTCACTTTTTATTTTCTTTATATAAAAATGCTAGTGTCATCGCTAAATATCAGGGAATGTATATACAATGTACTTACGCACACAGACATATGACACGAGTGATTTTTAAATATTCTAAAGGAGTGTTTGAAAAAATGGGTATAAAGGCTCTAATCTACACACGCTAATAAGCTTTAACATTTGGCTTCCTCAATTCCACCTTTTTCAAGTCACTCGTTCACTTGTTAAGAAATCTGCCACTTTCTCACTTGGGCAAGATGGCATTTTTAGACTAATGAACTTCCCTGTATTTTCAAAGCTATACACTACCTAGGCTGCTGCTGTTCTTTGTTCTTATCTCCATCTGATCTGCTGGAAAACATCTATGTTGCAATTCCTTCTACATAAAGTTACTACAGTATTTCTTCTCAGTTACTTTGCCTGAACACACAGAAACTGTTCACATTCTATAATTTTTTGCCACAGGTTTATTCAATCCCAAAAGCTATACATATCTGATAAAATGGCAATGGCTAAGTAGATATATCTATTCTTGATTGACTATTATGCAGATACTTAAAATTGGAGTCATGAAAATCAATTTTCTACTTTATTACCTAGTTATATTAAGTGAAAATTTTAAAAGTTGACCACTTTATAATTAAAGTATGCATCAAGTTCACAAAAGAAGCTTAGTGTTGGTTGCATTAGGGAGGGAGATGATTTTATATATTGTGACTATACATTTTACCAAAAACATTAAATGACATTAAATTTGTAACATAATCCACATGCAGATACTGCTTCTCATAAAACTTCCTATCACTCTCTTTACTATCTACTTAACTTGCAGCAACTATTCCGGTGCAGCTTTGGGTATGTGTGTGGGTGGGGAGGGGGGTACTGTTTATAAATTTTGGTCCTCTTTCCCCTTAAAAATATAAGCTTCTTGAGTTAAGGGACCACATCTATTAGTTCTTTTGTACATAATCAGTACCAATTATAGTGCCCTTAACACAACGGGCTGATTCTAACAAAATGCTGACTATTCACAAGTATACCTCTAAGAAGGCATTAACATTTTCCATACAGATGTGAAAAAATTGTAATTCAAAGGTGACAATGGAAAACAATATATTCTAATTTATTAATATCTTACACAGCACCTGGAAAACCTTCACTATAATCAGTGAACTATAAAAGCTTGTGCTGCTGCATGTAGAAAAGGAAATAAATGTTCAAGGTACTGCCAGAGACTGGAAACAGGTGATGAGAAAGAGCTAACAAACAACTGAAGCATGTGGACCAGGCTAATGAGGCTTTCATTTCAGCCCTCAACTGATGAAGCCCCTATCTACTAAACCATTTTCTGGCGTTTATTTTCATATTTACCACAATAGACACATGAATGCCCACACAATTTTCTGATTTCAAAATCAGAACTAATTCAAAAAGAAAACAATGATAGCTGTACCACTTTGGATAGTAAGAAAAGCTTTCTTACAGAGATTACATGTCTGATAAAAAATTTGTGAAAGCATATTCTTTAGAAAAATAAGTAGAAATGTGTGCATATTAACAAAATGTACTGCCTTCGGAAAAGGAATTTTACAAAACTAGTAATAATACCAACTGAAGGAAGATGCCTTTATTACTTTAAACGATTTTAAAATAACGGTTTGTATAAACATCTGCTTGCAAAATCAGTATGCACTAAAAGTTAATCCATATGATGCAGTCCAAGTACTTACTATAAGTAATACTTGTTTTAGCTTGCTTTATCTTTGTTTGATTTCTAATTCATTCTTGGGCTGAAATATGCTCGCAAAATTGTGGTGTGACAAATACGCATTTTAAAAATGAGTTATTCTTTAATGACAAAACATTAAATAATAGCAATTGTTGCCCAGCCTGGAGTGCAGTGGCATGATCCTGGCTCACTACAACCTCTGCCTCCTAGGTTCAAGTGATTCTCCTGCCTCAGCCTCCTGAGCAGCTGGGATTACAGGTGCGCGCCACCACAGTGGGCTAATTTTTGTATTTTTAGTAGAGACAGGCTGGTCTTGAACTCCTGGCCTCAAGTGATCTGCCTGCCTCAGCCTCCCAAAGTGCTGGGTTTACAGGCGTAAGCCACCGCGTCCAGCCAATAATAGCAACTATTACAGTGACTTATAATATGCTGTCCCCCAATGCACTTCATATCTTGAAGTCAAGGGATAAAGGAGGAAGATACATACACTGTAGGCGTTATTTTTAAGGGGGAAAAATTCTCAATCATACAACTAAAAGTTATCACATGTATAATATGGGCTGCAAGTTTTCCTCTCTAGTTGTACCTATTTATACTTCATATTTATAAGTGAGATAATAAATAAAAATAAACACCTTTATCATGCACACTTGCTAGCCTAATGCCATTTTTATAAATATTATCCCATGGTACCATCATTAGGATAGCAAAGATACTTATTTACAATAAACTTCTACATTCATGGGAACATATTCCAAGACCTTTATGTATCTCCAAACTACCAAATCAGTGAACGATATAATTCACCCTAGAAAATGCAGTGATATATAACCATGATAATGACAGTAAAGCCACAATGAGATGCAGGCTCCTTAGATTACATATCTAATCATATGCAATTTGGTGAAAGCAGAAATAATGATTTATACAAATTCTCTCTAAACTTTATATTATTGTAAGTCTAAGTAAGTTTATTTCTTCCAATAGAAAAGTTCCTGGTATCAATTTTGAAAAATGGTATAGTCTTATGAAATAATTAATTCATCTCTTTTGAGGAGAGGGAAAGGCAGTATTTTTCATTAGAAAAATCAGGTTTTCTTGGCTGGTGCATGGTGAGCACGGTGGCTCACACCTGTAATCCCAACACTTTGGGAGGCCGAGGCAGGCAGAACACCTGAGGTCTGGAGTTAGAGACCAGTCTGGCCAACATGATGAAACCCCATCCCTACTAAAAATAAAAAATTTATTGGGTGTGGTGGCACATGCCTGTAGTCCCAGCTACTTAGGAAGCTGAGGCAGAAGAATCGCTTGAACCCAGTAGGAGGAGGTTGCAGTAAGCTGAGATCATGCCATTGCACTCCAGCCTGGGCGACAGACAGAGTGAGACTTTGTCTCAAAAAAAAAGAAAAGAAAAAGAAAAATTAGGTTTTCTTAATGAGAACATCATGAGGCTCCATCACCAACCTGTAAAATAGGGATTATGATAAATAACCATCTACCATCCACACTGGATTGTTCTGAGTATGCACCAAAAAGCTAGATTGGAAAGTACTTTTTAAACTCCAGTCAGTTTGATTTCCTGGCCTATCCCCTTCTACCCCTCCTAAAACATTGCCCCTTCAATTATTCCCTCTTACTCCCATACTACTCATTTCTGCCTTAACCTGTAAATATGCTCATCTTACCAATCTTAAGGAAAAAATAAAACACTTTCTTCAACCATGAAGCTCACAGATGCAGTCCTTTTTCCTTACATGTCCTCAGAATTAAGCTCTACCAAGAGTAGCCTACTCCCTATATTTCCACAGCCTCATTTCTTATTTATTCCTCAAATCCTCATAAGACTTGGACTTGTATCCATACCATTAGCACCCATCATACCACTATCCTTTTTTGTTCAAGGCTCCTCCCTGGTATTTTTACCGGTTTCTCATATCCCAACTCCCGCACTGCCCATCACAAGTCATTTAAACACTGATATTCTGTGGGTTCGATTCAGTACCCTTCACCCTTTTCTTGTCTCTCTATACTCTCTTCCTGAGTGATCTCAACCGTTCCCTTTATTTTAACCAAGACCTGCACAGTGATGATTAGCAAATGTCTCCCTGATGTAAACCTCACTCTTCAACTGTGGGTCTGTATTCAACTGCTCACTAAACATCCCCCACATAGGTCCCCACAGGTATCTCAAGCTTAAAATGTCTGAAACTACTGAAATTACCATCTAAGCAATCATATTCATTCCCTAATTGCCTTGTCTTCCTTTCTTTATTCTCCTTCTTAGTTAATGACAATATTATCCCTCAAGTGAGATTACAGTTCAGTCCATTCAGCCTGAGAAAGCTGACTAAGAATAAAACAACAAAAAAAGAATAAATTTCAGTCCAATCTGAGCTCCCACTGTGAGCCACTGTGCTAGAATGCACGGAAACCAAAACAATTAAGTTATGGCCCAATTACTTAAGGAGATAATTCCACGAGGGAGACAGTTCAATTAACAAAATTATGTACATTGTATTTAATTCTGATAGAAAATGATACAAATTTTATAACTTGTTCAAGTGCCTATCTCTCAAATGAAATCAAACCCAACTCCCTGAAAACAGAGATTGTGTGTTTTCTTTTAATTCTAAGCACATAACGGGCACTAAGTAATTAATGAGTGAATGGACAATACTAATGAATTAAAAACACAGTTGTACTGCCATAAGATATTGAAGCACGATGTTTTTCTGTACTTGAGAATTGGATTCAACTAAAACAGTTTGGACACATCACTTCTGCAGTCTCAAAATAATATATATTGTTAAGCGATATTCTAGATTATTTGATTGGCAGTGTTACCTTAATTCTCTTTGAGTCTCTAAATCCTGTAAAATGATTTGAGAATTTCTCTGTATTGCTACTTCAATTTTTACAGGTATTTGTATTATCTCCCAAATTAGTTTTATTGGCAAATTTAATTAAAATGCTACTCATCATTCCTCTTTCCTCATTAGAGGCAATAAACAAAATTAGACCTAATAATGATCTCGGTATCAACCTCCTAATGTCCATCCGCCTCTAGGTAACATTTAAATTACACAGTTCATGCAAATCAATTTTTTTCTAACAAAATTATTATTAAAATCTCTCAAGCCAAATAATATTATTTCCTATTTAGAACTAAGCAAAAGGAAGATAAAATAAAAACATTACATTTAGACAAGCAAAAGCAACAATTCAGTATTCTTGAAAGGCGTTATAACAAGGTTACCTTGTAGAACAGGAAGTGTCAAACTATGCACATCAGCTGCCACCCGACATATACATGTCTCTGACATGGTAATAAAATGAGAAACCGTTTTGTTTAATAATAATAATAATAAAGCAACAGCAGTGGGTGCACATTACATGTAGCATCTAGTCCTGGTTGCCTAGCAACCCGTCATGAGTGAAATCCACAGAGAATAAAAGCCCTTAAATGAATGTACAGTTTGTGCAACTTTCAAGGACTCAAAGAGATGTGTCAGTAGTTAATCTAAATTCTAGCTGGCAATTACCATACTCAGATGGAGGAAGGAGAATCCATCATTATCTCTCAGAATCAACTGTGAGATTAACTAAAAGCTAGATTCTACCCTTTAGGTTTTTACCTTTTGAACCAGTGGTTTTCTAGGAAAAAAATTTTGACAGTATGATTTATAAATTATAAAAACTTTATGCAGAAAAAAACAACAAAATTTCACTAATATAACTTGTATTCATTCATTCAACAAAACATATAATACCTATCATACACCAGATACTGTCTCCGCTATTGAAAATACAAATATGAACATCACTTTACAAGCTTTCAAGCATACTATAATGGAGAAATCAAACAGTAAACAAACAATAACAATATCACAAATTCTGTAATACAGAAGAAGGCATGGGATATTATGAAAATATCTATAAAAGACTTCCAATTCAGACTACGGAGGTGAACTAATTAATGGTCAGGGAAAACTTATCAGAAGAGGTAATGTTTGAGATGAGTTTTAAAAGACAAGCAAAAGTTGTTATAAAAGTGGAGCATGAGGAGAATATAAATAGATTTGCGTATGTATATACATCTACAATATACTTTATATATTTCTAAAATATATATTTACATTATATATTTAAAATGTTTTAAAATTATATTAAATACATTTAAAATATATTAAAATTATGTTAAATACATTTAAAATGTTCTAAAATTATATATATTATATATCTACAAATTTACATAAATAGAAGTGGCAGAAGGAAAAATATTTGTAAGGCCGTAGGGGTGAGTGAGCAAAAAGCATGTTGTGTTGAAGGAACTTCACAGCATTTGGTGAAATTAGGATCTCAGTGTTAAAACAGGAGTCCAAAGAGACAGACAGCCCAGGCCTCTTCCAGAAGGACCTCTTATGCCAGGCTAAGAAGTTCGGACTTCCTCCAGAATGAAATTGGAGAGGCAGAGATGGGTCTTAAGCCAGTGAATAATATAAACACATATGGCAATGATGTGAAATATATTAGAAAGGGCAAAGCAAACAGACAAGATGCTATGATAGCAAGAGATATACTCAAGAGATAAAATTGCCAACAGAGTTGAATGCGGCAGGTGGGCATTAAGCAAGAGACTCAAAAATAATTTCTGAGATTCTTAACTCGCAAACACAGAGCTCTAGTAAATTTAACAATCATGTATAAATGTTGTTATACATAAAAATGTATGCTATTCAGTCCCTGCTGAAATATTAGACTTGATCAACCCAACAAAACAATTACACAAAGGTTACGACTTCTTCGTAACCCAACAAAACAATTATACAAAGGTTAAAAAGCTGTCTGGGAAGGAACAGTTACTGGAGAGCAGGAAGAAAAGGCAAGGAAAGTGGAGAGGGGAGGAAGAAAGAAAGGAAAAATAAAGAAATACTAAGAAAGAAAAAGAAAACTAAAACTAAAACTTTCTGGTGAAAGTAAAAATCTATCCACACTTCTGAAAGAGAAGTTTAAAAAGAATTTTTCAAAACCATAAAGGAAAACACTATTGGTGCTTGACTACATAAAACCTGAAAATGTAGGTATGTTGACTAATACAATTTTAGAATTTTAGAAAAAAAGTATGTAACAAATACAACAAAGAGTCACTATCCTTTAAAGTATGTAAAAGCAAATAAGATCAGGAGATGCTATCAATAAGTGAGCAAAGAATACAGGTAGTTAATCCCACCTCAAAAATAAGGAAAATGAATTATTATTACCAACAAAATGCACAGGATCACAATAGTATCTCTATGTCTAACCTATTAGCAACTGTTTTGACTGCCCTATCTTGTTCAGAGTATAGTTACATGGCAGTCTTATACAAATATAAGTGTATAGGTAGAATAAGATTTTGAAAAAGAAATATACATATACACTTAAATCTTTAAAATGGTTCACACCCTTTGACAAAGTAATTCCAATTCTGAAAACCTACCCTAAGAAAATGATCTAAAATACAAATAAAGGTTAACATATAGCATTATTTTATAGAAGGAATAAAAAACTGGAAATGGTCTAAAGCTTCCCAAAGGGAGATAAATATGCTATAGTACAGATATACAAGAAAATATAATGTAGTCACTAACAATAATGTTTTTAGACAGATTTTAATACTAAGGGAAAAAATATTACAATATTTATAAAAATGGAAAAAATAGTCACATAAACTATAATTTCAACACTAAGTAAAAAACAACAACGACAACAACAACAAAAACACAGAAAGGGCAGGGTGCGGTGGCTTATGCCTGTAATCCCAGCACTTTGGGAGGCTGAGGCAGGTGGATCACCTGAGGTCAGGAGTTCGAGACCAGTCTGGCCAATATGGCGAAACCCTGTCTCTACTAAAAAAACAAAAATGAAACAGGCGAGGTGCCCCACACCTGTAATCCTAGCTACTTGGGAAGCTGAGGCACAAGAATTGTTTGAATCTGGGAGGCAGAGGTTGCAGTGAGCGGAGATCGCACCACTGCACTCTAGCCTGGGCGACAGAGCAAGATTCCATCTCAAAAAATAAAAAATTAAAATTAAAAAACATAGAAAGGATAAACATTATTTCTGAGTAGTAATGATAGGTTTTTCCTTTTCCTTTCCTGTATTTTCTAACTTTATTTTTTAAATAATGAGACTATATTATTTTTGTATTTAGAAACAAACTCCATCTAACTCATCTATCCTCAATAAAAGTATGCCTTAACCTTGTATTTACGTAAATAGCTCATTCATTTGAGATCTTTCTGTAAAGTTAATTATCTCTACTCATTTAACTTAAACTTATCAAGCAGTTCAGCACACTGTTGTTGAATTAAAAGAGCTTTCTACAGTGCCCTAAATAAAGTAAGGGTAACAAGTACATGGTATTAAGAACTTCAATTTGAATAATGGAATGAAAGCAAGAAAAAAAAAATAAGTTTTTAGTAATTGAAGGGGTTTCACCACTTTAATATACTTTATTCACTTTACTGCACTTGGATTTATAAGCATAACAAGGCTGTGCCCTTATATTACCTGAGGTGATTGAGCAGAGGCTGAAGTCTTTCATCAGACTGCACAGCAGGCAAGGACCTGGCTGTTAACTAAAAGCAGGGAAGAAAATTAGTAAAAACAGCAAAGGCCGAACACCGAACATATTTGAATACTAAATGTAAAACGAGCTGAAGGGCAGATAGGGAGGCAATACTTAAAAATATAAGGTTCTATTTCTCTTTTTTCAAATCAAGAAATTATATAAAAACCTCACACATTACGTGATCAAAGCTGGCTACATGGTTCTAAGGACATAGGGTATGTCACTAAGTTTAAAAGTAAAGAAAAAGGTGAGCAAAACAGAGAGTAAAAGGGAGTGTCCTGAGTTCATGAAAAAGCATTCACTTATGAGACTATTATCTTTGTAAATAAAAATGGAAAAACTTCTAAATGTAAAATTGTATAATAACCAATCTTGTAGTACTGAGTCCTAAGATGATGAATAAATTGGGAAGATAAATTCTGATTTATAGCTAAGCCACTGTGAAACTGGTTACATACAGAAGTGTATGTACTTTATTCTGTCAGCCACATGACTATAAGGAACCAAGGATATCTTTTAAGTATACAGAAGCAACTCAAAGTATTTAATATTGAAATATGACCTCAAATTGAGCTAGGAAATAAGAAGTCAGAGCCAATACTGTGTACCAACTTGACAGCATATCATCAAAATATGAATTTATGATCTATTTTATTACAATAATATTAATTATATATCTATGTATCTCTATTTTCTTCTCTGTTCTTAAGAGAATACCTTTTTATAAGAATTTGACACAAGGAAATTAAAGACATTCATTCAAAGTAATCAGATAGCTTGAGGTAAACTTAATAAAACATCAAAACAAAAATAAAAGATAAATGTCTTCAAGATTCAATTATGATCAAAATGGTTCTCATATTTTACTAATCAATCATTTAACAATTCACAAAAAAGAACCTTAAGACAAGCAACAAACTGAAAGATATCCTTTGGGTTTATATAGTGTATCCTCTCTTTTTAATTTTTTTCAAACATTAATTACAATTTCCTAAAAATGGAAAACAGACATTTAATTCATCAAATCTAATTTTTATATTATGCAAATAAAACTATCATCTAAAAATATCTTTTATATTTTTGAAAAAAAGTTGACCAAAGTGCCATATTCTGATAATAATGGAGAAGCTTTCCCAATTTTGTACAAGAGTCAACACGTCGACAGTTACTAATTTAAAATACAATAAAGTGAGACAATTAATCTGCTACAATTTTAGCACAATCAAGACTTTCAGTATCCCTGAAAAATACTAAGTATTAAAATACTAAGTACTAAGTATTAAAAAAATACTAAGTAACCTATATGTAACATATAAGATGTTATCAAGGTTATCAAATTCTATAAACAAAACACTTTAATACTTTAATACATCCTTTATCTGTTAATGTCAAATCCTGTTACAAAATGCCATTTTCATTGTTCAAGAGATTTCATGTCTCAGAACCAAAGCTGTGTTCTAAAACGATTTAAATGATTTATCTAGACATTTCAAAAGTCAGTTCTCTGAAAACAGAGCAGACAGAGTGGGCTTTTTCAGTCACTTCTGTCAATCTATATAGTATGCTTTCTAATAGAGGCAAACAAAAAACAACTCAGTAACAGCAAAATATTCTAGACATCTGTTAAGTCCATATAGGAAAGATTTTCAAATCTACCCCTTCATCTTAATTTCAGTCTTCATTTCCTTTTCCCTAAACTATTAATACATCTCCACTGTTGTTTCTGCTGCCATTCTTGCCCCTTCCCTAATTTATACCAAGGTCAGAGTGAAATTTTCAAAATGAAAGTTAACCACACCCCTAATTAAAATCATCTAGTAATTCCCTCTGGCTCCCAGGGTAAAGTTATTACATCAGTCTTTCATCAGACATTTTCTTAAAATTTTCCTTTTAGGTGGCATTACTGAAACAATAGGCACAGAATGATTGGCTATACAGCTTCTGCCAATTCCACAAAACACAATGACAGCACATCAGGTAGAAATTTTCCATAGCTCCAGTTTTCTGGAACACATGTGCTTGATGATTTGAGTTTTCCCAACCTCCCCTTCCCACCTCCAACTTACTTTCGAGATTGAATCTCTGGCAAGAATGATTCCTAAACCAGGGAGAGGCCAATGCTCTGAGTAAAATTATTTCAAGGAAGATTTTTGAGTTTTCCAAAGGTTTTCTTTTCAACTTTTAAAACAATTAGCGCTTACAAAAAGAGCATGCATCTCTTCATGTTAAGGATATGAAGTAATAAAGCTATTCCAAAGCTCTTTAAAGTGGCAAACCCATCTGCTAACCTTTTGCTGACAGAATTCAAACTTCATTTTAGGAACTGTTGGCTCCATTTCTTCTGAAATTTTTCTCTGAGCTAACGTAGTTACTACTTACATCCACTGGACTGTGAGTGGTAACTGCATCCCTAGCACTTGCAACACAACAGATGTTTAGTTTAGCAAGTATGTAATTTCATTAATTGATAAAAATGAAAGTATATGTCTATGTTTCATAAAGCTTTTCAAATTCCTGCTTTGAGCAAAACTAAGTATAAATCAAAACTAAACTAAGTAACAATTATCAAGCCTTCCAAGAAAGCAATACACTGTCACAATGAGATTTTTAGCATTTCCTCTACAACTAGAAAGCTATATCTATCCAGGTTAAATCGACTTTGGCTTCCAACTATGTTTTAATTTTTTTTCTTTTTATAGAAAACACAACAATGTACCGGACACATAAATCACCAAGAATGAAAGAGAAGGAAGATCTATCACAGTTTGCATCTGCAAAGCCTAAACGAGTTGTTTAAGTTTGGGCTATTTCATGGGAACCATCATAGAATTTGGCATAACTTATAGCCTATTTCTCATTATCGTTGAAAGGTTAGGGGTGAGTTAAGATGTCCTTTCATTATTAAAACTATATTAGCACACTGAATTAACCAATACAGTTTCCACTGTTTTTAGACAAGTGTTAACAGATAACTAACTCTTATATAAATCTCATTTTAAAAATTAGTATTACTGGGTAAATTTTGCCCTTTGACATCTATCTGGTTACAAAAATAATGCATTTTACCAACTAATAATCCTCCATTAAATGCCAATAAATCAGGTGGTTACTCTAGACTTCACCACTACACAATATATCCATGTAACAAAACTACACTTGTACCCTTGTAAATTATAAAAATAAAGAAAAATGCCAATAAATGTCAAATACGTTCAAAGTACAAGAGACAAAAGGGAGTCTGGAGGTGCCTGATCCAACTTTGTCATTTTATGCATGAGGAAAGCAGGTTCCTCAGGCCACAAGCAACTAGTTGCTGGCATGGCCAGAAGCCTTCACCTAATCTCAGAGCACTTCTGTCTCCTTTGAGTCCCTCACCCCTCAAAACAGGACAGCACTTTTCAAGATTCACTTTACCTCACAGATTTTTAGTCTTCAAGATTCCCAAATTTTTTCATGGAAAATTTCTTCACATCATTTGGGATTTGGCTCAAATATCACCTCCTCACAGAGGCCTTCCCTAACCTTTGGTAAAGGGTAACTGATGCTTTACCAAGGGTTTAGAATTTTATTTCTCAAGATATACTATAACACGCACCACCAAAAGATTGACCACAACATAGTTCCTTCTTTTTTTTTTTAAGACAGAGCCTTGCTTTGTCACCCAGGCTGGAGTGCAGTGGTGTGATCTTGGCCCACTGCAACCTCCAACCTCCGCCTCCCGCATTCAAGCAATTCTCCTGCCTCAGCCTCCTGAGTAGCTAGGATTACAGGTGTGTGCCACCATGCCCAGCTAATTTCTGTATTTTTAATAGAGATGGGGTTTCACCATGTTGTCCAGGCTGGTCTCGAACTTCTGACCTCAAGTGATCCACCCGCCTTGGCCTCCCAAAGTGCTGGGATCGTACACGTGAGCCACTGCACCCAGCCATAGTTCCTTCCTTCTAATCTATGTCTCTCTGATTTTTGGTGGAGGGGGCTGGGTCACTAAATGATTGTTAGAAATAAAGCAGAAATATTGACTAAATCTATACTTTCCCAACAAAGGTTTGGTAAAGCAGTAGGTATTCCCTAACTCTTCGTAAAGCAGCAGGGTATTCTAACCATTACTCAGGTACCTCACAACATTTATCACTATCTGAAATTATCTGATTAATTTTCTTACTGTGTCTTTCTCTCATCACAAGAATATAGGCTCTGTCAGGGCAGGAACCTCTTCCATCTTGTCATCACTTTCCCCCGACTGCTTAGAACAGCACATGGTATGGCATGCAATATGTACTCACTAAGTTTTGTAGAGTGAATGTAAGGTTTACCCATCTGAAATATTTCCAACAGAGGCATAGGTTTAGAAAAGTCTGCCCTAGACACTGATCCTTTTGGTCTTGTATTTCTAATTGTTTTCATTAGTAAATATGTCCTATCAAGGAGAGGAGTCATACGCGTTTCTCTTTTCATTTCCAGCTAAATGGAATATCCAAGACCTTCTGTTAAAATGAGGGCAAGTGCACTACCCTGCAATGTAGTTGAAACTGTGACCTCCTGGTTCAAAAGAAACAAGTAGCCCAAAACTAGCAGTCCAAAACTCAAATTATGGATTGTCAACTGAAAAAGGATGAGGTTCATAAATCTGGAAGGAGAAGCTTTATTTCTCATAAAGGGTTGCAGCCTGCCGGATGGCCATTCTGATAGACTAGGAAGTGTAGCCTCTGCCCGGAAGCCAGAAACAGACACTTCGAGGGAGGAGCAAAGGAAATAGGAATTTATGCTGAACAGGGTAGCCAAATACACATATTTAATAAGCTATAGGAGGAGTCATGAATATTTATGAGAGGAGAAGCATGCACACATGCAATTAAGGTTCACGTCCCTTCATGAGTCACGTGTAAAAAAATCGCGGCATTAGCATGATCCAAAGGTGGAGCTTTCCGGCATCGGATAGTGAAGCAGAGAACATGAAAACCCTCACTGCGCATCCTCCATAGACTGGCCTGAACCACTCTGTAGTTAGTAGTCTCTTGTCAGGAGGGAATGTTGGTAAACTGTTGTGTGGAAACTGCAAAGGGAAGGGTGAGCATCAGGTGGTTGGTTGATATCAGGGATGGAATGAGTCTTTCCTGAGGGCTCATTTCTGTTTAGCCTAATGGCAGTTAGCAAGAGATGGGGCATAATGAGGCATGTCTGACCTCCCATTCCATCATGGCTGGGAACTCAACTTCCAAGGTTTCTCTAGGGTTCCCTTGGCTGGGGGGCTTAAAATTTTACTTTTATTTCTTAAAATATACTATAACAGTCACTACCAAAAGAGTGACCATGACATAGTTCCTTCCTTCTAATCTATGTCTCTCTGGTTTTTGGTGGAGGGGGTTGGGTCACCAATTGATTGTTAGAAATAAAGCAGAAATATTGGCTGAATATATATTTTCCCAACATTATTAAAAATTTCAAACACACAAAGTTCAAAGTCGTTTACAGTGAACAGCCATTTAAAAGAACAAAAAAACCTAACCAGCCAAGACTGAGACTGCTTCAAAAATTTATATAAAGTAACTAAGGAACAGACAGTGTAAATATGACTGTATTCAAATAAGACTCAGACCAATGTAAAGAAATAGCCTTGTTATTTAAATCACAATGCTAAAATAAAAGTGTGTGTTTAAACACCTTTCAAGATATTATTGCTAAATAAATAACTTGTAGCTCCTGGTAGGTTAGTTATTTTGAAAGAGAGTCCAAAATATCTGTCTCAAAACACCCCACATAAAAAGGACATAAAGTTTTAAAAACACTGAAATCCAGCCAGGCACAGTGGCTCATGCCTGTATTCCCAGAACTTTGGGAGGCTGAGGCGAGTGGATCACCTGAGGTCAGGAGTTTGAAACCAGCCTGGACAACATGGTGAAATCCCGTCTCTACTAAAAATACAAAAACTAGCTCGGCTTGGTGGCGGGCGCCTGTAATCCCAGCTACTCAGGAGGCTGAGGCAGGATAATCGCTTGAACCCAGGAGGCAGAGGTTGTAGTGAGCAGAGATCACACCACTGCAGTCCAGCCTGGCTGACAAGAGCAAAACTCTGTCTCCAAAAAAAGAAAAAAAAACTGAAATCCAATAGTAATTATAAGGTAAATCCACTCAAATATAGAAAAATCTGGATGTCATATCTTTTCAAGAGTAAAGCAAACAGAAAATATTTTTTCTTTTTAGACTTCCCTCTTAAATTAGATTTGCTTAATATAGCTAAAAATAAACTTGATCAGGATGGAAAAGGTAATTGTTAGAATTACATTCTCTATTCAATAACACTTTTTAACAAGTGGGGTAGGAAGCAATTTTGGTTGCACCTAGGAAAAGCAAGAGGAAAGGAGACTAGGGACAGTGAAAGCTTTGGTTTTATCAGAGATATTCTCATCCTTTCCTTGGATTCAATCCAAGAAAGTTCTGAAGCACATACAACCCTCTAAATTTATGCCAAGGAAGAAGTAAAGCTCTGGAGACTGAATCACTTAACATGTTTGCAATTCTGTTTCTTAGACTTTAGCTTATCTCTCTTTTCATTGTATTGGTTCTGTAAATAACTAGGAGAGACCAAACCTCCCTGCTTCCAATCACTGACCTTTGTTACAGATTAACTGGCATTCTTTATTGTCCTTACCTAACTCAGACCAGATGGCACCCAAGACTCCATGACAGTTACATCTTCAATGTGGAATGTTAAATATCTTTCCAGAAAGAAAAAGACCGCCTTAACTAATCAAATCATTGTAAGTATGCATTAAGCCTAACATAGAAAGATGTTGAAATTGTGTTAAACTTCCCTACGTTTTGTCTATATAAGCAATCCTATGCTTTTACACTTTGGAACACTGCCTTCCATTCTTTGCAGTCTGTGTTTCCCGTATGGCTAGTCCAAACTTTTTGCTTGAGTAAACCTTCTTTCAACTAGACTCTGACCCTTTTGATTATTTTAGGTTGACAATATGTTGACACTGGTTAATTCCTAGAGGTAAATACACGAATGTTCTACTATTTTGCATACATTTGTGTTTGCAATAGTTCAAGAGAGGCAGAGAGTGAAAACTGACTTATTTTCTAGCAGGGTGAGGAACGGCTTGGAGGAGGGCAAACTAAACTAGAGGCAAAGAGGTCAAAAGGGTGGCACATGCAGTGATCTAGGGATCCAAGATGAAGAGCCAAATTATGGCAGAGGCAGTAGGGACAGAAAGGAAGACATGTACATAAGAAATATGTAAAGGTATGCTCCACAGAACTGACTATCAGAGAAGGGGAAGATGGAGAGGACATGCAGATAGGTAGACAGCTCTATCAGCTGCAAGACAGTGGCTACAGAAGAGGAAGGTGGGAAATGAAGGAAAATTGTAAGTTTCATTTTAGGCATGCTGAATTTGAGGTGCTTTCAACTAACTAAGAGGTAACTAAATATATATGGATGTAGAGACCAGGAGAGATTTACATTTAGATTTAAGTGTTATCAGCAAATAAGTAGCAGATAAAGCCATGAACTGGCTAAACCTTCCCATATTATATGCATAAAACAGGGATGTCCAACTGTCATTAACTAGTAGCTCATTAGAGCACTGTTGAGGGTTCATTCTGTAGAGAAGAAAAAGTATTATCTTTCTTTCCCATCACTAGGTTCATGACTGAGAGTCCTATAACAAAAGACAGATTAACAAGAGTAAAACATACAAATTTAAGTTTTATGTGATATGGGAGCCTTCAGAAATGAAGACCGAAAGAAAAAGGGAAACGTGTGTTTTTTATGGACAGTTGTGCAGAAGTATGACTGAAGGACCAAAGGGTATAGTCTAATGGTAATTAACTGGGGGGAACTTAGCAAGTCCTGTTTGTTCAGAATCTTCTCTTTGTCCCTGTGTCTTCAGATATAAGACAGGTTTAGGAAGGGCACATCTCTAATGAAGGTTTTATAACCTACCTCAGGAGGAGGTCGGCTAGGGTTTATGGCCTGCTTCAGAAGAGAAGGAGCCAGGAGAAGGTGAGAATGACCTTGTTTCTGTTGTTCCCTCAAATGCCAAGAAGTATGTCCTAAATGCCATCAGTTACAAGCCACATCCAGGAAACAGTACATATTGAAATGTCTGCTCTGGATAAGGAATGGGAGATTAGAGATATCTGTCGGGCATGTGCCATTCTTAGCTGGAACAAGAAATTTTGCCGATAGACTTGAAGTTGTGTAACATTGATTTTAAGCAATTATAGATTAGTTAGAAAGCATAACCAGTAGCTCCTATAACTCTTGTTGTACACCTAGAATAAATGAATTTCACTTTGTGAAAAAATGTTCCTCTGCCTCCAGCTATGAAGCTGACTGTTGCTCTTAAAACCCCCTAAAGGATATTCTGCTGTTAGCCAATTGCTATTTTGAAGTAGAATTGTTTGAAAGGATTGAAAAGGGCCTGTAGGAAGAACATATTTTTCATGATTTTCTTTTTCAAATGATGAGCATGAAGGGAGGGAACAAGAATACACAAGGAGGTAAATACGTAAGCAAATATGGTAAATGGTTCTTAAAGAGTCAACAGACATTTTAAAAGCAAAGGTGGCCCAATCTGTTGAAAATGAAGAACAAGAGGGTGGCTTCATTTTAAAATAATGAATCCCTTCTCTGAACTGTTCACCCAACACTGGCGAAATTAAAACACATAAAAATGACAGGAAAAAAATGCTCACTTGGAAAATATTGCTCAATTTTGTTCTCTGGTGTTTTTACCCTCTACCACTCACTTCAGCTTCCTTACAAAAACTCAAGAGGAATGACAATATCAAGAAATCCAAGACAGGTAATCAGTACAATTTAGGTCCCTTCTTTTCATTTAATATTGCCTATTCAAAGAACCAGAATAGTATTCTCTTACAGTGGTATTAGGGCAGTGGCATTTATTACTTACAAATGACAAAGAGATAAATATTATTTATTATGTAAAATGACAAAGAACCAAATTTACGTTTATTTTAATGGAAAATAAATAGGGAATATTTTTCAAAATGTCTTTGCATTCTCCTCATTTCATACAAGATTTGAGATGGCTCCTACTGCATTTTATAACTCCCAAGAGTGCCAACTCAAAATCTAGAATGCCAACACTTGTCTAGTAAATTAAAGATGAATAGGTTATGCTTATATATGTATTCTAAGAGATAAACAATTTATAGATCAGGAAAATTTTTTTTAAAAATCAAAAGGCAACAATTTATTTAAACAGACCTCACAGCAACAAAAAGATATAGCTTTAAAGAGAACAGGTTGTTCAACAGAACTATCACTTTTATTACTGGGACCAAGGCAGATGTCAAATAAAATTAACTTTTACAAGCAGCTGCTCTTTTAACTTCATTGATTTTAACAACAGAAAATCCTGTGTCTTTTGAACTACATTTTCTTATAATAGCAACAGATCCCAATTACAAACCCCAAACTGTGAGATTCCACATTACATTTCCCCTTGCTCCTGGAACCAAATTTGTTCTCTAGTTTCATGTTCTCCCTTGGCAGGCTGAGATGCTGTTCATCACTAATCATAACAGTCTAGTGTTCAAATGCCCACAGCACTTTTTGGTTTCCACAGGGCTCTCACACACATTATTTCAGGTGATCTTCACAACAGAGGTGGTTTCATCACAACAATGCTTTGATACACGGAAATTTCTCTATCAGCTGACTGCAAACATGATTTTCAATATGTAAGCTCTAAAAAGCAACCAACGACCTTGTCAAGCAAAATGCATAGATTCCATTTGAGCTCTAAACATGCCCAAGTAGTTTAATTTCCAAAGAATATTAAACAGTGCAGAGTTAACAAGATATTTCCAGTTCAGGGGTCTGGATGATATGAAGAACCAAGGAAGCAAACCTGGGAATAGTGCAAGCAGACATCCCAGTGCTGATTTTTGATCATGAAACCTATGGTGTGAAAAGAAGCTTGTTATTCAAAGGCTAACCTAAGCACCCTACTGATGCTCTACATCATTTAGAAATGTAAAACAATCGCTTGAGCAAGGGGAAAAAAGATATTAAGAGATATGCAGTGATAAATGTACATGGATCACTGACTTTTCTCCCTTGGATATTATCTCTGAGGCTCCTCAAGGCCTCTCAAACTGTTCAGCCAAAGGTACCTGGAACATTCAAGGAGGGTGAACAACAGGTAACCTTTATGCCCTAACCATCAACTTCTTTTAATGTCATATAGTTATCTTAAAAACGTATACAAAATTTACGTTTGACTCTAGAACATGTTCTTGCTTTTACTATAAATAGGTTTAATTATTTTACCACTGAGTAACACAGTGCCATTGTTATCCTATGGTTTTATCTATTCCTTAGTATAGTTAGCCCCATACATTTGGCCATTTTATTACTTTAGAAAACATATTACTACATTTTTACTCCTTACAGCCCACGTGAGGTAAGTCTTTGGTGGTACAACTGAGGCTGGGAGTTGGCTGAGACAATTCTGGATCTTTTCACTGTGTCATTTCATGTGACTACCACTGTTCAGAGAGACAGAGATGACATTTTTTTCAGCCAAAAATCATTTTATGCAAAGACTCTAAAAACCATTTAAATTCCTAGATTTTTCATTCACTTAATAAATTTGTGAGGCAATAACTGAAGTTCTAAAATTCCTTATTATTATTGTATTTTCATTCATCATTTTTGTCTCCTAAACATCTATACCATATTTACCTAAACATACGTTTGTCAATTTCTTATTTAATGTAAGATAATAAACGCTTATCTAGGTTTTCCAGAACCAAAACTGTTCCTTTACTGTTTATTGTAAGCATGAATCTTGCACAAAATCTTTTTATGTGGAAGTTTCTCATAGAAATTCCTAAATACGCACATAAATTCTACTATGTACACTGGAGTTACCAACCATATCTACAGGCTTCTAGTAAATGTTTAAAAGAGGGCCCAGACTGAATAGTGGGTTTCATAGTGCATGTTGTGTATCTTCTGTCAGCAGTATAGGCCATGATTCCTTTAACTTCCTGCTGAGCCTATTTCCAGACATATAACCTGCCCATTACACTGGCAATCTTACCATTTTACCTAAATATTACTAAACAGTGTACCACTTTTTGCAAACATTAAAGATAATCTATTCTGCACTACACTTAAATACATTCTTTATTAAGTAATCTAAAATCAATGTCAAAGATCCACAATTATATTAATTACCAAAGTGAAGAGACACAGAAAAGACATGTATATGTAAATATACACTATCATTTTCTGCAGGAACTCTTTTTCCCCCAATTTGGACTTTCATTAACATTTGGGAATGGCTATAAAACAATTCAGAGTGGGCTGGGCGCAGTGGCTCAAGTCTGTAATCCCAGCACTTAGGGAGGCCCAGGCAAGAGGACTGCTTCAGCTCAGGAGTTTGAGACCAGCCTGGGAATATAGCAAGACTTCATCTCCACTAAAAATAAAAAAAAAATCAGCTGAGTGTGGTGGCACGTGCCTGTAATCCCAGCTACTTGAGAGGCTGAGGTAGAAGGATTGCTTAAGCTGAGGAGATCAAGGCTGCAGTTAGCTATGACTGTACCACTACACTCCAGCCTAGGTGACAAAGCAAGACCCTGTCTCAAAAACAAAAACAAAACGAAACATCAAGGTTATGGGGAGTGGAGTGTAGGAGGTGGACAAGATTATTACTAATGCCTCAGTAACAGTAATCTGTTGTGTAACAAAACATAGTCCTTGGAAATGCACTTGAAGAACTGAAGGGCAAGTAATCAACAAGAATACATAAAGATTTCCATTTCCCCAACAGCTGAACCTCAAACCACTGATCCAAATGTATAATTCAAGAATGGTAGCCCCAGATGGCTAACAACATACCTCTAATGTTTATGTTAACAGATGCTGCAGAAAGTATTCATTTGGTTAGTACTTCAGCTACTTTTCCTTGCCTCTGTGACTTAATTTTCTCTGCTCTCTTAGAGCACAATGATGTCTTCCTTGATAGATATCTTGCCTTTGTAGATGTTGAAAATGTTTTAAAATATAGAACAGCCCAGTGTGCCTCTACATCTCACTCAGTTTATTTATCTAACTGAAATAATCAGATATTGCACTATTTTTGGACTCATTCGGTTTAGTTTAAATTTAAGCTATTTTCTTTATTCATAAACTAATACTACAGTTTTTCTTTAAAAATAAATGAGACTATTACATAATTTTGTTGCTCTACTAAAGGATTTCTATTTTTAAGCCCTTCTAAAGGGAGCTTCTTAAACTATGTGACTAACTTCAATTACACATAAACATGTTTTGCCTATTAAAACTAGAGCCTTGTGATTAATTATAAAACTTTCCTAATTATATTTAAAACAAAACAGAACAAGAAAAGTAAATAATTTCCATTGCTAACACAGAAAAATCAATACAAACCATTGATTATGAAATGAAAATAGAAAAGTATAATGTCTTCACTGTGATAAGCACATTTATGTCAATTGGAATTTTCACCTCAGCCTTCTGATCCAACATTACATAGGATGCATTTCACAAATGTTTAATTCATCACAAATTTAGAGACAAAACTCATTTAATATTATTGAGGATGTTGGAAGGAAAATGAAATAGACATATTTTGAAATGTTGTAACAAACACATCAGGGTTGTTCCAAATCCTTTTTCCATCTCCTTTTTATTTTCCTTACAAAACTAGGAATCATCACAAGTAGCCACCTAGATCACTGATGTCTTCTCATTTCTAAATTCATAGAAGTTTCAAATGACACAGAATTCCTTTAACAACACAGAAACCCCTGAATTTAATGTATTAATACCAGTAAAAATATAAATCAGTTCCCTGTTAACTTAGGTCACCTAGTAAATCAAATTACATGCAAAATTCCTTTCTTACGAAAAGTAGATATTTTTCTTATTCTTTGTTTCCTTTAGGTTACTACATTTTTCTATCTCCTTTTAGATTAGAGACAATAATTAGATTCTACGGTAAAGAAAAGATGCTGGTCTAAAAGTGAAAAAACCCTTACCTGGTTGCATAAGTTTTTTAAAAAACAATGTAGCTATTATAACAACTGCCTATTCTTCTGACTGCCCAAAATGATGAGCTGCCACTTTCGTGATGGAATGGACCCTAGCTAACACCATACTGCAAGCAGGAAGGATGTAGATTCTAGACCACTGTGACATACTATTATCTGTACCTGCCCTATCCTACTCAAAGTACCAAGGCATAAAATCAAGAGTTGGGGTAAAGTAAGCATGTTTGGGGATACACTTCCTAAGAGTAATCATTTTAATATATCATATTTGTAAAATGCTCTTTGATATCAGAACAGCTGGCTGAGACTTTTAAGTGACCTTGGACATACAGTTGACTGACTACTTTCCAATAACATTATTTCATACTTTCTGGCACAATCACACTGATAGTGTTTGATGGATAACCAGACAAGCAAAGGACAAGTCTGAGCAATTGCCATCCTTTATACTTGACGTCTTCATGTTTCATTACACATCCTAGGAAAAGGGAAAAGGAACAAAAACCCATAGGCAATGTTAGTTCCAAGAGGTCTCAATACACACAGGAAGCCCCAAATAGTATTATTTTGAAGCAGCCACAATCTTTAAATAAAAATGCACTTTGTTGCAATTAAAGAACCACCAACAGTTATAAAACTAGGAGGAGGGAGAGATTTTCATCTTGCATGTCTTAGTTAAATTTTGTTTTCTTTAGTAAAATGTTTTGAATGAATGGTCACAAGATCCTCTGGACAAAGCACAGAGCACCAAATGTAAAGCTTGATTTTCCTGTTCTGCTATTTGTGCCTGATTTATTTCTCCCTCAGTTTAATCAAATGCAAATTAATGCCAGCATGAACTAAAATCTATCCTACTAAGATGCTTCAACAGTGCTCTCATGTGAACTATCAAAGAGTTCACATAATTTTAAAGTCAACTACCAAAAAACACATGTATTTGCCATAAGTTGCCACTGATTTTTTAAATTACATTAACATTACCTAAAAGTACACTAAATATTTTTGGTTAAAGACATATAGTAAACATACGGGCAACAAAGGACTTAAGGAAACAGGACATTTACAACAGTAGGCTGTGACTTTTCACCAACATTCTAGCTGCAGATCAAGACAGATGATTTTTTGGCCCCTATGCAAGGCAAGAATGAAGATGCTACTCACTAATAGGAGCAAGAATAAATCTGGAAGAAAAACTAAGAGAGATTCAGTTTTGTCCATGTTAAGTCTGAACTGCCTGTTAAGCATCCAGGCGGAACTATCTGGACTTAAGAAAATAAAGCTGTAGAAATCAATCAATCTCAGAACTTTTTGTAGATTTATGTGCTTTGACATAATTTCTATCCTTAAAACTAGAGCAAACATATAATGTATTGCTGTATTAATGCTCCTTTTTATTACAAGCTATAATAGATACAAGTATCACTTGCTACAGAACTATCCAGTTCTACAAATTCTTAATAAAATGGAAGTCTTAAAGGCAGTTCTTAAGTTGCTCAACAATTCTCAGAATATTGAACAATTATTTGCTTTAAAGATGTGCTGACAATACAGTAGCTACTAGCCACATGTGGCTACTGAGTTCTTGAAATGTGGCTAGTCCAAATTGAGATATGCCATAAAATATACACAAAATTTCAAAGACTTAGCATAGAGAAAAGAATGTAAAATATCTCAATAACTTTGTATACTAATTATATATCAAAATGACAATATTTGCAATATATTGGGTTAAATCAAATAAATTAAAATTAACTTCATCTTTTTATTTATTTATTTATTTTTTTTTTTTAGAGAGAGTTCTCCCTCTGTCGCCCAGGCTGGAGTGCAGTGGCATAATCTGGGCTCACTGCAGCCTCCGCCTCCTGGGTTCAAGCAATTCTCCTGCCTCAGCCTCCTGAGTAGCTGGGATTACAGGTACCCACCACCATGCCCTGCTAATTTTTGTATTTTTAGTAGAGATAGGGTTTCACCATGTTGGCCAGGCTGGTCTCAAACTCCTGACCTCAGGTGATCTGCCCGCCTCGGCCTCCCAAAGTGCTGGGATTACAGGTGTGAGATCAGAAAATTTTAAATTACATATGTGGTTCACATTTCTATTGGACAGACTTCTGTCCGGTACACAAGCAATAATAACATGATATTTAAATGAATTAAAATCTAGGAGCATGAGGACATGTTGAAAGGAGTTAGCCATCTTGCTTTAGGCAGACAGTAAGGGAAGGGTCCCCGGACAACCTCTGACACGCCCCACAAGTGTTTACACCAGATGTTTTGTGCAGGTAAGGGAACTTACACAGGGGGCTTGCCTAAACATGCCCGCAGTAGAAAATTCCATTCCTTAACACATGCGCAGTAGGGGAAATAAATCCATATGGAGCGGCTCAAACTAAGGGGCCACACGCACACTGGAAGGACTGGGTGGAGCTGCCAGGAATTGGCATCTTATACAAATAAGGAACCCAGCCTCGTCAGCTTTTAAATAAAAGCCCTGGTATTCAACTGTGAGGGGGCATCCAGCAACCTGCATTCAGGACCCCTCTCTTTGCTGAGAGCTTTCCTTTTGCTTAATAAATTCTACTCCACTCAATCTCTGGTGCCTGTGAGCCTAAATGTTCCTGGTGGTGAGACAAGAACCCAAAACTAGCTGAGCTAAAGGAGCAAAAATCCTGCATCAATGTGATTAAAAATCATTTCTGTTATATGTTATTGTTAGAAAATCATCTATTTCATTGTATCTATGGCTGTAAAAGCACGTTTCTAAAAAATACATACTGCAATATGAGATCAAAGAAAACAGCATGTACACACTCCCAAAAGTAAAAAGAGATGTATCTCTTTAACAAAAATGCTAGTCACTTCTCCCAAATAGTTATAAAAAATTACAAGGTTATGTATCATGACCTGCCACCCTGTATCTTTTTCAATCAGGAAGGTTATATAGAAAATATATCCCTTATTATGTTGAGAAATACTTTATCAAATGCAATATGAATTCATAAATTTCTTTTGCAAGTTTTGAATTATACGTTATATAGGTGATTTCCCTCGCCTCAAATATGCAGAGTAACTGAGAACATAGGGGCTGAAAAGATAATCTGGTCTGACTCATGTTCCATATGGATAATCTATGCTATCATTCTAAAATATTTTAGATTTCTTTGGTTTTGATATTCCTAAATTTCACTACACTACAGTTTATCAGGATATGGGTTTTTCTTGTCTTTCTTTCATGATACTCTTTTAGCCCTTTGAATGTGAAGTCTTTGTTCTTTCTTAATTCTGAACAATTTACCATCATTATTTATTTGAATATTTTTCTCTCCTTCAAATTCTTTTCTCCCTTCTGGGAATTCTATTATTTGAAAGCTAGCACTATTATCTCTCTCCCTCCATGTTTCTTAGCTTTCTTCAATATTTTCTGTCTCTGCCGGGCCAGATGCATTGACTCACACCTGTAATCCCAACACTCTGGCAGGCCGAGGTGAAAGGATCGCTTGAGCCCAGGAGTTTGAGACCAACCTGGGCAACATAGTGAGATGTCTCTTCAAAAATAAAAAATATATATTTTCTATCTCTGCTTTTCCTTCTGCCTTCAGAGGTCCTCAACATGATATTCAAGTTCAACAATCCACTTTTATCTATATCCATCCTATTTATCTGATTAAGCTCTTTACTTCAGGTCCTATATTTGTCAATCTAATATTCCTACTCTGTTCTTTTTATGACTTCTTGTTTGTTAACACTGCTACTATTGTCCTTTATTGCTGAATACATTTATTATGTTTATTTTTAATTATTGATCCCTCGGTTCGATAATTCTGCTTCATGAAGTCTATACTATTCCTTTTGTTATCTCCTCATATTTTCAATAGTGGCTGTATTCTCCATATACTTATTTTGGCTTCTGGGATCATATTCAACACAAGCTATGAGCTACTAGGTCTAGAAACATACATGAAAAAAATGGCCAAAACACAAGTCCTAGTACTGTCCCTTTTGGTGAATTTGAGAAGGATGAAGGGGATGAGCCACTGGCAACAAAAATCTCTCTTGATCACTCCAGTTTGCTGCCTACCACCAGGAAACTCCTTTAAAATGTAAATCCTTTAAAGGGTAACTCTTTTAAAGGGATTAGCCTTTAAAGTCCCAGAAAGCAGCAGCACTGGAAGAAGGCAATCTCAGTAGGGTATAATCTGCATGCTCCAGGAGGAGTCAGTGCCCTGGGGCAGCTGGTTGGCTTGTACCTGTTTTCATCAGCTCCTCACCCCATCAGCCTTTAGTGCTGCCCTGAAATAACCCAACTAACACCAACTTCTGTGGCAAGGGGCAGGCAATCATTGTCTCAAAGCAATTGGAGAAAGTCACATCAAACCTCAAACTTCAAAGACAAAAAAAAAAAAAAAACACTTAAAACAATTTTGCTTCTCCTGATTGATGCCTCAGGACACCCTGCGCCCTACACGAAACCACATACACAGACATACCAATTTGCAACAGCCTCAGTCACCCCTATAATTTTTCATAGTTATTTTAGGTATTTCCTCAGATCTCTGCTTTCCTCTTACTTCTGTAGTTTCTCCATGGTTAGTTTTGGGAGAAGGAGCCAACAGCCTATATTAACTCTCCAACTTGACAGAATCCCAAATAAGTTAACAAAGGAACAGCTCCCTGTACTACAGTGTAGGAAACTGGTAAAATATTAGAAAATAGAATTACCTGTAAGGATTAGTTCATGACACTGAGTATAAATAATCTAACCCTTTTCTTTTTTCTGGAGACGGGGGTCTCACTCTGTCGCCCAGGCTGGAGTGCAGTGGAACGATCTCGGCTCAATGCAAGCTCCGCCTCCCGGGTTCACGCCATTCTCCTGCCTCAGCCTCCTGAGTAGCTGAGACTACAGGTGCCCACCACCACGCCCAGCTTAGTTTTTTGTGTTTTTAGTAAAGACGGGGTTTCACCGTGTTAGCTAGGATGGTCTCGATCTCCTGACCTCATGATCTGCCTGCGCTGGCCTCCCAAAGTGCTGGGATTACAGGCGTAAGCCACTGCACCCGGCCTAAATAATCTAACACTTTTAAAACACCACACATACTCTTAAAAATGCAAACAAATCTCAAATACAGTTGCCAGACTAATAACCAATAATTAAGAATAATTCTTAAAACAGAGAACTCTGTTATACTCCTAAGCATGAGATGTTTCAGTTACAGCTTAAGGACCCTTGGGAAGCCCACTCATGTGCAGCCTGTGGCCCCTTGCACAGCCACATAAGGATGTGCCTGGGCCTGCATTTCCTTATAAAGAGATAAAGAGTTCTCACAAGTTGTGCTGCGCATATCTCTTAGGGACTATCTTTCCCTGTTCTGGGCTGGAGGTTTATTTCTTTGTTCTGTTTAAGCATGTGCATCATATAGTACCTGGCCAACCTCACTGCTATATCTGGCAAGGAGAGAACAGGGTTGTTCATCTGTAGCACGAGGGGATGAGGGCACACCCACAACCTCCCTGCCTTGGCTGCAGGGTGAGACCAGCTGGACATGGGGACCAACTCACTACTGAAGCTGACTTTGCCACCTCTTCTCTATGTGAGTAAAGACTGTTCCATCCACAGCCTGTGTGAGTCGTGTATCTCTTCAGGAATCCAACAATTGCAACCATGTGGTGGGCTGACATCCTGGGACTGCTGCTCCTGACAGTAGGTGTTGTTATGCTCCTTGCTGTCCTCCACACAGTGGGACTCCTCCCCTGAAGGTGGTAACAGGTCTCACTTGCTCGGTAAGTACAAAAACATTCTCAGAATCATTTCTCAGTAAAATTCCAAGTGACTACTTAATCTACATTCTACTTTTGAACTAATTACAGTTTCTACTGCCAAAAAGGCCCAGCTTTGAAACCCTGGTGTATAGACTAAAGTTTTCCCAAGAACACTGCTCCTGGAGTAGACTACTTTGCAGATTAAAGATGAGGCGGGCAGGCTGTTGCTAAGGCAATAATCCTGGGAAATGTGGTTTGCTGGGATTCCAACCAATACCACCAGAAAACTTATTGGCCATTCATTCTAGTGGGGTTCTCCTTTTCCAATCTCTTTCAATATAAAATCAATATTATGCATGCTCTGATTGTAGTCAGAGATTACATACTAGGGATTTTAATATAAATAAAACTGAAAGGGGAATTCAGAAGTCAGATGGAAAGAACATAGTAACAAATGATGTAAGCCTGAGTTGAAGGTCAGACACGCCTGAGTTCAAATGCTAGCCCTTACTAGCTATATGACCTTTAATTCATTCCTTAGTGCCTCAATTTCCTCATCTGTAAATGAGGGTACTAGTCCCAATTTTACACAGCTACTGTAAACTATACTGTATTAACTAAAATTAATAAATGAAGGGAACATATAAACAGGCCTTCAACTATAAATTCAACAAATATGCATTATATAAAACAATGGACTATGTGCTAAAAGCTAGTAGCTGCTGCTAGTAACAAACACTACTAAAACTCCCACCATCACCACTACTATCACCTCTCCTATTTCGAATTAATTGACTGAGCTTCACTCAGAATTAACATGCTTACCCTAGAGACAATTATTTTAAGAGTACATTTACAGAATTCTCAAATTATTTCAATCCCCAATGTGTTCAATTTGCTTCTTTAAAAAAAAATCAAATTATTTATTGCCATATGGTTTTTAGTAAAATGTTTCCTCTACAAGTTAAATGTGTTTGCTTCTAATTATTTCTAAATGTAGTGCTTGTAGTACCATAAAAATAATTTTGAGATCCAAATTTCATTGATCAGGCCAGGGGCAGTGGCGCATGCCTGTAATCCCAGCACTTTGGGAAGCCAAGGTGGGAGGATCACTTGAGGCAAGGAGCTTGAGACCAGCCTGGGCAACATGGTAAAACCCCATCTCTACTAAAAATACAAAAATTAGCCAGGCATGGCGGCATGCACCTGTAGTCCCAGCTACTCAGGAGCCTGAGCAGGAGAATAGCTTGAACCTGGGAGGCCCGGGTTGCAGTGAGCCAAGATCACACCACTGCACTCCAGCCTGGGCAACACGGAAGTTTCCATCTTCTTGTCCATCTTTAACAACATGAATATGTCATAGAAGATGGTAAACTTGAAGACACTAATTCAAAATCGAGTGCTTATTCCAATTAAATTTAATATTAAACAAGCTTATTAGAAGTCATTTTTGTTGTAACTTTCTAGGGGAATTGTTAGAACTTGACTAGTGATCTTTTAAATTGTTTTCCTGATGTAACAATGACTATAAAACTTCAAGGGCTACATAAAAGTCACCAAAAATAAACATTAAATGCTTTTGCCATTCATCACACAATTTTCTCAACTGCTTTATTTTCTGAATATGAAAAACAAATCCTTATGATTCACACTAGAAGAAATCAAATGTACACTCTATGTAAGGGGAAAAAAGATTAAGGCTTTTATATAAATAACCAACCACAGAAATATTTATTGAGTGTCTACTCAATTTTCATCCATTTTCCCCAGACATCCATCTCACCAAGCCAAGTTGTTACACAATAATTCCTATGTCAATGCTAGTTATCTAGCTGTTTTCCAAGGTCTCATTTCTGATGCCTAGGTTTGTCGTTTAATGCGAAATATGACTGGCTGAGCTATAAAGATAATACAACTGTTGGGGGAGTTGAACATGCCATATATACTGGACACATCAGGAATGTGTTCACTGTGCTCAGCATCCTCATGAAGTTCAATCCGCCCATCTAGAGCCTCTGCTCAGGCAAGGCCTCACTTTCCCTAAGGACGGATCTGTGACTAAGAACATAAGGCTTCAGATTATCTGCTTTCCGTGGTCTTCCTGCCTCCAGCCCATTCTTTACTTTGTCATGGCAGGGAACCTGCCAAAATACAAATATGTTCCACTATTTCCTTGAATAAGTCTCTTAACCCATTCATGCCGTAGGTTGCAAATTGTTTTGTGAAAAATCAGACCTTGGCGATGACCATGAGCAGGATATAAATAACCCCCACAAGCTTAACGTTCCAATAATGGAACACTATGCATAAATGGGTTAAATGACTCCTTACTACCCTCCATATACAGTCCCAACTCTTTAGCCTGTTCTCCCTCTTTCGGCCTCCTCTTCTGTCCCATTCCTCACCTGACACTTCTTCCCTTTAGGCTATACTCTCCAGACATTCTGAATGACATCTCCTCCACTGGTCCAGCACTTCCACACCTTTACTCTTTGGAATTCCAATTCTCCTTCCACAAACACCCAATACCTCTCTCTGCCAAACACCTATTTAACTTTTCCATCTCTTAAGAACCTTCCAAGAAATTTCTCCTATCTTAACCTTAGAACTGATGACTCCCTTCTTGGCATCCCTGCAACACACACTCCTATGCTGCTTTGCACAAATCTGTTTGCTTGTCATGCTCACTCTCTTGGACTGTAAGCTCCTTTAAGGGGGAAGCCAGGGCTTGTTTAACTGTGACCCTGCAAAACACAGCATGGAGTTTTCATTCAATAAGTGTCTCTGTAAAATGAATTAATTAACCTTTGTATGTAAGGAAAATGTCCTACACATGGTACACACTCGTTAAATGCCAACCAGATAAGTGGATAGATTCTCTAGCCATTGATAATGATATGTGGACTACTACAGATGCTCAGATTTCCTATAACCTAAGAACTCCTAACATATAGACATACATTTTTTTCCCATAGCTTCTACTCTGTCTTAGAGACCTAAAATTAAAAGGACAAGAAAATGCAGTACTGCATATATCAGCCCTTTGCATAAACCAATACTTGCTCAGGTCTAATGTTAATAGTTACAAACATACATCTAACTCCAACCTAATTCACATGACCTATCTCTACCCCTTGATATTAGGCAGAACTCTTACATGGACAAAGAATAGAAACCAAATTCTAACTACCCAAAGAGGGGAAAACAGCAGTATCAAAAGGATTCCAGGTTGCAGCAGCTTACAGGATCTAAGGAAGAGTTAAGGTAAACAGGGCAAGGGCAGGGCCTCATAGAATAAAGCTAGGTACTCTGCCTAGCTCAATTTGGGTTAAGTTCAATTTGGGTCAAGCTGCCCTAGACTAACCACGGTGGCCAGAAGGATGTGAAAGTATGATTTCCCAGTCTGTCACATGTTCATGGAATCTCAATCTCTACCATGGATATTCACCCCTCTACTTATCATCCCACCTAACTAACCCATATTCAAATATCTCCTAAATAATGGCTCCATCGTAACTTGTCCTTACAACTTAATTAGGCAAGCCTGCATCCATTCAACAGTACTTTTTTGAGTACTTTGACTAGATTACTCCCTGACAGTCACTATTCTAGATGCTAAGGACAGAGACATGAACAAGGCAAAGTCCCTGTCTTCTAATGGTGGAAACAAATACAAAATTGACTGTCAGATATAATTAACTGCTATAATGAAAACAATCTGGTAAGGGAGTGGGGAGTAATAAGGGAAGGTTGGGACCAAAAGGCTATTTTAGACAGGAAAAATTTATCTGAGAAGGAGACACTTGAGGAAACAGACCTGAATAAAGGTCAAAGAACTAGGGGGAAAATACTGAAGGATGAAGAAAAAGCAAATGTAAAGGGCCTAAAGCACCTGTATTTGGAGAGTCACAGAAAAACCAGAAAGGAATGGTCCATAGTGAAGGAAAAACCAAGTTTAAGGCCCTGAAACAACAACAAAATGGTATGGCTAAAAAAGAACAAAGAAATCCTAGTTTTAAAAAATGAAATTAGGCAGACACACAGGGACCAGAGCATGCTTTTGGATCACAGTTAGGAGTTGGGATTTTTTTAAACTCTGAGTGTGACAAGAAACCACATGAGTTTCTTCTCAGTCCAAGCAAACTGAGTTCAGTTGAAACTTAGGTCTATGCCTTCTTATTCTATACTCTGGAAGAAAAAAGAAAGCGACGACAACAGCTAACAGCAGCATAAACCCTACAACAATCCCTATCTCTGTTACTTACTCTTTCAACATCTGTGTGAATACTGTCCTGCATCAGGCTTTAGAATCTGTTATAAAAAGGCTTTATGCAATCATCCAAGTGAAAAGCATGGTTTTAATGTTCCATGTGCTAAAGCTTTTAGGCCTATAAAGCTCAAGCCAGGTCGAAACACTATTTGTGAATAAGCAGAATAAAGTAAATAAATTTTAGCTATACATAGTAACCAAAATCCCATAGAAATAAGTACACGAAATAGCATGTGGTATTATTAAATCAATGAATAAAAGGAAGTAAGGCCTAGTACTATTTTAACGGCATGAGAACTATTTAATATCGTAATCATTTTAGGACCAAACTCAGGCCACTTTATTTACCTTTTTTACTGCTTCTACATCACAATTAAATTGTCTTCTCATGGTTTTGTTTAGTTTAGACCAATACTGGCTTACATTTCATTGCAAGTTATGTAACCTTACATTTCAAAGAAAATAAATATTTCACTTTACAACAAAGGTACTTTTGTTATTTGAAATACCAGGTCTTAGTGATTGATGATCAACACTAACAACCACTCCCTCTCCTAATCAAAAACCCTATATGCAATACAAGAAACGGCCTCTTCATTCACTGTTCCCATTCTCTTCCTGCTGCATGTGTCTTTTCCTTCTTTTGCTCCCCAGGCCTGCAGAACTTCATAATCTACACTGAATTAACAGTCATTATTAGCAATTGCCTTGCCCAGTGACCGTTTCATCTACTCCTCATTACTGAAAAATACTAGCTTCTGGGTTATCCAAGACTCATAAAGTTTGGTTTCGGTGGGGTTTTTTATAAACTATGTATCTTATATGACTAGTATGTTTTCATGTTCACCATAATATTATTAAAGATAAGTTCCTTCTGGCAAGATATATGGGTAGATATGTGTGTGTCCCTTTTGTAACAACCACTGGTAGGACTATAAGACATATTGTTAATGCTGTTGGCATTCCTTTCTTGCTGCTGCTGCTGTTTGAACATTTTAATGAAAGATTGTATTGTGCTCATATCCTGAGGCTTTAATCAAAGCCATAGTTTTGGAAATAAATAATCTAGAATCATCCAAAATGTCTTATAAAAAAAAATCATCCGGGCGCAGTGGCTCATGCCTGTAATCCCAGCACTTTGGGAGGCCGAGGCTGGTAGATCACCTGAGGTCAGGAGTTTGAGACCAGCCTGGCCAACATGATGAATCCCCATCTCTAATAAAAATACAAAAATTAGCCAGGCGTGGTGTCACACCTGTAATCCCAGCTACTCTGGAGGCTGAGGCACGAGAATAGATTGAACCCAGGAGGCGGAGGCTGCTGTGAGCAGAGATGGCACCACTGCACTCCAGCCTGTGCGACAAAGCAAGATTCCATCTTAACAACAACAAAAAAAAATCTACTTTCCTAAGAGGATCAAGGAGACCATCTGATGCTGGTCCTCAGCCTCTCGCCTCAAAAAAATCCTTGTGTTTGGTAGACTTTTTACTTCCCTCTTGAGTCTATAAAATAGGTATTTAATCTCCTTGACAAAGCTGATACTTTCTCCTGTCTCTTGATGCTGTCCCTAATGTGCCCCTCACATCTTCCTTCTCTTATCAAGCATCTTTGCTCTGTAGCTTTGAGATAATTTGCCCTCACACGCATCTTCAATCTTTCACGGTACTACTGGTTCCTCTTTTCTCTTTATATAAACGTTTCTCCTGTGTTTAAAAAAAGAAAAAATCCCTGAATGTATTGTTCACATATACACACCTTAATACCTTAAGATTTGGCCTTTGCATATACCAATGAACTGAAACTGCCCTCAGCACCTTTCTTCTGTGCTTATATTCCTCAGTCTTCCATAGGATGTCACTGTGCTGACCACCAATGTCTATTAAATTGGTCCCCCCAACCAGGTTTTCTTCTGAATCTCTGATTTATATATTTCTTTTGCTTACTAGTGCTCTTCCCCAAGAAAAATATAAATTATCGTCCCTCTATATTTGATTTTCAAATAATTCTAGCCATAACCTTTCTAAGCTACAGACTCAGATTTATAACTTCTTTCTGAACAACTCAATTTAAACAACCTATCTGCACTCAAAATGACCATACTGCAAACCAAACTCATCATTTTCCCCTAAATTACAAAAAAAAAAAAAAATCCAAATTATTTTTGTCAACAATATCTTGACCCTTTGGTCACCAGGCATCAATACCCAAATTTTCATCTTACTTTTTCTTTCCATAATCCTTCCCATCCCAGCCATGCAGACTTACCCATCATTCTCTCTGTTCTCACACTGGCCACCCACGAAGCCTTCTGAAGTTCCCAACTAGACTAGTTCAACAGCTTCTAACCTAACCTCCTTATCTCTTATTTCTCTCCTCATGTAAGCCAGGAAAAAAATCATCCCGAATCATGTCTGTTTCTAACACAAAAAGTCTGTAATAGAAAAAGAAAGTTCAACATCATTAGCCATTAGGAAAAGGCAAATCAAGACCATAATGAGATACTACTAGACACCTATCAGAAGAGCAAAAATAAAACAGTGATGACACCAAATGCCAGTAAGAATACAAAACCAGAGTCACTCCTACATTGCTGGTGGGAATGTGAAATAGTATAGTCACTCTGGACCATTTGGCAGTTTCTTTAAAAATGGAATATGCAATTAACATATGACCCAACATTTATACTCTTGGGCGTTTGTCACAAGGAAATGAAAAAAAAAAACCCAAAAACCTATGTTCGCACAAAAACCTGTACACAAATGTTGATAGCAGCTTTATTTGTAATAGCCAAAAACGAGAAATAATTCAATGCCCTTCAACAGATAAATGGTTAAACAAATACTATGCAGTGATTTATAAAGAAGCAAACTATTGATATATGCAACAACTTGGATGGATCTCCAGGGCATTATCCTGAACAACAACAACAAAACAGCCAATCTTAAAATGTACATACTGTATGAGTCTATATATACATAACATTTCTGGAGTGACAAAATTTATGGAAAACACATCAGTGGTTGCCAGGGATTAAGGATGGGGTGCTATGACTATAACAGGGTAGAATGAGGAAAATCTTTGTAATGATTAAATAGTTCTGTATCTTTCTTGCAGGGATGGCTACACAAATTTTCACATGATAAGACAGCATAGAACTATATGAACACATATTGTACCAGTGTAAACTTCTTGGTTTTGATATTATAATATAGTTAATGTAAGATGTAACCACTCGGGCAAACTGAGTGAAGTGAGAAGGACCTCTCTGTACTACATTTGCAACTTTCTATGAACCTATGATTATTTCAAAATTTTTTAAAAAGTTAAAAGTTATATAATTCCACTTATATAATATTCTTGAAATAAGAAAATTAAAGAAATGGGCCGGGTGCGATGGCTCACGCCTGTCATCTCAGCACTTCGGGAGGCAGAGCCAGGCAGATCACAAGGTCAGGAAATGGAGACCGTCCTGGCAACATGGTGAAACCCTGTCTATACTAAAAATACAAAAACTAGCTGGGCGTGGTGACATGCGTCTGTAGTACCAGCTACTCGGGAGGCTGAGAAAGGAGAATTGCTTGAACCTGGGAGGCGGAGGTTGCAGTGAGCGGAGATCGCACCATTGCACTCCAGCCTGGCGACAGAGTGAGACTCCATCTCAAAAAGGAAGAAGAAAAGAAAATCAGAGAAATGGAGAATAAGTTAGTGTCTGACAAGCATAGGAGGTGGGGAGTTGGAGAAAGTGAGTATAGATAAAGGGAAGTCTTGTAGTGATGGTTACATGAATCCATAAATATGATAAAATTCCATACTCACATACACAAGCACACACAAGTGCATGTGAAACTGATGAAGACTAAATAGCTCTGTGTACTAACATTAATTTCCTAGTTTTTTTTATTATACCTAAAGTTATGCAAGATGTTTTCACTGGGGGGAACTGGGTGAAGGATACACTGGACTCCTCTATACATTTCTTTTTCAACTTCCTGTGTATGTAAAACTGTTTCAAGATAAAAAGCTTACAAATAATAAAAAGGAAGAAGAAAAACTAAATTTAAAAAGTCATAGTTTTCCACTGCTTACTAAATTAAATAGAAATGTACTCAGACTTCAACCTCCTCACACTGTTCCACACTCTTCACCTCTCCTTACTTCCAAGTGAATCTTTGCCATACTCTAAACACATGTCATGCATTTATGACACCAACTCTCAGCCCACAAGATTCTCTCTACCTACAGCATCTGCCTAACTACCTCTTTATACTCCATCCCCATCTCTTGATAAATCTTCCTCATTTCTCAGGTCCCTTTCAAATTGCCTTCTTTGGTTTCTTCATCCAGACATTCTCTCTCCTTTCCTCTGAACACTACTTACTCTGTAATGTAAATTATCGTATTCTGCCTGATACCATAGTTAGTTGCTTTAGCTTCCCTTCAGACTTCATCTTGCCTACCACGCGGCTGGTGACCTTGCAATATATATTAGCTGGATTTACAAAAGGCAAAGTAGTTTACAGATAAGCAAACAACAACAACCAAAAAACCACAACACATACACACTCTTAAAAATGTTGCCAGGTCTTTATCCACTATATCCTCAGCCATCTGAGCTCCATAATGAGGACAGTGGCGCATTTGAATGTTCTTTAAAGGCCACACGTGTATGGGATAATATATACAGCTGTGAAAGAGAGAGCAAACCTTTTCCCTCTGTAATACAGTAATAAGAACATTAAATTGCACTTAAAAACGTAGCTTTTAAAAATCTGCAAAGAACAGCTGGAAACTATCACCTACTCAGACAGAAAAAAATAATTAGTTCTCTCTCAGTTAAGACCTGAAAAACAAGATGAATCATAAAAGGGCTATGAATAAAAGCAGTGTACCTGTAACTTTTCCTATTCCTGTTATTCTTGAAAGAATTGTTTTAAAGTTTGATGCTTTTTTTTTAGTAGTCTACAACACATTAACCAAGTAATTATGGCCAATCAACCAATTTCAAATGGATTACTATATAAGAAAGTCAGTTAATGCTCAGAATTATCAACCAACACACAAATCAGTTCTGATTATCTATTCTTAATTTATGGGGTTTCTTTCCGTTTTTAGTGACTCAAAATTATACGGAATGACTGTAATAAATCCTTTTTTCTTTTTTTAGGTGGAGTTTTGTTCTTGATGCCTAGGCTGGAGTGCAATGGCACGATCTCGCCTCACAGCAAACTCCATCTCCCAGGTTCAAGCAACTCTCCTGCCTCAGCCTCCCAAGTAGCTGGGATTACAGGCATGTGCCACCACACCCGGCTAATTTTGTATTTTTAATAGAGATGGGGTTTCTCCATGTTGGTCAGGCTGATCTCGAACTCCCGACCTCAGGTGATTCGCCCACCTTGGCCTCCTAAAGTGCTGGGATTACAGGCGTGAGCCACCGCGCCCAGCCGAATGTAATAAATCTTTAACCAGAGTATCGTTTAATCGATTATCTTTCATCTTTAAGACAAGAACAGAACCCTGGAAAAAATGATAACTACTTTACAGATGAGGAAACTTAGGCTCAGAGATGTTAAAGAGCTTGTCTAAGGGAACACAGTACGCTGGCAGGTCAAGACTCAAACCCATGTCTGTCTAATTCAAAGTCAATATAAATTCTAGTGCACAGGCCAACCTAAAATCACTTGCAAATTTCCAACTAAGAAGAAGGTACTTTCATACAAAGTCAAGATTAAATAATTTTAGTAGAGTATGTTAATTTCTAAAAAACTCATATGTGTTTTTGTATGTATCAAAAAATGTACATGCAGCCAGGCACTCTGACTCTTGCCTGCAGTCCCAGCTACCCAGGAGGCAGAGGCAGGAGGAAGACTTGAGCACAGGAGTTCGAGGCTGCAGTGAGCTATGATCATGCCACCATGCCCCAGCACCCCAGTCTGGATGAGAGAACAAGAATCTCTCTCAAAAAAAAAAAAACAAAAAAAAAACACAACCACAACAACAACTAATAAAATGAAATGTATAGTCTAAGTGGCAACGTACCTCTTTCTTACTTGTTCAACTTGTTACAAAAAATATACAGTATTTCATGTTTGAGAAAAGGAATATAGAGTAATTTTTTTAAAAGGCAGTATAGCAGGTCAAGAACACAGATAAGGGGATTAATCAAGTTTAAGTGATCATTAACAAACTGCTTTACCTTTCTGTGCCTTAGTTTCTTCATTTGTAAAGTGAGAAATCTCTACACCTCATAGTATTACGGGTATTAAACATACACGTTATCAGACTTACAGAAAACAATCAACATTAGCTATTACTATTGTTATTTCATTTATTTTTATTTATATTTTAGTGCAGTGCATGATTGTGCAATATCACTGACATAGATGATCCGTTATGAACAGGGAATACTATGCTATAAAAGATGCAAACAGCTTACAACACAAATAGGGGTTATAATACTTTTTAAAAATATTGCTTATAATCACAAAGACAAACTTTGCTTTATCCTTCACAGAGGTTATCATCTGGTTTTAAACAAATAAGTCTTTCCTTACCAGCCTCTCCAATACTCTCACTACTATAACCTCCTGTCTACCAGTCTACCCTTAAATAAAGAATCTATAGTCTTCAACTAAAATATCAATTTAACTAAAATATCTATTACGAGTAGTGTTGTTAACAATAGTAGTATTTAGCTAAGACATATGTGAATATGAAAAAATTATGTGTCAACAAGGCATAAAAATAAATGCTCACTTAAATATTTTAAGCAACAAATGTTATAGAAATGGAAAGCATTCTGGTTTCTTGTGAAAAGTAGTAGAAAGGCTATCTTCTATGGATTTTAATTTTGCTGAATAATATTGTACGATATTTGACGTTATTAATTCTAAAAATACCTTTATACTACTTTTAAATGAATACATACGCCCCAAACTGTAACTATTAAGTAGTATTTGTAAGCAATATATAACTTATCATTTTCAAAAACTAGGAATTCAATTTCATAAAACTAGGCCAGGCACAGTAGTAGCTCATGCCTATAATCCCAGAACTTTAGGGGGCTGAGGTGGGAGGACTGCTTGAGCCCAGGAGTTCAAGACCAGCCTGGGCAACATAGGAGACTCTGTTTCTATAAAACAAAAATTAAAAATCAGCTGGGCATGGTGGCAAGCACCTGGGGTCCCAGCTATTCAGGAGGCTGCAGTGGGAGGATCGATGAAGCCCAGGAGGTTGAAGCTGGAGTGAGCTGTGGTCACGCTACTGCAATCCAGCCTTGGTGACAGAGTGAGGCCCAATAAATAAATCTCTTAAAATCCAACTCATTCATAAAATTCATGAGTAAAATCTGTTTTTGGTTTCTTACAGTTTATTATAAAGTTTTAAATCACATAATGAGGCTGGGCATGGTGGCTCATGCCTGTAATCCCACCTACTTGGGAGGCTGAGGCAGGAGAATCACTTGAACCCAGAAGGCGGAGGTTGCAGTGAGCCGAGATCGCACCATTGCACTCCAGCCTGGGCAACAAGAGTGAACCCCATCTCAAAAATAAATAAATAAATATAAAAATAATCACATCATGCAATTACTTATACTACACAATATTATAACCAATGAGTCAGGGTGGCCTACAGAATTTTTAGCAAAGAGTACTATAAGTATACATCTGAAAATTCATCTTTCACAGCTGATTATGCTATAATGCAAATACAATGATGGTTACGTTCTAATACTTTTTACATGGTATAATATTATATAACATTAATAAATAGGAAAGAATGGCATGGTACCTAAAATATCTAACTGAAGCAGATGAATGGTATTTCAAAATATCCTAAAGTGAATTTCTCTTGTGGAACTGTAGTTCACTCAAGTAGCTGCAACTTGGTATTTATGTAAAGCTTATCAGGGTCTGCAAAAGCTACAAAGTGTCCCATCCATTAAATCTGCCATTAACTTAAATTCCAGCTGAATTAAACAGGATGATATCACTGCGCAATTTTGGTAGCTGAACGTATTTTACCAATTCTAAATTCTGGACAACTGGGTACTGACACTAAAATTTTTAAGTCCATTATGACCCATGACCTTCAAGATTCCAATAATTTTACTATTTATTAGTTTTAAACTACAATAATTCCAATAATGACTCATGTTTAATATTTAAGTTCATGAGGGGGTAGGGAGATGGGAATAAACCTGTAGAATATAGAGTGTATCTAGGACACCCAAAGCGACATCAGAGAGGTAAGGTAATGATTTTTTTAAAAAAACACAAACAAAACCACAACAACAACAACAACACTGACCTAGGAGTCAGGAAAACTGGTAGCCACAAATCACAAACAGAAACAATTCTCTCCTTCTTCTGAACCTGACTTTGCCCATGACACACTTAGGGCACAGACACAGATTGCTTCATATTTCAACATCCCTAGAGGATCCTAAGTTCTTTAAGGAAACGTGCCATGTCTCTTACGTTTGTATATATCATAAAACCTAACATAGTGTTTTGCATGTTAGGCACTCAATAAAAATGTGATAAATGTGCAAAAGAATGAATAGTTCCATTTTACCCATAGTCTAGCTATGCAACTTTGGAAAATCCTTGACATGCTCTGGGCCTATTATGTCCTGTATTAGTGAGGGGCAGGACGTTGGCTGTGGCAGTCAAAACAATGCTGGGAGTTTGAGAAGTGAAATGCACAAGCTAGAAAACAGTCATTATTCTGGTATATGCACACGATGAAATATCATTCAGCAGTAAAAAAGAATGGAGTACTGACATATGCTACAAAATGGATGAACCTTAAAAACGTGCTACCTGAAAGAAACCAGTCACAACAGACCACATATGATTCCATTTATATGAAATGTCCAAAATACGCAAATCTATGGAGTGGGAAAGTAGATTAGTGTTTGTCTAGGTCTGGGAGGATGGGTAGATTGGGGATGAAAGCTAATAGTTACAGGGTTTCTTTTGGGGATGATGAAAATGTTTTGAAATTGAAGTGATGGTTGCACAACTCTGTGAACACTTAAAAACCATTGAATTATATACTTTAAATGAGTAATTGTATGATATGTGAGTTATACTTCGAAACTGATTACAAAAAAGTTGTAGGAGGAGGAAGGGAGGAGGCTAAAAGAAAATACAGTCACCAATCAAACTGTATTTATATCTGTGAGAGGAAACATATTAATTGTTCTCCATAGGCCCTTCTGGCTCTCCCTTCATGACGGAGCCTCAAAGCATGCCTGCATTCCTCAGTGCCTATTCCACTGCACGCAAATAAACGATGCCCAGAGCAGCCGATTGCCTAATGCTCAATATTGGGAGGAAAGAAACAAAGAATCTAAAGCAAATCAAGTCAATATGCTCCCCTGGAAAAAAAGAGTATGCTACCAGGAGTTCTATGCCAGTGTCAGCATTGAAGTGCACAGAGGTAGGAGAAAAGACTGAACAGCATAGGTTAAAAGCTTGGCTCTGGTGTCTGGCAAACCTGGGCTCTCTCACACACTAGCCTCCACTTTCTTCTCACCTATTAAATAGGGATCATAAACTGAGTACACCTCTTTAATCACCTCTTAAAGGCCCCCACCTCTTAATAGTCTCACACTGGCAACACCTGGATTTGGGAGAGGCCACATTCAAACAGCAGCAGCAGCAGTAGTAGTATTCTCCCTGCTTAACTTCTTGCAACATCATTTAGGAATACCCGCCACAAGTAGAGTATTATTTCCAAATATATTCAAATTTAAAATGGCAGGTATACACCTACTATGTACACATAAAAATGAAAAAAATTTTAAATGTTTTTAAAGATAGCAGAGTAAGCTGGGCGCGGTGGCTCACGCCTGTAATCCCAGCACTTTGGGAGGCTGAGGCGGGCAGATCACGAGGTCAGGAGATAGAGACCATCCTGGCTAACAAGGTGAAACCCTGTCTCTACTAAAAAAACAAAAAATTAGCCGGGCATGGTGGCAGGTGCCTGTAGTCTCAGCTACTCAGAGGCTGAGGCAGGAGAATGGCATGAACCCCGGGAGGCGGAGCTTGCAGTGAGCCAAGATGGCGCCACTGCACTCCAGCCTGGGTGACAGAGCTCAAAAAAAAAAAAAAAAAAAAAAAAAAAAAAGATAGCAGAATTGCAGAAAAAGTAGATAGCAAACACAAACATTTTTCAAATGGACAAACTGATGCTTTGGAAGATTAGTCTATACTTAATCATGCTTCCTTTCCTTAAAAAATGGGTGGATAATATCTACAAATTCCTCAAGCATGTGAAATCTAAACAAAATGAAGTTTAATGAGTAATTTGCACAAGAAAAGATGTAATGAAAAACACTATCATCCTAATTTCAAAACTTTTCTAAGTCGAAATGTGATTTTAAATATTCACAGAGAAAAAAAAACAAACAAACAGTAGAGCCCCACTGAAAAGCAGGTCTCTGGCAAAGTTATTCAAGTTTAGCAAAGAGACCTTAGACTTAGACTAGATATTCCTCAGATAGGGCGCAGGGGTGGTGGAAGGTAAAGTTACAAAACTTAAGAGGGTTGCCAGGGAAATATTTGTCCCCCAAATATAGAATGAAACTATCACAGAAGCTCAGGAAAAAATAATGCAACCCGGTTTTGTTCGTTTGTTTTGCTTGGTCACATCATTTACTTCTGGAAGGAATAAGAAGCTGAAAACAAAGGGAAGGGGAAATCTAACTTTTCAAGTAAAAAGCCACTATGAAGGACTGAATAGACTTGTGTTTTCAGTCTTGACTGCATATTAGATTCAACAAGGGGCCCTTTACAAACATCCATGCCTAGTATTTAATTCTTCTGGGGTGAAAACAGAGCACTTTTTAAAAAAAGTTTTCCAGGTTAATCTAAAGAACAGCTGGGGTTAAGAACCACTGAGCTAGCTGGAAAGTGTGTACATCAGATACAGTACAAAGTCTGGCATGGTGCTATAAGGACGATAAACATCTGGTGCATAAATACTTTTTGATTAATGCTTTGAATCATGTTGTGTGCCGCCTCCCCATCACAAGACCAGAATCTCTTCCAGTTATCTCATCACCCTACAATGTTAAACAGCTTCAGCAAAGCCCATTTAAAGCCAACTGAGAAGTTCTTGCTGCATGAAGTACCCTTGATGAGATTCCAAAAGACAGGATTCACTAGTTAGCATAAGACCTAATGTAAGCAATTCTTCTTCAAAGGGAGAATTTAGGTTTACTGAAGCAGAAAACTAAGAGCCTTTAATACAAAGCTGTAATTAATGGGTATTATAAATCATAGCAGTACATCTCTGATTTCAGGTTTGTGGGATGCACCACATGCAACACACACTAATTCAACGAAAAGTGGCCTCCTGCATATAATTGCCTTTCCTGGAGAAAACCAATTTGATCCCCAAGAGGTTGGAAAGGAATGCAGATAATTACACATACTTACAATACAATTGCTTCCTGCTCTCCAAAGCAAACTTTTAAAAGAATGTTTTTATTTTAAGCAAAATAATTTTTCTTCAGCTGTCCCTTTTTATATTCAATCTAATAGACCAGTAAGGCCAACTTTCACAATGGCCTATTATATATTTAATTAGTTATTCTGAGATATGAACATTCCAAGATTTCATGCTGATTAAATTCCTCTATTCTCTGAATGGAATAATATATTAGGTAAAATTGCCCCACACAAAAATACAAATCAAGAAAAATTTAAAGATACAAGTATCAAGTGTAGCCAGCTAGGAATCCATCAAGTGATAACTGAAGTGCTCCACACCAGACCTTCACTTACACAGGAAGGACCAATCCTAGGCAGAACTTCACTTTACACAGAAAGGCCCTCTTTAGGAGACTCAGTTTGCCCGTTTTGACAAACTGCATAGTTTCTTTTCTCTTCTTTTTTTTTTTTTTGACACACGCAATCTCAGTTCACTGCAACTTCCGCCTACCGGGTTCAAGCGATTCTCCTGCCTCAGCCTCCCGAGTAGCTGGTATTACAGGAGCCCACCACCACGCCCAGGTAATTTTTGTATTTTTAGTAGAGACGGGGTTTCACTGTGTTGGCCAGGCTGATCTTGAACTCCTGACCTCAGGTGATCCGCCCACCTTGGCCTCCCAAAGTGCTGGGATTACAAACGTGAGCCACCGCGCCCAGCCAAAGTGCACAGTTTCAGGTATATCCTTGAGGTCTCTCCCTCTACCCTACATCAAAAATCATCTAAATAGCAGCTGACTTCTGAATAACTCCAAGTTAATGAAGGTCCTGTTTCTAGTTTTAAAATATTCCCTGGTCAGCAACAACAGTTCTCAAAAAAAAACCGCGTATCTCAAAACAAGGGCTCCACAATAAATGTCACCAAAAGCTGCTTTATAATACCTTTCATCTTTTAAAAGTTTAGCTTAAGTTTTCTTTTTTCTCCTATCTTGAATGAAATATGTAAAATTCAACTTTTCATGTATTTAATAAACTGTTATTGCTACACAAATAAATTCTCTTTCCAAAGCATATACTTCATTTTTTTTCAGAGGAAAACAAGGTGATTTGATGATTCACTTAATTCTGTTTAACTTCATGACTCTTTACAAAAGTAAAAAGATGCAAATCATTCATTGTTCATCCATTCACCTCCAGGAACTGTGAAGCATTAAACGCCACTTGATCTGCCCTATACTGCTGTGATTTCACCTTCAATATAAACAGACCATGTAGCTAACAGCAGTGACTACCACCAATGTTAGCAGAACACTGGATATGGAGTCAATCCATTTCTTTCTTCCTTCCTCACCACCTTTCTAACCTTCCTTTCCTCACCCTCCTCTACTCTCTACTTCCTCCTCTCCTTTAACTGCTCTTTTATTACTAATTTTTCTGCCTTTGAATCCATTCTCCCTCCATCCTTTTATCACCATTTATTTTTCTCTACATTCTCTCTCCTCAATCTCCTCTTCCTTTTCACCACAACACCTTCTTCACCAACCACCCTTTTTTATTGTTCTTGCCTTATTAACTCCCTCCCCTTGGCTCTCCTGCTCTTTCTGCCTTAGCCATCTCTCTCCTCTATTTGTTTAGTGCCTTGTGCTAGTATCTCTTCCACATGCCCATACCACAGCTCACAGTCTTTGTACCTTTTCCAAACCAGATGGTCCCTGGAGAAAGGCAAGATCTAAAATTCCAAGGGACTCGGAAAATTAGACTTTGGATGGAAAAAAAAAAATAAGTATCCCTAATATCTAACATTATAAATCTGTGTCACAAGGAGCCAACTCAGCTATTGCTATAATTATAATTTCCCACCAATGCTCTTTCAAAAATGGAGCAGAGATGAATGAGATTTTAATACTGTAATTGTGCCTTATAATCTACTATTCGGACTCATTCTAGCTTCCTCTTATTTAACCTCTGAAGTGTATACGTACGTAGAGAGGGTAGTTGGCAGGGAGGGACAACTAAAGTGCCAAACGCTGAGAAGAAAGCATGGTTTTCATGCAAATCTAGAATTCAGGCACTATTTGAACCATAAAAATGAAAATACAAGATGTAGGCTGTAACTAAAACTAGCTATAACTAGTAAGCTTTTAAAGGACAATGTGTTTTAATCCTACCAAATTAGAATATCTACCAACAAAAGGCTACATACAATTATTTAATACTTTTGATATAAAAATCTCAACGTCATTTAAAGATTAAAACAATTTTGGGATTTGGGGTTTCTCAAAGTCATTCTGAAACATGACAGTTCTCTCTACACATTATTCTACCTAAGCAGCAATGCTCTAGTCTTAAGCTTTGGGAGAAGCTACGACTGCCTAAAGATTACTCTTTGCCAAAAAAAGAGAGGGAGACGGGGAGAGGGGAGAGGGGGAGAGGGGAGAGGGGGAGAGGGGAGAGGGGGAGAGGGGAGAGGGGGAGAGGCCCCTCTTACTTAAAGCAGAACACTAAAAACCCAAGCCAACTAATTTGTGGTGGAATTTAAATGAAGAGCCAGCTGCAGAACACAGCACCAAGGAGAAAAGAAGGTCGCAAGGAGGAGAGGCTGCAAGTACAACAGGGTTATCCAGAGTGAGGAAATAATTGTTTTCAAATATTTGTAAGATGTGATTGAAGAGATTGGGGGGAAATTTAAATTGTTCTGATAAAATGCCACAACGCTCAAATACTAATCTACTTACATTATTGTTTTAGGAAGCAGAATTCATCCAACACCATTTGTCCAACGATAATCTATGTTTCTTAAGGTGAACTTAAGTTAAAATGGAAAGACTGCTTTAACAGGTCAGGGTAACTCAGCCAACTGCATTTTTAGCCTCCAAAGTACTAGAAATTGGAGATAAAGCTCTAAATGAGTAGTTTTTTAAGTGAGCAAAGTTTACAGAGATGAGACTGCAGAAAAGAAGTATGTTCAAATGTGGGCAGCAGAAGTTTATAATTCTGTGTGGTGGAGATCTTTTAGATATTTAGAATAGTATGCTTGGTTCTTAATAGCATTACATCTGTATTAATAAATTAATATGAGATAAAACAGAAATTAAAATATAAATGCAAATAATACTGTTTTAAATATGTAGCTACATGTATGAGAAAACTGATGATCCCTTCTGTTAAAATATTGAAAGTATATACTACTTAACATAACTTCAAATTTACTGCATAAGACCTTGACTCTCATTGCTTATTCTGAATCAAGGGCGAAAACTTCTAGTATTTTCATATCTTGCATACAAATTAGCTTGTTTCTCCAAAAATCAATAAGTCATATATTTGACTGATCTGTATGCTCTGATTAGAGAATTCACATCGTAAGATCACAGTGTTCTACCTGCTTCTTCAAGTTTTCCACATTAACAATCAATATCAAGGGTTCAATTTTCCGAGATTTGAATGTCACTGTCTGTTCTCATTGTAATGGTTACAAAACCATAAACGTGATTCACTAGTGTTTTTATACTGAGGGTGCTAAGAATTTGCCTGCTGTGAAAATACCAAAGTTCACCTTGCATGACATTTTCCCATTTGAAAGTATCTGCTTTCACAGACTGAAAGCTAATCTGCCAGGAGGCACTGTGCTTCTCAGCAACATAAAGAGAGTTCCAGAGGGAAACTCAGGCTCAGGATGGCCCTTCACTTGGGATGAGAAGTGAGTTAAACAGGCTTTTCATACAGAATATCAATTATCAGCAATATATGTATACCAAGATAATCACAACGGTGATGATAAGGAAATCACTGCCTGACACCAGCCACTACATCCTAACATGAGAAGCTCTCTTCATAACCATTTCTCCCTCAGGGAGAATAGAATCTCTGTTTCAGGGCTTACAAACAAAAATTGCAACAAGCCTGGAGTCAAGGCCTAAGGTCTTCAATGAAATAAATCAACCTGAAATAAACTAGAGAGCAAATGACTTGGGCATTTAATAAAAATAACATTAGCCTTGGCCCTGAACATACATGAAGAAATGGTTCTATAAATCCCCTCCTAAAAGGAAACCCATGATTATACTATATCCCACACATAGTTATCCACTAAGTATGGGCTGTATATATTAGTCAGGGTTCTAAGTTGTCAGTGACATACACCAACTAATAAATTTAATCAGACAAAATATTTGCTAAAAATAGTAAGTACTTAGAACGGGGGCCCCAAACCCCTGGGCCATATTATGAGGCCAACATCATCCTGATACCAAAACCTGGCAGAGACACAACAAAAAAAGAAAATTTCAGGCTAATATCCCTGATGAACATCGATGCAAAAATTTTCAATAAAATACTGGCAAACCGAATCCAGCAGCACATCAAAAACCTTATACAGCACAATAAACTTGGCTTCATCCCTGGGATGCAAGGCTGGTTCAACACACGAAAATCAATAAACGTAATCCATCACATAAACAGAACCAAAGACAAAAACCACACAGTTATCTCAATAGATGCAGAAAAGGCTTTCGATAACATTCAACACTTCTTCATACTAAAAACTCTCAATAAACTAGGTATTGATGGAACGTATCACAAAATAATAAGAGCTATTTATGACAAACCCACAGCCAATATCATACGGAATGGGCAAAAACTGGAAGCATTCCTTTTGAAAATCGGCGCAAGACAAGGATGCCTTCCCTCACCATTCCTATTCAACATAGTATTGGAAGTTTTGGCTAGGGAAATCAGGCAAGAGAAAGAAATAAAGGGTATTCAAATAGGAAGAGAGGTAGTCAAATTGCCTCTGTTTGCAGATGACGTAATTGTATATTTAGAAAATCCCATCATCATCTCAGCCCAAAATCTCCTTAAGCTGATGAGCAACTTCAGCAAAGTCTCAGGATACAAAATCAATGTGCAAAAATCACAAGCATTCCTATATACCAATAACAGACAAACAGCCAAACCATGAGTGAACTTCCATTCACAACTGCTACAAAGAGAATTAAATACCTAGGAATACAACTTCCAAGGGAATGTGAAGGACCTCTTGAAGGAGAACTACAAACCACTGCTCAAGGAACTCAAGGAGGACACAAAAAAAATGGAAAAACATTCCATGCTCATGAATATGAAGAATCAATATCATGAAAATGGCCATGCTGCCCAAAGTAATTTATATATTCAATGCTATCCTCATCAAGCTACCGTTTACGTTCTTCACAGAATTAGAAAAAAACTACTTTAAATTTCACATGGAACCAAAAAAGAGCCTGTACAGCCAAGACAATCCTAAGCAAAAAGAACAAAGCTGGAGGCAACATGCTACCTGACTTCAAACTATACTATACGGCTACAGTAACCAAAACAGCATGGTATTGGTACCAAAAGAGATATATAGATCAATGGAACAAAACAGAGGCCTCACAAATAACACCACACATCTATAAACATCTCAGCTTTGACAAACCTGACAAAAACAAGCAATGGGGAAAGGATTCCCTATTTAAAAAATAGTGTTGAAAAAACTAGCCAGCCATATGCAGAAAACTGAAACTGGACCCCTTCCTTACACCTTTCACAAAAATTAACTCAAGATGGATTAAAGACTTAAACATAAGACCTAAAACCATAAAACCCTAGAAGAAAACCTAGGCAATACCATTCAGGACATAGGCATGATGGGCAAAGACTTCATGACTGAAACAAAAGCAATGGCAACAAAAGCCAAAACTAACAAATGGGATCTTTTTTTCTTTTCTTTTTTTTTTTTTTTGAGATGGAGTTTCACTCTTGTTGCCCAGGCTGGAGTGCAATGGCACAATCTTGGCTCACTGCAACCTCCGCTTCCCAGGTTCAAGCGATTCTCCTAGTAGCTGGGATTATACGGGTGTGCCACCATGCCTGGCTAATTTTGTATTTTAGGTAGAGACAGCGTTTCTCCATTTGGTCAGGCTGGTCTCTTAACTTCCGACCTGAGGTGATCAGCCTGCCTCAGCCTGCCAAAGTGCTGGGATTACAGGCGTGAGCCACTGCGCCCAGCCAACAAATGGGATCTAATTACACTAAAGAGCTTCTGCACAGCAAAAGAAACTATCATCAGAGTGAACAGGCAACCTACAGAATGACAGAAAATGTTTGCAATCTATCCATCTGACAAACAGCTAATATCCAGAATCTACAAAGAACTTAAACAAATTTACAAGAAAAAAACAATCCCTTCAAAAAGTGGGCGAAGGATATGAACAGACACTTCTCAAAAGAAGGCATTTATGCAGCCAACATACATATGAAAAAAGCTCATCAGCACTGGTCATTAGAGAAATGCAAATCAAAACCACAATGGGATACCATCTCACACCAGTTAGAATGACAATCCTTAAAAAGTCAGGAAACAACAGATGCTGGAGAGGATGTGGAGAAATAGGAACGCTTTTACACTGTTTGTGGGAGTGTAAATTAGTTCAACCATTGTGGAAGACAGTGTGGCAATTCCTTATGGATCTAGAATCACAAATACCATTTGACCCAGCGATCCCATTACTGGGTATATACCCAAAGGATTATAAATCATTCTACTATAAAGACACATGCACATGTATGTTTATTGCAGCACTGTTCACAATAGCAAAGACTTGGAACCAACCCAAATGTCCATCAATGATAGACTTGATAAAGAAAATGTGGCACATATACACCATGGAATAGTATGCAGCCATAGAAAAGGATAAGTTCATGTCTTTTGCAGGGAGATGGATGAAGCTGGAAACCATCATCCTCAACAAACTAACACAGGAACAGAAAACCAAACACCTCATGTTCTCACTCATAAGTGGGAACTGAACAACGAGAACACATGGACACAGGGAGGGGAACATCACACACCGGGGCCTGTCAGGGGGTGGGGAGCTGGGGGAGGGATAGCATTAGAAGAAAAACCTAATGTAGATGACAGGTTGATGGGTGCAGCAAACCACCATGATATGTGTATACCTATGTAACAAACCTGCACGTTCTGCACATGTATCCCAGAACTTATAAGTATAATTATAAAAAAAAAGAATCATTATCAAGAAAAAAAAATGATAGAAAGCACTAATGTACATTACAATAAGTATGCCGGACTCTGTCCTAAGAGTTTTACTTTAAATAAGTCACCTAATCCTCAAAAGAAGCCTATGAGGTACATGCTATTATTTCCCCTTCTTACATTTGAGGGACCTGAGGCACACAGAGGTTAACTAACCACCTCAAGCACGGTTACAAGACTGGTAAGTGGCAGAGCTGAGATAAAAGCTGGGATATGAACCCAGTCAGTCTAGCACGAGAGTCCATGCTTTATACTGCCTTTTGGACATCCAGATCTGCGACAAAGTCCAAAATCATGCCTTAAAACAGGTTCCGTGAAGAAACCACAACCCTAGAGTCTGTACCACTAACTCTGGGCCCTGGATGCTACCTCTAGATTGTCTGACAGTCCTGTCTGGAAACCCAGTATAGCTGCTGCTCCTGCCTAACTTCAGCAGAATGGATTCTCTCCCTGGTAACTTCTTTGTGTCACTAGCTTCTGATTCAGAAACTGGGGCAAATGCATCATACGCCCATACCCTAGCTACAAGAAAAGCTGAGAAAGCAAGTGTCTGACATTTTCAGCTTAATAGAAGGGAGGCTCTGTCTTCACGGAAGGGAGAAGGGATTTCCACACATAGGAATTTCCCAGGAAATTAGATGCTGGGTAGCATCTAATAAGTGATAAGATATCCACTACACTCTTACTGTAGTGGTGGACCTACATGAAATTACATTGTGTTACAATGATCAGAGTAGCAAATGTTACAGCAAGCTCCTGACTTTTTCCTATAATAATCCCAACTATAAAGACATAGTTGCCAAGGATGTAAATACTAGGGACCTAGAATTCCTGAGTTAATAAGCCATTTATTAAATTTCTGAGTCTCAACTTTCTTATCTGAAAAAGAGGGACGGTAATAGTACCTACCTTAAAGTATACTGTTAAGATTAAATGTAATAACACATGAAGTACTCTGCACAGTAACTATTCAAAAAGTGGTGGTAATGGTGATTTTGGAAACAATGATGATGATGGAGAGGAGGAGAATAGTGCCTGGCACACAGGAAGTACATAATAAATATCTGCTGTTATTGTGGTGGTTGTTATCATTATTATCATAATTTATTCCAAGTCAAGAGGCTTTGGTAGCTGGCTTATTTATTCATTCAACCCATCTACACTGAGTACCTATTAGGTTCCAGTCACTGAGTTAGGCACCAGAAATACAAAAGGGAGGCCGGGCGTGGTGGCTCATGCCTGTAATCTCAACACACTGGGGGGTCGAGGTGGGCAGATCATGAGATCAGGAGTTCAAGACAGCCTAGCCAACATGGTGAAACCCTATCTCTACTGAAAACATAAAAATTAGCCACGTGTGGTGGCACGTGCCTGTAATTCCAGCTACTTGGGAGGCTGAGGAAGGAGAATCACTTGAACCTGGGAGACGGAGGTTGAAGTGAGCTGAGATCACGCCATTGCCCTCCAGCCTGGGTGACAGAGCAAGACTCCATCTCGGGGGGAAAAGAAAAGGAAAAAAAGAAATACAAAAGACAGCAAAGCATGTGATCTGCATTCTCGGAGCTTACAGAATATCGGGGAAGGAACGGACTAATCAAGTAACCACACAAACAAACGTGACATTATTACATGGCACTGAGAGTGTGCATAATAAGGACAAGTGACCAAGTCAGGCAGATCAGGGGAATGGCCCTTTTGAGGGAAGACCCGGAAAGTGAGTAGGAGTTAGCTAACTGAGAGAGGTGCCACAACAAACAGCATTCGACTGAGGGAGGTGCAAAGAGCATTCCTGGCAAAGAGAGTAGCAAGGATAAAGAAGATCTTATGTCAGGAGGAAGCACTCAGCATTCCAGCAACTAAAAGAAGGCCAGCACAACTGGAGAGGAAGAGGCAGGGACTCGATCATAAAAAGACTTCCAAACCACACAAGGAATGCTGATTCAAGACCAGTGAGTAGGCCACATTTCTTTAACCAGCCAGCTAACCCACCCCGGGATGGCACCACCACCATCTGAAGATGGGAACCTCTGTGTGAGGAATATAGCTTGCGTGGGTTTGAGATGCTGTTAATGCCTGGTACTCCCATGTGTTTCAGTGCCCTAATGTAAAGAAGGTCAGACAGGTTTGAAATCTCTGAAGATGCTTTAAAAGGCATTTGGTGGCATTTCTCCTTCCCTCCATCTCCTAAAAAATGGTTTTTTGAATCATAGAACCAAATCAGGATAAATAATTAAAGATAGAAACAACCAGAGATATTATCTAGCCAATCTCCTTTATTTTCTTGGTTTTGTTTTGTTTTAGAGATAGGGGCTCGCTCTGTCACCCAGGCTGGGCTGCAGTAGTATAATCACAGCTCACTGCAGCCTTGATCTCCTAAGCTCAAGTGATCCTCCCAGCTCAGCCACCTGAGTAGCTAGGACAACAGCTGCAGGCCACCACACCTGGCTAATTTTTTATTTTTTGTAGAGACGGGGGTCTCACCATGTTGCCCAAACTGGTATCAAACTCCTCGCCTCAAGCGATCCTCCTGCCTTGGCCTCCCAAAGCACTAGGATTATAGGCATGAGCCACCATGCCCAGCCTCGCCTCATTTTCTAGTTGTGGATATCACATGCTGGTAGTCACCAACAAAACCAGAACTAGAACTCAGTTCTAGATTTCCGAGCCAGTGCTTTTCCCACCACCCCTCTGCCACTTAGAAGATCCCATTTATTTAATCTGCCCAAAAGCCAAAACTGTCTTAACACCCTGAAACAGCTAGCTCACTTCTCACTGTTGAACACAAGCCTGCTCTGATATAAACAATACTAACATGTGACATAATGAACCAGAAACTAAAGAGTAGCACGTAGCAGGGGATGTCCGACTACATTTGTTTTAACAGCTCTCAGCTTCTCTACGAAGCAGTTAAATCTTGATTAACTGGAAGCTTCCTTTTTTTGTATTTGTTAAAGACTCTACTTTCAAGAGGAATCAGATAATAACTGAAGAACTAACATCAGAGTTTTGTTAAAAATAATAGAGGGAATAAAAACTTCTACAGCAACTGGGTGACTCTCGCACATTAGCCATATCACAAAAAGAAGACACAGTCGAGACAGCAGCTCCAGGTAAGTGGGGTTCTCTTAAGCAACAAAGGAAATACTCCCTACAACAGAGCTCTTCTACTATGGCAGCCTAAGACTAAGGTTACAGCCAGATCACAAAGAACCAAACTAAGAAAACAAACACCTACATAACCCCTGACCAAATCCAATATCATGGTTAGGCCAGACACATGAAAGGATTCTTTATAGTTCTGACAACTGGTAACAAAGAGGCTAATTAATCTCATTTATCTAATGTCCATGGGACTTCTGTGAAATAGGATAAAACACTAGTACACAATTACAACATTAATTCAAAAGTTTCAGGACAATAGTTTTGCAAATCCAAAACCATATTCAAATGCATAAAACTGAAAATGCTAACAAATTATTCTGAAAGTCCACAAATTATCTTTTCTCCATTTCCTCGATTTTTGTAGAGATAGGATTTCTAATACCTTCATCATTTTATACCTCCTTAGGTTTTATTTTAATCTTTTACCACACTCTCCTGTGATTTTTTTGCCAAAATGGTTACAAACAATCTATGTTTATCCAGCTTTCTGCACTCATTTTGACTTACTTGAGCATGGAAAATGGAAGTCTCATCTTCATCACCATCATAAAGACAACCAACATGCACTGGACAGATACCTGTGTCAGTCATCTTTTAACCTAATATCTCATTTAATCCTTTTGCCTGTATGTTACTACCCTTGGGTTGCAGAAAAAGAAATGTTTGGAGTGCTTAAATAATAAAGGCAAAGGTATCTAACTCCACATAGTCTGGTCCCAGAGCCAGGGCTTTTAACCACTGCTCTAGAGCTGTCTTTCATGTTAGACCAACATTTTAAATCCATAATGTTTTAATTTCTCAGTGATCATTTCTTATTTTCTAGCTACTAGGTATATTCTTTGATCACTATTATTTATATGCTCTTCCAAAACTAGCTAATTCGATTCTGGGAAGAAGTATTTGAAGTACACCAGCATCTGAGGTACAGCAACATTTATATATAAAAACCCTTTCTGGAGTTTCAAGATGAAACATGGATTTCCTATTACCTTATTAAAGATACATACATTGAAAATTAAACAAAGTTGATCATGACTTGCAAAAAACAACAGCCCATCTTTATTTCTAATATTTCTCCTGTTCTAAACTTGCATTGAATTCACTATCGAATTAAGTTGCACAGTGTATGGAGGGCTCTGCTATGCCTTCAGACACTCAGGAAACACTGAAAATGCACTTACACATCTGCCAGAAACTTCTGTTGCCAGAACTTGTCAGAGCGAGGATGATTTAGTACTAATTGCAGTGCCCTTGACAGTCCTGAACTACAAGGTTTATCCATCTCAGTAAGACAGAGCAGGTGAAGGAGCATGTGAGAGCAGATGTAGGAAGCAGCACAATCTTTTCTGACAGCTAAACAACAAGACAGCCAGTAACAGTGCTCATCTTTCCACTATGTCATCAAAGCCACTTACTTACCAAGGGTTCATGGAATAGGTTTTGCTGGCTGCCCAGACGACTGCCCATTTCTTCCCCACGAGTTATCTTCAAAACAGTATCTCTGCATGAGCTTTCTCTTTCCTTATCCCTCCTCTCATCTCCACATTGCTTAACTAAACCCTGACTTTTCCTTCTCTTTCATGGATCGTATCATCCTTAAATATAGACTTTTATCTGTCTTGAGATGAGATGAGAGACTTCTAGTTTCCTTGATTCTAATCCTCCTGTGACAAGGTACATCTTTTTTATCTGTGTCATTAATCAATAAAGAGCTGACAAGAGAGTCACTCAATATTATGAACCGTTCAGTTAAGCTGGAACATTGCTCAGGTAAAATTTAGAATAAGAAGTCATCAGGCTTCATAAAATTGATCTTACCCCAATAAAACTTGGTTAGCAGTCCTTCTCCATTTGTCATAGGGAAAATCCAAAAGCAAGGAAAACACAGCTTAGAAGTAGTCTTATAAAATTAATGATATTACTTTTGCAGTAAATCAAATCCATAGAGATTTTAGAAGTTATAACTAGTGGTCAACCTGAAAGTTCAATTGAAAAGCTTTTTTTTTTTTTTTTAAATCAGGATGACAGCCATAAGACAGGCCTATCAAAAGACTTAAATCAGTAAACTCTTAAAAGACATTCTTTAAAATGGCAGTCATTTAAAATCCAGTAGATATCATATTTAACTGGCTAAAGACAGAACTTACGAGCATTACAGAATAATATCCTTTTGATGGTTTTCGGAAGTACTGCCTTCTGTGGAATTGCAGAGACTCTTCAATTCTCTAAGGAGAAGCTTACTGAGACTCAGGCATATTCCTAAAATCCTAGTAAAGCTTTCCAAAAGCTCACCAAAAACTATCACTAAATTAAGCACTCCATCAAGTTAAACATGTTCCTAACTTTTCTGTTGGTGGCAAATTAGAACATTTTTTCTAATTCAGTACACTCTCTGATATCTAACAAGCCACTTTTAGCTCTAAGTATAAGTAAAATGTTCTACTTTTCTTTCAAGTTTGAAAAAAAAAAAAAATAGACCCCTGGTCTGTATGGAGACCGCAACAAAAACCATTTGCACTGGCTTATATGCTCCTGCCCCCACCATACAACATCAAATGTACTGAAAAAGCATGGAGAACAAGGCTGCCACAACCTTTAATGCTTCATGACTAGGTGAAGCATGACTTCAATGTTTCATGACCAGGAGGGGGCTCTGTGCCCCTCACACCCTCTTCTGCTGCAGGCAGTACCTTTTCACCTAGGGGTGCTTAATTTTTATGTGTCAGCTTGGCTACATAATGATGCCTAGTTAGTTGGTCAAATACTAATCGAGGTGGCACTGTGAAGGTTTTGTAGAGATGATTAACAATTGACAATCAGCTGACTTTAAGTAAAGGGAAAGTACCCTGGATAACATGGCTGGCTCTCATCCCACCAGCTCAAGGCCTTAAAAGCAAAAACATGTTTTTGAAGAAGGAATTCTGCCTCAATATTGTAATATAGAAATCCTGCCCAAGTTTCCTGCATGGAGGCCTTCCCTATGAATTTCAGACTCAAGATTACAACTTCAACTCTTACCTGAGTTTCCGGGCAGCCCTACAGACTTCAGCCCTCCCATTTCATAAGCCAGGTATGTTGTAGTGTGGTCTAGTTAGCTCAGTTTAAAAATCTAGTTTATCACTGTACAGGAACCTGCCATTTGTGAAAAAGATCAGTTATAAGAGCATCTTAGATTCTCTTCAAGAAGAAATTCTTAAATTTGGGCTAAAAATGTCCACCTAATAAGATCATTTTATTCAATTCCTAATCTCACAGCTGATTCCTTTCTATGAGGTTTTTAACAAGTAATCATGCACTTGAATAACTCTACCAACAGGGACAGCAAGGTGGAAAGTAAAGGAAAGGGAAATGACATTTATTGAATTCTTCTCATGTGTTGAGTGCTACCCTGAGCATTTTACAAAAGTCATCCACTTTAATCCTCACATCATAACTGTGAGATAGGCATTATTAACATCATTTTACAGATAAAGAAACCCAGCCTCAGAGAACTTAAACTGATGCAAAAATCACAAAACAAGCATACTTAACACTCAGCCCAGGTGGTCTTACTCCAAAACTCATTGTGTTAAGTCAGCTCTTGCTGATAATAACAATCCCAAAATCTCAGTGACTTACCACACCAAATAGTTATTTTTTTGTTCATACTAAACAAAAGTTAAGGGCTGAGTAAAGCTCTGCTCAACGCTGCAGGTCCTCTTCACAGGTCTTCTCATTCTGGGATGCAAGCTAAAGGAGGAAGTTACCAGATGTCACCTGGTTAAGACTACAAATACATAATTCCTCCCATACAATTTTTTTATGAAGACAAAGTGTGTATTCTGGGTAGGAAACAAAAATGAAGTGAATGCCTAGTAGCTAGGGGGGCTAACTGTAAGAGTCACTAGTGTTTTCATCAAATAATCGTAGATTTGTTTCTGTTTGTTTGTTTGTTTGTCTTTTTTGAGACAGAGTTTCACTCTTGTTGCCCAGGCTGGAGTGCAATGGCGCAACCTCGGCTCACTGCAACTTCTGCCTCCCCAGTTCAAGGAATTCGCCTTCCTCAGCCTCCAGAGTAGCTGGGATTACAGGTGCCCACCACCATGGCTGACTAATTTTTTGTATTTTTAGTAGAGACAGGGTTTCACCACATTGGCCAGGCTGGTCTCGAACTCCTGACCTCAGGTGATCTGCCCACCTTGGCCTCCCAAAGTGCTGGGATTACAGGCGTGAGTCACAACACCCACTCTATAATCACAGTTCTTTTCCAGGGCATATGGAAGAATTATACTTCCTTATCTCATTAATGTCCTCTGTAGCCAGATAACTTGCTTTGATCAATGAAATATAAGCCAAGGTGATACGTAACTTTTGATTGAAAGCTGTACACATGCATGATGTTTTTTTCTGCAATGCTTCAAATTATGACTGCAATCTAAATCCTGAATGAAGACAATATGGAACAGAGCCCCCAATCAACCCACGATGCACAAGTAGCATGAATAAGAAATAATAATGTGGGTCATTTCTATTATTTCAACATAAGTTAGCTTATTTTGACCGATACACAAGTCAAACAGATTCTCTCAGGAATGTGAACTAAGAAAACGAAAGAACTGTGTAACGAGCAAAGGAAGATAAATGCCAAGGCTGAATGAATCTAAGACACTTTAAGCAGAAGCTATGAGACAGAAAAAGACAGAGGCAAAGTAAGAAAATGAACAAGGAAGATGGCCGAATAGGAACAGCTCCAGTCTATAGCTCCCAGCGTGAGCAACGCAGAAGATGGGTGATTTCTGCGTTTCCAACCGAGGTACCGGGTTCATCTCACTGGTGAGTGTCGGAAAGTGGGTGCAGGACAGTGGGTGCAGCACACCGTATGTGAGCCGAGGCAGGGCCAGGCATTGCCTCACCCAGGAAGCGCAAGGGGTCAGGGAATTCCCTTTCCTAGTCAAAGAAAGGGGTGACAGATGGCACCTGGAAAATCGGTTCACTCCCACCCCAATACTGCACTTTTACAACGGTCATAGCAAATGGCACACCAAGAGATTATATCCCACGCCTGGCTCGGGGGTCCTACACCCACAGAGCCTCACTCATTGCTAGCACAGCAGCCTGAGATCAAACTGCAAAGGAGCAGCGAGCCTAGGGAAGGGGTGCCCGCCATTGCCAAGGCTTGAGTAGGTAAACAAAGGGGTCAGGAAGCTCCATCTGGGTGGAGCCCTCCACAGCTCAAGGAGGCCTGCCTGCCTCTGCAGACTCCACCTCTGGAGGCAGGGCATTGCCAAACAAAAGGCAGCAGAATCCTCTGCAGACTTAAATGTCCCTGTCTGACAGCTTTGAAGAGAGTAGTGGTTCTCCCAGCACGCAGCTGGAGATCTGAGAACAGAAAGACTGCCTACTCAAGTGGGTCCCTGACCCCCAAGTAGCCTCACTGGGAGGCACCTCCCAGTAGGGGCAGACTGACACCTCACACAGCCAGCTACTCCTCTGAGACAAAACTTCCAGAGGAACGATCAGGCAGGAACATTTGCTGCTCACCAATATCTGCTGTTCTGCAGCTTCTGCTGCTGATACCCAGACAAACAGGGTCTGGAGTGGACCTCCAGCAAACTCCAACAGACCTGCAGCTGAGGGTCCTGACTGTTAGAAGGAAAACTAACAAACAGAAAGAACATCCACACCAAAACCCCATCTGTACGTCACCATCATCAAAGGCCAAAGGTAGATAAAACCACAAAGATGGGGAAAAAACAGAGCAGAAAAACTGGAAACTCTAAAAATCAGAGTGCCTCTCCTCCTCCAAAGGAACGCAGCTCCTCACCAGCAACAGAACAAAGCTGGATGGAGAATGACTTTGACAAGTTGAGAAAAGAAGGCTTCAGATGATCAAACTACTCCAAGCTGCAGGAGGAAGTTCGAACCCATGGCAAAGAAGTTAAAAACCTTGAAAAAAAAAACTAGACGAATGGCTAACTAGAATAACCAGTGCAGAGAAGTCCTTAAAGGACCTAATGGAGGTGAAAACCAAGGCACGAGAACTACGTGACGAATGCACAAGCCTCAGTAGCCGATTCGATCAACTGGAAGAAAGGGTATTAGTGATGGAAAATCAAATGAATCAAATGAAGCAAGAAGAGAAGTTTAGAGAAAAAAGAATAAAAAGAAACGAACAAAGCCTCCAAGAAATATGGGACTATGTGAAAAGACCAAATCTACGTGTGATTGGTGTACCTGAAAGTGATGGGGAGAATGGAACCAAGTTGGAAAACACTCTGCAGGATATTATCCAGGAGAACTTCCCCAATCTAGCAAGGAAGGCCAACATTCAAATTCAGGAAACACAGAGAATGCCACAAAGATACTCCTCGAGAAGAGCAACTCCAAGACACATAATTGTCAGATTCACCAAAGTTGAAATGAAGGAAACAATGTTAAGGGCAGCCAGAGAGAAAGGTCGGGTTACCCACAAAGGGAAGCCCATCAGACTAACAGCGGATCTCTCGGCAGAAACTCTACAAGCCAAAAGAGAGTGGGGGCCAATATTCAACATTCTTAAAGAAAAGAATTTTCAACCCAGAATTTCATATCCAGCCAAACTAAGCTTCATAAGTGAAGGAGAAATAAAATCCTTTACAGACAAGCAAATGCTGAGAGATTTTGTCACCACCAGGCCTGCCCTAAAAGAGCTCCTGAAGGAAGCGCTAAACATGGAAAGGAACAACCAGTACCAGCACTGCAAAAACATGCCAAATTGTAAAGACCATCCAGGCTAGGAAGAAACTGAATCAACTAACAAGCAAAATAACCAGCTAACATCATAATGGCAGGATCAAATTCACAAATAACAATATTAACTTTAAATGTAAATGGGCTAAATGCTCCAATTAAAAGACACAGACTGGCAAATTGGATAAAGAGTCAAGACCAATCAATGGGCTGTATTCAGGAAACCCATCTCACATGCGGAGACACATATAGGCTCAAAATAAAGGGATGGAGGAAGATCTACCAAGCAAATGGAAAACAAAAAAAGGCAGGGGTTGCAGTCCTAGTCTCTGATAAAACAGACTTTAAACCAACAAAGATCAAAAGAGACAAAGCAGGCCATTACATAATGGTAAAGGGATCAATTCAACAAGAAGAGCTAACTATCCTAAATATATATGCACCCAATACAGGAGCACCCAGAATCATAAAGCAAGTCCTTAGAGACCTACAAAGAGACTTAGACTACCACACAATAATAATGGGAGACTTTAACACCCCACTGTCAACATTAGACAGATCAACGAGACAGAAAGTTAACAAGGATATCCAGGAATTGAACTCAGCTCTGCACCAAGTGGACCTAATAGACAACTACAGAACTCTCCACCCCAAATCAACAGAATACACATTCTTCTCAGCACCACACCTCACTTATTCCAAAATGGACCACATAGTTGGAAGTAAAGCACTCCTCAGCAAATGTAAAAGAACAGAAATTATAACAAACTGTCTCTCAGACCACAGTGCAATCAAACTAGAACTCAGGATTAAGAAACTCACTCAAAACCGCTCAACTACATGGAAACTGAACAACCTGCTCCTGAATGACTACTGGGTACATAATGAAATGAAGGCAGAAATAAAGATGGTCTTTGAAACCAATGAGAACAAAGACACAACATACCAGAATCTCTGGGACACATTCAAAGCACTGTGTAGAGGGAAATTTATAGCACTAAATGCCCACATGACAAAGCAGGAAAGATCTAAAATTGACACCCTAACATCACAATTAAAAGAACTAGAGAAGCAAGAGCAAACACATTCAAAAGCTAACAGAAGGCAAGAAATAATTAAGATCAGAACAGAACTGAAGGAAATAGAGACACAAAAAAACCCTTCAAAAAATCAATGAATCCAGGAGCTGGTTTTTTGAAAAGATCAACAAAATTGATAGACCACTAGCAAGACTAATAAAGAAGAAAAGAGAGAAGAATCAAATAGATGCAATAAAAAATGATAAAGGGGATATCACCACCAATCCCACAGAAATACAAACTACCATCAGAGAATACTATAATCACCTCTACTCAAACTAGAGAATCTAGAAGAAATGGATAAATTCCTGGACACATACACTCTCCCAAGTCTAAACCAGTAAGAAGTTGAATCTCTGAATAGACCAATAACAGGCTCTGAAATTGAGGCAATAATTAATACCTTACCAAGCAAAAAAAAGTCCAGGACCAGATGGATTCACAGCCGAATTCTACCAGAGGTACAAGAAGGAACTGGTACCATTCCTTCTGAAACTATTCCAATCAATAGAAAAAGAGGGAATCCTCCCTAACTCATTTTATGAGGCCAGCATCATCCTCATACCAAAGCCTGTCAGAGACAAAACAAAAAAAGAGAATTTTAGACCGATATCCCTGATGAACATCGATGCAAAAATCCTCAATAAAATACTGGCAAACCAAATCCAGCAGCACATCAAAAAGCTTATCCACCATGATCAAGTGGGCTTCATCCCTGGGATGCAAGGCTGGTTCAACACACGAAAATCAATAAACGTAATCCAACATATAAACGGAACCAAAGACAAAAACCACATGATTATTTCAATAGATGCAGAAAAGGCCTTTGACAAAATTCGACAACCCTTCATGCTAAAAACTCTCAATAAATTAGGTACTGATGGGATGTATCTCAAAATAATAAGAGCTATCTATGACAAACCCACAGCCAATATCATACTGAATGGGCAAAAACGGGAAGCATTCCCTTTGAAAACTGGCACAAGACAGGGATGCCCTCTCTCACCACTCCTATTCAACACAGTGTTGGAAGTTCTGGCCAGGGCAATCAGGCAGGAGAAGGAAATAAAGGGTATTCAATTAGGAAAAGAGGAAGTCAAATCGTCCCTGTTTGCAGATGACATGATTGTATATTTAGAAAACCCCATTGTCTCAGCCCAAAATCTCCTTAAGCTGATAGGCAACTTCGGCAAAGTCTCAAGATGCAAAATCAACATGCAAAAATCACAAGCATTCTTATACACCAACAACAGACAAACAGAGAGCCAAATCATGAGTGAACTCCCATTCACAATTGCTTCAAAGAGAATAAAATACCTAGGAATCCAACTTACAAGGGATGTGAAGGACCTCTTCAAGGAGAACTACAAACTGCTGCTCAATGAAATAAAAGAGGATACAAACAAATGGAAGAACATTCCATGCTCATGGATAGGAAGAATCAATATTGTGAAAATGGCCATACTGCCCAAGGTAATTTATAGATTCAATGCCATCCCCATCAAGCTACCAATGACTTTCTTCACAGAATTGGAAAAAACTACCTTAAAGTTCATATGGAACCAAAAGAGAACCCACATTGCAAAGTGAATCCTAAGCCAAAAGAACAAAGCTGGAGGCATCATGCTGCCTGACTTCAAACTATACTACAAGGCTACAGTAACCAAAACAGCATGGTATTTGTATCAAAACAGAGATATAGACTAATGGAACAGAACAGAGCCCTCAGAAATAATGCCGCATATCTACAACCATCTCATCTTTGACAAACCTGATAAAAACAAGAAATGGGGAAAGGATTCCCTATTTAATAAATGGTGCTGGGAAAACTGGCTAGCCATATGTAGAAAGCTGAAACTGGATCCCTTCCTTACACTGTATACTAAAATTAATTCAAGATGGATTAAAGACTTAAATGTTAGACCTAAAACCATAAAAACCCTAGAAGAAAACCTAGGCAATACCATTCAGGACATAGGTAAGGGCAAGGACTTCATGTCTAAAACACCAAAAGCAATGGCAACAGAAGCCAAAATTGACAAATGGGATCTAATCAAACTAAAAGAGCTTCTGCACAGCAAAAGAAACTACCATCAGAGTGAACAGGCAACCCACAGAATGGGAGAAAATTTTTGCAATCTATTCATCTGACAAAGGGCTAATATCCAGAATCTACGATGAACTCAAACAAATTTACAAGAAAAAAACAAACAACCCCATCAACAAGTGGGCAAAGGATATAAACAGACACTTCTCAAAAGAAGACATTTATGCAGCCAAAAGACACATGAAAAAACGCTCATCATCACTGGCCATCAGAGAAATGCAAATCAAAACCACAATCAGATACCATCTCACACCAGTTAGAATGGCGATCATTAAAAAGTCAGGAGACAACAGATGCTGGAGAGGATGTGGAGAAATAGGAACACTTTTACACTGTTGGTGGGACTGTAAACTAGTTCAACCATTGTGGAAGTCAGTGTGGTGATTCCTCAGGGATCTAGAACTAGAAATACCATTTGACCCAGCAATCCCATTACTGGGTATATACCCAAAGGATTATAAATAATGCTGCTATAAAGACACATGCACACATATGTTTATTGCGGCACTATTCACAATAGCAAAGACTTGGAACCAACCCAAATGTCCATCAATGATAGACTTGATAAAGAAAATGTGGCACATATATACCACGGAATACTATGCAGCCATAAAAAAATGATGAGTTCATGTCCTTTGTAGGGACATGGATGAAGCTGGAAACCATCATTCTCAGCAAACTATTGCAAGGACAAAAACCCAAACACCGCATGTTCTCACTCATAGGTGGGAACTGAACAATGAGAACACATGGACACAGGAAGAAGAACATCACACACCAGGGCCTGTTGTGGGGTGAGGGGAGGGGGGAGGGATAGCATTTGGAGATATACCTAATGTTAAATGACGAGTTACTGGGTTCAGCACACCAACATGGCACATGCATACATAGGTAATTAACCTGCACATAGTGCACATGTACCCTAAAACTTAAAGTATAATTAAAAAAAAAAAAAAGAAAGGAAATGAACAAGCCAGTATGTAGTTAGAAAAAAGCAGACACACACACACACACAAAACAGATACATCAAAAGAGATCACGTGGCCTATGGATAAATTCATGAGAGTTTTCATACTCTAGCACTGCCTTCACTGCTACAGCTTTCGGGACCTATTAAGAATCTTTACAATTCTTTCCTTTTCTTTAAATGCTGGAATGAGCCTTAAATGAAAAAAGTGGGACAAAATGAGACCTGTGAAATGTTCTAAGTCAATTCTTCAGAAAAATTTTATGGTGAATCCAATTATCGAATAAAGATTCACTTCCTAACATAAGTACTACAATGTTACTATATCAGGCTAGATGCGGTGGCTCACACCTGTAATCCCAGCACTTTGAGAGTCTGAGGTGGTAGATCACTTGAGGTCAGGGTTTCGAGACCAGCCTGGCCAACACAGTGAAATCTCATCTCTACTAAAAGTACAAAAATTAGCCAAGCATGGTGGTGGGCACCTGTAATCCCAGCTACTCAGGAGGCTGAGGCAGGAGAATTGCTTGAACCCAGGAGGAGGAAGCTGCATTGAGCCGAGGTGACACCACTGCATTCCAGCCTGGGCAACAGAGTGAGACTTTGTCTCAAAAAAATAATAATAATTAAAACAAAATTTTACTATATCACATTTAGTTATAAGGTAACATTCATGCATCATCAAAAACATTAAATATACATAAACTCATTAAATAGCTCCTACTAAATATCATCAAGGTAAATTTCAGGAAAATAGAGAAATAAGGCAAGGATAAGAAAACATTTCCCAGAATCAAGAGGCTAAAACAAAAGAGGAAGAGAATCTTACCTTCCTAAAAAGTTTTCTTACTTGTAAAGCTAAGGAAAGAAACAATTCTTTTATAAACATATGCAGATTCTGTAATGAACTGAATGAAGTATAAAGTACAGTATACTAAAGTATAGTATATGCAAGCCTTAAGTACCTACTACAATACTGGACTCAGAACTAGAATTCAATAAATATTTGACTGATTGATCATATAAATCATTAGGGAAAGCACATGCTTTATAAATCACTTACTGCATGCATTCATGCTTCATATCGCAAACAAAAAGCTGCCAATGATGGCTAGCTTGGCTAACGGGCCAAATGTAGTAATTCTAAATCTAAAACCCAAATAGATATTAACACGTTAAATTAGCCATATGACAGGGGAAACTGAGAAGCTCAAGAGCATACTGAACTTAATATTTGTTTAAACACATGCCAAGCCTTTTAGATAGAAATAGGAAGTACTTAACTGGAAAACTATTATGGTTGGCACTATGTTGGCATTATGCTAAGATTCTTCAGAGACAAGAATCAAAGAGCACTCAAAAAGTCCTTTATAAACTATGGTACAGTAGTGAAGCAATGAATTCTTTAGTAAATTCAAATGGTAATTTGGCCAGTGGATATCAAACTACACAAAATTAGTTTCCAACAGGTTTCTGAGTATTAGACACCAAAAAGAACTATTAACTATTAAGCTGCAGTGGTCATTTCAACTGCATTTTTACAAATCTATAAAGTTGCTAGCTTTATGAGTGTTATGTTATAAAATCTGTATACGTTACTATTAACTTACTATCACTTAAATCTTGTTTTGGTATTTAATTCACCTGGGATGACAGATAATAAAGTAACAAAATTTATATTTAGTTGGTTTTTTTAAAGATTGTATAAATTTTCACCTTTAAGTGACAGGCTCTCTAGAATAACAAGTAATGTGACAGGCAAAAGTAAATGAAACAAAACTGAGTTACCTTTGTCATTAATCTTGTTCCTTTGTGTAGTCAGTCTAGGTTGAGAGTGACACAGTCTGAATTTTACTATTCAAGCACTAAATGAATCTGTCTTCTCCACAATGGTAGTTCCACCACAACAGTGATACATATCCTCATTTTAATTAACCTAATGGTCTATTCACTGATCATACTTGGAGGTCTATTTCATTACCCTAAATTAACATTTTCTTTCCATTAAAGTTACAGATAATAAAAAAGACATTGCTTTCATGTGTAGTTTACAACACATTTAATCTATAGTACTCCTTTGCTTAGTGATTACAAGCACTTAAATGCTTGAAAAGCACTTAAAGCTACTAGCGGTGAAATGATTTATTTATTCATACAGAGGGAAGGCCATTAATAAGAAGAATAAAAATGCAATATTTCAAGAATAAAAATACCTATTCATTAGCTCAATGAAATCAACTCTAAGAAAGGTGTTGATTGATCTCATTTTAAAAGGTATGATGAGTCTCCTCAAAGTAAATGGGATGTATTTACATAAAATAATTGAATAATCCTGACACATTTTGCCATTTTATTCTCCTTACAAGGAGAAGATTTAGTTTCTCAAGTTTAGAGTCAGGCCTAAGAACAACAATAAAGTAATTTTAATTGTTCAAGAGAACTGTTTAAAGACTTTTCCTAGCAAATGTTTGCCAATTTAATGAGAAATTATTTGATCATAATTCTTTGATTCAAATTCTGCACCTAGGGCTAAATAGTCATCTCTTAGATAGAAATTTACATGTATAGCAACCCTTTATTTTTACTTTCCAAATTAATCCCTGATCAAAATGAAACATAAACCTCAATTTGATTTAAAGATTGTTTTAAAAAAATTTCATACAATTCCAACCTTATATTCTCACAAATGTTGTTAGGCAAAGTGCTGTAAGCTAAAAATCCTAAGCTCCCCATCTGTCTGAATAGACTCCCCCTTGGCCAAGAGGACCCCAGAGAAACCTACAAAACTGAGTTCTTGGCCGTGATGAGAAGGGAGGTCAGACACACCTCCTTACATCCCCTTCCTTTGAGGTTTAGGCACAACTGACCAGCATTAATGTTAAAACAGAGATCATAAGACTGACAATACAGACTCTTTGTGGCAATAAGATACCAAATTATAAATAGGACCTAATGTCACACCAGACAAGGGCTAAGTTATGCACCCCTATAAGTCATGCTGACCGAGTGTAATGGTTAACAACTTTTTTATCTTAAACATTCCTTTCTGCCAACTCCAAATTTTTAGACAAAGCTTTACTCTTTAACTGATTGCAAATTTAAAAATCTCTGAACCCACCTATGACCTGTAAGTCCCTGCTTCAAGATATCCCACCTTTTGGGCCAAACCAATGTATAACCTCCATGTATCAATTTATGAATTTGCTTATTAACTCCTGTCTCCCTAAAATGTAAAAACTCAAACTATAATCTGACTGCCCTGCGTGCACTTTCTTAGGACCTCTTGAGACTGTGCTTCCCTGGGCCATGCTCACTCATATTGGCTCTGAATAAAGCTCTTTAAAATGTATTACAGAGTTTGGTATTCCATTAACAATGCATTCCTTTGAACTGCCTCCCCCTGCCAATCCTACTCTCACCCTCAAAAACTATGTTGATGCCTCAAAAAACCTACAAACTTTAAAGGAATATTCCATTTTCATTACATTACTGTGAAATCCTTGCTGATTTGAAAATTAAAATATCTTATAAAAATGGTTGCATTTTAAATTAATCTATTTTGATTAAAATCACTTGTCAGGAACATGCCTTAATAACATTTCTCTGGAAAATGTTCTATACAACATTGTCTTAATAAATAAAGATCGGCACTGGAGAAAGTGCATGCTACACATTTGAAGGCAATATTTTTATATTCTTTCAAATTTACTTTCAAAAACTGAGTGTTGATTTGGTTATTTCATTTTCCAGAAGTAAATAAAGCAAATACTCATAAACACTCCAAAATGAACTACCCTCAAATTTACTCTTGGAAGCCTGGGAATATTTTTCTCTCTATTAGGATAATACCAAAAACAAAAGGTTATGCATCCCAAATACAGAATTTTCCTTCAATTAATTATCAAAGCATACATACATGTTTTTGTGGTTTTGGTCATTTTGATGAGAAAGTAGAAGATTTTCCTAATTCTCTAACATTTCTTCAATTTGGAATGAATCATGTGAAAGATAACTTCTTTCTATACTTAAAGAAACTATTGCTGACAAGCTTGATTTTAATAGTTCCACAAATACCATATTCCCAGTATACAAATTTACTCTGCCTCACTTCTACAGCCTTCTATTACGGTATCTTACCCTAGTCAAGTTTATTTCTATGCTCCTAATAGATTCTGCTTCAATTAAATCAATGTGATCATTATCTCCCACTGTTTATTTCATTCATCACACCTTCCTACCCATGCTCATTCTCTCAGGAATGCCTGCCTTCCTTTTCCTCTCCAACTACCCATATTTGGCTCGTCTTCAGGAATAGCTTAATACCCATCTCTTAGCTTTGCACCAGAAGGATCTGATCTCTGAATCTCTAATAACTTTAATAATAATTGCCACAGAGGTGTTACTTTGTTCTTCAATTGTTTCATATGTGTGTCACTTCTGTAATCATCTCCTTGAGAACAATGGGGACCAGGTTTAGCATCTCATACTAAATCCAGAACCAATATCTCCATAAATCTGCACTCATACATCTAAAAATATCATATGTCAGTCTCCAGAGCTTAATAAAGGTAAATAGATCCAGACCTACAACAAAACCAAAGCCACTCTCAATTTTCATGTATCGCATACTTTAATACATCACAGAATTTGGCAGAAAGAAGATTTTAAGCAATTGCCTGGTGGCACTGCCACTAGCCTAGGCCAAATCAGAAGCTCTTCCCTGACCAGCATCTCATGAAAGTGCTATCAGTGAGGCTTCAGTTGAGGTGGGCCTTCAAGAGTTGTCAGTGGAAGGCTCCAGGGCCTGGACTTTCTTGCTCCCAAGAGGTACCACAAGGGTAAATGTACCCAGATCTGGACCAACATCTCCTTCCAGCCCAACTTCTACCTTCCCTTCCATCATGGAACAGTAGGTGCAGCCTGGTGCACAAGCAGATGGTGGACTGGAAGGTACATCAAGGTAATGCATGGGAGATGGAGATGGCCAGCTGACTCGCAACTCACCTTGAGGGAGCAGTTATTAGGTCCCATTCCCAATCCTTACACAGGGACCTCCATTCCTGTGTTGAAATTTAAAGTTTAAGGGCTCCTTAAACAACAGCCCTGAACCTAATCCCCACTAATAACTGAATGGATATTTCTAGTGCTTCTCACCTATCCACCTTGTTTTCTGTGTATCTAGGAAAGCAGCCCCAGGCATGGTGGCGGGTGCCTGTAATCTCAGCTACTGGGGAGGCTGAGGCAAGAGAACTGCTTGAACCCAAAAAGCACAGGTTGCAGTGAGCCGTGATGGTGCCACTACACTCCAGCCTGGGTGACAGAGCAAGACTGTCTCAAAAAAAAAAAAAAAGAAGTGGCGTGTGCCAGGCCTATGCCCATGCTATCAGTGAATTCTGCCAGTTATCTGAGCACATTCATTTCCTTTCTTATTGAAGCTATTCTGAGGCAAGTTTTCTATTACTTCTAAAAAAAAAAAAAACAAAAAAAACAGTTACTCATGATCCTGAGGTAGGAAAAGGCTTAAGACAATAGATTTGAGAACAGAAAGGACTGTTCTATGCTCAAGGGCCAGAATGCTAAAGTTTTACAAGACGTCTTTTCAGAAACAATGCTATCTGGCTGTCTAGAACTGCAAACTCCTCCCAACCAATCCCCTGGCTCTGAGGAAGTATTTACTCCTCAGAGTGAATTACCAAGAAATGGCTTTGTGTGTCTGTGTATTCTGAAGAAGCTGTAACTACAGAACTAGAAAGACCATGGCTGAGCCTCACTCCACCAACAGAAATAAATGCTGAACCAGCAATGGCAGCATACACATACATTACTGTGGTGTGTCAGGCTGCTGGGAGAACAATGTTCTTCCTTCTAGTGGACAAAGACTACACTGAACTGCAGGAAGCACAACCCCTTTGGTAATCAGATTTTCATGTTTCTCTTCTGTGAAAATAGTAACCAGGACCAATTCTAAGAATGAGTAACTACCTAGAGATTCTCAGGCTACTATAAAGAGAGGAATCTGAAAAATAAAAGAAATTCTCATGAAAATGTGGCAGGCAGAGCCAAGGGTAATCTATGTGAATTAATAAAGAAGTATAACCTTCCCTTTTCATCTTGCCTTCCCTTTTGTCTCCAGTATTCAGGAATCAGCATAGTGGCTGAGGTAGCTAAGGACACAGGGCAGTGAGAAAGGGTTGGGGGTGTGCACAGGCCCAGGGCAACAGGTGCAGTGGCAAAGGAACAAAGATGGCCTAGAGGTGATAAACAATGAAGATAGCAGTGTAATTGGGAGGTCTACATACAGAAAATTATTTTTGATTGTGCAAATAAAATATATTGAGGATAATGGGTGCTATGTTACTGCCAAAGGAGGTATTTACAAACAACTCCAAGATGCAAGGTTAGAACTGAAGATATCAGTAGGAACCCATGATTTTGTTACGTACTCATATACACACACACACACCCCTCTCCTAACTCTGTCCCCTGATAGGGTCTCAGTTTCTTCAACTATGAAAATGAAGAGATACCCTAGAATCATTCTGAATCCCTTCCACTTCTAACAATCCATGATTATACGAGAATGTTGGCAAACAAAGATACCTGCCTTTCTGCAATCTGCCTGAACCTACCAAAAATAATACTTCAGAAAGATATATATCATGACAGTTAGAAATTAGTCAACAGGAAAAAGCAGAATTATCAATTATATCTATCACACAACACAAAGTAGCATGTTATAAATGTTCACTCTCTAGACGTTGTTACTGCTTAAGAAATTGTCATTTCAGCAAATAATTTTTCTTAATGCTAGAAAGATACAACATGAGCATTACTCTGCTTTAAAAAAGGAGCAAGGAGACTATCATTAACAAAAATCTGCCACCCCAAATTATTTCATTTCCACTTTACACCAGAGGAGATGAAATTTTAAATATTTAAAAACCAGAATACATACTATGCAGAGAGGAGCCAAGCAAAAGCAATTAGAATTGTGAAATATTAATTTTAGCTTTTCCTTCTTATAACCTTCGTAAATATATCAGTCAAAATGTTAACCTTTCTGCTAAAACACATAAAATGCCCTTGTAAAACAAACATGTATCTATGAACTCTTCTGCTTTGTCACAACTTTGCCATTCCTACAAGTAACGAAACAAATTTAACATAGACATTATAATACCATAATTTTTTTTTTTTTTTTTGAGATGGAATCTCGCCCTGTCACCCAGGCTGGAATGCAGTGGTACGATCTCGGCTCACTGCAACCTCTGCCTCCCAGGTTCAAGCGATTCTTCTGCCCCAGCCTCCCAAGTAGCTGGGATTACAGGCGTGCGCCACTACACACAGCTAATTTTTATATTTTTAGTAGAGACGGGGTTTCAGTATGTTCGTCAGGCTGGTCTCGAACTCTTGACCTAGTGATCCGCCCGCCTCGGCCTTCCAAAGTGCTGGGATTACAGGCATGAGCTACCGCGCCCAGCCTATAATACCATAATTTTTATTCTACTCAAATGATTCTTTTAGGAAATACATATTTAAGTAGCTGCCTACCATAAGACTACACAGGATTATGTCTAGCCACCAACATATATACTTTGAGAGGTGTTTGAATCACCCAAATTTTTAAATATATAAGTAATTTTGGCCAATAAAAATTGGCCAAATACAGAGCCCAGAAATAAACCTGCACAAGTGCAGCCAACTGATTTAAAACAAAGGTGTCAAAAATATACAATGGGAAAAGGACGGTCTATTCAACAAATGGTGCTGGGAAAACTGGATTTCCACATGCAGAAGAATGAACTTGGACCCTTATCTCACACCATATATAAAAATCAACTCAAAATGAATTAAAGACTTAAACATAAGACCAGAAACTCTAAAACTACTAGAAGACAACATATGGGAAAAACTACATGACATTGATCTAGGCAATCACTTTTTTTTTTAATTTGACCCCAAAAGCACAGGCAACAAATGCAAAACAGACAACTGGGATTACATCAAACTAAAAAGCTTCTACACAGCCAAGGAAACAACAATATGCAGAGACAACCTATGAATTGGGAGAAAATATTTCCAAGTGTTACGCCTGATAAGGGTTTAACATCCAAAATGCATAAGAAGCTCAAACAACTCAATAGCAAGAAAACAAACCAAAAAAAATCCAGTTTAAAAATGGGCAAGGGACCAGAATAGACATTATTTGTCAAGAGCAGACACGCAAATGGCCAAAAGACACATTTTTTAAAAAATGTTCAACTTCACTAATTATTAGGAAAATGAAAAATCAAAACCACAATGAGATACCATCTCACACCTGCCAGAATGGCTTTTATCAAAAAGATGAAGGATTAAGTGGTGGCAAGGGCATGGAGTAAAAGGGAACACTTGTAAACCGTTGGCAGGAATGTAAACTAATACAGCAAATATGGAAAATGTTACAAGGATTCCTCAAAAAACTAAAAATAGAATTACCACAAAATCCAGCAATCCTACTTCTGGGTACTTACCCAAAAGATTTGAAATCAGTAGGCTGAGGAGGTATCTGCACTCCCATGTCCACTGAAGCACTATTCACAATAGCTAAATTATGGAATCAACCTAAGTATCTATCAACAGGTGAAAGGATAAAGAAAATATGGTATGTATACACAATAGAGTACTATTCAGCCTTACAAAAAGAAGGGTGTTCTGTTGTCTGCAACAATATGGATGGAATTAGAGAACATGATAAGTGAAAAAAAGTCATCTGTTCTCACATGGGGAATCTAAAATAATCGAACTCAGAAGCAGAGAATAGAAGGTAGTTACAGAGGCTGGGGGAGTGGGAGTTATAAGGAGATGATGATCAAAGGGTACAAAATATCAGTTAAGAGAAATTTTTTTTTTCTTTGAGTCCTCTTGCACAGCATGATGAATATAGTTAATAACAGGGTATTGCACATTTCAAAACTTGCTAAGAGTAAATTCCAATGAGGTGACAGACATATTAACTAGCTTGATTTCATTATTCCACATTGTATTCATAAATTATAACATAACTTTGTGACCCATAACTTTGTATAATTATAAACTGCCAATTTACAATAAAAATTCCATTTAAATTAACTTTTAATGGCACCACCAAGTAAAATTACTACAACAATGACAGAACCAAAAAAATACCACCATGATTAAATTAGGTGACAAAAGGAGGATTGGTGCTGCAGCAAGTTTGCCTCCCTGGAGAAAAAAAATGCTTCCTGACCATAATTCTCTAGTCCTTTGGGCCCTTACCCATCTGCTGTTTTGCATAATTATTTACATTTTTAGCATCTTCATCTCAGTCCCCTTCTTCTTGTAAATTCCTATAGCACATATTCCTATTAATTATTCATTGAATACTTTGTATATCCTTCCCTGTGCCATGAGCTGTGTCTCACAAATGAACCAAAATAGAAAATGACTCAGTAAGTCATCTGCTACAATGTTAACTAACTAGATCACAGTTCTACTAAGAGTTCATCCCACTCAGTTGTGGGACAAACAGAGGCCCTAAGACATGAATTCAATCAAGTTAACCTTTTCCACTTAGGTGGAGAAGCACCTAATTACAGACCAGGAGAAAAAGGAAGAAGTTGTTTATTATAGAAATAATATGAAATGTATTTAGTTTTTTACATGAAACATTACCAAAGTAAAACTTTCTTGCCAAATCCATCCTTTTTCCTAATATGTTCCTCTTCATTTTCTTGTTTCTTGTTAGTAAAGGAAAACATTATGTCCTATTTTTTTTTCTTTTCCTGCTTATATCAGAAAATATTTCCAAAACTTTAGAAATATAAAAAACAACTGGGTACATCTTTTTAATATTATATGGGGAGGCAAAAGGCACTCCAAGCAAAAGTACTCAATGCACCACACAGTTTACCTTTGATTAAAGTCTCAGACTTACTGAATTGCCTGTTAACTTGCAGATTTCCAACTAATTGAGATGCAAATAATTTCTGTCTGGTGGAATAGATATCTACAAAGAATGATGGCTGACTTGGGCATTAACAAATTTTCCTTCTAATCCAGAAACATTTATTTGACAAACTGCTTGTGTATGCCTAACTTTTCAAATGTTCTTTGAGGCAGTCATAATATCTTAATGATTTCCTCATTAATTTCCCGACTTAAGTGATTTTGCCTTTTTGAAAATACCATATAACACTTGTAAAAGCAGAAACCATGTCTGTACAGAATGGTAGGTGTATTTATGTGACCACTGTTCCTTAACTGCTTAGTTCAAAAAAAATGTTGATGAAAACCAAAACCATTTACATACTATCACTTGCTATTGCCTCCCTTAGAAAAAGACCATTATTTTCAGTATGAAAAAGCAAATAAAAAGAAAAAAAAGAAAAATGTTAATGTACTGGCTCATTTCCTCTCACTGAATTTATTACAATTTCCCTGGTAAGCTCTAAAAAGCTAGCGGGGAAAAAAGGTCTGAACCATTAAGTCTGGCAGAATGAACAAGTCATAGACAAGAGAGCTACAGCTCTGGCAGCTAGCAAGGGGGTTATCTTCTTGATTGGGCTTCTCTTTAAATTATGCTTGACAATGAAAGAATGCACAGAGTTGTGAACAACCTATACACATTCACACATTGATGAGCAATGGGACCTATCTAGTGACAATCAGCACAACGTCACTGACTCTTATTAAATGACAAACAATGCATTTGACTTCAGCAAGCAATAAATAGTAACCTATAGTTCAATAGCTTTCACAGTTGCTAAGTCAGAGATGCAGACATTCATGATGGTTCAATGAGAGGATCTGATACTGTTTATGCCAAATCAGCATAATTTCTGTTCTGCTATACTTATTTTGCACCAGGGCATTGTTTGAATTTTGCTGTTTAAATGGCAAACATAAAGGTCTTACTTCAAGATTTGTCTGTAGGAAATTCTATAGGGAAAAGATTTAGACAGAGACAGCTTCACAGAGAACAAGACTCCTGGGAAGCAATTTAATTTGGTCAACAGACAGTTACTGTAAAACCTTGTTAGCTGATGGAATGGTTCACAGTGCTGCCAGTCAAAAGTCAAAGGTATTCCCTCAATGTCAAAAGATTTCATGAAGACTGGGTTAGTGAGAATACTGCAGAGCTTGAAACCCAAAGAAAACTCTTCAGTCATGGGCACAGAGGAATATATGTATATGCTTCAAAGTTAATCAGCTATCTACAAACAACTACAATTACTTTCTCAAAAGAGGAAATTAGAGAGGAATATGATCCTAAACCAGGTATTAACTTCTAATTCTTTTTAATATATGTCTCTCTTGCTCTCAACAAATAATCAAGACTGTTTACAGGATTCTTGGTTGAAAATGTGGATGTATGCTTGAGCCCAGGAACTCAAGGTTACAGTGAGCTATGATCACACTATAACACTGCAGCCTAAGCGACAGAGCAAGACTCTGTCTTGAAAAGAAATAAAAAATAAAAATAAATAAACAGAAAGAAAATGTGGATTTAAAATGTCTTCCTGTTGGCAAGTAACACTGGTGTCTGGGGGAAAAAAGGAAAAGAAAAAAATAAAAGGTCCTCCTAAAAATAAAATATAATACAATTTGAGCTAGAAAAGGTAATGAACAGCTTATTTGCCAGAATGTAAATGGTGGTTACTTCTACATGATGGGATTCTCAATAGTTTTAATTTTCTTATTGGTACTTTTCTGTATCTTCTGAAATTTCCGAAAAGAACATATATTACTCTAGTCAACAGAAAAACGCGAACAAATATTTATTTATATGCATATACATGTAATTTATAATATTTTTAAATGAGCAGTAACCACTCCAAAGTCTTCCACTTTAAATTAATTCAGGAAGTAAGCCTGAATTCTGAATTAATAATCTAATTATTAGCCTTATTAAAATGCTTCAAAAAATTCTGGATGTCAATTTCAGTGTTTTTGATGCATGAAAATTAAAATTTGGGCATGTGCTTTAAACATATTTTACATAATCTGAAATAACATATTTTACCTAAGTTTAACATTAAAAAAGAACACCTCGGCCAGGCACGGTGGCTCAGGCCTGTAATATCGGCACTTCGGGAGGCCAAGGAGGGTGGATTGCTTGAGGTCAGGAGTTTGAGACCAGCCTGATCAACATGGCAAAACCCCATCTCTACTAAAATACAAAAAGTAGCTGGGCGTGGTGGCGGGTGCCTGTAATCTCAGCTACTCGGGAGGCTGAGGCAGGAGAATTGCTAGAACCCAGAAGGCAAAGTTTGCAGTGAGCCGTGATGGTGCCACTACACTCCAGCCTGGGTGACAGAGCAAGACTCTGTCTCAAAAAAAAAAAAAAAAAAAAAAAAAAAAACAGAGTACCTCTACTCAAAGCTCATGACAGTCCAACCCTCTCAACACAGAGCAAAGGTAGTAAAATAATTCAAACTACTGGCCAGAATACAGAGAACGCTCAGAAACAGAAAGGTTTTCCAAGGTTAGATTCAATTAAATAAAAAAGGTAAAATGCATATTTAAGTTTTTCTATACAATACTGCCAATTCCACTAAAAAGACAAAATATCTAAAGTCTTCAACCACAAACCCAAAGCCAAAGTGACCATGACTAAAAATGTTTTTAAATAATAAAGAGTTTCATCTAAACAATGTAATAAATCCAAGTTATGACTGCTGAACTCCTCAAAAACCCAATAGTGACTAAGTGATTTCTATCCTAAGATGCAACATTTCCTTAAAAAGCTCAAACACTAGGAACAGGCACGGTGGCCCACTCTGTAATCCCAACACTTTGGGAGGCCGAGGTGAGCAGATCACTTGAGGGTAGGAGTTCCAGACCAGCCTGGCCAACATGGCCGCTACTCGGGAGGCTGAGGCAGGAGAATCACTTGAACCCCAGAGGCGGAGGTTGCAGTGAGCCGAGATCACACTACTGCACTCCAGCCTGGGCACAAGAGAGAGACTCCGTTTCCCCCAAAAAAAAAGAAAAAAAAAATGCCGAAAACTACATGCACAATTCATGAACTTGGGGAATAAACCTAGAGAAACAGAGACCACCCTCCCCCTGGAGATAGTATGGTTTTCTGCCCACATAAATGAACATTGTCTTTAAATAGACTCCATAAAATTCTCCAAGTTTCAGAAATTGATCTTTTTAAACTAAGTCTTTCCAAGAGTATTTAAATGTATTCCATTTCCCTTAATGCTTAGGTAATATAACTTCTTATGTACCAATATTCAGATTTGAGATGATTTCTAAAATACCTTAATTTTAAAGTATAATCACATTCATCAAAGCTGGTCATTTCAGAAGCCATCAGCTCTTTATTGAAGATGTAAGAGCCAGTAAAGCACTTCCTATATATTATTTTTAGCAACAATTTTCCATCTTTTCATTTCCTTTCATAACAGTCCCTCAGATTCAAGAGTATGTAAACCCAGCCACAAACAGTAACAATTCCTTGAAGTATGTTTTGTTTTAAAGTAGCAGAATTTGTAAAGCTAAACATTGTTGCAGAGAAAACTCATCACAGATACAATATTAAAAAGTGAATTTTACATTTATGAGGTTTTAAAAAAATCTAAAAGAACAAATTATATATTTGAGAAAAATATCTAATGGATTTTTAGTTGATTCTTTTAAACAAAAGACGACACAGAAAATGTTTCAAAGTTGAAAACTGATTTTTTTAAACCATAATTTTAAAATGTTGTTGGGAAAAATCTAACTTCCTCTTTCAGTGACCAATAACCATGTAACTATGGAGTAGGATTCAGGGAAAGAATGTACTTTAAAATCTTTCCTGTCCAGGCAGGGTGGCTCATGCCTGTAATTCCAGCATTTGGGGAAGCTAAGGCAGGCAGATCACTTGAGTTCAAAACCAGCCTGGGCAACATGGTGAAACCCCATCCCTACCAGATATACAAAAATTAGCCAGGCGTGGTGCTACCTGCCTTTCGTCCTAGCTACTCGAGAGGCTAGGTAGGAGGAACGCTTGAGCCCAGGAGTTCGAGGCTGCAGTGAGCCAAGATCGCACCTTTGCACTCCAGCCTGAATGACAGAGTAAGACCCTGTCTTAAAAAAAAAAAAAAAAAAAAAGGAATCCTTCCCAAGGATCTTTGTTAGTTGTTAATGTACAGATAATCTCTCAATCACTTTATCTCATAAAATTCTATACTGAAAATGAGATCTAGGTCTTACTCCCTCCTCAAAAAAACTTTTTGTTCCTGTGTCACTCTATGATTTTACCTCTGTCACCTCAGCTCTGTGCTAAGTAAAGAGTAGGAGAGAAAGTTTGAGCAGGAGCACATAGAGAGCCCACCAGGTGAAAACAGAGTAATGGAAGATGACAAAGAATGAGTGAATAAAGGTAGGGAGAAATAATGATAGTCTCTAAGCAAAATAGAATACCTAGGGATATGATTTGGATCTGTGTCCCTATCAACTCTCATGCCAAACTGTAGTCCCCATTGTTGGAGGTGGAACCTGGTGAGAGGTCACTGGGTCATGCAAGTGGATTTCTCATGAATGGTTTACCACAATGCCCTTGGCGCTGCTCTTGTAACAGTGACTGAGTTTTCTTGAGATCTAGTTGTTTAAGTGTCCAGTGCCTGCCCCTCTCCTTGCTCCTGCTCCTGCCATGTAAGACACCTACTCCTGTTTTGCCTTCTGCCATGAGTAAAAGCTCCCTGATGCCTCCCCAGAAGCAGATGTTGCCACGCTTCCTGTACAGCCTGTGGAACCATGAGCCAATTAAACCTCTTTTCTTTATAAATTACCCAGTCTCGAGTATTTCCTTATAGCAATGCAAGAATGGACTAATACACCAAGTTTTTATATAAGGTATGTAATTATGTTCTATTAACACTGCAGTGACAAGAAAGAGAGAATCTTAAGTAGTAAGCACTTTGTTCCAATTTCAAAACCAAACTACAAAATAATATTTATTAAGTGTGTACATACCCATGAGACTCCTGGGGCATATGCAATTTAATTAAATAAAAGAAAATAATCTATAGAGAAAATGTCCATTTTCGGGAAAATAAATCTGTTTATCACAACAACAAAAAAGGGTTAAATCTTTACATGAAATGCACTAACTAGAAATATATTTCTTTACAAATCCTTCGCATATCAACATTCCAGCCTAATGCACAACTTTTAAAGCCTTAAGAGCTAGGTAAGCAGCATCCAACTAAGTTAAATCAGTCTGTATTTCACTCATGAACACTCCCCAGTGTTCAGGACTACCAATGGGAGTCCAATTCATTATTGCTTATAAGGTTTGTGACTAAAATAGTTGAAAATCACATTTTCTGAAGACAAATAATCAAACATTTAAATAGGAATTTCTCTCTCTCATGATTGATGGCATCTGCAGTTCACAAAGTGTGACAACTGACAAATCACATTATGTTCTGAAAGAGACTTAGCGACTTTATGAGGATTTATAAGATATGGTGTGGTTTATTCATACCTTTACTCACTGAAATCCTCTTCATCTAAAACCAAGCTGTCCCAGTGGTTTTTAAAAATTACAACCCAGTCAATACCACTGTTGGCAAACTAAGCAAAATCCCTAAAATCTAATATTAGCCTCCTCATCCTAAAACACAAGAGGAGGGAATGAATCCAAGGAAGAGATAAACAGGAAAAGAGAAGACGGTAACAGAACAAAAAGAGGAGATGGGAGAAGAAATTATTTAAAACTTGCAAGCTGAATGTAGAACTAATTTTATCAACGAAAAGGGGATGGCATAATTTTCCTAGCCTCTGAATGTAATTTGGCAAATGCTGACAAGGCAAATCAAGCATCAGCTGTAGAGGATTCCAAATTTAAAAATGATCAGTGACTACACTCAAAAAACATAATATACCCCATTGGTGCATTAAAAGAATAAACACCCTTTAAAATGCCCAAACCACCTGTGCACATTGGAATGAGCTCAGCTCTTTCCCGTACTATCAGTACTTACTGAATAAAATCTGTTTGTACCACTTTAACAAATGTCTGGTTATGTTTATCTTTGACAATAGATGGCCTCAATGTGGCAATAAATAAGAAGGTACCCATGAGATGAAGACTGGGGGCAAAGTTCAGCCAGGCAGGTTACACCAGCTCATCAGGTACTAGCAGAAAGAGAACTGAGGCTCAATAAATTCTTCAGTCCCTTCAACAGGATCTTAGGAGCAGAAGCCCATATTTCAGAAGTCCATACTTTTATGATGTTTCTTCTTTTAAGTATTTGTTTCTCCTCAGTTTCAAAATTTCCTTTGGAATGATCAGGCTGTTGCCTGATCACTGTAAGCACAGTTTTGGCTGGGGGTTAAAAGGGGAAGGAATCATCCAGGTGAAAAAAGAGTCTCAGGGAGAGAACAGCAAAAAGGACAGGACTGGTCATACAGTTCAGACATCCTGTCCTTCCCGAATGTTATTCCTCCGGAGTCCTACTAAACCTCACCAAATTCTGTGGTGCTCACAGAAATCCATTTTTGGTCAAGTTTTCATCTCCTCCACAGTCCAGCCTCTTACCAAAAGCAATGAAAAAGTCATAAAATTCAATGGTTTGCATTTCAAATAATTTTATTTCCTGTACCTGGTTCTCAGATTTCAGTGTGCCTATGAATCACCTAGGGTCCATCCCCAGAGACTTTTTATTCAGAACAGAGTAGAGGGCCCAGGCATGCCGCCTAGTGCCTATAATCCCAGCACTTTCGGAGGCTGAGGTGGGTGGATCACTTGAGGCTAGGAGTTCAAGACCAGCCTGGGCAACATGGCAAGACTCCATATCTACAAAAACAAAAAAAAAAATACAAAAATCAGCTGAGTATGGTGGCATGTGCCTGTAGTCCCAGCTACTCGGAGGCTGGGGTGGGAGGATCACTTGAGCCCAGGAGGCAGAGGTTGTAGTGAGCCAAGATTGTGCCATCCAGCCTGGGGGACAGAGCAAGGCCCTGTCGCAAGAAAAAAAAGAAAAGAAAAGTAAAAAAGAGAGAGAGAGCAGAGACCCAGGATTCTGATATATTAAAAAATACACTACACTTTCAGAAACCCAAGCTGGTGGAGGAAGATAGTTAAATGGCAGAAGGCAGTCAAGCGAAAGAAAAAAAATAAATCAAGAGATTAAAAGAAATGTGCTTCAATTAACTTTTACTCAATAATTAAAATTGATTTTACTATATGGGTAACTTCCATGTTACTTCAGAAACGTAACTTCCTTGATTGGTTTTCAATTCTGATACCTCATGAATGGCATCACTTGTCAATTATTGGTGTTACAGAAAAAAAACTGGGGCTTTTCAGGGCAAATTCTTGAGATTTTTTTTTTAAGGCTTTAATCAATTACATGGCTTTCAACAAAAGCTGCCACCTTGTGACTGGAGGAGTTTCAATAAAGCATTATAAAAGCAAACCATACTGATAACATGGTTATCAGTATAACCATGCAAGGTACTGTTCTAAGTGCTTTACATGTGTTAACCCAACCACCCTATGAAGTAGACCTTGTACATTTTACATATTTAAAAACTCAGGAAGTCTGCGCATGGTGGCTCACACTTGTAATCCCAACACTTTAGGAGGCCGAGGCGGGTAGATCACCTGAGGTCAGGAGTTCAAGACCCAGCCTGACCAACATGGAGAAACCCCGTCTCTACTAAAAATACAAAATTAGTTGGGCATGGTGGCGCACGCTTGTAATCCCAGCTGCCAGGGAGGCTGAGGCAGGAGAATCGCTTGAACCTGGAAGGCAGAGGTTGCCGTGAGCTGAGATTGCGCCACTGCACTCCAGCCTGGGCAACAAGAGCGAAACTCTGTCTCAAAAAAAAAAAAAAAAACAGGGAACAGAGAAGTTGCTTGTCCCACATAACTATTAAGTGGAGAAAGCAGGATTCAAACCCAAGTCTTTCTAGATATGCCACATAATGGCCTCATTCAAGCTTTAGGAAATTTGAATGACTTTTATACCATAAAACAAGTGAAATAAGTTGCTACACACTGTAAACCAAATAAAATATGTAGAGAAATGGTTTTAAATGTCTGTTTTGAGTGTCTTGAATAATTTAACCACTAACTTCTGTAAAGACACTAGTTTTTCACCTTTATTCAACCATTGAAACTTCTGGCCAGCTCTTTAAGGTTATAATGTAACTGCAGTTAAAGTCAAGTTTGTTTAGTAACTTCTGCTTCATACTCAAGGGAACAAATTGCTCCCCTAAGGATTCCGAAAGTGGACAAAATATGTGCTCTGCTTCCTTTCAGTAAGAGCAATAGTTTGATTTTTTTAAAAGTGTTCTAGTCTTTCAACACTATTTAAAATAGAACACAGGAAGGGGAACATCACACTCTGGGGACTGTTGTGGGATGGGGGGAGGGGGGAGGGATAGCATTAGGAGATATACCTAATACTAAATGACGCGTTAATGGGTGCAGCACACCAGCATGGCACATGTATACATATGTAACTAACCTGCACATTGTGCACATGTACCCTAAAACTTAAAGTATAATAATAATTAAAATAAAATAAAATAGAACAAAGGTTTATATACATTTTTTTCATGCCATCATTTAGCACTGGGGTTGGCAATGTGATAGTAAATGTTTTAGCTGTGAAGGCCACAGGATCTCTGTCACAACTATTTAACACTGCCACTGAAACCATACACAATACATAACGAATAGGCATGACTGTGTTCCAATAAAATTTTATTTACAAAATAAGCAGCTGGCTATATTTGGCTTGAATGGCTTTAGTGTGTCAACTCCTGATTTAGCAGGTACCTGCAAGTACTAATGGTAGAATTTAGAAAAAGCTGTATTACTTGTATTGTGAACTAAAAGTCCTAACTGCTTCTAGTAAATGTTCCTGTTTAGATTATGATATGGAGTTAGACTAGCCTTTGGGCATTCTGCTAATACAGCTTAACTACAGCAAAATTTAGTTTTCAGATCAAAGAAACAAATATTTGACTGCCTGCTATGTAGATGACAAAGGACTACTCAGTTCTTCAATGTTCTACAGGAATTTTTTTAAAAGCTTAACATCCTGTGAGGTATATAAGGTCTTAAAAAGAAAAATCTGAACATATGATCATGTTAACCTGTGAATTACAGAAATTCTTCTCAAAACTATTTTTAACTGTCATATTCTTAACATTAAAATGGAAAATATAAAAATTTTATTTTAATGCCATAATAACACTAAGGACTTTTTTTAAAGTGCAAACACTTCACTTGCTAATTGGCTATAATCAAGGCAAACAGATTTTCTTTTTGTACATTTTCTGAGAAGCTATTAAGTGTCCACTCTTTTTAGGTTTAATAGTGCCCGTCACAGAACAAGTAGAACTGAACTCCTGCCTCCCAGATTTCTCATTCAATGCCCTTCAGTCTTCTGACTTCGAAGAAAAATATGAATACAATTCTTAGTATTTCCACATACATATCCTGTTTTGAAATTTCCTCCTTTGCCATTTTCAGTAGAATCTAAACAAATTCCTTTCATGAAAGTAATTATATAACTTACCCAACCCCCCCCAAAAATGGAAAGTTTTCTCACTTTACTTCCAACTTCATTTAGTCCAATTGTTGGCAAATTTATAATCTTACTTCCTCCTCTGTCACAAACAAAAAGAAACCTCAAATGCCAGTATTTCATTCATCTCATATGTAAAAAGGCTAAATTGGTGATAACATATTACTTGGCTTAGAATACATTCATATTAAGGAAGAAAATTAATGTTTTTAATATCCTAAAATACCTACATTAGACCCAAATGTTGCAGTGATCTAAGAAGACTGCTTCAGTTTCACTCCCTTTCAGCCACAACTACCCATGCAATTTTACTAAGTCCAAAATATATACAGAAATAAAACATACACACACATACACAGGAATCTCATAAGAATGAAACAATGTTATCTTCATTAGTGAAGGAAGAGAGATAAGGTAAACACAGTGAAGTTATCAAAACTAGACCTAGGCCACAATATCAGCACACATTTAGCAGCTTTTCTATGAAAGTATCATTAGGTGCATGATGACTTACAATCCCTAGGTTTATCTCTCAAAAATGAACTGCTCAAACAAAACAAATCACATTTTTTTTTTTAAAGGCAGGGTCTTTCTCTGTCGAACAGGCTGGCATGCAGTGACACTATCATTGCTCACTGTAGCCTCAAATCCTGGGCTAAGGCAATCCTCTTACCTGAGCCCCCCAAGTAGCTGGGTGCACCTCCAGGCCTGGCTAATTGTTTAATTTTTTTGTAGGAGAGATGGAGGTCTCACTTTATTGCCCAGGCTGGTCTGAAACTCCTGGGATCAAGTGATCCTCCCACCTTGGCCTCCCGAAGTGTTGGGATTACAGGTGTGAGCCACTGTGCCCAGACTCCAAATTTTCTTTAAAAGCATGTCAGGACACTGAAATCAGAACTGAGGTAGTTCACAGTTGTTATCTAAATTGGGGACAGATAGTTAGGTTATGCGACCACCAGAGAAATGGCAATGCTTCTCTGAGTGTGCTTTCCATTGTGCTACATATAACAGAAACCTAAGAATAGTACAAATCTCTATTTGGACACATTAAAAAAAAGAGGCAATAAAACAGATGAGAAGAAATGTCAAACCCAAAGAAAAAAGAAAAGGGACACGACGAAGATTGTGTGTGTGTCTGTGTGTGTACACATGTTCACTCTTAAACTCTCCCTAAAATTATATAACCTAAAATCCAGTTATGAATGCTATATGAAAAAGCAATCTGATATGAAAGGATAATAGATCTTCAAAAACATGCAAAAGCTTTTCTGTTTTGATGTTCTACAATCAGTCCCATTAAAACTAAGATAAGATTATTTGAAGTAAATGCCTGAAGTCAACAGAGGATACACTTAAAAATTATCCAAAGAATCTACAAAACCTACATTAAGAGATTTATTTTCTTTGTCTTTTAGCCTCATTTGCTTCTAACAACAGTAGCTTTTCAAGATTTAAGAAACTCCTGCCCGGGCACAGTGACTGACACCTGTAATCCCAGCACTTCGGGAGGCCAAGGTGGGCAGATTACCTGAGGTCAGGAGTTCGAGACCAGCCTGGCCAACATAGTGAAACCTCATCTCTATTAAAAACACAAAAATATAAAAATAGCTGGGCATGGTGGTGGGCACCTGTAGTCCCAGCTACTCGGGAGGCTGAGGCAGGAGAATCACTAGTACCTGGGAGGTAGAGGTTGCAGTGAGCTGAGATTGCGCCACTGCACTCCAGCCTGGGCAACAGAGTGAGACTCCATCTCAAAAAAAAAAAAAAAAAAAAAAAACAAAGAAAGAAACTCCTATACAAAGCTAACATTACATACAAAATTACTTTCGTTTTCCATATCTTATTTATAGACAACCTTTAATCCAATGTCTTCTGGATTCTGGTTTTTTACTAGCTACTTAATGCTATGAGCAAGTATGTAAAGGGGTAGCAATTAGTTCACCTATTCCCTTCAGAATAACATTCATATATTTTAACAGTCTCTAGCAAAATACATATCTCACTCAAGCACTGATTTTTCTTAACATGACACAAAAAGCATAACCCCAAGGACAGACCCCAATTTCAGAACTAAATTCAAAGGGCTATTTGATTGTGACTGAACTAACAATTCACAGTCCCTAAAGTATCCCACCTCTCTGCTAATACCAAATGCCCTTTATCCCCCATCCCCAATTTCAACTTCCTAGCCTTGACTCTAGGCTGGCAATGTTCTACATCTGAACTAAAATAAGAAACAATTACTCAACTAGTGAGAATATAGGGGTTGGAAAATAAGCAAATGAAAAGATGTTCAACAGCACTAGCCATTGGGGAATTGCAAATTGAAGCCGTGATGAGATACCAACATTATTAGATATGCCTATTAAAATGGCCAGGATTAAGCCACTCAAGTTTATGGAATTTTTGTTATAGCAGCCCAACCAGAATAAGACAGCTGCCTTCTCACTACAACCTCACAGGGTCTTTCCTCTGTTCTCACAGCCCTCCTGTCTCTGTCTCCCAATTTCCTTTATGGGACAACAATCAGACTGTATTAGGGCCAATCAGATTGTATTAGGGCCCACCCTAAAAGCCTCATTTTAACTTAATTGTCTCTTTAAAGGCCCTATCTCCAAATGCGGTCACATTCTGAAGTACAGGAAGTTAGGGCTTCAACATATAAATGTTGGGGGGCCACAATTCAGCACCTTAAGACTGATAAAGACTCTTTTATCAAACCTTGAGTCAGGCTCCTCTGGGTCCTCTTTCTGACTGGGCCTTGACCTTGGGTTCTGTCCTTGGTCCACTTAGTCCAATGTCAGCAAGAATCCTGCTAATAAGTCCGTTTACTGAAAATCCCCCATTCTCAATAATTTACCACCCTGGCCTGTCTTCAGCAAGAATCCTGTTGAGTTGGTCTAGCAAGAGTCCCTCCAGCCTTGATGTTTTCTCTTAGTAATTTTCCATCCACTGACTCCCACCCTGCTCCTTGGCTATAAATATCCACTTGTCCTTGTTATATTCTGAGTTGAGCCCAATCTCCCTCCCATAGGGCAAAACCTCAATGGAGTAGTGAATTAAGTCTGGTCTTACTGTCTTGCACAAGAGTTTAAATAAGTTTTTTCTTTAACAACAGTATGATTCCATTTATATAACATTCTCAATATGGCAAAATTATAGTGATGAAGAACAGATTATGGTTGCCAAGGCTGCAGAGATGGTATAAAGGAATAGCATGAAAAAGTTTCTCTTGGATGATGAGAAAGTTCTATACCCTGATTGCGGTGGTGATTACAAGTATCAACACATGTGGTAAAGGTTCATAGAATACATATATACATACAAATAATGCATGTTAAAACTGGCGAAATATGAATAAGGTCTGTAGTTTAGTTAACACTAACACTATGGTTATATAAGATATTATTAAGGAAAGCTGAATGGGAGGTACAATTGAAACTCTCTACTATTTTTGTAAATGTGAGTCTAAAATCATTTCCAAATAAAAAGTTTTTAAATATCTCTTTATAGCTCATAGAATCTCTAGGGAAGCCTAGAGAACCATATTTAGAGGTTATGCAACAAGCACAATGCCCTCCCTTCATAACTCCCCATCAAAAGAACAATTATATTATCAGGTTGTCCCCTAACCCAAACACTCATGTCCCACACCACAGTACTTGTAGGCATGCTGTCAATGGTTTGAGAAAACTTGAATAGGGAGCCCTACTGAAAAATATTTGTGAAACGGGGTTTTAGGCAAAGATTATCAATAGTTTTATTACTTCTTTCTTCAAGTATATTTACATGAGGATTTGAATAATCTACCTTGAATATATAGTCTTGGATCTTAACAGCAATTTCACACTAATGTCTGTTTGTTAGTTTTAATCTCCCTTGATTTACTTTTGGAAACAAGGAAGTAAGATGGTCAGGGGAAAAGCAAACAACTTTACAACTTGATATTGATTCATAATCAATTTACTGCAGAGTTGCCTCAAAAATGATTACACTTCAGCAATAAGACAATGACAGGTTTAACACATTTCTTGTATGTATAAATTTAAAAAACAAAAAAACACTTTCCAAGGTAAAAATAAACCTTGGGTATTTAAATTAAAAAATGTCAATTCTAAATGTTTAAAATTAAGCCTGCCATAATTCTACTGCAATTTTTTTTTTAAGTCAGTTTTTAACCTAGCTTCTCTCCTGTCTAAATGTAGCCACAGGATTCCTAGAGTCCCCTTAGGAAACAATCACCATGTGAGTTTTCCATGCAAATTTAAATTAATTTGAAACAGCTTGAAACTTGCAGTTAATCCTCCAAGTTGCATTTATAAGAATAAGGTTCAAATTTATAGTATTCTTATTTCAAGGAAAAGCAGCATTACAATATACAAACTATACATAAAGGATTCAAGAATTCTGACTTCTGATCTCACCAATTTTCTGCCATCTCAGAAAGTATTCCTGACAGGTCCCTTAATTCATCATCCTTAACATATTCATAGAGTTTAATCTCATTTATAAATAAACAACAATCTCCCCCCAAAAAAATTATCACTATAATACAAATGACATTGATAAAAATTTGCTATGTGATGCTGTTAATAATTGAATAACCAGGCTGGGCATGGTGGCTCACACCTGTAATCCCAGCACTTTGGGAGGCCGAGGTAGGTGGATTGCTTGAGGTCAGGAGTTCGAGACCAGCCTGGCCAACATGGTGAAACTCCGTCCTCACTAAAATACAAAAATTTGCTGGGCTTGGTGGCGCATGCCTGGAATCCCAGCTACTAGGGAGGCTGAGGCAAAAGAATAGCTTGAACCCAGGAGACGGAGGTTGAAGTGAGCTGAGATCGGGCCACTGCACTCCAGCCTGAGCAACAGAGCGACAAGTCTCAAAGAAAAAAGAATTGAATAACCCAGTTAAAATACAATTCCAAAGAAGTTTTTTGGTTTAAATTACAATTTAGCTAATAGTTTTTAACAAAGCCATTCCCAAAATCTCATTAAATACTTATGAAATCTGGAAAATAAGAAAACCTGTAACACGAAAACTAAGACTGAAAAAATACAGGATGAATTAAAACAAACTGCTTTACAGTTTTTGCCAATTTCTGCCAGGGTGATAAAGAAGTTCATTCCATTTTCTAGATAATTCAGTTCTAAAAAAGAAGAGAAATTTCAGTTGGCAGCCATTTTCACACAAGCCGAAAATATAGCTGGACAACATTTTCAATCACATTCTACTAGCTTACTCTAGATCACAAACACAACGCAGAAATTTCCTGCTTTTTAATGTATTAATTATATGAAATAGGATTCTATCATAGCTTTGGCTTAACAAAGACCTGGCTATTTATTTCAATAATCTTTCCCTATCAAAATTTCGGAAAATTGTACACATTTCTACTTTAGCCAAGGAGAAACCTCAGGTAGAAGAACAAAATCAAAACTATATCAAAATGTATTTATCTAATCACCTGTTGAGAAACATTTCATTTGATTCTAATTTGTGGCTATTATGAATAAAGCTGCTATGAATAATCATGAACAAGTCTTATGTACACCCCTCAACGGCAATGCAAATACAACTTGGTCCCCAACACCTGGTTTTACCAGTTTTTAAATTTTAGCCATTCAAGTGGGTGTACTGCTGTATCTCACTGTGGCTTTAATTTGCATTTCCTCGATGACTAGCAATACTGAGCATCCTTTTTCACACACTTAAGGGCATTAGTATATCTGCCTTTGTAAAATGTCTGTTCAAATCTTTTCCTCACTTTGGGATTCTTGAACACTTGAATACTGATCCTAAATAAAAAGAAATAAAACAGAACAAATAATGACACACACAGAAACCTGGCTGAGCAAAAGAAACCAGACACAAAAAAGTACATACTATGTGAGTCTACTTACATAAAACTCTAAAATAGGCAAAACTAATCTATAATATTCAAAATCACTCAGTGGTTGCTTGGGACGGAGAGTTTGAGATGAATGATTACAAAAAGCACAAGGTTATATTTGGGAAGGTGGGAATGTTCCTTATCTCATTTGGCATAATACTTATATGATGAGTGTATACTTTTGCCAAATATTAGAGACCTGTGTATTTAAAATCTATGCAGATTATTATATGTAAAGTATATATGAGTAGACACGACATGAGTTACTTTCCATCTTCAATTATCATATTTGAATTAAAATATATCTTTATGTGAAAAGAAATATTGAGTTATTAGCTGTCCACATATACTTAACTTTTAAAATAGAAATTGATAATGCTTCTGAAGTCTACGTTCAGGGTCTCTTCTGGGCATAAACAGGCCTATATTTGAGTAAAAGACCCTGAAATTCTGAGTTTCCACCTATTTTTACCATACTTTAACTGACCACTAAGAAAAAAATGAATTAATAAAAAGGTACACTATATCTGAGAGGTGTGATTACCGTTGTCTCCACCACCCTCTGTCCCTCAGATCTCTGGCCTCCTGTAAGTACCTTCTAATTCTATTCCTAGAATGACTCTCATCATTACTCAGACTATTAATAATTTCTGGCTTCTGAGGATTATTACTACAGTCTCTAAAAAGGCCATTAAAATTATGTTGACCAAATGTTTCCTATGCTTGGTGGAGATTTCTAATCTTTGAGTAATATTTCAAATATCTAATGTTGTTATAAATTAGACCATACTATGAATAATTTAAAATAATTCCATTGGCAGGGTGTGGTGGCTCACGCCTGTAATCCCAGCACTTTAGGAGGCCAAGGTGGGCAGATCACAAGGTCAAGAGATCGAGACCATCCTGGCCAACATGGTGAAACCCCATCTCTACTAAAAATACAAAAATTAGCTGGGTGTGATGTGCGCCTGTAGTCCCAGTTACTTGGGAGGCTGAACCCAGGAGGTGGAGGTTGCAGTGAGCCAAGATCGCGCCACTGCACTCCAGCCTGGGCGACAGAGCGAGACTCCCTCTCAAAAATAATAATAATAATTCCATTAAAAAATGTGTTTAGAATCTAAATCAAATAAATCCTAATTATTTGTTCAAAAAGGAAAAGAAATGAAAATATAATTTAAATACACGCTGCATAATAAAAACTAGATAGACACAGAACATATTTTAAGTGAGAAAAACTTGAAAAGTCAAAGCTATTCCTAAGTATAATATTTCACAGTTATCTATTTAACCAAGATAAAATATATGTGTATACATGTTTATTTATTCATTTATTCATTCATTTGGTATTCCTCTATCCTACACTTAAGGGAACACTAGCAAGGTTTTTCTTGAGTTACTTTAGTTGAACAGTATTTATTTGCATATATATAAAAGCTCTAAAGTGACAGTTATTAGTTCATTTAATAATATATTTTAGTTGTCTCAAATTATGCAAATTACATTAAGACTAATATAACTTATTTGCAATGACTTTGCTGATCAAAAAATATTTCTAGCTTCAGGTGGAATAACTGATGTCAAAAATGCACATTCTAATTTCTTCCATTTAAATTATCCAACTCAATGTCTTTTTAATGTATTCTTCTTATATAAATATGATCCTCCTTAAATTACAGACCAGTATTGTGTTTTTAAGGCATTGCTTTGATTTAATGGTAATCTCCTTAATATAAGAGTTTCCCAAATTTGATAAAGTCTTTTTATGAAGCTGTTGCAAAGATCTCCATTCTTGATACGCTGTTTACCAACTACTAGACAAGTTTAAATACCTTTATTTTAGCACTTACTCATGTTATCTTGTGGAGTCAGGCATTTGCTCATATCTTTTCCATCTGTTCTTATATAATTAACTAAATATGTAAAATCTAGTTGCTTTTCTTTGCCCAGGCTCTCAATGTTGTTTAATCTCTCCCTGGATAAAATTTAAAAGAACTTTTCCCTAAATCCTCTACTTTGGCTAGAAATGTACTATCTTTTTGTTAATAAAGTACATTGCTTCAAGTACTGTAAGATGTGGATGTGACAAAGAAGAACTGAACTTATCTTGATCTCTCAGTTAAGCTCCAGACAGCTAACACTGAAAAAACAGAAAAAGAATCTCTACTTTCTCGGAGTGCCTGATGTTTAAATTAGGTCCCAGTTTTGTTTTTCTTACAATTTCCTGAAATAAATGTACTTTTTCACAATCCACGCTGGCTAAACTGTGCCCATCCTTACCTATCTACCCACCACTGGCATCACAGACAAAAATTTCTAGTCAGCCCAAAATTAAAAGCAAGAATGTCATTCCAAGAAATAGGGTACATGTGCTCACAGGTATGTACCCACTGCACTCCTGTGCAGGCACACAAGAAGGAGCTTCAAACAGAGCCAAAAGATGCAATTCCACCTTTAGACCTGGACCCTTAAAACTCCTGCACTGACTGGGCAATTCACTGCCTCAAGGGATCAGTTACTGAAACAATGTACCCTTAATCACAGTGAGTACTACTCTAGGGGATATACCCACCAGGCAGCACGGGATCCTTTAGTATTCAATTAGAGATGTTTACTAAGGCAACATGAAGCTTCCCTTGGCTTTGCACATACCAAGTTTAATTGGCTACTTCACCATAAATTCCTCAAGGGGATTTAACAATGACCACGTCTTAGTCTCCGATCTTTAACATAAACCCTATTACCTAGCAACTACTAACATTTCGCTAATTCTGCTGCTCCCAAGCTTCCTGACTTTGCCACAGCTCATCCACTGCACTCATGTCACTCCAACTGGCAAGGTCGCCATCCCTCCAATCCATTCAGAGCAATAGGGTCTAATGTAAAGTTTGTGTTGTCTTATATTTTGCACTGGGTTCTTCTAGATTTCTTTCATGTTAACCTTCAACTGCTTGACTCTGATTAATTTTATATGTTGTCAACCACAGTACACTGGCCCCAAATGAAAATTATATATATGCTTCTTTGAAGAATAATGGAAAATTAAAGGAACTATGTGAAAGCATGCAAACGTCTATGAAAACATGTTCCTACATCTGGAACTTCTCTGATTAAAGAAAAAAACTACCATAAATTATTAGAAAAACACCAAGGTATAATACTAATGAAGAAATGAAAACAGACTTTCCGATAGGCTACCAAGTCAACTGCAAAGTGAAAAAAAGCAAAGGCTACTAGGTTTTTGTTGTCTTATTATCATACCATACTAAGCTTGTGTGTACATATTACAAAAATCAGCCATTTGTGTTACAAGGAATTACTCTGCACTAACACTGAAAATATAATACCTGACAAACTCCTTATTCATCATTCTGAGACATTCAAACTTCAACTAAAGTCTTTTACCTCCATTATTTAAAATTTCAAGTAAATGGGGCATCTCAAAAATTCACCTGCAAAATACTACATTTGTTTCCATCCTTTCTTAGCTCTTGGTATCTGACCTGCTTGCCAATTTATTCTGAAAGGTCATAATGTAAGCAGAGTTCTGCTGCATGTGGGGAAAAAAAACCTGTTTAGCATAAAACCCTATCATTTGTATACTAGCCATACCATGTAAAAAAAAAAGAATTCCATCAAAAAAATGTAAACAGTATTATTGCCACTGAAATTCTGATACATTTGTTTTAATAAAATTAGTCTAAATGGATTTTTGGTATATTAACTTGGTATCTAAGTAAAATTCTAAATTTCATTGATGTATCTTTACATTAAAGTTCTGTGATATGTAATAATACTCAGGTCATCATATTCCATTAATTAAAAGTTAATAGCAATTAATTTTAAAGCACTGCATAAAATAATGACAGAAAATATAAATCTTTAAGAAATATTTTCAGCTGAGCATGATGGCTCACACCTGTAATCCCAGCACTTTGGGAGGCCAAGGCGGGAGGATCACCTGAGGTCAGGAGTTCAAGACCAGCCCGGCCAACATGGTGAAACTTTGTCTCTACAAAAATACAAAAAGTGGGTGCCTGTAATCCCAGCTACTTGGGAGGCTGAGGTGGGAGAATTACTTGATCCAGGAGGCAGAGGTTGCAGTGAGCCGAGATCACACCATTGCATTCCAGCCTGGGCGACTGAGAGAGACTCCATCTCAAAAAAAAAAAAAAGAAAGAAAAGAAATACTTTTGAATTTAATGTCTTCTATTTGACTACATAAATTAATGCAAAAAAAAGAGTTCTATAAATTTAAACTGTACGTTTGATGAAATGTCATAGCTCAAATTATAATGCAAGATATATTTTTAAGACTGGTACAGTCAAGATCCAGTCTTGTAGATAATAAACTTATAAATTAAGACTGACATCTTTTGAATCTTTCATCTGGTTCTAGTATCTTACATCTATTCTAGATGATTATTTTGAAGCCAGAATTCAAGGAGCACAGACTTTGATTTTCAGCAGATAAATTCTATCAGAATATCAAATGTAAAGAGACTGCTCTTTGAATGGAGAAAAGAAAAGCATACAAAGACAGTACTTCAAAATACAGAAAAATGAAAATCTTGAGTGGCAGAGACTCTAACCACCAATAGTCAAGCTTCTCATTTGGCAACATAAGAGGAAGTGGGATGGAAAGCTGAAATAAAAGGAAAGACAGCATGCAAATAGCTATCACTGAATAGTCTGGCAAAAATGTAAAGCAAGGTCAAACTGTTAACAATGATCATTGTAATACTTACAAAAGAAAACTCACATTCACAATAAAAACACAGATGTCACAAACATTTAAAATTCTCTAACATTTGCTTACAGCTTACATAATAAGGCTTAATGAACACTAAAATTGTAAAGCAAAATATTTTCCCAAGTTTTGCATACTAGAGAGCTGTTGCTTCATTAAAACAAAAGAATTTGATATATCAGTGCCATTACTCAAATAGACAAACTTAACAACTAGCCTGATAAAAATCTGTTAAGGAAAAAGATAGGGGTTGTGTCTCTGGTTTCAAACTTTATTTTGTGATTTGGGCTCTAAATATGTCTAATAAAATTTTTGACTCAAATTTTATTTAATCTCTTTTGTTCCAGATATTACTTTAGTCCTTTATTCACCACTGTAAGGTTTTGTTCTATTTTCTATGACTTTCTTGAAAATCACTAAATACAATGGCCTCTTCTCAGTCTTCATACTCCTGACTATCTGCTCCTTGGTCTACCATCTTTGAGCTTCTCTGAGTGCTCTTCCATCCTTCTAGAAGATTCGTTTTCAGATTTCTTCACTGTCTCCTTCCACCATCTGCCCTGTAATTGTGAAAAGCCTCTCCTTTCTCCCCATTTCATGCTGCTACCCTTAGTACTCTAATCCAATTTCAATGCAACCTTGAATAACTGTCACTACTATCCCTGATCTCTTTTCTGAATGCTAGAATTACATTTCCAATTACATGCCAGATATCTCCACAAGTGAATATTTCTATGGCATCTCAAAGTAAACATGTCCAAAACTAAAATCATTGTTCCATACCCTCCAACATCCAAACAGACCTACTATCAACATAGTTATTTTCCTTCCTCCTCCAATTCACCCCAAAATACAATCTGATACCAAGTCCCCATGGATTTTGGATCAATTCTTAGCCATCCTGGCAGATATCAAAAAGCCTCTGTCTTCATTTTGCTGCCTTATCTTCTAATCAACCCAGGACCAGCTAAGATTGTTAGCTGAACATGGAAGAAGCTGACTAGCAGAAAATGAGTTTATTAAAAGGCTACTAGGAAGCTCACAGAATTGTTGGGAAGATGAAATATTATTCTTTTTTTTTGAGATGGAGTCTCCCTCTGTCACCCAGGCTGGAGTGCAATGGTGCAATCTCAGCTCACCGCAACCTCCGCCTTCTGGGTTCAAGGGATTCTCCTGCCTCAGCCTCCTGAGTAGCTGGGATTACAGGTGCACGCCACCACACCCAGCTAATTTTTGTATTTTTAGTAGAGACAGGGTTTCACCACGTTGGTCACATTGGTCTTGAACCCCTGACCTCGTGATCTACCCGCCTTGGCCTCCCAAAGTGCTGAGATTACAGGCACGAGCCACTGTGCCTGGCCAAAAAACTATTCTTAAAGTTAAGCTTCCAGGCTCAAAAGAGGAACTAATTAGTTCTAAAACAGGACTAATTATTAATAGAAAATGGCCATCACTGCTGTTTAGCATCCCACAGAGTACTAAAGAAAACCACTCCCACTGTGGGAAATCAATCTAGCAACCACCAAAAAGACACTGCTGCCACCAAAGGCAGAAAGTCTCTGCTCACATCCACCACTGCCACCACCAAACACAAAAGCTCGATGAAGATTCTGTTTCCTCAGTTCCAAATCAAAGTCCTGTTCTGTTTCCTCAGTTCCAAATCAAAGTCCTGTGAGAGGTGAGTCTAATCAACGAAGTATAAGTCATATGCTTATGATCTGGTTACAAAAGAGAATGAGAATTTGAGTGCTGTCTTCTATATTGGTGGGAGTAACACTTACATTAGCAAGACATTTTATTTATTAAAAAAAAATTCCCAAATGTAAGACTTTATTCAAAAACCGAGGGTTAAATATGAATGCAACCACTACTACATACTACCCCTCCCTCCTGCCCTCATCTCCAATCCTATAATAAATTCATACAAAATCATACCAGAGTCTGGTAAATATATATTAACAGAATTGCTGGAACTGGACCCAGTCTCTAGCTCAGAGTATTTGGCTGGAGCCCAAATTCCCTGCCTGCATGATGCCAGCCACTATGCCCTAGGAAACCACACCTTGTTCCTAAGACCAGTAAATACTCCCTCCCTTTGTCATAGCTGGTTCCTCCTCCACACAGTACAGACCACCAAAAACCTCCTCAATGCCATTACAGGCTTTATAAATTGGAAATAACAAGAAACTTTTGTCACTGTATCACATACACCAAAGTGAACCCTATTGGACACCAAAACCAACCTAGAATAACCCTAAGTTCAACATACCCTTTGAATTCTAGGATATGGATGGCAACTCCCCGTAGTCTAACCACCCCATTCTCCAGAACCAGTCATTCCCCATCAATGGCCACCAAGATCCTAGGGCACATCTCTCACACTCGTCCCTCCCTCCTATCCTCACTGTCACCATTCCAGTCTGGGTCTTCATAACTTCTTACATGAATATTGCAAGAGCATCCTAACAAATTCTTCTACACCAAAGTTCCCCTTGTACCATCACCACTACAATCACACATGCATATAAAATTCACATCAAATATTTAATTCTCTGAACAACTCAATAAAGTAAAAGTAAATACAGAAAGCACTATGGAAAATGTACCCCAAAATAATTAAATCTCAGTATTCTAAAGTACATTCCTAGAAAAAAGGAGACCTACAATTTGTCCATCAGCCTCACCCCTTTTACACAATGAAATGTGAGTAGCAATACAAAAGATAATCAGGTTTGGCAAGCAGATAATTAATCTAGTTTCTAACTGGCATGACAAAAGTAAAACATGAAAGCTATTTCCTAAGTCCCTCTATAGAGACTGTGGACTGAGGAGGCAATCGTGAAATATTTAATGAATTAATAAGAATATAAAAATATAGGAAACAGGCCGGGCACAGTGGTTCATGCTTGTAATCCCAGCACTTTGGGAGGCCGAGGCGGGTGGATCACGAGGTCAAGAGATCAAGACCATCCTGGCCAACATGGTGAAACCCCATCTATACTAAAAATATCAAAAAAAAATTAGCTGGGCGTGGTGGCACGCGCCTGTAGTCCCAGCTACTCGGAAGGCTGAGGCAGGAGAATCGCTTGAACCCGGGAGGCAGAGGTTGTAGTGAGCCGAGATTATGCCACTGCACTCCAGCCTGGCAACAGAGTGAGAATCTGTTAAAAAAAAAAAAAAAAAAAAAAAAAAAAAAAAAACCACACACATAGGAAACATTACCTTATCCCATTACTACTTCTAAGCTTAATCTTTATTCATCCTATATCTTTTTAATTCGGCTCTAGGATTCTTTTTTTAAAACTTCCTTTTGACCAAAATAAACTTTGTTCTATTTGCGTTTCCTCCCTAAAATCTCCCCTACATTTTGTGGTCCTCTGCCTATTTTCTCCATTTACTCTTACTATCATAGCATTTTTACATGGCCATTTTTAAGCCTTCTTCTTTATAAGTACCTCCTATTCTCCCTTGTTTGTTGAGGCATTTTTTAAAGCATTTATTTTACAATACAATTTTCCTCAGAGCTGCGTTAAAGCAACCTTCTGGCTATAAGTATTCACATATTTGCAATTAGGATATATTCCTGTTAAAATAATGATTTATAATCTTTGTGCTCTAATTGATTAGCGAGGATCTAGATGGCTGCACATATACTTGCCAAAAGAAGAGAAATGCATGCAAGCATACCTCATTTCACCATACTTCACTTTACTGCACTTCAAATTGTGTTAAAACTGAACACAATTTGAAGGTCTGTGGCAACCCTGCATTGAGATAGACAATGGGCTGCATTTTTCCAATAGCATGTGCTCACTTCGTGTTTCTGCGTCACATTTTGGTAATTCTTGCAATAACTCAAACTTTTTCATTATTATTTTATCTGTTATGGTGATCTATGATCAGTGATCTCTGATGTTACTAATGTAATTGTTTTGGGGCACCATCAACTATGCCCCTATAAGATGAGCTTCATCAGGAAATATTGTGTGTCTTGTGGCTATTTCCCCAACCAGCCATTCCTTTGTCTCTCTCCTCTCCTTAGAGCTTCCCTATTCTCTGAGAAACAATAATATTGAAATTAGTAACTCACAATGGCCTTTAAGTATTGACGTGAAAGGAAGATTCTCACCTCTCTCACTTTAAATCAAATGCTAGAAGTGACTAAGCTTAGTGAGAAAGGTATATCAAAAATGGAGATAGGTTGAAAGCTAGGCCTCATGTGCCATACAGTGAGCAAAGTCGTAAATGCAAAGGAAAAGTTCCTGAAGGAAATTCAAAGTGCTAATCCAGTTAACACATAAATGATATGAAAGTGAAGGCCAGGCATGCTGGCTCACGCCTGTAATCCCAGCACTTTGGGAGGCTGAGGCAGGTGGATCACCTGAGGTCAGGAGTTCGAGGCTAGCCTGACCAACATGGTGAAACCCCGTCTCTGCTAAAAATACAAAAATTAGCCGGGTATGGTGGTGCATGCCTGTAATCCCAGCTACTCGGGAGGCTGAGGCAGGAGAATTGCTTGAACCCAGGAGGCGGAGACTGCAATGAGCTGAAAATGCGCCATTGCACTCCAGCCTGAGTGACAGAGCAAGACTCTGTCTCAAAAAAAAAAAAGAAAAAAAGAAGAAAGTGAAGTGAAGCAGCCATATTACCAATATAAAGAAAGTTTTAATGGTCTGGATGGACCACAACATTCCATTAAACTTAAGCCTAATCCAGACCAAGCCCCTAACTCTCTTCAATTCTATAAAGGCTGAGAAAGGTGGGGAAGCTGCAGAAGAAAAGTTGGAGGCTAGCAGAGATGGGTCCATGAGGTTTAAGGAGAGCAGCCATCTCTATAACATAAAAGTACAAGGTGAAGCAGCAAGAGCTTCAGAAGCTGCAGCAAGTTATCCAGAATATCTAGCTAAGATCATGAAAAAGCTGTTGTTTAGGTGGCTACACTAAACAACAGCTTTTTAATGTAGATGAAACTGCCTAATACTGGAAGAAGATGCCATATAGGACTTTCATAGCTAGAGAGAAGTCAAAGCCTGGCTTCAAAGCTTCAAAGGACAGGCTCATTCCCTTGTTAGGGGCTAATGCAGCTGGTGACTTTAAGTGGAAGCCAAAGCTCATTTACCATTCTGAAAATCCTAGGGCCCTTAAGAATTAGGCCAAATCCACTCTGCTTGTGCTCTAGAAATGGAACAATAATGTCTAAATAATAGCACATGCGTTTACAGCATAGTTTACTGAATATTTTAAGCCCACTGTTGAGACCCACTGCTCAGAACAAGTTTCCTTTCAAAATATTACTGCTTGTTGGCAATGCACCTGGTCACTGAAGAGCTCTGATAGAGATGTACAAGGAGATTAGTGTCTTCATATCTGCTAACACAATATCCATTCTGCTGCCCATGGATCAGGAATATTTTAACTTTCACATCTTATTATTTAAGAAATACATTTTGTAAGACTAGAGCTACTATAGATAGCGATTCCTCTGATGGATCTGAGCAAAGTAAGTGGAAAACCTTCTGAAACGATTCACCAATCTAGATGCCATTAAGAACATTTGTGATTCACGGGAGAGGAAATATCAACATTAACAGGGATACAGAAGTTGATTCCAACTCTCATGGTTGACTTTGAGGGGTTCAAGTCTTCAATGGAGGAAGTTCACTGCAAATGTGGTGGAAATCACAAGAGAACTCGAATTAGAAGTGGAGCCTGAAGATGGGACTAAACAGCTGCAATCTGGTGATGAAACTTTAAAGGATGTGGAGTTGTTTCCCATGGATGAGCAAAGAAAGTAGTTTCTTGAGATAGACTCTACTCCTGGTGAAGATGCTATGAACATTGTTGAAATGACAACAAAGAAGTTAGATTATTATATAAACTTAGTTTATCAAGTAGTAGAATGCTTTGAGAGGACAGACTCTCATTCTTTTGAAATAATGCAGCACACTGAATGGTTGTCTTATTTTAAGATATTGCCACAGACACTCCAACCTTCAGCAATCACCACTCTGATTAGTCAGCGGACATCAACATTGAGGCAAGACCCTCCACCAGCAAAAAGATTACAACTCACTGAAGACTCAGATAGATGATCATTAGCATTTTTTAGCAATAAAGCACTTTTAAATTAAGGTATGTACATTGTTTTTTAAAAGATGGTATTGCATTCTTAATAGACTACAGTATATTGTAAACATAAGTTTTACATGCACTGGGAAACAAAAATTTATATGGCATGCCTTATTGCAATATTCACTCTATTAGTCTCGAACAGAACCTGCAATATCTTTGATGTAGGCCTGTAATTCCTTTTCTTACTTTAACAAGTAAAAGGTGACTGAATAAGTAAATAAAACATCTATCTTTGTTTTAAAGATTAATTAGTGTTGCTTTTAGTGTTTAACAAATTATAGCTAGTCCATCCTTCTCTGAACTGACATAGCTCTTGGATATTCAGTGATTTTTTTAATGCTATACAAATTATCTGTTTATTTGTTCATGTCAAGTAGAAGAGTATATAAGTCACTTACATCAAAAATCCTGCCTTAAACCACTTCTAGTCTATACCTCATATGTAGAAAGCACTTCAGAAACATTTGTTTACATATTCTACAAATAACAAGTTGCTTTTAATTTCCATTTCTTTAATTACTTGAAAAATACTTCTTCAGTCTCTTCAAGACTTTTAGAGAAGTTATGCAACACAAGTATTAAGGGGAAATAAATATATGGGAAAATAAGTTCCTGAGGTAAAAGAAACAGAAATAAAAGAACAAAGGCATAAAGGCTATAAAATTTATATATATCATAAAGAAAGGCAAAGTAATTTTAGCTGTGTCAGAAATATCCAATACATAACAGTCCAGCAGGCTGATAGGCAATAAACAAGGCAATCAAAGAACTCTGATAATTAAGAAGCAATGTTTCATCCGCTACTACCATCTAGCTATTCAAAATCTGTGTTTCTTTACCAGGTTAGTAACAAAAGATTCATATATGGAATTATTTTGTAAGTACATAAAAATTCCTAAGATTAATAAGATTCCAGTGAAAACAATATTAACAAGTTGTCACCATAATTACATTAGAAAAATAAACAACTCTCATCACTAAATCCTTTCTTTACAGGTTTAAAGGTTTCTATTTTATACTTAATATTTATCCTTACAAATTGAGAACACCTCTCTCCCATTTTCTCTTTTAAGTAGTTCATTCAATAAACACTTATAGAACCAGTATAATATGCAAAGCAGTATGGTAAGCATTAGGGATACCAAGATGGATCTATGTTTCTCAACTGTCATAGAAATATTCATGTTCTTCAAATAAGTATCATTTGTGCATCCTTTGAAGAAGATATCAAAAGGGATCTCTTAACATTCTATATTATGATATTATTTGGGCTCTGAACTGAATTCAAAAGAAAAAGCTCAGGTGCACCTCAATCCTTCCCACAGCAGATCTCAACAGAACTTCTTCCTATACCATGACTTATTCCCCACTTAACCAAACGCTTGTTTCCCCCTTAACTAAATGAAGTATTCTGCCTAGTCCACATCAATGTAGTCATAGCAAGTACCCCTAACTTTACCTTTAAGCATTTCCTGCTGTTTATTTGCCTTCTTGTCTAACACTTAAATTTTAATGTGGGACTAGTTAAAGCATCTGTACTCTTCAAAGCCCTGGTAAGAATGCTAAGTGTATAGTAGCTTCTCACTGAATACTGCATAGATGAGATAAATACATAAATCCCAAGATACACAGTCAAATCACATGTCTACTATAATGTTTTACAACAGTATTAATATATTGGAATATTTGACACTTTGATGATTTTTTAATGTTAATTCATATATCCTCCAGTAAAATTTTAACTAATACAGCAAGTTACTTACGTTCTTAAGTCTCATATTTCAGAATTTGCTACAGCCCCTCCTTTCTATGTAAATGAGTAGCTTCCTTTTCATCTTTACTCCCTGGATGTTTATGACCAAATGTGAAGCCCAAGCACAGCATCCATGCTGATATTCAAGAGTTATGAGTTGTCCATTAGTTCTAATTTTCTATTTCTTTTACTATCAGGTTGGTGCAAACATAATTGCAGTTTTTGTATTGTTGGAATTTGCCATTTGATATTGGAATACATATTTCGGTCAATGGATTTTATTATAAGCTGCCTTGATGTTTTAGGGAAACAAATAGGTTATAAATAAACTTACCTACTATGGAAAAGTTATATACCAAGTTTATATTTAAAAATTCACATTTTCTTTTATCCATCAAAATACACTTCAATTCAAATTTATTCCCCTCCATTTTTTCCTTCTCCCCTAAGTTTCTGTTAGACAACTATCAAATTTACTGTAAAGACCAAATTTTCTACCTTCACATAGTTTGAGCTTCACCGCTATTTTCTTTCACTTCTTTCAAATTACTGCTTTTGAGTGGATCAATATCATAGTTGCAAGGCTGAAGTGGTCTCTTTTGCCATGCTCCAGATACCTATTTTTAGTTAACAGGTAGCTACTCCCCAGAAACTTTCAACAATGATAGAAGCCACAAAAAACTAACTTACAAGCATTGAGGTTCTTTTATTAAGCTTATGAAGTGTTAGTACATTTCGAAGAAAGGAGAAGATAAGACTATGGTTCTTATACTCTATATCACTCTATCCATTTCCCAGTAACGTAATGAAATTATTTAATACAAACTAAAACTACTTTCTCTTTCTTCATGGCATACAGATTTTATATAGCCTTATGCCTTTGTTTTTCCATTTCTGTTTCTTTTATTACAGGAACTTGTTTTCCCATATATTTATTTCCTCTTAATATTTCTGTTGCATAACTCTTCTGGGTGACTTGTCTAAAACTTTTCAAGAAAATTAAAAAATTATTTCCCAAGTAACTAAAGAAATGAAAATTAATGCAATAAGTTACTACTTTTACCCATCATGTTAGCCAAGATATTTAACTGTAAAATCCTGAATAATTGAAGAGTTGAACCAGCTCTTCTCGTATATCATGTGGAGAAGTACAAACTGAAGTAGTATAGATAAAAGCCGTTCCATAAATGTATCAAGAGCTTCAAGACATTTCGACCCTCTGACCCAATAATTTAATTTATAAATCTACCTAAAGAAACAAATCGTAAATAAAAACAGAGGCTTACATAGGAAGTGCTCATCACAGCATTATATGTGATTGTAGAAAATTGCTAACAGGGTAAAAGTCTAATATCAATAATTAGATAAATAAAACAAATATACTTATATTATAGACAAATATTCTAAATCCATGTGATAGATTACACAGTCATAAGCATGCTGTTAATAAAAATTAAAATATTGAGAAAATGCTTGTGCATGTTAAGAAAATGAGTTCCAAATGTTAAATTCCATATTATCTCAACAATAAAATCTACATAATGATTTTGTCTTCATGCAGTCTTGTACTCTCCAAATTTTCTACAAAAAGGCTTAGTGTTTTAAAATTAGCATACTTATATATTTGTTAAAACCACAGAGCTTTTTCCCTATGTTCTCAAAAAATCTTAATATTAAAAATATTTTAATTATAAAATATTAAACCAGCTTATAAGACAAACCTAGTTAAGATCTATTTTAGACAAAACTTTAAAATAGAGAAAAATGTTGGCAATTTAAACAACTCTATATATTACATTATTAAATTGTATTATTTATACTATGCTGCTATATAAATTGCATACTTAAGAAGGAATATACTTCCCAACTCATTAACAAGGTCAGCATTACCTGATACCAAAATCAGATAGCCCTTACATGAAAGGAAAAGTCTAGATCAACATCCCTCATTGGCAGTAAAGCAAAAATTCAGTAATATATAAAAAAAGGTAATATACCTTGACATAGTAGGTTTATCCCAGGAATGCAAAATTGACTTAATATTGTTTTAATCAATGTAATCAAGTACACATTCACAGATTTTAAAAAATTTAAACAATATTGTCAACCCAGTAGATGAATAAATGGTCAAGGCCTCACTCTGTGGCCCAGGCTGCAGTGCAGTGGTGCAATCACAGCTCACTGCAACCTCGACGTCTCCAGGCTCAGGTGATCCTCCCAAGTAGCTGTGCCTACTGGCCTGCACCACCACATTCATTAATCATACTTTTTATAGAGACAAGGTTTCACCATGTTGCCCAGACTAGTCTCAAACTCCTGGGCTCAAGCAATCCACCTACCTCAGCCTCCCAAAGTGCGAGGATTATAGGCGTAAGCTACTAGGCCTAGGCAAGACTGGGTAATTTATAAGAAAAGAGGTTTAATTGGATCACAGTTCTGCAGGCTATACAAGAAGCATAGCGACATCTGCATCTGGGGAGGCCTCAGGGAGCTTTTACTGATGGAGGAAGGTCAAGCAGGAGCAGGTACTTCACATGGTGAGAGCAGGAGCAAGAGAGAGAGAGTTGGGGGGATAGGTGCCACACACTTTTAAATGACCAGATCTCAGGAGAACTCATTACCATGAAGACATCACCAACCATGAGAGATCTGCCCGCATGATCCAAACACCTCCCACCAGGCCCCATCTCCAGCTTTGGGGATTATATTTCAACATGAGATTTGGACAGGGACAAATATCCAAGCTATATCACATTGATAACCAAAAAAAAAAAGCAAACGAGAAACAGAAAGAAGCTTCCTTAACCTGATAAAAGGCCATCTATGAAAAACCAATAGGTAATATCACACTTAATAGTGACAGACTAAATGTATCTATCCTTAAGTTCAGGAACAAGACAAGAATGCACACTCTCATCACTTCTATTAAACATCGTAGCAGAGGTCCTAGCCAGGGTAATTGGCAAGAAAAATAAATAAAAGGCATACAGTTGGAAAGAAAAAAAATAAAACTATATTCACAGACAACATAGACATCTATGTAGAATATACCAAATAATCTACCAAGAGGCTACTAAAATTAATAAGTTTAGCATAGTTACAAGACCTAGAAGAGCCAAAACAATTTTTGGAAAAAGATCAAAATTGAAACACTGACTCTACCTAATTTCAAAACTTATTATAAAGCTACAATAATCAAGACAGAGTGATACTGTTACAAGGACAGACATTTATATCAATGGAACAGAAAAAAGTACAGAAACATACCCATGATCAAATTATTCTTTACAAGGTGAAAAATGGGGAATCCAATGAAAAAGAAAAGTCTTTTCTTTTCTTTCTTTCTTTCTTTTTTTTTTTTTTTTTTGAGATGGCGTTTCACTCTGTCACCCAGGCTGGAGTGCTGAAGTGCAGTGGTGCAATCTCAGCTCACTGCAACCTCTGCCTCCCAGATTCAAGCAATTCTCCTGCCTCAGCCTCCTGAGTAGCTGGGATTACAGGTACCCGCCACCACAGCCGGTTAATTTTTTGTATTTTTTAGTATTTTAGACAGGGTTTCACCATGTTGACCAGGCTGGTCTCAAACTCCTGACCTCATGTGATCCACCCACCTGGGGCTCCCAAAGTGCTGGGATTACAGGCGTGAGCCACTGGCCCGGCCCAGTCTTTTCTACTAATAGTGCCAAAACCAACAAGGAAACCAACAAGGAAAAAAAAATCAACATGTCTAAAACCTAACCAAAACATGGGTCATAGAGTTAAATACAAGAGCTAAAACTATAAAATTTCAAAAAGATAATACAGGAAAAATTCTTCATGCTCTTGGGTCAGTTGAATACTTCTTAATAAAAGTAAACCATAAAAGAAAGAAACTGATAAAATAGACTGAATCAAATTGTAAAACTTTGTTGCTCTTCAAAAGACATTGTTAAAACAAAAGGCAAACCACAGACTGGGACAAAATATTTGCAACACACACACATATTCAAGATATGGAAATTAAAAGCACAATGAGATATCATCATACATCCATTAGAATGATTAAAATTTAAAACTGACAATATCAACTTTTGGCAAGGTGGTAGAATAACTGGAACACATACACTACTGGAGATGAACATATCTATCCACTTTGGAAATAGTTTGGCAATTTCTCATAAAGTTAAACATACTTTAAACATATTTATTGGTCAGCCCAGCAATCCTCCTTAAAAGTATTTATCCAGGCCAGGAGCAGTGGCTCACACCTGTAATCCCAGCACTTTGGGAGGCCAAGGAGGGCGATCACGAGGTCAGGAGATTGAGACCATCCTGGCTAACACGGTGAAACCCTGCCTCTACTAAAAATACAAAAAAATTAGCCGGTGCGGTGGTGGGCACCTGTAGTCCCAGCTACTTGGGAGGCCGAGGCAGAAGAATGGCGTGAACCCGAGAGGCAGAGCTTGCAGTGAGCCAAGATCGTGCTAGTGTACTCCAGCCTGGGCGACAGAGCGAGACTCCATCTCGAAAAAAAAAAAAAGTATTTATCCAAATATTCACAGCAGTTTTATTCATAATAGCCAAGAACTGGAAACAATCTAAATGTCCATCAAGTGGACATTTGAATTGGGGACTAGATAAACAAATTGTGGTATATTCATACAATGGAATACTACCTAACAATTAAAAAGAATGGAAAAAATGTTTTAAATTAAAAAAATAAAAGAATAGAAGAATGAATTACCAATACATGAAACAACATAGATGAGGCTGAGATGGGAGGAGTTTGAGACCAGTCTGGGAAACACAGCGAGACCCTGTCTCTACAAAAAATTTTACAAATTAGCCAGGTGTACTGGTATGCACCTATAATCCTAGCTACTTGGGAGGTTGAGGCAGGAAGGTCCCATGAGCCAGGAGATCAAGGTTGCAATGAGCTATGATTTCACCACAGCATTCCAGTTTGGGTGACAGAGTAAGACCCTACCTCTAAAAACAACAACAACATAGATGAATGTCGAAAGCACAATGCAGATCAACAAAAGCCAAATGCAGAAGAATACATAGTGTATGATTCAATTTACACGGAATTCTAAAACAAACAAAATTATCATGACAGAAACAGATGAGTGTTTGCCCAGGGCCAGGGGTGGAGGGAGGAAATTAAATGCTAAAGGCTATTTATTGTACAAAAGCACAATAAAATCTTCTGATTTGTCAATTTACTCCCCCAACAAATCTACTTTCTCATGGCATTTATTATGCATTTATTATGTGGGTGGCTATGTGAATGACATGCCTGGTCAAACCAATCACCTGAGCCATATGCAAATCAGACACCGTCTCCTCCAGCCTCTTCATATACCTGGCAGGTTTCCACCACACTGGGGGTCTCTTCTCTCAGCTTTGGAGCCCCCTCTCCCTCTGGCTCTGTAAAGGGGCGCTTCTTGCTTCTTTCTTCTCCCTTCTGTCTTGCCTATTAAACTCTCCGCTCCTTAAAACCACTCCACATGCACCCATGTCATCTTATCTAATTGGGCATGAGACAAGAGCCCTGGTGTTCTTCCACTCATCGAAGCCATATCACAATGATTGGCACATTTATGCTCACCAACACGTATCCAAAGTGGGGAAAAAAAAGGAATATTTGTGCCTGCTTCCCACAAAGGGGGAGAGTAACATCATTAAAGATCACGAGCATAAAAATTACAGATACAGGTACATTGGCTTAGAATTCTGTGACCTTGGATAAGTTACCCAACCTTCCCAAGTTTCCCTCTCTGCAAAATTCATGCAAATAACCATCTCATAACGTTGCCAACAGGGTTAAATTGAGAACACATATAATACATCTAATTGTGTCTGGTACACAGTATGTGCTTATTAAAAAATTAGAAACCTGCCTTCACCACCACTACCACCACCATCATCATCCAGCAAGCCAATTCTTTAACTAATCAGTTCAGAGGCTCTTGACCTCAAAAGAATGATTTAATGCCACATGAAATTGAAGGAGAAAATACACAGTTTCAAATTCTCTTTTTCTCCCTGCTCTTCACCCCATGTGGGTGTGCCACTGTGTACCGCCTCAGGCCTAACCCGCAATATGCAAATGATACGTATTTGAAGGATAAATAAATTCCTTAGGCAAAGTGCTAAAAAATAACAGTGGAGGCTGCTCAGCCTATAAAGTAGCCATTCTTTATTCCTTTACTTTCCTAATAAACTTGCTTTCACACACACACAAAAAAAAAACCCACACTGGAAACATAAAACAATGAAGCCATTTAAGTGAAAAAAAAAATCTGTGACTTTCAGTATGTCATTTTTTCAGCCATCTACAAGAAGTACAGATTATTTCCTTCTTAATATTTTGAACAAAATTCAAATATAGTCCAAAGGATTAATGAAAATATACTTACAAAACTTTAAGCTACTTAGAAGAAAAGATTATAAATGCAAATTGTTATTCTCTTTCTTTGAGATTATAGTTGCCCCGCCAAAATCCAAAAAGGTATATTCATTTTTTCCTCAAAGATTGAACATTATTTCATTTCCTTTCCATTATTTTAGCCTTTAATAGTCAATGTTATAACTGTGGAGTTTTTGATGACACAGTTAAAGAAGATAACATTCGGGTTACCAATCTTGTTTACCATTCTTTTGTTTCAAATTTATAAGCAAGTAATCTGTCTTCTATATCTTTTTCCAGGTTCAGTTATCTGTTTTCTAGATCATTACCTTATTCACACCTCAATTTAGTAAACTCAATGACACTGTTCACCTGGCTGTTTTGCAACTCAACAAATACAATCTTATACATGAACAAAATCATAGTGCCACAAGGGACAACCGCAACCAGAGCATAAGTACTTTCCATGATATTTCTGAAGTCTCATAACTGTATGTTAGGTCTCTCTTTTAAAATGTAGGCATGAAAAATATAAAATTATTAAAAATAAGATTTTATACAAAACAGCAAGAGTCTCATAAAACATTTCCTTCTACTCTTAGTACCCCTTTAAAATTTTAAGGGAAACCAAGCTTGTTATTCTCAATTCTCTCATTCCTTGGTTATTTCCAATCAACTAGTCTCAGACGATTTTCATTTTTTGTTTTTATTTTTTATTTGAACTTACACATTACTCTCCTAGAACTTGTTGGGTAACATTTTCTGCACCACTCCAATTTTAGTATATATACTGCCTACTTAAGTTCACAGGGTTCTCTCTGTCACTCGGATAAAGATGGAAAAGCCTTATTAAGATTTTCATTTCTGAGACACAAGACTCTCAATGCATGTAAATCAGAAGATGGATTCTGTACTCCTTGACAAATTCCTAAACGTATATGTGCAATTAAACAGACAAGCAGTGAAAATTGAAGGTACAGAATTAGAAACCATGGACGGTACTCATCTGTCTGAATGGAGCAGGCAGGAAGATAGATGTCAAGCCTCATTATCAGCAAGGGTATGGACAAGGAAGAAATGAGAGAACTTAAAAAATTTAAGAAGGAAAAAAAAAGCAGTGGTCTTACTCCCCACTCCCTACTCCCTAAAAAAGACAAGGTCAAGGGAATGCTTACATCTAAGAGAGAGCCTTGCAAAATCCAGCTCAGACCTGACGTCTCTGAAGCTCTCTCTGCAATCCCCAGACAAGTCCATCACTCTATTTTCTGTGCTGCCTCTTTACCTGGTACAGACTTCTCTTTTTATTGACCACACATATGATGACTGTTTATATGTCTCCCTGCTTACTCTGAACTGATTTTAGTTGAAGAATTGGCTTGCTGGGTGATGATGATGATGGTGGTACTGATGATGAAGGCAGGTTTCTAATTTTTTAATAAGCATATACTGTGTACCAGACACAATTAAATTTCTCATATATGTTCTCAATTTAATCTGTTGGCTGCCACCTCTCACACATACTAGGCACCCTGAAAGCTTAAACATACCTATGTCTCCCATGTTTTTGCCTGGCACATAGTGGCTACTCAGGAAAAGTTACTTAAAGGTTATACTACTATGACAAAAATAAATGGCAATCAGTTATAAAAGAAAGTTAAACCACACACTTCTTTTTAACATTTATTCTTGCTCTGGCACATAATTATTAAGCATCACAGGTAAAAATCCAGAGCTGGGTAATTTAATATAGGATGTGGCCAATCCTATTACTATGAGAAAGTTAGTTTAATTAATACAGTATTTTACTTTGGTTTAAATTCCTATGTGTCATGTGTATGTGTTTGCATATGTTTCTCTCTTGTTCTTGCTCTTTCTCTCATTAATGATGAATCAGAAAATTTTGAGAAAACTGAAACTCAAAGGCATATACATAATCATTACTTTACAATGTCCAGTCACTGTTAAAAATTACACTCTCAGCACTTTATCAACCCTGTAACATTTACATATGCCCAGCTCCCCTGTGCAAAATTTCTAAATTGGAAAACTAACAGGTGATGCATCTTTCTTTGTAGTGACCGAAGAAATTTTTGCTGTATGAGAGTAGACGTGTCAAAGAACTGAATTTACAAGTACCCCTCCCCACCAAAAAAAAAAACTATTTCAGTATTCAGCTGTTTCCTAGCAACTGAATCTGCTGATACTTTCTCATCACAAGTAGGCATAGGGATAAAATCTGTGTTTCAGTGCATTCAGGTGTCAATGAAAGCAACACAGCTCAGTGAAAAAAAAAAGGATAAATAATGTATAAAAATATTAAGTATTTTCTAGCCAATCTAGGCTGAAGCTTTTAAAATGGGTAATTATAATTCTTAAGTATGATAAATGATCTGGAAAATTAGAGTTTATTATAAAAAGTATAGGGGGTCTGATCTTTTCCATGAATGAGGAAAGAGAAAAAAATCCACAAAGGTGACCACAAAAATAGCAACCCAAGGATTACTCTGGAGAGTTCAACCATGAAGAAGGAAGCTGCTCCTTGCAAGGTAGCTAGACTTTAAACCTGGTTTATGCTGCATCATAAATTTTGAAGCAAAATATAAAATTCACATCTTACATACTGCAGAGAAAAACTGTCCAGTGAATAACAGCTTGAACTACTGCAGCCAACTGCAACAGTTCTTCAGGAGTTTTCCGAGTTCATAAACATTTGCAATTGGGATTTCAGAAATATTCTGCATGTACAGCACTTCACACATATTATCAGGTATACAGTTTAATCTTTGCTTTTATAAACAGTACACTGAGGTGCAACCCCAAGTTACTTTAGTTTTCTCAACAAATCAAGAGTATGCAAACATGCAGCTCTCACAAGGTAATTCATCAGATCCTGAGCATCTACTCCATAAGGCATTGTGCTGGGTATCAGAGATCACTAAGTTGAATATAACACAATCTGTACCCTGGAGCTGCTGAAGTATTTAAAATATGCAATGGAAACACCTGCTTGAGGGTAAATCAGAGAAAGCAGGAGAGGCAACAAACTATAGTAGAACAGGCAATGAACTTGAGTTTCGAGAGACATATAGCAAAAGACCCAGGTCTTTCACTAATGAGCAATGTGAGTTCTTGCAGGCCGCTCAACCTTTCTGAGGCTAGACGTTCATGGGCAAAATGAAGAGGCCTGCTTGGTAAGTTTTATAGACAGCCTCTTAGAAAACACTTTGCTAAGTACTACCATGAATAATAGAACAAGCAAATATATCCATTGGCCTTTGAGAGGTAATAAGGTCATGAGAGTTTGCTGCTTCTTTCTCTGCTCTCAACCATTTGAAGATACAATGAGAAGACAGCCATCTGCAAACCAGGAAGCAGGCCCCCACCAGCCTCCAAAATGATGACAAAAGTCTGTTGTTGATGTTGCCCAGTCTGTGATAATTTGTTACAGCAGCCCAAACTAAGACAATATCTATAAGCCTACAGTTTTTTATAGTCTACTTGCCAAGGAAGAGGGCAAGATAGCACACAAATAATTACTACACAAACTCTAAAATGCTTTCCTCCTCTAAAAATTATTTCTATATGATAAAATTTACTGGCAACTAGAAAACAAAGAAAACTTGAAATGAGAGAATCATTAAAATTCTTGCCAATATTTTCCATAATTATGAAACACAGAACTGTGCAAAGCACTATAGAGAGAAATAAAAGGAAAATCCAAAACTTCTTAAAATATTCTTCACATGGGCCAGGCGCGGTGGCTTACATCTTTAATCTCAGCATTTTGGGAGGCCATGGCAGATGCACCATGAGGTCAGGAGATTGAGACCATCCTGGCTAACATGGTGAAACCCCGTCTCTACTAAAAAATACAAAAAAAAAAATTAGCCGGGTGTGATGGCAGGCGCCTGTAGTCCCAGCTACTAGGGAGGCTGAGGCAGGAGAATGGTGTGAACCCGGGAGGCAGAGCTTGCAGTGAGCCGAGTTCGCGCCACTGCACTCCAGCCTGGGCAACAGAGCGAGACTGGATCTCCAAAAAAAAAAAAAAAAAAAAAAAATTCTTCACCTGAACTATCCCTTCAAAGAAACACCTAATATACACAGCACTTTGGAATTTTCAAAAAACTTTCATATACAATACTGACTTCTGTAATGAATGAAACCAGTTCTATCAAAAACCTAAAATATTTCACTAAAACAAGAAAATAACTTTTATCCAATACTATTCCATGAATATTGCCAATAGCTTTGTTTTTCTAAAATAAAATTATGTGTGTATATATAATGTGTAATTTTTCTGTACATACATATACATATGGAGAAAAACATGAAGATGTTTCATATCCCTATTGCTAAAACACATCTCCAACAATAACACCAGTAGCTGACAATGATTCTAAACTGGATATGTGCAAGAGGAACTACTGAGGTGGGGAAAGAAATTACTAATATGTATTTCTATTTTTCTCCTTTTTAAAACCCCCATTTTATATTGCCTACATCTGTGGGCAGGGGTAATATTTTAACTGAGGGGACACAATCAAAAGTTTAGAAACCACCAGCACACACACTAAAATTCAAACTCATAAGCTTGGTAATACTTACTTTGACAATTTGATCTTCTGCTATTCTTATTCATAGACATTAAACCATACCAATCATACCACTAACACCATTCCCCAAACATAGTTATACTTTCCAGCACCTAACCATTTACATCTACTACTCTCTGTAAGCTGCACATCTCCATTTACCCAAATCATTTAAAGCCAGTATCAACTCTATCTTTTCTCAAACTTCTCTGAACTTAGGTAATACAGCTCTCAGGCTACTCCTCTCTTTCACCTTGTCATTGAGTCCTTTATGGACATCTTAGCTCCCCCCACTACAAAGAGAGTTCTTGAGGACCAGGGTTATGTCTCATCAACTTCCCATTTCCCAGACCTAGGCACCATGCAGTAAACTTGACATATATTAGAGAAATGTGGGGTCTCCAGCCACCAACTACAGGTGTGTTTGGGCAAGCAACAGGTCCATACCTTGCTGGCACAGAGCTCCCAGAGGAAGGAGCAGACTACCATCTTTGCTGTTTCACAGTCTTCACTGTTGATACCTCCAGGTACTGGAAAATCCAAGGTGACTAGGGACTGGAGTGGGCCCCCAGGATACCACAGCAGCCCTATGGAAAAGTGGCCAGCCTGTTATGTAGGTGCATGTTCCCATATTATCTCCTCACTGGGCAGGTCCGCCAGGCCTGGGCCTCCAGCCACCCCCTGCCAGATATATCAAACCAGTAGCAGCTCTGCAACTCCCTGGACAGAGCAACCAGGGGCAACTGAAAGCCTCCCTGCCACTGCCTCTGCAGCAGAACTGCCCTTGCTACCCTCAGACTAATGAAGGAGCAAAGACCCTCAATGCCTTATCCATACCTCCAACAAGCTGCAGTTGAGCCAAGGGGAGGAGACCAGTCCATCTCCCATGGGTTCCACCTACCCACCCCCAGTGCTCATCACCAGACAGAGAACCCCTGGCTGGGGCCACAGCACAGGCCCTCCATCCTGGGCTGATTGCACTGGGTGATTGCAGACCTGCACGTCTCTGGAGTGGAGCCCCCATGAGACAAGCAAAAGACCCTTGGCACAAACACTACTAAGGTCCCTTTCTCTGCTGTCTCCAAGATGGGGAAGGAACATAAACACTGAGCACATCCAGAACTGCACTGGGCAGGCCCAGGAGTGCCAAGCTGCAATCTACAGCCAGCACTCAAAGGGGAGAGGACCCCACACATTAAGAGGGAACATGGCTCCACCTGTAAGGAAATATAAGGGAGCCACAAAACCAAGCAAGAGTCTACCAGCTGATTAATATGCCTAAATGTCACCTACCGCATCACACCCCAAAGCTTCAACACCAGAAATAGCTTGCTAATATACCCTCCTCTTAAACTAAAGACAAGAAGTCAGCTTCACATCAAGACCCTGCACAAAGGCTTGGCCCTGTGAAAACACAAGAAAAGAAGTCTATTGACTTCTCAATAGACTACTGACTACTCGATCTACACTGAGGTTAAAGTAACAGCCATATGCAGAGATGAGAAAGAACCAAAGCAAGAACTCCAATAACTCAAATGACCAGAGTGACGCATGTTCTCCAAACAACCACATCAGCCCTCCAACAAGAGTTGTCAACCAGGCTGAGCTGGCTGAAATGACGGAAATAAAGTTCAAAATATGGACAGGAATAAAGATCATCAAGACTCAAACCCAATCCAAGAAAACTAAGAATCACAACCAAATGATAAAGGAGCTGAAGGAGGAAATAGCCAGTATAAAAAAGAACGTAACGCATCTGACAGGGCTGAATAACACAATACAAGAATTTCACAATCCAATCACAAGTATTAACAGCAGAATAAACCAAGCTGAAGAAAGAATCTCAGAACTTAAAGACTGGCTCTCTGAAATAAGACAGTCAGACAAAAATAAAGCAAAAAGAATAAAAGTAGACCTACTTTTTTGTCCATTCCTACAATGCAATGAACAAAACCTCCAAGAAGTATGGGATTATTCACTTTTATCCCTGAAAGCGAAGGGGAAAAAGCAAACAACTTGGAAAACATATTTCAGAATATCATCCATGAAAACTTTCCTAATCTTGTGAGAGAGGCCAACAGTTAAATTCAGGAAATACAGAGAACTCTTGCAAGATTCTACGTAAGAAGATCATCCCCAAGACACATAATCAACAGATTTTCAAAGGTCAAAATGGAAGAAAGTATGTTAAAGGCAGCTAGAGAGAAAGGACATGTCACCTACAAAGGGAACCCCATCAGGCTAACAGCAGATCACTCAGCTGAAACTTTACAATCCAGAAAAGATTAGGGGCCTATATTCAATATTTATTAAAGAAACCTTCAATCAAGAATTTCACATCCAGCCAAACTAAGCTTCCTAAGTGAAGGAGAAATATGATCCTTTTCAGATAAGAAAATGTTGAGGAAGTTAATTACCACCAGCCTGCCTTACAAGAGATCTTGAAAGGAGCATTATATATAGAAAGGAAAGACTGCTACCAGCTAATACAAAAAGACACTTAAATACACGGATCAGTGACAATATAAAGCAACCACACAAACAAGCCAGCAGAATAACCAGCTAACAACACAATGACAGGATCAAATGTACACATATCAATACAAACATTTAATGTAAATGGACTACATGTCCCACTTCAAAGGCACAGGTGGCAAGCTGGATAAAAAAGCAAGACCCAATGGTATGCTGTCTTCAAGAGACCCATTTCTTAATGGGTCTCGTAATGACAACCATAGGCTCAAAATAAAGGAACACACATCTGACAAAGGGCTAATATCCAGAATCTACAATGAACTCAAACAAATTTACAAGAAAAAAAATCAAACAACCCCATCAAAAAGTGGGCAAAGGATATGAACAGACACTTCTCAAAAGAAGACATTTATGCAGCCAAAAGACACATGAAAAAATGCTCATCATCACTGGCCATCAGAGAAATACAAATCAAAACCACAATGAGATACCATCTCACACCAGTTAGAATGGCGATCATTAAAAAGTCAGGAAACAACAGGTGCTGGAGAGGATGTGGAGAAATAAGAACAATTTTACACTGTTGGTGGGACTGTAAACTAGTTCAACCATTGTGAAAGACAGTGTGGTGACTCCTCAAGGATCTAGAACTAGAAATACCATTTGACCCAGCAATCCCATTACTGGGTATATATCCAAAGGATTATAAATCATGCTGCTATAAAGACATATGCACACGTGTGTTTACTGCGGCACTATTCACAATAGCAAAGACTTGGAACCAACCCAAATGTCCATCAATGATAGACTGGATTAAGAAAATGTGGCACATGTACACCATGGAATACTTTGCAGCCATAAAAAAGGAAGAGTTCATGTCCTTCGTAGGGACATGGATGAAGCTAGAAACCATCATTCTGAGCAAACTATCGCAAGGCCAGAAAACAAAACACTGCATGTTCTCACTCATAGGTGGGAACTGAACAGTGAGAACACTTGGACACAGGGTGGGGAATATCACACACCAGGGCCTGTCGTGGGGTCAGGGGATGGAGGAGGGATAGCACTAGGAGATATACCTAATGTAAATGATGAGTTAATGGGTGCAGCACACCAACATGACACATGTATACATATGTAACAAACCTGCATGTTGTACACATGTACCCTAGAACCTAAAGTATAATAAAATAGATAAATAAAAAATAATTAAATAAATAAAGGGATACAGGAATATCTACCAAGCAAATGGAAATCAGAAAAAAACAGGGGTTGCAATCCCAATTTCAGACAAAACAGAATTCAAACAAAACAAAAGATAAAAAAAAGACAAAAAAGGGCATTTCATAACGGTAAAGACTTCAATTGAATAAAAGACCTAACCATCCTAAATATATATGCACTCAACACAGGAGCACCCAGATTCATACAGCAAGTTCTTAGAGACCTACAAAGAGACATAGATTCCCACAAAATAATACTGTGAAACTTCAACATTCCACCAACAGTATTAGACAAATCATTGAGGCAGAAAATTAACGAAGATATTTAGGACCTGAACTCAACACTGGACCAAATGGATCTGATGGACCTCTACAGAACTCTCCATCCAAAACCAATAAAATATACATTCTTCTCATCACCACACAGCAAATGCTCTAAAAGCGACCACATAATTGGACATAAAATATCCTCAGCAAATGCAAAATAACATAAATCATAACAAACACACTCACGGACCACCATGCAATAATAATAGAAGTCAAGACTAAGAAAATCACCCAAAACCATGTGATTACATGAAAATTAACATGCTTCTGAATGACTTTTGGGTAAAAAATGAAATTAAGGCAGAAATTAAGAAGTTCTTTTAAACTAATGAGGGCAAAGATACAACATATTAGAATTTCTGGGATACAGCTAAGGCAGTGTTAAGAGGGAAATTCATAGCACTAAATAGCCACATAAAAAGTTAGAAAGATTGGCCAGGCGTGGTGGCTCATGTCTGTAATCCCACCATTCTGGGAGGCCGAGGCAAGCAGATCATGAGGTCAAGAGATCGAGACCATCCTGGCCAACACGGTGAAACCCCACCTCTACTAAAAATACAAAAATTACCTGGGTGTGGTGGTGTGCATCTGTAGTCCCAGCAACTCAGAAGGCTGAGGTAGGAGAATCGCTTGAACCCGGGAGGCAGAGGCTGCAGTGAGCCGAGATCACGCCACTGCACTCCAGCCTGGAACAAGAGCAAGACTCCGTCTCAAAAAAAAAAAGAAAGAAAGAAAGAAAGATCTCACAGCCTGGCAACAGAGCAAGACTCCGTCTCAAAAAAAAAAAAAAAAAATTAGAAAGATCTCAAATTAGCAACTTAATATCACAACTGAAAGAATTAGAGAAGCCTAAACAAATCAGCCTCTAAGCAAGCAAAAGACAAGAAATCACCAAAATCAGAGCTGAATTGAAGGAATTCAAGACATGAAAAACCATTCAAAAGACCAACAAACCCAGGAGTTGATTTTTTTTGCAAACTAGTTCACCAGCAATGGATCCAAAACAAGAAGAAATCCCTGATTCACCTGAAAAAGAATTCAGGTTAGTTATTAAGCTAATCAGGGAGGGGCCAAGAAAGGGGAAGCCCAATGCAAGGAAATCCAAAAAATGATACAAGAAGTGAAGGGGGAAATATTCAAGGAAATAGATAGCTTAAAGAAAAAAAATCAAAAATTCAGGAAACTTTGGACACACTTTTAGAAATGTGAAATGCTCTGGAAAGTCTCAGCAAATAGAACTGAACAAGTAGAAGAAAGAAAACCAGAGCTTGAAGACAAGGTCTTCAAATTAACCCAATCCAACAAAGACAAAGCAAAAAGAATATGAAAATATGAACAAAGCCTCCAAGAAGTCTGGGATTATGTTAAACAAGCAAACCTAAGAATAATCAGTGTTCCTGAGAAAGAAGACAATTCTAAAAGCTTGGGAAACATATTTGGGGAAATAATAAATGAAAACTTTCCCGGTAATGCTAGAGACCTAGACATCCAAATATAAGAAGCACAAAGAATACCCAGGAAATCCATCACAAAAAGATCTTCACCTAGGCACATTTTCATCAGGTTATCCAAAGTTAGGATGAAGGAAAGAATCCTAAGAGCTGTGAGACAGAAGCACCAGGTAACCTATAAAAGAAAACCTAACAGATTAACAGCAGATTTCTCAACAGAAACCATACAGGCTAGAAGGGATTGGGACCCTGTCTTCCACCTCCTCAAACAAAATCATTATCAGCCAAGAATTTTATATCCAGAAAAACTAAGCATCATATATGTAGGAAAGATATAATCTTTTTCAGACAAACAAATGCTGAGAGAATTCACCATTACCAAGCCACCACTACAAGAACTGCTAAAAGGAGCTCTAAATCTTGAAATAAATCCTGGAAACACATCAAAACAGAACCATTTTAAAGCATAAATCTCACAAGACCTACAAAACAAAAATACAATTTAAAAAACAAAAACAAAAAACCAAGATATACAAGCAACAAATAGCACAATGAATGGAACGGTACCTCACATCTCAATACTAACATTGAATGTAAATGACCTAAATGCTCCACTCAGAAGATACAGAATTGCAGAATGGATAAGAATTCACCAACCAATTATCTGCTGCCTTCAAGAGACTCACCTAACACATAAGGACTCACATAAACTTAAAGTGAGGGGTGGAATAAGGCATTTCATGCAAATGGACACCAAAAGTGAGCAGGGGTAGCTATTCTTGTATCAAACAAATCAAACTTTAAAGCAACAGCAGTTAAAAGACAGAAACAGGGACATTATAGAATGGTAAAAGGCCTTGTCCAACAGGAAAATATCACAATCCTAAACATATATCCACCTAATACTCAAGCTCCCAAATTTATAAAACAATTACTAATAGACATAAGAAATGAGATAGCAAGACAAAACAGTGGGAGACTTCAATACCCCACTGATAGCACTAGACAGGTCATCAAGACAGAAAGTCAACAAAGAAACAATGGATTTAAACTATACCTTGGAACAATTGGACTTAACAGATATTTACAGAACATTTCATCCAACAACCTCAGAATACACATTCTATTCAATAGCACATAGAACCTTCTCCAAGATAGACTATATGACAGGCCATGAAACGAGCCTCAATAAATTTAAGAAAATTGAAATCATATCAAGCACTTTCTCAGACCACAATGGAATATAACTGGAAATCAACTCCAAAAGGAACCTTCAAAATCATGCAAATACATAGAAATTAAATAACCTGCTCCTGAATGAGCATTGGGTCAAAAACAAAATCAAGATAGAAATTATTTGAACTGAATAACAATAATGACACAACCTATCAAAACCTCTGGGATACAGCAAAGGCAGTGCTAAGAGGAAAGTTCATAGCCCTAAATGCCTACATCAAAAAGACTGTAAGAGCACAAATTGACATTCTAAGGTCACACCTCAAGGACTAGAGAAACAAAAACAAACCAAACCCAAACCCAGCAGAAGAAAGGAAATAACCAAGATCAGAGCAGAATTAAATGAAACTGAAACAAGAAAAACAATACAAAAGATAAATGAAACAAAAAGCTGGTCCTTTCAAAAGATAAATACAATTAATAGACCATTAGCAAGATTAACCAAGAAAAGAAGGGAGAAAATCCAAATAACATAACTAAGAAACAAAACAGGAGATACTACAACTGACACCACTGAAATACAAAAGATCATTCTAGGCTACTATGAACACCTTTATGCACATAAACTAGAAAACCTAGAAGAGATGGATAAATTCCTGGAAAAATACAAACCTCCTAGCTTAAATCAGGAAGAATTAGATACCCTGAACAGACCAATAACAAGGAGCAAGATTGAAATGGTAATTTAAAAATTACCAACAACAAAAAGTCCAGGACCAGATGGATTCACAGCAGAATTCTACAGACATTCAAAGAAGAATTGGTACCAATCCTTTTAAAACTATTCTACGGGATAGAGAAAGAAGGAACCCTCCCTAATTCATTATATGAAACCAGCATCGCCCTAATACCAAAACCAGGAAACAACATAACCAAAAAAGAAAACTACAGACTGATATCCTTGATGAACATAGCTGCTAAAATCCTTAACAAAATACTAGCTAACCGAATACAACAACATATCAAAAAGATAATCACCATGATCAAGTGGGTTTCACACCACAGATGCAGGGATGGTTTAACATATGCAAGTCAATAAATGTGATACACCACATACACAGAATTAAAAACAAAAAATCACATGATCATCTCAATAGATGCAGAAAAGGCATTCCACAAAATTCAGCATCTCTTTATGATTAAAACTCTCCACAAAATCAGCATACAAGGGACATACCTTAATGTTATAAAAGCCATCTATGACAAACCCACAGCCAACATAATACTGAATGGGGTAAAGTTGAAAGCATTCCCTCTGAGAACGGGAACAAGACAAGGATGCCCACTCTCACCACTCCTCTTTAATATAGTACTGGAAGTCCTAGCCGGAGCAATCAGACAAGAGAAAGAAAGGGCATCCAAATAGGTAAAGAGGAAGTCAAACTGTCGCTGTTTGCTGGCGTTATGATCGTTTACCTTGGAAACCCTAAGGACTCCTCCAGAAAGCTCCTAGAACTGATAAAAGAATTGAGCAAAGTTTCCAGATACAAGATTAATGTACACAAATCAGTAGCTCTGCTATACACCAACAGCAACCAAGCAGAGATTCAAATCAAGAACTCAATCCCTTTTACAATACCTGCAAAAAAATAAAATAAAATACTTAAGAATATACCTAACCAAGGAGTCAAAAGACCTCTACAAGGAAAACCGCAAAACACTGTTGAAAGAAATCATAGATAACACAAACAAATGGAAACACATCCCATGCTCATGCAGGAGAAAAATCAATATTGTGAAAATGACCATACTGCCAAAAGCAATCTACAAATTCAATGCAATCCCATCAAAATACCACCATCATTCTTCACAGAATTAGAAAAAAACAATTCTAAAATTCATATGGAACCAAAAAAGAGCCCGCATAGCCAAAGCAAGGCTAAGCAAAAAGAACAAATCTGGAGGCATCACATTACCTGATTTCAAACTATACTATAGGCCATAGTCACCCAAACAGCATGGTACTGGTATAAAAACAGGCACACAGACCAATGGAACAGAATAGAGAATCCAGAAATAAACCCAAATGCTTACAGCCAGCTGATCTTCAACAAAGCAAACAAAAACATAAAGTGGGGAAAAGACACCCTTTTCAACAAATGGTGCAGGGATAATTGGCTAGCCACATGTAAGAGAATGAAACTGGACCCTCATCTCTCGCCTTATGCAAAAATCAACTGATGATGGATTAAGGACTTAAACCTAAGACCTGAAACTATAAAAATTCTAGAAGATAACATTGGGAAAACCCTTTTAGACACTGGCTTAGGCAAGGATTTCATGACCAAGAACCGAAAAGCAAATGCAATAACAACAAAGATAAATAGCTGGGACCTACTTAAACTAAAGAGCTTTCACATGGCAAAAGGAACAGCCAGTAGAGTAAACAGACAACCCACAGAGTGGGAGAAAATCTTCACAATCTATACATCTGACAAAGGACTAGTATCCAGAATCTACAACAAACTCAAACAAATCAGTAAGGAAAAAAACAAACAAACAATTCCATCAAAAAGTGGGCTAAGGATATGAATAGACAATTCTCAAAAGAAGATATACAAATGGCCGGCAAACATATGAAAAAATGCTCAACATCACTAATGATCAGGGAAATGCAAATTAAAACTACATTGCAATACCACCTTACTCCTGCAAGAATGGCCATAATCAAAATCAAAAAACAGGAGATGTTGGCATGGATGTGATGAACAGGGAACATTTCTACACTGCTGATGGGAGTGTAAACTAGTACAGCCACAATGGAAAACAGTGTGGAGATTCCTTAAAGAACTAAAAGAATCAAGAACTGCCACTTGATCCAGCAACACTACTGGGTATCTACCAGAGGAAAAGAAGTCATTATTCGAAAAAGGTATTTGCACATGCATGTTTATAGCAGCACAACTGACAATTGCAAAATCGTGGAACCAATCCAAATGCCCATCAATCTATGAGTGGGTAAAGAAACTGTGGTGTGTGTGTGTCTATGTATATATATATATAATAAGGAATACTATGCAACCATAAAAAGGAATAATTAACAGCATTTGCAGTGACCTGAATGAGACACTACTATTCTACGTGAAGTAACTCAGGAATGGAAAACCAAACGTCGTAAGTTCTCACTGATATGTGGGAGCTATGCTATGAGGATGTAAGGCATAAGAATGATACAATGGACAAAAAATAAGACTACAAATAATGGTGTAGCGTATACTGCTCGGGTGATGGGTACACCAAAAATCTCACAAATCAACACTAAAGAACTTACTCATGTAACCAAATACCACCCGTACCCCAATAACTTATGGAAAAATTAAAAATAATAAAAATAAATAAAAATTTGGATATCCACAAAAAAAAAACGAATATTTTCCTTCTCCCTCTCTAGGCTATTAGTGGCCCTTCTATTCCATGAAAACTATGACTGTCTTTATCAGTTCTATGTTCCTTTTTATTTGAGACCTAATTTTTCACTAGCTTTGGATTTAGGAAAGAATTTTGATATTTGATAAATTTTTGGCTATTGCAAAACTTTTTAGAATCAGATGGATTAATAAACTATAAATATAATGTAAATGCTAAGAATAAGGGAGAATAAAGTCACTATTCAGCTATTATTAATTCAAAAAAAAGAAATGAAGGGCAGGCATCCAAATAGGAAGACAGGAAATCAAACTATCCCTGTTTGCAGATGATGTAATTTTATATCTAGAAAATTCCACAGTCTCAGTCCAAAAGCTCCTTCAGCTGATAAAGACCTTCAGCAGTTCCAGGATACAAAATCAATGAACGAAATCGCTAGCATTCCTATACACCAACAAAAGCCAAGCTGAGAGCCAAATCAACAAGGCAATCCCATTCACAATTGCCACAAAAAGAATAAAATACCTAGGAATACAGCTAACCAGGGAGGTGAAAGATCGCAACAATAAGAATTACAAAATACTGCTCAAAGAAATCAGAGATACACAAATAAATGGAAAAACATCCCATGCTCATGGACAGGAAAAGTCAATATCATTAAAATGGTCATACTGCCCAAAGCAATTTATATAATTCAGTCCTATTCCTATCAAACTATCAATGACATTCTTCACAGAACTAAAAAATAAATAAATAAAAACTATTTTAAAGTTCATATGAAACTAAAAAAGAGTCCGAATAGCCAAGGCAATCCTAAGCAGAAAGAACAACGCTTGAGGCATCACACTACCAATTTCAAACTACAGCACAGGATACAGTAACCAAAACAGCATGGTACAGGTACAAAAACAAGCACATAGACCAATGGAACAGAACAGAGAGCCCAGCAATAAGCCCACACACCTACAACCATATGATCTTCAACAAAGCTGACAAAAACAAGCAATGGGGAAAAGAACCCCTATTCAATAAATGGTGCTGGATAACTGGCTAGCCATATGCAGAAGATTGAAGCTGGACTTTTCCTTATACCATATATAAAAATCAACTCAAAATGGATTAAAGACTTAAATGTAAAATCCAAAGCAATGAAAACCCTGGAAGACAACTTAGGCAATACCATCTGGACATAGGAATGGGCAAAAATTTCATGACAAAGACACCAAAAGCAAAAATTGGCAAATGGGATCTAACTAAACTTAACAGCTTCTGCACAGCAAAAGAAATTATCAACAGAGTACACAGACAACCTACAGAATGGAAGAAAATACTTGCAAACTATGCATCTGACAAAGGTCTAATATTCAACATCTATAAGGAATTTAAATATACAAGAGATAAACAACCCCATTAAAAAGTGGGCAAAGGACATGAACAGACACTTCTCTAAAGAGGACATACATGTGGCCAAGAAGCATATGAACAAAAGTTCAGTATCAATTGATCATTAGAGAAATGCAAATCAAAACCACAATGAGATACCATCTCATACCAGTCAGAATGGCTATTACTAAGAAGTCAAAAAATAACAGATGCTGATGAAGTTGCGAAGAGGAGGGAACACTTATACACTGTTGGAGGGAGTGTAAATTAGTTCAACCAATGTGGAAAGCAGTATACTGATTCCTCAAAGAGCTAAAAGCAGAACTATCATTCAACCTTGCAATCCCGTTACTGGGTATATACCCAGAGGAATATAAATCATTCTACCATCAAGACATATGTACACCAATGTTCATTGCAGCACCATTTACAATAGCAAAGACATGGAATCAACCTAAATGTCCTTCAGTGACAGACTAGATAAAGAAAGTGTGGTACACATACATTATGGAATACTATGTAGCCATAAAAAAGAATGAGATCATGTCTTTTGTGGGAACATGGATGGAGCCTGAGGCTACTAACTAGCAAACTAACCCAAGAATAGAAAACCTAATACCACATGTTCTCACTTAGTGAGAGCTAAATGATGAGAACTCTTGCACACACAGAAAAGAACAACAGACACTGGGGTCTACCTGAGGGTGGAGGTTGGGAGGAAGGAGAGGAGCAGAAAAGGTAACTATTGGGTACTGAGTTTAATACCTGGGTGATGAAATAATCTGTACAACAAGCCCCCATGACATGAGTTTACCTATGTAACAAACCTTCGCATGTACCCCCAAACCTAAAAGTTAAAAAAAAAGAAATATGTGTTGAATAGACAACAGATTGTAAACTGCATCTTAGAAAAAGGTTAACAAACCAGTATCTCACAAATAGAACAACAATCAAGTTCAGCTGAGCATCCTCAGTCAACAAACCTGTCAAACTAGAAAGAGCATATGCTTATTTTCCCCCGAAAAATGATTTTTTTTCTGTTATTAGGTTGGCGCAAAAGTAATTGCAGTCTTTGCCATTAAAAGTAAAGAAAAAAACCACATTACTTTTGCACCATCCTAATAGTCTCATGGCTTTCAACTGCAACGTTTTGTTTCCCACAGATCAGCAGCAAGGGAGACCAAATGAACTGGTGCCTGACAGTAATGGTGGAAGTGAAAGCATGTTATGCTTGCATATCGTGATATGCTACTTGCATATTGATGGATTTGCTGCAGCACTGACAAGTTCACAGTGACCCACTTTAAAATGGCATTAAATGATCAGTATATTTAAAAAGACATGTTAACCAGAACCCAAGAAATCAGCTAGTTGTACACAAATAGTAAGAAAACTCCTATATGATTCCCAACTAAGTAACCATTCAAGAAAATTAATTATATTTAATCACAGTTTAAGGAAGAAAATTGAACACTACTTTTAAAAAGAGGATACAAGATTTAAGAGGATTCCAAACTCTTTAGAAATAAAAATTACCTGATCAAGTGCCTACAAAGCATATTTTTCCAAACGAACAAATAATTAGTGAGCCACAGACCCAACTGGTACTTTCTAAATGTGAAAAAGGAAATCCTTTTCAAAAAAGAAAATCCTTGCTTTTCTCTGTGACTCCAAGTAAGAGCCACTTACCTGCCTTTCAATTATCTTCCTGGGAACTTCTCAGTCCTTTTTTCTGTATCTAAATAAGATGTGTATAAATACATTTTTTGGAAGTCTGGTTTCTTTAACGTTTTACCAGTACCTTCTAAAGATGAGTCTCACAAATAGAAAGTGAAATTAAGGCCAGGCATGGTGACTCATGCCTGTAATTCCAGAACTTTAGGAGGCTCAGGTAGAAGGATCACTTGAACACAGGAGTTCTAGACCAACCCAGGCAACATAGGGATATCCCCAACTCTACATAAACTTTTATTAATAAAAACTTAGCCAGGCACTGTTGGCACAGGCCTGTGGCTCCAGCTACTTAGGAGGCTAAGGCAGGCGGACTGCTTGAGCCTGGGAGGTCAAGGCCATGGTGAGTTGTAATTGCACCACTGCACTCCAGCCTGGGTGACAGAGTAGAGACCCTGTCTAAAAATAAAAAATAAAAATAAAAATAAATAGTCACACTGTGTGAGGAGAAAGAGATTTTTGCCTTAAAGAAATCCAGCTCCAATTTAAGGATCTGCCCCATTTTCTAACAACAAATGAAGTATGTTCTCTGCTTAATGAAATCAAGTGGAAGTGTATGGAAACCAAGCTCAGCTGTGGGCCCCCTCTCTTCTCCACTGACATCCCACACTCTTCCTGGAGTCTCATGGCTGCACATTCTCCTCCCCAAAAATTTAGACACTCAAATCCAACTTCAAACTTGCCATCTCCATTTGTGTAACCAATAAGCACCTTCTACTTAACGTGGTCAGAATAGAACTCTTTATTTTATTTTACATATTTTTCTCGGAGTCTTCTACATCTTGGCAAAGGCATCACCCCCTAATAAATTATTCAAGCCAAAATTCTAGGCAGTGTAATATAATGGTCAAGAACATAGACCTTGATGCCAGACTGTATGGATTCAAATCCTGCTTCTGCTCCTCACTACCTGTATAAAGATACTACAAGCCTCAGAGAGTGATAATGGTACCTGCCTTATAGGGTTACCATAAAGACTAAATGCATTAATTCATATAAAGCATTTAGAATAGCACTTGGCAAATATTAAATTTTCACTATGCTTAAGCTCTCATCATCATCATCATTATGCTGATTCTTCTCTTTCTCTCACAACCAATCCACCATGTCAATATTACTTTAAAAACTAACTGAAATCCACTGACTTCTGTCAGTCATATCACCACAACCAATCCATTTCAAGCCACTATCTAGATTAATGTGAAAACTTCCAGACTAGTCCTCCCGCTTCCATTCCTTTTTTATCCTCCAAAATGGCTTTCAAGCAGCAGCCACAGTCATCTATTTAAAACATAAATCAGATCATATCACTCACTTATTCAAAATCATCCAATGTCTTTCAACTACATTAGGCTAAAAAAAAATCAAACTCTTTACCCTGGGACTCTACCTCAAAGTCTCACAGAGTCTACACCTAGCCATTGCAGCCTCACATGGTAGCACTCTACCGTAGCTCACTATGCTCTAGCTACACTGGCCTTTTTGATTCTAAAAAAAAAGGCCAAGATTCCTCCCTTTGGGGGCCTTTGCATTAGTGACTTTTCCTGCCTGGAATGCAGTTTCCTCTATATTTGTTCAGCTGGCTCCTTCATGTCATTTACAATATTGTTATTGTTTATTTCTTCAGTAATTGTCTGTCTCCCACTAGAATATAAGCTTTGTAAGAGAAGAAATCTCATCTAATTTGTTAAGTAGTATCTCTAGTACCCAAACCTATGCATGGATGAACAAATAAAAAGTTATTTAAAAATAAACCATTAAATAAAAGAACTGGCTATAGCTTCTAAAATTGCCATATGAAGCAAAAAAAATCTATCTTTCCCTCATTCTTTTCCCTAACTGGTTATCAATCTATTCTACCGTAGCTCCAAATTCACCCCTTGGGCCTGCTCTGTGACTGGACCTTAATATACTTACCTTTGAATATTTTATCAGAGTTTGAAGACCTAAATCACCTGGTTATACAACTCCTGACAAAGGCACAGTTACCATCAAAAGACCCTAAGAATTACAATCAGAAAACCTGAGATCAAGTCAGGGCTCCAGCAATTATTAGCCAACATAATCTTAGACAAATTACTTTGGCCTCTCTGTGCTGCATTTTCCTCATCCATATAATGCACATTATAACCCCTTTCTCTCTCAGTGACTTATAGTGGGATTAACAGTATGTATAAACAGTAAACTGTGAACAAAAGCAAGTTTATATCATTATTTGGTATCTGTCAGTTCAATAAAATTTTACTGACCACTAACCCTATGTGCCACATGCTATACCAGATAAAAATTTGAATTAAGAGAAATTCCTCACTCTCAAAGAACTTACATTTTAATTGAGGAGGAAAACACATAATGAGAATAATTTCACCGTAATTTGGTCGTGTGCAGAATGCTGTGGGAACACAAAGGAGATATACTTAGCACAATCTTGGGACTTAAAGGGAAGGTTCTGGGCCACAGAGTTCCTATCAAAGGAAAAAGTAATGTCAATTTTTTATCAGTCCTAAACCATGTTCAAAAGCTAGATAGTCATATTATAAAAGTCATATGGTCACAGGTTAAGAATAAGCTTTCAGTTGTCACCTGGGGTAAAACTCTCATCAATTTACAACTTCCCCCAGAACCATTTATTTCATCCTCTACCACTCATCAAAATACCTTTCAAAAAATCTACTTTAGGGTACTTTTTCTTATCCTACAAGAATATTTCCATTTATAAAGCTGAAAGTTTTCAATTACATACTCCAAGGTCAAAACCTTCCTCAATGGAAAGGACAGTAATAAAGAGACCATAGCAATAGGTTTAGATTTCTACTTCGCCACAGCCCTAAATGAACTCCTTCGCTTCCCTCCTGCTCCTTTCCACAGCTGTCAGGACAGGCTCCCAGGCAACAACTCCCACCACTCTCCTACATAAGAAAAAGTGTTCTCTGGACCTCCTCTCAACCAGGCTCGGCCCTGAACCACCCAGGAGAAAGCAAGTCACTGTCTGTCTTCTATTAAATCCAAGACACCAAGGCCAGAACTCTCCACAACCCACCTGTAATCAGGACAAATCCTTTTCTTTCTTTCTTTCTTTCGTTCTTTTTTTTTTTTTTTTTTTTTTGAGACAGGGTATCACTCTGTCGCCCAAGCTGGGGTGCAATGGCATGATTATAGCTCATTGCAGCCTTGATCTCCCAGGCTCAAGTGATCCCCCCACCCCAGCCTCCCAAGTAGCTGGGACTACGGGCACATGCCACCACGACTGGCTATTTTGTTGTTGTTGTTGTTGTTGCTGTTGTTGTTGTTGTTGTTTTTAGTAGAGACTGATTCTCACTATGTTGCCCAGGCTGGTCTCAAACTCCTGAGCTCAAGCAATCCTCCCACCTCCTCCTCCCAAAGGACGAGGGTTACAGGTGTGAGCCACCCCACTCAGCCAGAATAAATCCATTTAAAGTAAATCTAAATCCATTAAAGCTGTACACAGATATACTCAATACCCTACAATTCCATTCCTAAACACATAACCAACAGAAATATGTTTTCCAAAATATGTGCTACAATGTTCAGAGCAGCAGTATTTGTGATAACCAAAAAAAAAAAAAGAAAACAAAAGCCAAATGCCTATCAACAATAGAATGGATAAATTTTGATAAAGTCAATCAGAATTGGGCTGAATCAAAATCATGTAATCTGATAGAATGCAATGAAAAGAACATAGCATAACTTCTGTTACAGTACTACTTGAAATGTCTAACTTGAATCTAGGCAGAAACATCAGATAAACCCAAACTGAGAGATACAAAATAACTGCTGATAATCTTCAAAAGTAACAAAGTCCATGAAAATCTAAGAGAAACTAAGAATCTATTGCAGACTGAAGGAGATTAAAGAGACGTGACAACTAAATAATACATGTGAATTAAAATTGCCTGTGGAATGTGATTGAGAAAACTGGTGAAACTTGAATGGGGTCTGGAGGTTAGATGGTAGTAACTTATAAACATTAATTTTCTTATTTGGATGTTGAATTGTGGTTATGCAGGAAAATGTTCTGTTTGAAGGAAATAAACACTAACAAGTATTGGGGGTGCCAAGACATCAGGCTGGGAACTTATTCTCAAATGGTTTAAAGAAAAAGTTGCTATTTTCTACTTAATTTTCTGTAAGTCTGTGATATTTCAAATTTTTTTAAAGTATTAATTTTTTAAAAAGTATGTTTGGAAGGGGAAGAATGAGTAGAAAGAAGTGAAGAAGAATGGAATTCAAAGTTCATAAATACTCTTATTTCTTAACAACAAGGTAGAAAGCTTAGGTGCAGTTGGCTGAAATGAATTTATTACAAACTTAGGAACCCAAGTTCTGTCTTTTCTCTCAGTATAGATCCCCCACTTCTACCCAGAAAGTAGAAAAAAATTGTAAAATTTTGCAAAAATCTGCCACATATCCTTCTTTCTACACTGGAATATTGGGATGATAAATCACAAATATACATAGAATATCTTGACTTATCTAAAATAAAAATGTGTGGCAAATGTAAAATTTTTTTTACATTTTTAAAGTTGCTTTCAAGGCAAATTTATAAAACAGTCAAAACTTATTAAAAATTTATTTAAACTTTGCAATACACAAAATCAGAAGTAGCTTTAAACCCAAAAGTAAAAGAATTTCAGATGCATTTTCATAGTTAGGTTTTTGGGCACTGGGCAGCTTGGCTTGAAAGAAATTACAAAGTGAAAAACTTTGTACATTTAATTCATATTCAGTGTCTTTTCTAGGTAGTAGACAATTGTTGTCTGCCTCCCCATCTTCATTCTCCCCTCTCCCCATTCCTAACAATCATCCATTTTTGTTTGGGATATTGTGGTTTCAGGAACACACTGACTCTCAGCTCCCATGATACCCCATCTAAAGGGGCAGACACATGATCTTAGGCTAGGCTATCCCTTAAACCACAATAGCTGCTTTAGTGATAGACATGTGATATGGGTTAAACTCTGTCCCAAGAAAATCATATGTTGAGGTACTAACCCCCAGTACCTCAGAATGTGACCTTATTTAGAAATAGGATTGTTGCAGATGTACTTAGTTACAATGAGGTCACACTGGAGTTGAGAGGTGACTGATATCCTTAGAAAAATGATACCCCAATATGACTGATATCCTTAGAAAAAGCAGAATTTGGGACATGCAGGGTGAATGCCATGTGAAGACTTGAGTTATGTTGCCACAAGTCAAAGAACTACCAGAAGCCAGAAGACAGATGTGGAATAGATCTTTCCCCAGCACCTTCAGAGGAAGCATGGCCATGCCGACACCTTGATTTCAAACTTCTGCCCAGGGACAAAGAAACTCTTTCAGATAGTATGCTATATAGAAATAAAGCCTGATCCCATGGTAACTATTTTTGCAACCATCAGAAAGCCAGACTGAGGATAAGGCATACACATAAGGGTAAAGACATATTCAGAGAAAGGGGTGAAACATTGGGCAAGCTATGTCTGAAGTCCATACTATAATCTAGACTTCTCACTTTTATGAGCTAACAGATTCTATTTATTGGTTAATGTAGCATAGGCTGTTACCTGCAACTAGAAAAGAAAATACTAACTAACGCAGACACTGATCTAGGTACCAGGATGCTTTCTGCTACTAGAGAAAGAGAATTCCACTCAAATATGAGTACCTAAGTTAGTGCCTTTAAAAATTAAAACTTCATTATCCCATGTAATAAAAAGTTTGGTGGTTCCAGAATAGGTTAATTCAGCAACTCAACGACAGCAACAAGGACTCAGATTCTTTCCATCTTTCTACATGTCTATGCAGCAAATTGGGTTGTCCCGAAGTTACCTGCCTCATCTCTAGATGGCTGTAGCTCTTCCAGGCATCACATTCAGTTACAACAATATCCAGAGGGGGGAAAAAAAGACTACTTCATCCCACATGCCTTTTTTTTTTTTTTTTTTTAGCAAGAAAAACTTTTTTCAGGAGCCCCCAAAGAACTCATACTTTTTAGCCACAATGACATTGTCACAGGCATAAATTAAAAATTTGGTAAGAAGGAAATGACTATGATCAGATTAATAGTAGCATTAACATGCCAGAAGTTTTCTGAAATGCACGGTGATATTTTTGGTTGTCATGGAGACTGGGGTCCACCACCAGCATTTAATAGATGACAGCTAAAACTATCCAATATGCTGGAAAATATTTGTCTATTTCACACAAAGAAGTGTGGTCTAAAATGTCAACAGAGAGAATATGGGTGAATAAAACTAAGAATAATAAAAGAGCAATGGCCAAACAGTAGACAAGTATCAGTGTCTTCCACAGTGGTGAAAGACACTATTCTTAGCTGTAACTAGAATATAATCTAGGGTAGTGACAGACAAGTAAAGAAAAAATTTAAAAGCATCAACTTTCATGAGGATAAAGAAATAACAGGATTAGGAATGGAGAAAGAATATTAACAGTTACTAAATACCTGTTATGCTAGGTGTTCTCATAAATTCCTTCATTTAATAAACACAGAGTTAGTATTTTAGTCTTCCCAAGTGCTGACATAGCTAAATTATACATATTTAGGTAACCCCAGAGAGTCAATAAAAATTTATTTATATCAGAAAATACTACAATTTTTAACTGAGAAGGAAAGCTTGGCATATGCTTACACTATAATCAGTACAGTTTAAAACAGCCATGTCACAAACCTTTGAAGTCTTCTTCTGCATTAGGTACAAAAAAAGTATTAAAAACTGACTCAGATTAAGAGACAACAACTGTAAAATATGTGTTTTACATATAAAAATGTGTATAGTTTTAAGATATCACCACTTAAGAGTCACACTTCCAACAAACTACTTAAAAATCACTGATCATGTCATTTGTTCAACACAGCTACCTCCAAATTCACCCAGTATGGAGCTACTCATTGCAGCACTAGCATATCACAGTGTTAGTACTTAAGATTTTCTTCTATATTGTCTTCTACTGATACCAAATACTAATTCAGAACAGAAATCTAGGAGTTATATCTACCACAGGCCACACTAATTGTTAAGAGCCATATACGAAGTCTATTTCTAAGGAAAAAAGACATGACCATGAAGAAACCCACAGAGGTTACTCACAAAATTAATCACTCAGCATTGGTATTAGTAGGATCAAGAAAAAAAACTTAAAAACCAACTATGGATAGTAACAAATAAAAACCTAGGAATTTTGGGATTAACAGTACAACATCATATGTAATCTGAATATCATTATGAAAACTGAATTAACTTATTTCCTAGAGAAACACAGAATAAAACTACCAGGGGTATATAACTGAAAGTGTGAACATGTCAGATACAGAAATCAAGTAAAATACTCACTGCCAAAGCCTTGGACAGTTTGGCTCTAAATTCATTCAGGATGATTGCCACAATGTCCTTAAGTGGTACGTAAGCAAAGCCATCTTCCAAATAGACTTTCCTTCCTCGAAACAAATCCAGAGCATCAGCAAAAGGGATCTGAATTAAGAGTAAAACAGGCAAAATAAGTCAGCACCTGTCATTAAGAAATCCTAAGTCTTCATATGTATAAAGTATAAACAAAGAAATTCATTAGTCCTAGCAGAGCCAAAAGAATATCAAAATGATTAATTTATCCTCCTTAAAACTCAACAGCATTAGCAAACAGTGGCAGTACAAAAATATGTTCGTTTCAGAGTTGATGTTTTGAAAAATAGTAACACTAAAAGGCCAAGTTGGAATGCTTACTTTTATTCCTTAACCTCTGAATTTACAAAACATAATCCCCAGGATTTCAAACTCTTAACTCAAGACTTCTACACATGTTGCATTCACCTCACATATCCCACTTTGTATTCTGCATCAGAGAGAATCCTAATTTGTAAACAACATATTCAGAGCTGAAAATTACTTGTAAGTAAATTCCAATTTCTTCATGTATGTTTCCATTCTCACTCCAGAGAAATATACTGAAAAAGCTAATCTCAGTACTAAGAAATGGAAATAATAAGCATTCAGTTTTGCTATTAAAAGAAGTATTTGCCCCAAGAATTTATTTTTAAAAATCTTAGATTTTTAAACCCTATGAACAATCTTAAAATTCTAAGAGATGAGCGAAGTATGATATTAGTAAACTGTAAAAATCATTCTTACTCTCCAATAGAATTTTTCTTTTTTAAAAAACGAGGTTAAAAAATTAGGTGAAAAATGATTCCCAAATTGCCTATTCATTCAAGTTTTAAGGAAGAATTAAATATAAATGCATACAATTTTCTGTATATCCAACGACATCTCACACTATAAACAGATCATGTGCTTTTTAACAACTTTCAATTAATTTACCTATTTCTACAACTGCAACACAGTCCCTGCCCTCATGGGCACACACGGAAAGTCAAACAGACCTACAGGGTAAATTGTGTGATACTGCACCAAATAGGTAGCTTACATAGGACATATCAGATGAGCAGGTAAGAGGGTTTACTGCAATAATATAGGGAAGAAACATGAGTTCTAGTCCAAGCTCTGATACTGACTAGACTTATTTGGTGAATTTAATGAATGCCTCTAAATCTCAGCAGCCAGATCTGTAAAGCTGAGAGAGGGGAGGAAGACACAGGCTAACTGACCCTTAGGGATTCTTTAGCCATAGTATTTCATGATTCTAGCTTATTAAGGTGGTCACAGTGGAAACAAAAATGCCCAAGTAGAAGCAAAAGATGATGTGAAGGCAGAGTAACTGGAAATGTGTGGTGTAAGAGAAATAAATATTGATCACCACACTCTAGGCTTGAAAGGCTGACTGAATGATGGCCCAACAGTCGAAACGAAGAAGCTGGAATGGGGCAGGACTTTAAACTACTGGCACTCACTCATAATAATTAGCACATTCTTTTCAAAGGAAATTGTGGGGTTGCAGTTATCAAATTGTAAAATGAATTTAAACTCTTCCCTCTTCCCCTTCTGGAAGGGTTCATGTGACGTAGTTATCTGAACTGAGTGGGGAGGGGAAACTGAGGTGGCCAAGCACAGGATGATGGAATCTGAGTAGGTTAAGGAGGGCATTCCCATAGGAAAAAACGTAGGCTTACAATGTCAGAGCCCAGTGGAATCACAGAGAGACCATGAGGCAAGACACCACGATGTCAGAGGTCAAGAGAAGCGAAAGGGGGCTTCCACGCAAGGCAGCAATCCAAACAGAGTGTTGGGCCAAATGGGTGATGAGGGTTTCCTGGCAGGGGATAGCCCAGTGCAGGGTGTAAGAACCCAAACAATGCAAGGAGGGTATTCCATTAGGAAAACAGCCTGTAATGGGAGGTCAGAGCCCAAGCAGGGTTGGGAATGCGTCCGTGGAAGGAGACAGCCCAGGAGAGAACATTGGCACACCATTAGTGCAATGAGGACAGTATCTGTGCAGGAGACAGAGTAGCTGTGATGATGAGAGGCTATAAAAATGGATTAATTAAATATGTATATAAAGCTCAATGCGACATATTTAACAAAACCTAGGAAGTATTTTACATGTTTACATACCTTATAAATGGACTCGAACCCCAACTTAAGTCCACTTAAACTTGGTGATGAGGCAACAATCTCCTGTTCTCGAAGAGTCTTCTCTTCATCACTTATCTAAAAAAACATATTTTAAGCTGTTACAAAAATTTGAAGTCCTCATTCAGTTTCAATAAAATGATTTCCTGTTTTAATGAATACTGTTTACTTTTATTAAAAATTTTAAAACCTTGATATCTCAAATCATTTCTAACATGATATCTGAATCACTATCATTAGTGAAGGCAAAATACAGAAAAAAACCTAAATTGAATATTCTTTCAAATTTCAACCCTGCCAATTTCTGAAGGTATACATCAAAAGAACAGTAGCAGACAAAGAGAAAATATTTTAATGAGAAAAAGGAAAAAACTTATCATAAAAACTCAGGTTAATATAGACTAAAAATGAGCATTATCCTAATTTGAGTTATGTTAATATATTAAAATATCCTAATTGAGGTTAGAGTGGTTTGACTATTTCTCAATTTTCTAGCCACATAAGACAATTCCAAACTTAAAACACTAGTTTTTCTAGGAACAACTATAAATTTATTATCTCAGACTGATTATGGCTTTATAAAAAATTGATAGATCTGATTAGTACAAGCGTTAAACTTCTATACCAAAACATATATATATTTTTGTAAATGAAGATGAAATATAAGTGACAAACTGAGGGAAATATTTACATCATCTGATGTGTGAGTTAGCCTCAGTAAGCCCCTAGTTGGCAGTATGTAAGCTTTCATAACCCAAAAGTAGTAAAACATGAACAGCCAATAGTTATATAAGTAAAAATAATAAATGCTAAATTAAAATAATAATGTGTACTATTTTCCATCTATCAAAATGGTAAAAGTTAAAAAGATTTAGAATACACAGTGTTAGGACAATCTTTGTGTACCATACTTTGATAATACATATCAAATAGCCTTTAAAAATGCAGATTGTAACTATTTTATTTTCAGATTAATCACAAGTAAATAACAGGACAAGCACACAAATAAAAACGTTTCTTTATTACAGTGTTATTTATAATAATAAAGAAAAAAACTAAATGTCCAACATGTATCTAGTTAAACAAACTGCAGTAGAACTTGCTGTTTCAGTAAAACAGGCTATATTATTTGGGTCAACCTCCTAGAGAAAACAAAACAAAACAAAACACTGATAAAATTTTTAAAACATCTTTACAGCACAGAAAGTTAATATACAAAGTCAGGCCCACACAAAGTGGGATATCTGACGAGAGACCTTCCTGCTCAAATGATGTAGGATATCAGGGAATCCCAAGCCTTGAACTTGTTTTAAGGCGGTACCTGATTCAAATGCCCAGGCACCTCGCAAAAGCAAACTCAAATCCTCTCTGGAGGAACCTTCACATTACACCTCAAAGTATTCCTACAAATAAATTTCCAAATACAATGTCAAGCACGTTGTATTTTATAACAAGGTATAGAAAAAAACTATACTTCACGAACAAAAACAACAGGGAAGAATTCACAAAGTTTACAGATAATAACTATGCTACCATGTGTACAGAAATAAAAGACAAGCACAATCTGTATGAAGTGGAAACTATAAAAAGTGATTTTTTTTTTAAAAGCAAAAGGCTGGGCACGGTGGCTCACGTCTATAATCCCAGCACTTTTGGAGGCCAAGGCGGGAGGATCACTTGAATCCAGGAGTTTGAGACCAGCCTGGGCAACACGGTGAGACCCCATCTCTACAAAAAAAAAAATTAAAACATTAGCCAGGTATGGTGGTATACACTTGTTATCTCAGCTACTTGGGAGGCTAAGGTGGGAGGATTGCTTGAGCCCAGGAGTTAGAGGCTGCAGTAAGCCATGATCACATTACTGCACTCCAGTCTGGGTGACACAGCAAACCATTATCAAAAAAAAAAAAAAGAAGAAGAAGAAGAAAAAGCTTTCTGATGTGCTGTTTTACATCACTGAATGGAACCTGGGTTTTCATTAAAAAGGTTCCAAACACACAGTTTGTAGAATCTAAGAAATGACATTTCTGAGCCCGTTGAGCCCTTACAGGAACATACAAACATCCAGCCCTAAGACCTAAAATCAAGCAATGTGCACAAAACCTTTGTGATGTGTTGTTTTATATCACTAAATGAAACCTGTGTTTTATTAAACAGGTTCCAAACACACATTTAGATGAATGTAAGAAATGACATTTCAGAGATGATTAGGCCTATATAAGGAAAAAGAGGAAAAAGAAAAAAAAATTTCTAGAAATAGACAAAAAAAATTTAGGCACAGAAATTTAAAACTCAATGGAGTCAGGAAGAAACCCCTGAAATTCCTGTAGCTGTGAACAATTACTTGAGGATGAACCAGAACCTTATCAGCCTTCACATGGATCTACAACCCATTTTCAACTTATCTAGTGATTCTGAGATCTCAGATCCCAGATTTAAATTAAAATTAGCCTGGACCAGCAATGACCCCAGGCCAATGAAAAAAAAAAAACAAATGAAAACCCTTCCAGAAAGATATAATCCTCCTAAGCTTCAATATAGTCCACACATAACTTTCGAAACACAATCTCCAGCATACAACAGTAACAAAGCACACCAGGAAATGAGACTCCATGAATAAAAACAATATAGGTAAGAACAAAAAAGTATCAAGATTGAAAAAGAAGAACTAAAACTCTATTTGCAGATTATATGATTTAGTATACTTAGAAAATCCAGAAGTATCCACGACAAATTATTAAAACTATTGGCCTAATTGAGTCAGGTTTCTGGATTCAAATATAGAAAAACCGGCAGGGTGCGGTGACTCACACCTGTAATCCCAGCACTTCAGGAGGCTGAGGCGGGTGGATCATGAGGTCAGGAGTTTGAGACCAGCCTGGCCAACATGGTGAAACCCCATCTCTACTAAAGATACCAAAAAAAAAAAAAAAAATTAGCTGGGCATGGTGGTGCACGCCTGTAATCCCAGCTACTCAGGAGGGTGGGGAAGAAGAATTGCTTGAACCTGGAAGGTGGAGGTTGCGGTGAGCCAGATTGTGCCACTGCACTCCAGCCTGGGCGACAAGGCGAGACTCGGTCTCAAAAAATAAAAAATATAGAAAAACTAATTGTATTTCTATATGCCAGCAACAAAATTCAGTAAGGGAATTTTTTAAGCTACAATTTACAACAGAATTAAAACTATCAAGGATCTAGGAATAAATCTAACAAAATATGTGCAAGGCCTTCACCAACAAAAATATAAAATCTTAGAGAAACTGGAGAAAAATTAATTAACAGAGATACCCTAAACATCAACCAGAAAACTTAATATTGTAAATGTTTCAAATCTCTTCAAATTAACCTATAGATTCAATACAATCCCAAATAAAATCGTAATAGCTTTTGTGTATGCCTCTGTGTGTGGACGTTCTGGTTCTAAAATGTACATGAACATGCAAAGGGCCAAGAACAGCCAGAACAGAAATAACAAAAAAAAGAGTCAATCCAATAGAAAAATTAGCAAAAGACATTAACAGGCACTTTACAAATGAGAAAACTCAAAGAGCCAAAAAATGTATTAAAAGATGCTCAACCTCCTTAGTCATCAGGGTTTGAAACCATAATGGAAACCTCAATGACATACCACTACATGACAATTAGAATGGTTAAAATATACAAATGGCCAGGCATGGGAGTTGGCATCTGTAATCCCAGCTACTTGGGAGGCTGAGGTGGTTGGATCGCTTGAGGCCAGGAGTTTGAGACTAGCCTGGGCGACTAAGTGAGACCCCCATCTCTAACAGGGTCTTGTTTGTTCACCCAGGCTGGAATGCAATGGTATGATCACGGATCACTGAGTAATTGAACTTTCTGAGTAATTGGGACTACAGGCACAAACCACCATGCCCAGCTAATTATTCTTAAATTGTTTTAATATTATATTTTTTCTTATAGAGATGGGATCTCCCTATGTTGCTCAGGCTGGTCTTGAACTCCTGGGCTCAAGGGATCCTACTCCCTTGCCCTCTCAAAGTGTTAGAATTACAGATGTGAGCCACCATGCCTGGCCATTTTTTAAATTTTTTATAGAGACACGGTCTTACTATGTTACCCAGCCTAGTCTCAAATCCCTAGAATCAAGTGATTCTCCCACCTTGGCCTCCCAATAGGCTAAGATTACAGGCATAAACCATTATACCCAAACTAAAAAAAATTTTTTTTAATTAGCTGGGTGTGATGGTGAGTACCTAGTAGTCCCAGCTGAGATAGGACTACAGACACACACCATTACACACAGCTACTTTAAAAAAAAAAAAAAAAAGGCTGAGGCGGGAAGATCTCTTGAGCCCAGGAGTTTAAGGCTACAGTGAACTATGATCACACCACTACCCTCTAGACTGGGCAACAGAGGAAGGGTCAGCATCATCCTTATACCAAAATCTGGCGGAGATACAACAAAAAAAAGGAAAACATCAGGCCAATATCCTTGATGAACACTGATGCAAAAATCCTCAACAAAATACTTGTAAACCGAATCCAGCAGCACATCAAAAAGCTTATCCACCACGATCAACTTGGCTTCATATCCAGGATGCAAGGTTGGTTCAACATACACAAATCAATAAATGTGATTCATCACATAAACAGAACTAAAGATAAAAACCACATGATTATCTCAATAGATGCAGAAAAAGCCTTCAATAAAATTCAACATCCCTTCATGTTAAAAACTCTCAATAAACTGGGTATTGAAGGAACATACCTCAAAATAATAAGAGCCATATATGACAAACCCACAGCCAATATCATACTGAATGGGCAAAAGCTGGAAACATTCCCCCTGAAAACCCGCACAAGACAAGCTTGCCCTTTCTCACCACCCCTATTCAACATAGTCTTGAAAGTTCCTGCTAAGGCAATCAGGCAAGAGAAAAAAATAAAGAGTATTCAAATAGGAGGAGAGAAAGTCAAACTATCTTTGTTTACAGATGACATCATCCTATATCTAGAAAACCCCATTGTCTCAGCCCAAAAGCTTCTTAAGCTAATAAGCAACTTCAGCAAAGTCTCAAGATACTAAACTAACATGCAAAAATCACTAGCATTCCAGCTGAGTGAGGTGGCTCATACCTGTAATACCAGCAATTTGGGAGGCTGAGGCAGGTGAACCACCTCAGGTCAGGAGTTCATGACTGCCCAACACGGCGAAACCCCGTCTCTGCTAAAAATACAAAAATTAGCCGGACATGGTGGCACACACCTGTAATCCCAGCTACTCAGTGGGCTGAGGCAGGAAGATCACTTGAACCTGGGAGGTGGAGGTTGTAGTGAGCTGAGATCGCGCCACTGCAGTCCAGCCTGGGCGACAGAGCAAGACTCTGTCTCAAAAAATAAATAAATAAGGCCGGGCGCGGTGGCTCACGCCTGTAATCCCAGCACTTTGGGAGGCCGAGACGGGCGGATCACGAGGTCAGGAGATCGAGACCATCCTGGCTAACATGGTGAAACCCCGTCTCTACTAAAAATACAAAAATTAGCCGGGCATGGTGGCGCGCGCCTGTAGTCCCAGCTACACGGGAGGCTGAGGCAGGAGAATGGCGTGAACCCGGGAGGCGGAGCTTGCAGTGAGTCGAGATCGCGCCACTGCACTCCAGCCTGGGCGACAGAGCGAAACTCCGTCTCAAAAAAAATAAATAAATAAATAAATAAATAAATAAATAGCATTCCTATACACCAACAATAGCCAAGCCAACAGCCAAATCAAGAAGGCAATCCCATTTACAATTGCCACAAAAAGAATAAAATTCCTAGGAATACAGCTAACAAAGGAAGTAAAGGACCTCTTCAAGGAGATCTACAAACCACTGTTCAAAGAAATCAGAGATGACACAAACAAATGGAAAAATATTCCATGCTCATGGATAGAAAGAATCAGTATCATGAAAATGTCCATACTGTCTGATGCAATTTATAGATTCAGTGCTAATCCCATCAAACTACCACTGACGTTCTTCACAGAATTTTTTTAAAACTATTTTAAAATTCATATGGAACCAAAAAGGAGCCCAAATAACCAAGACAACCCTAAGCAAAAAGAACAAAGCTGGTGGCATCACACTACCCTATTTCAAACTATACTACAGGGCTACAGTAACCAAAAGAGCATGGCACTGGTATAAAAACAGGCACATAGACCAATGGAACAGATTAGAGAAACCAGAAGTAAGACTGCATGCCTACAACACTTGATCATCAACAAACCTAACAAAAACAAGCAACAGGGAAAGATTTCCCTGTATAATAAATGGTGCTGTGAGAACTGGCTAGCCATACATAGAAAATCGAAACTGGACCCTGTCCTTATACCATATACAAAAATCAACTCAAGATGGATTAAATACTTAAATGTAAAACCTAAAACTATGAAAACCCCAGAATTGGCATTACCAATCAGGACATAAGCACAGGCAAAGATTTCATGATGAAAACACCAAAAACAATTGAAACAAAAGCAAAAATTGACACATGGGATCCAATTAAACTAAAGAGCTTCTGCACAGCAAAAGAATCTATCAACAGAGTAAACAGACAATCTAAAGAATGGGAGAAAATTTTTGCAATCTATACATCTGACAAAGGTCTAATATCCAGTATCTATAAGGAACTCAAATTTACAAGAAAAAAAAAAACATTAAAAAGTGGACAAAGGACACGAACAGACCCTTCTCAAAAGAAGACATACATGCGGCCAACAAACACATGAAAAAAAAAACAATGTCAGTGATCATTAGACAAATGCAAATCAAAACCACAATGAGGTACCATCTCACACCAGTCAGAATGGCTACTACTAAAAAGTCAAAAAACAACAGATGCTGGCAAGGTTGTGGAGAAAAAGGAATGCTTTTACACTGCTGGTGGAAGAGTAAATTAGTTCAACCATTGTGGAAGACAGTGTGGGGATTCCTCAAAGACCTAGAGGCAGAAATATCATTGAAGCCAGCAATCCCATTACCGGGTATATACCCAAAGGAATATAAATCATTTTATTTTTTTATTATAAAGATACATGCACACATATGTTCACTGCAGCACTATTCACAATAGCAAAGACATGGAATCAACCCAAATGCCGATTAATGATACACTGGATAAAGAAAATGTGGTACATATACACCACGGAATACTATGCAGCCTTAAGAAGGAATGAGCTCATGTCCTTTGCAGGGACATGGATGGAGCTAGAGGCCATTATCCTTAACAAACTAACACAGCAACAGAAAACCAAATACCACATGTTCTCATTTATAAGTGGGAGCTGAATGATAAAAACATATGGACACTTGGTGGAGAAAAACACACACTGGGCCTTTTGGAGGGTGGGAGGTGAGAGGAGGGAGCGCATCAGATGCTGGGCTTAATACCTCACTCACCATTTATTATATGAAAGTTGAAATACAGCAGAGGATGAAGTTTAGTTGTGTCAATCTAGTAGATTATTCAAAAGTTGATGATGACTGAAATCCATGTGTACTATCTACTAGTTACTATGCTATTTTACTTATACTATCTCACTTAATCCTACTAATAACCCTATAAGCTGGATATTATCCTAGTTTTATAGCTAATTAATATGAGTAGAAACCAAACTGGATTTCCAACCAAAGTCTATCCAATGCTAAGGTCCACTAGGCCATGTGGTCTCCAAACAAATAAACAGATACTACTTTGCAGGAAAGCTAAACAAACATGTAACATTAAAAGCAATGGAAGACAAATTCATCAACTGGAAACTTTCACCTCAATTCCTCTTTGGTGATGGACAAGATAAAGATACAGAAACTAAAAATGTAATACAACTAGATGCCATGAGAAGTTTTATAAGTAAAAATTTTAAAGGGTCAGAGCACAAATTACAGATAATCAACACTCATTGTAGAGTATGTAAATTGAGGTTTAGCAATAGCAAATATTTCCCTAAGAGCTAAAGCCAGATTATTTTGCTTTCGTATTTGCTATGTTTACATATATCTCTGTTGACAGTAACTTTTCTACTTAATTGACTATTTACCTTTCACTTTGCATTCCATAAGGGAAATTCTCTGAAACTCAAATAGGCAACCAGACACACAATGCAGAAAATATCTGAGAGGAAGTAGCTATTTTAAGTTTTAGAGCCAAGTTATAATTCTCAAACAGCAATTAATGAAGGAAGAAACTGATTGGGGAGATAGGGTGAAAGGAGAAGAAATCTTCATGTCTTCACGATGCTCTTTCATTGCTTTTTAAGTAAGCATCCAACCTAAATATAAAAATATATTTCAAATTTTCCCAGTAAACATTTATCTGAAATTAAATAAAATTTTAATATACATCTCTGTGTTCCCCACCATTAATAAGAATAATTATAATTGATTACATGTATTGTTTGTTGCCCAAATAAATCTTGCCTAGATCTGGCAAAACTGAAATTGAAGCCAAATGTGTTAACCTGTCATGATCCTTTTATAATCACCTTTTACCCAGCAATAAAGAAACTAGTATCTTTGAACATACAGATGTTTGTCCTAATATTGTTTTAGGTTCTAACTAAACAAATCCCACATTAATAACTAAGTACCACTAATACTTCACCTAGCATAATATAGTATCTCACCTTTCCCTAAATTCAAGTATTTGTATTACTGATACCACAGTTATTTCTAACTTGGTAAGCAATTAACTACTTACCAAGTAAATGTCAGGGAAGCACACATCAGTTCAACTGCCACACAACAGAATACTTTAGCTACAACAGACTTTACTTCTCCAAATAGTCTTCTGCCTTGGAAATATACAAGATATAATTTTGAAAAAAAAAAAAAAACAAACCTCAAGAACTTAAATAAAAATTAGAGTTTAATGCAATATTTCTTCTCATTGAAATCTACCCCCACCCAAAGAAGAATAAAAGCTATCTAGTCTTGCTCAGATTAGAAGTTATAGATAAAATTCTGGGCTGGGTGCAGTCACTCATGCCTGAAATCCCAGCACTTTGGGAGGCTGAGGTGGGCAGATCACCTGAGGTCAGGAGTTTGAGCCCAGCCTGGCCAACATGGTGAAACCCCATCTTTACTAAAAATACAAAAATTAGCCGGGCATGGTGGCCCACGCTGTAATCCCAGCTACTCAGGAGGCTGAGGCAGGAAAATAGCTTGAACCTAGGAGGCAGGCAAAGGTTGCAGTGAGCTGAGATCGCACCACTGCACTCCAGCGCAGGTGGCAGGGTGAGACTCCATCTCAAAAAAAAAAAAAAAAAAAGCTATAGATAGAATTCTAAGGAATTCAATGTGTTTCTAAACTTTTCACCCAAAGTAAGCAAACACACTCTAAATCATGCACTTCGATCTAAATTTCATGTCACTTCCTGTTTCATGGCCTATGAGTAAATATTCTGGTTTTCTTTGATGAATTAAAAAATACATCCATTTGTCAAACAAATTCTAAATCTTCATTTATCTATTTAGTTATAACCAAAATGGAAATGGAAAATACAAGACAATTCTCATTGAAAAATGTAGGATGACTGTCAGAAACTTTACTATTAAATAATTAGTATAAACTGCTATTAACTTCATTATTTTGAAATCCTAAAATAATCCTGAATATTCTCTTTACTCTTGCTTTCTCCTTAAAAACTATTGGACAAAATATAAGGATATTTCATTTATTTAGGTTCTCCTAAATGAGATTACCTGCTGCATACCTAAAAAAAATACTCATTCTCTGAAAGAGCAAGACAAGATTAAATGGCTTCCTACTTCTACTAACAAAGAATACAAGTAAAAACAGATAGAGTGGAACAATTATAAAAGCAGAGTAAAGTAGTAGAGAGAATAGTTTTCAAAATCATAGAAACCTGTCTTTGAATCTTAAACAGGTTAGTTAACCTCTTTACACCTTAGTTTCTTCAGGGATAAAATGAAGAAAATCATACCTATCTCATGTAGCTTTTCTTGGGATTAAATAAAGTATGTAAAGTGTGTACAATAGGCCTAACATACAGCACACCCTTAGTACATGGTAAACACTTGTTGTTACTACCTGTAATTTACATTTTGATTAGTTTCTGTATTTCAGGCTTTTTCCTCAAGTAATAAAGTGAAATGTTTACTGCAACTAATGCAGTTTCTATAAACTTGTCATTTCATTAAACTAACACAGGTCTTGGTGTATAGGGGAATTCAAAATAACTGATAAAAGCCAGCTAGGTTATCACTGCAACATCTTATAATCAAGGTGTAGTATGCTTCACAAAGTAAACATCCTCCTAAAAAGAGGTGTATAAACAAATGGCTCAACATGAAACACACATTTTTTGAGTGACTTACATTACTATTTTAGAGATGCTCAACCTTCACTCTGATTAATGTCCAATCAACAGAGACTCTGAACATTCTAGCTTTGAAGTTCTGCTCTTGCCACTACTACTCATAATTCCCCACATCTCAATCCCTATTATTCATATCCACCCACTCAACAGTCAGTACCTGAATGTTTCAAATGGTAGCACATGGTATAACGGTATAGTTTTTTATCAAGTAAAAATTACACTGGGTTTTAACTGTTTTGGCAAAGTTATATTTCCATATTCCAAAATTATGTTGTTTTATATGCTGCCTTGCTAACAGAATTAAGGATTTTGGCTGTGTGTCTTTTTCTTTTTTATATTCTTCATCAAACCAGGAACTGAGAGAGGCAATTTCACTCTGTTGAAATCCTGAAAGCAGATTAAGGAGCAGCTCTAGAGAGGCAAATACTCTACACAGTAAATAGAAGGGTAGTGGATGTCTGTGTAGACTGTATCGCTATTCACCCTGTACTGAGTCCCTCACTGAGGGAGAATTATACACCCCCTACCTGCTGAACTAAAGTGTAGCCAAGTGACTTGCTTTGGCCAGTGAAATGTGAGTGGAAGTGACGTGTGTTATTCCTAAGCAAAAGCTTTCTGAGCATGTATTTTACCCAGTTCTCTCCTCCTTTTGCCGCAGCAACTGGTGAAGTTCCGGTATACAGAGCCTACTCGATCTGCCTGAGTCCAGGGACAAAATGACACACAGCAGGGTTGTAGCTGGCCCATGAAGACACAGAATATGAACAAGGAACAAACCTTTCTATAAGTCACTGAGGTTTGGGGGTCGTTACCAATGCATAAACTAAACTGACTGGAACAGTGACCTTCATCTTTGCATCACACATTGTCATCAATGAAGTTTTTTCAGCACATACTTCCAATATATGTATATTTATTTATAAATTATATGTATGTATTACTGTACATTCTGCACTTAAAACATGCCATACCCATCCCCAAAATGTGGAACGGATGAGACTAAAAATATATGTTGTATTATTTATTTCTTTCCCACATTCCCAAATGATCATCTTGGGGATGCCATGTTGGAACCACTAGTCTAGTACACTGGCATCAAAAGTAAAGATATAAATAAGGCTTCCCAGAGATTTAAGCTTCTATAAGCTTCCAATCAACAATACTCAATCACATTTATAAATAGTTTGGATAGTTTCTATTTGAATCTACAGAGCTTTCTTAGACCCTGGTCATTAAGTAAGTATGTACATTACTTGCCAGTGAAGCTTTTTAAAATTACAGATTCCTGGTGCCACCCAGACCTACAGACTGAAGCCCTGAGCTGTATGTTTTTTTTTAAGGTCCATTAGTGGTTCGACATACATCACTGGTCTAAACAGCATATCCCAGGAAAAGAATCCGCTTTTCTAAAATAAATGTATGATATATATATGATATATATAAAACAATTAGGAATCATTTCATTTATAAAGAAATTAAAACTGTGAATAGATCAAATGCTGAAAGCAAATATCATAATTTTTAATACTGTTATTATCATTTCAAATAAATATAGGTTCTATATTGGTAGCAAATACTGTGATTATAAAGGGCAATTTGTTTCCCAAATGCACTGTGATGTAATCATCAATCTGGAGTACATGGGGATTAAAGATGGCTGCAAAGTCTTTGACACATCCTCCGTTGAGAGCTAAGATCTATTTGCCCTCCCCTTGAATCTGGCCTGGCCTGTGACTACTTTGACAGGAACGAGTGATGCCCTGCCAGGCCCAGGCCTATTTTTTGAGAGGACTGGCAGATTCTGCCTTGTTCACTTGGAGTCCTAGATCATGAAGTAAGAAGTCCAACCACCTCGTTTGAGGGATCACATGGAAAGGCGTCCAGCAGAGTCCAGCCTTTTAGAAGTCCTCACATATGCACAAGCATGTGAGTAAAGCTGTCTTAGACATCCTAGACCAGACTAGTTGTCAACTAAGAAAGCCCATATATAATACTATGTGGAACAGAACAATTGCCCTGTAAGCCCATTCTGAATCCCTAACCCTCGAAAGTGTGAGATATAATAAGATGGGTACTGTTTTAAGTTTTAGAATTAAGTTTTGATTTTAAGTTTTAATGTTAGGTTTTGGAATTGTTGTTTTAGGTTTGGAGGTATTTCTGACACAGTGATAAATAACCCAAATATTTATCAACCTAAAATAAGTTAGTTTTAAACATTTTTTTCTATCTGTAATCCAGTTCTTACAAAGTACTTTCTTCATTTAAATGTATAAAGGAGAGCCATATAATAGGAAAAAATTTTAATTGGAAAATCTTTAACAAAGAGACAAAAATAGAAAATAAAAAAGGAAATAATTACCACTCTGTGGCTGAATTAATTAACTAAAATTGATAGGATAGTATGGTACTTCACTCACAAATTTTTTTGTCATTTATAATCATCCAAAACATTAAAAGTTAGAAAATGAATAATTTAATATCCTGACATTCTAATTAGTATGTTGATGTCTCAGTAATACTGTCAAGCTAATCAATATAAAAATCAATTGTCTGGTTACTTTATTACTGTTTTTTTAATAGCATAGGCACATTTGGAATATAGTAAAATTAACACTAAAAAGGAAAGATTATTTACTTATACTAAAGCATATTTCATCTCTTCTACAAGAAAACAAATATTTTTGAAAAAAAATAGGTAATTTAATCAAGACCTCTACCTCCTTGCTATCTCATGAGAACACCGTGCTAGCATAAATTAACATAACTTTATTCCCTCCTTTTTCCTCCACCCTAGCCAGCTGCTCCCCACTTACAGATTATTGCTCTCCACGTTTCAATGCCTCAAGTTCATCATATCCTTCTGGCACCTCATTATGGTGACCAACCATCCCAGTTTGTCCAGGAATGAGAGGTTTCTAAGGATGTGGGACTTCCAGTACTAAAACTGGAACAGGCACGGTCCAAATCCAAATCTTGTCGACATCACAACATCCACTTTCTTGCCACTGTCCAAATGGACTGCTACACCCATATGGATGATCCAGTCAACACTAGTTTCACAGTCGTCAGCATCCTCTGACCCACTCACCCTCCACTTCTGCAGCCCACTCCCACGATCACAGCACAATTCACAAGCAACGCATCACCCCTACCCTCACACATTTTCCCCAACCACATCTCCATGTCCTTCCTGCTCACTTACTCCATTATCCCCACTACACAGGCTCTTTGTGTCCATCAAAGTTCCTTTTTATCCCAGGCCTTTAAACTCTTTCTAGTTTCAATTTTCTTCCCCTAAAATACTTTGCCCTCCAATTATACCAACCTATCTGCACTTCCTATAGCGCACCATGTCTTTCTTTCACTTCTATGACTTTACACATATTTCCCACATCTGAAATGTCTTTCTATACCCTGTGTTTCTACTGGCAAATTTCTATGCAACTAACAGGTTACCTCTGCAAAGTTGCACCAGATTTCCTTAGGCATAGTTACTCCCACCTCCATGCTGGTACATACCTGTCTGCTTGAAGATACAGTTTTTTTTTATATTATTTATGTACAATACTATAAGCATTTATATCTCCCTCACTAACATATGAACCTAAGCACAGGTAAATGTGTCATAACGATTATATTCCCAGTTCTTTTTTTTTTTTTTTTTTTTTTTTTGAGATATGGTCTCACTCTGCTGCTCAGGCTGGAACAGCTCACTACAGCCTTGATCTCCCAAGCTCAAGCAATTCTCCTGCCTCAGCCTCCCAAATAGCCTGGGATTACAGGCGTGCTAACGCGCCACCATGCCCAGCTGATTTTTAATTTTCTGTAGAGACCGGGTCTCATTATGTTACCCAGGCTGGTCTCAAACCCCTTAGCTCAAACAATCCTCCTGCCTTGGCCTCCCAAAGTGCTGGGATCACAGGCGCGAGCTACCGCACACAGCCTATATTCCCAGTTCTTACCACAATACCTGATGAAATGTTTACTGACTGAAATACACAAACTATGGAAAGTGACAATATTCAAACTGAAGAAATACAGAAAAGCTTAGAATAAGAGAAAAATAAATATTCTGTGTGATGAAACCCCAAAAGACTAAAAATTATTAATGATAGGATGTAATAAAATAAATTCATCAAAAGATAAAAAACAGATTAATTCACGAAAAGGCACAAAAATTCATACACACAAAATAATGTTCAATTCCGCTAATAATTAAAGAACAGTTAAGAAGTTGCTAGACCAACAAGCAGTAATAAGGCAGTCCTAGAATTGGCACTGTGACAGAGATGGAGGGAAAACATGCAATTAAGAAAGATAGAAAGGAAATACCAAGAAGTTATGACAGAATCATGCCTGAGTGAATGTAACAGCAGTGCCTTTAATAAAAATCATCTTTCCTGACAGTTTCTCCAGATGAGCACAAGGGCAGTTAAACAAATTAAAGAAATAATACTTCTCTATTAATTTGATATAATAATTTAAGAAGCTATTTTAACTTAAATTTTTAAAAAATCTTTATAATTCTTTAGACCATCACCTCTCCAGCCCAGTAAGCTGTCTTGACTTGAGGCTCAGAATATGTTAAGGGGAGAGGGGAACAATTTGCAACATCACCAACAGCACAGCAGCAGATGGGCTCCGTGCTATTAGCAGTTTCTGATTTCTTAAGTTATTCAGATCTACATCTCACTGAAAACAACAAAAATGATGGACAAAACACTTAAAAATATTAGCTTAACAGCATTTTAAAAATACTGTTAAACTAATATTTAGTTTAAAAGGGAACTTGTTGGCCAAATTTTGAGGCAAACCCAGGAGAACTAATGCCATTTTTGCTCTGAGGACATTAGTAAATGCCATCTCCTCATACTTCAGATCTTCAGTCTCAAGGGGCAAGGTAGCAAAACACAAGGATTAGGGCCTGCCAAGCGGAAGACTCTTGCAAGAGGCCCTCCCTATATTAAACTGGAGACCCAAACGAAGAACATCTTCAGAGAAAGAGTGAACTAGAATTGACCCACCATCTCTCTCCTAACCACAGAAGAACGAAGGGCAAGCTGACTTGTCACTGAGCAAAGCAGGAAAAGAAAAAGGTAGGAAAATGAAGTTTTTGAGAAGCTGTGGCCACCCAAAGTATATATGGTGTGGATGGGCCAGAGACACAATCCTAAATACGGTTTAAAAAGTGTCCTTGACTTAATACCTGACATAATACCCCTAAAGTAATACTCTCAGAAACCTGGCAAAAGCAAACACAGTACCTCTCAGAGGAGAGCACATTCACCCTGAAAATGTCCTGAAAAAAGGCTGTGGGAGGGCAATAACCAGTTAAAGATAACCAACCACGCAAGGAAATAAGGCAACATGGGTGAAAGACAATCACAAACCATAGCAGGAACAGACCACACAGATTTTAACTCTTAGAATTATCAGACAGATTAAAAAGCAACCTACAACAAATTTGAAAAAGAAAAGCAAATATTAAAATATCTGCAAGGAATAGGAATCCATAAAAAGCAACATAGCAGATGTGAAAAAAAAAAAACAAATAAATTACAGTAGCCAAAATTTAAAATTCAATGGGAGTAGAACAGACAAAACAGAATATAGAAATAACAAACTGGGAAATAGTTCAGAAAAAATAATCTGTAACTCAGCAGAGAAAGAACAAAAAGAAGGAAGACACAACCTGAGGATGAAAAGTGAATGACTAAGAAGACCTAAAATACAGTTGACTAACACACCAGACAGAGAGGAGAAAGAACAGGTAGAGGGAAGTTTAAAAGCAATAATGGCTGAGAATTTTCCAGAATTAATATAAGACACCAATCTACAAATTCAAGAACGCTGGTGAAACTCAAGCAGGATAAATAAAAAGAATTCTACTCCTAGACAAACAGAATATTTAAATCAAACAAAAGTAAATTAAATAGAATATCTTAAAAGGAGACTAAGAGCAGGGTGGCTGTCTTACCTTCAAATGAGCTACAGTTAGACTAACAGCTGATTTCCCCACAGCAAGAGGAGAAGCCAGAAGGCAGCAGAGTGATATATCTTAATGTGCTAAAAGAAAGTACATGCCAACCTAGAATTCTACATCCAGCAAAAATGTCTTCCAATAAAGGAGACAATCTCTTATTTCTTCTTTGGATGAAAAGGTATAGTATATAGTAATAAAACATAAAAAAACACATTTCACTTGAAACTAATGCAACATGAAGACAGACATGTATGGAAAGATGAACATTTAATGTTTTCTTGTATGTCTCCTTTATACTTATAAACATATGATATTTTATTACTAATTGCTTACATATATAATTGTGTCATGGTTCTTCAGTAGATGAGTAGACCCAAGGGTGATGGACCATTTCTATGTTTTCTTGGGTCTCCCCTCTACACACTCTCACCCATACTTTGCCCAGTTTGGGAAATACTAACTACTGAGATGGTCAATAGTTCATGACTGAACTCCTAAGATCATAATTCACTTTTACCCAAATGTAGTTGAAATTTTATTTCAATAATTTAACATTAAATATTAGATTAACAAACTTTCTGATCTTATATTACTAAACCTTACAAACAGTAAATATTTAATGAATGATAAGCAAAACTTTAATGAGAGTAAGCATGCTTTCACAACTGAAATTTGTACCCACCACCACCCCGGTTTCCCTATGAGCTAAGTTAAACTGATCAAGTCTTTGAAATTTGCAACCGTTTCTTTAATTACAAACTATTTATTTCAAGCACCCAGTTAATTGGCAGAATGCCTATTTTTTCACACAGCTTTCTCTTACTGAGCTTCAAATTTTCTTCTTTATGACATCTCCTTTATGTTATCTTCTGCAATAACCTTTTGGTGCACAATTAAAGGCCTCTCAAACTCAATCTTCTTTGAGGCTCCAACTGGCAAGTGTTTTCCAAAAAAAAAAAGGAAGTAATTTCCCTTTCCCATTTTTACAATGTAGCCCAGTAGAAAACTGTTCAACTTAACTTGGTTCTACATTTCTAAATCATGCAGCATCTTGGACATTTTCAAGATCATTGAAAGAGAGGCAGCCAGATTCTGAGTCATGAAAGATATAATGATAACCGAAGTCTTCCAAGCCAAGCAGCTAACAGTAGCATAGTACAAAAAAAAATATGGCTTTCCTTAGCTGGAGAGGAAAGGGAGAAACTTGCTTTGAGTCAACATGAACCACTGATGCAGCCACGTTTATTCAAGCAATAAGAGTAAGGAAAAATAAATTCCAAAAAATAAATTGATTTGTAGCAATTTTCTCTTATAGACCATAGGAAATCAAATCTTTGGCAATTTTTAATAAGTCAGGTGTTACTAAATTTATATTTCTATCGTATATTTCAAATTCATATGGATGGTAGAATACCAGCTATTTTTTTACCTGGTGTGAAGGGAAGGGAGGTGTTTATTCTAAAAGATGCTCAAATATATATATTTGTAACTGAAAATATTAGAAGTCAGCTCTATGGCTTTGACAAAGGTATCCTATTTGTTGACCCAATTCAATATTTTTAGTTCCTCAGAAAATTATTCAGACATTTAAAGTTGCAGTTGGCACATGATATTCCATCCATTGGAGTATCTCTGCTACCTCCTTTCTGCCTTATCTTTTAAGATGCTGTTCACAGCTGTCAGCTCAATGACGCCTTCCTACATTAATCCAGCCCATGGCAATGCCCACTTTTTTTTCCCCCTATAACCCTTGTAGACCATATTAAATATTCTGACACCAGATTATTTTACCTTGTTCTGTTTCCTGAAATCAGTCTTTTCCTGCTCTCTTCAACTATAAACATGTTAATGCAAATCTTCCATAACATACAACACAATGCTGGACACACATAAAGCATTTATTAAATATTAGCTATAAAATAATATAAAGGACAACAGTGGCTCCAGAATTTCTACATAGGATGTGCTTAGGAGTGGGATTTTGCTAGGGAACTTATCTTAAAAGACACATTTGCATAGAAAGCACACTTTTTATCAATTGTTCATTAATCTGGGGTACCTTGGTGGGGAAGGGATTGAGAGATTAAAGCCCCTTCAAGCCACTTCTTGACATTCACAGGGACTTAAAAAGTGTTTCCCAACCATCTCATCCATGTGCCCTGCATCAAGAAGGAGAAAGAGGCTACTCACACATTTATCTTACTTCAAGGTCCACCAAGCTTCCTCCCCTTGGTTATACCCTATCCTAAGTCACGGTTCTAATCCTACTTACAGTGCCACAGTGTCCAAGCGCTTCATCTGCACTTAAAACATGGATTCAAATATAGGAAGAGGCCACGATGCACTCAGAAAGGATAGTATCCTCAGAAGGCACATCCAGTTTATAAGTGCTGTAACACTAGAGTGTGACAGGAAGCAGCACTACCTACACTGCCAAAGGGCCATTCTTCTGCACCCCATCCATAGCTTTCCTTCTATTCCTCTACATTAGAAATACAATATAAGAGCTCCTATCAGCCTTGAGAAACCTATAACATTAACATGAATCTCTCAGTGTCAGCCATCATTCTTATAATGTTCTAAATATTTATTTTATTCACACTGTAATAAAATACCCGCTCCTTCCAAAGCCTGTTCTCCTACCCTACCTAAATGTGGCCATTTTCATTCGATGCCCCCCAAAACTGCAAAAAAAGAGAAAACACTCAGTTCATTCATTTTAGATCCATCTTATTGTTCTCTGTAAAGATCCTGACATTGATCACTTACTCAAAATATGTCACTTGTTCTTATCTATACTTTGCTTGCTACTGCTAGTGTTATCAAAAAAAGGGCAAAATTATTATTTCTATTTTGTAGAGAGAAATAAGAGCAGCCTTGGGAAACTTAAAAGAGAATTTTGATGCTGTATCTTGTTCACTTTGTTTCTTGCCTCCAGTAAAATCATTACAATCCAAAAGTGATACAGCTTAAGGTATCCAGAAAGCTGTGCAGCAAACACAAACAGCTGTGTATAGGTTTGTATTCATCCACGATACTCCCATTCCTTAAGCAAAGTGTCATAATAGCAGCAAATCTGTCTGCCAACACAAAAGGGTATTATTAGGCCTCAACTGTCCTGCTTTCCTGGACTTACGAAATTGTATTTTTTTATTTTATCTATTTTCAGTTTTTCAGTAAGAAATAATTTCCATAGATTTCCATATGAATTAAAATCTCCCCCTTACCTTCCATAATCCAAACTCCATATATCAAGAGCCAATATAAAGCATTAAATGCTGAAAATAAAAGGAGAAAAATCTGCAACCATTTAGAAATGGCATACAAAAATTAAGAAGCCTGTATAATGTGGTGTCTATAGTAACTTATGATTGTTTCATTCATTTATTTATACCTCTTTCTACTTAAGAAGGTGTTTTTAAATCCCCCATAGCACCTACACAGTACTCTGAACATATTGGTATTCACCATCTGAGCTAAATTGAATTTAGCAAGCAAAAAGGACTGTCCACAATCTATACTATGAAGTACACTCATTAAACTTGGTCTGCTTTAAATTTTGGCAAACTCTAAGGGGCTAAGAGCACCACATAAAAACATCAACCTCATTATCTCATACCTTATACCTTATTACATTACTTTCCACTGTCCTAAACATAATAAAGCTGTCTTTGGAAGAATTTAAAGGATTCTCAGACTCCTGGCAAATCTCTTCTTCAAAATGAAAAAGCCACAAACTTCTCAGCTAACTTTTAAGCAGATTCACCAATCAAATTTCTGAAAGGTGAAAAGCATTTATCAACAATTTTCCCATTTCTGTCCCTTCTAAGTAATCTGGGCTCCTCAGAGTTGTCTTCTCCACTCAACTAATTATTGGAATTTCATTTTCCATATTATTTAATTGTTAATAGTATCTTTCATTACATTTTATATAGTCTTTCCAAATCATAGTACAGTTGTTTTGAGGTATTTAGGATACACTGATTGCTATTTTCAGCTCAAACTCAAGAAGCCAGAAGCTCTAGCTACCAGTTCTAATTATCTATCACTGTATAACAAACTATCCCAAAACTTAACAGTTTAAAATAACAGCCATTGTATTACAGCTCTCAATTCTGATGGTCAGGTATTCAGAAAGGGTGCTGCTGGCAATGTCTCTACTCCATGTGGCACCAAATGAAGTCACCAGAGGTACTGAGCTGGTGAACAGATTAATCTGGAGGTTCTTAGATGGCTCTGCTCTCATGTATGGCACCGTGACAGGGATGCTTAAAAGGCTGGGCTCAGGTGGGAATGTCAACATGCCTCTCCAGCATGGCAATTACTAGTTACTGCCAGGTTTCAGAACAGATTCTCCATCAAGTCTACTTAGAATTCTTAATGGCATCCCAGAGCTCCTGAAGACTGTGTACCAGAGACAGAAAGTGGAAGCCCCCAGTTTCTTAAAGCCTGTACCCAGACACTGGTACTCTGTCACTGCTGCCATCCATACTCTATTTGCCAAAACCCACTCACATCAAGAGGTGGGCAGGGGAAGAATGAGGAGTTAGTATTTAAAGGGTAATGAGTTTCAGCTGGAGAAGATGAAAAAGTTCTGGAGATGAATGGGGATGGTTGCACAACAATGTGAATACACTTAATGACAAAGAACTGTACACTTAAAAATAGTTTAAAATGTAAAGATTATGTATATTTAACCATAATTTTTTAAAGCTACTGAGATTCAAGGGGTGGTGACATAGATCCCACTTCTCAATGAGAAAATATCAAATAATTTGAGGCCATTTTTAATCCACTGTACCAGCTAAGATGATCTCCTGGGAGGCAAAACATTTATTTCCTATTAGCATATATACTCCCTCCTAAATATCTTTATTATTTATATAATACTTATAGTGAAAATAATTAATTTTTACTGTACTGCCAATACAGAATATGAAATATTGGCATATTCATTCTTAAAGACCATAAATTATTTTCATTCTTAACACTTCAAAAATAATATGCAATTTTAGCTACATTAACTTCAATTACATTGAATAACTGTTAAACCCACATGAAAGCTTCAAGATGAAATAAAACTGAAAGATGTACTTGCAAATTCCAGACCACCTAGTTTGCAGCTGTGCTAGGTGTTAAAAACATCTCTCCTGTTCTGACACCCAGCATACACCAGCAACCTTCTTGAAGGATTTTGAACTTTAGAGATACACCACACACTGAATCTGGGAAATCTCACCAACCTGCAAATTTTTCTATTTTTTACTGTTCTCCAGCATCTACCAAATCAAGATTTTTATTTTCCCACTCAAAGTCTGCCTAATAAATTTTAATACAAGAGCAATCTGATGTCCATAAGTACACAATTAGCCAAAAGTGATTTGAATCTTGAGTTTGTGGACCCAGTTTGCTAACTGCACACTATTGCTTGATCTACCCATTTTATGAAGCTGTTAGCACAAACTAAGAACAAACAACTGAGAATTTAAACTTTACAATAAACATTCAAAAGGCCAAACAGTTTCTAGGGTGCTTAAGTAATGTATCTTCTGGGGAACAACTGTAGGTAGCTACTTCATTTATTTACTCCTTTGTTCAACCAACATACATTAAGTACCTCCTATAGGCTAGACATTGTGTTAGGTAATAAACACCATATTCAGGGTCCTTTGCTTTCAGGAGACTTAGAGCCCATTTCAAGACAGGCGGGTGATAACCCTCAAGTACAAGTGCTCTGACAGAGGAAGCCGGGTGCGGTGGCTCATGCCTGTAACCCCAGCACTTTGGGAGGCCAAGGCGGGTGGATCACGAGGTCAGGAATCCGATACCAGCTTCACCAACATGGTGAAACCCCATCTCTACTAAAAATACAAACATTAGCCAGGAGTGGTGGCAGGCACCTGTAATCCTAGCTACTCAGGAGGCTGAGGGAGGAGAATCTCTTGAACATACAGAAGGCAGAGGTTTCAGTGAGCCGAGATCGCACCACTGCACTCCAGCCTGGGCAACAAGAGCGAAACTGTCTCAAAAAAAAAAAAAAAAGCCACAGAGGATGGGTTTCTACGCTAAACTTAAGGAAATGTCCCAGAAAGAAAACTGTTTAAGCTGATACATGACAGATGAGTCAGAATTAGACGAAATGTAGGGAAGAGTATCCAAAGTCAAGGGGAAAAAACATGTTTTCACAACTAAAGGAAGTTCACATGGCTGGTCCATAGAGTTTACAGATTAGTGGTAAGAGATGAGGCTAGGGAGGTAAACAGGGATGAGAGCTTGAGGTAACTTATTACAAATTTTGAAGATTAACATTATATTAATAGGAAATTGCTGAAGAGTTGGGGAGGGGCTGTAGCATAGACATCTGTAAATATCTGCACTCTTGCTTCAGGGTAAAGAATGGATTGGATAGGCCGGCACGGTGGCTCACTCCTGTAATCCCAGCACTTTGGGAGGCCAATGTGGGGGGATCACAAAGTCAGGAGTTCAAGACCAGCTTGGCCATCATGGTGAAACCCTGTCTCTACTAAAGCTACAAAAATGAGCTGGGCATGGTGGTGTGCGCCTGTAGTCCCAGCTACTTGGGAGGCTGAGGCAGGAGAATCACTTGAACCCAGGAGGCCGAGGTTGCAGTGAGCTGAGATTGCACCACTACACTCCAGCCTGGGCAACAGAGCAAGACTCCGTGTCAAAAAAAAAAAAAAAAAAAAGAATGGATTGGATAAGAAATCATGGTAGCCCAAGCTAGAATAATGACAATGAAACTGAAAGGAGATGGACAGATTCTAGAGACATTTAGGCATAGAAGTGGCAAACAGACTATTAATCTTAGCCAGGATAAAATCAACAGCACTCTATTATTCCTTATCCTATCACAAATCTAATCCTCTAAAAGCCAAAAAATAACTAAATTTAAAGGAACCTCCCCTTTTACCCTTTGAATTCAAATGTAAAAAGTGCTCATGATCAGGTTCTTCCAATAGCTGTCAGTTTAGCAACAATTTACACATATCCCTAACCTCCTCAGACTGCATGAAAAGAAGATTTGGACTCAAATCTGTGCTTATTCATTTTAATAAGACTCTAGTATTTCAAGTTCTATTAGCTTTATACTACTGAAGTTCTTATAACTTATTACTCTACATATATTTGTAGCACAGTTAAAGAACTCAAGTGGGTATTGGGGGATGAAATCCAGTGTTCTCCCTATACATTATCATTTGCAAATCTCATACAAAAGCTAGAATGGTAACAAATAATAATAAATAATAGTTAATATTTGTTGTGTACTTACTATATGCTAGGCACTGTTAATAAGTACTTTAGAAAAAGTACTAACTTATTAAAGCCTCCCAAAGTTATGAGGTAATACTATTATATACTCTATTTTACAGATGACAAAACTAAGTCAGAGAAGAAAAACAACTAGTAAATAGCAGCACCAGTATTCAACTACAGGTGTTACAGCACCAGAGCCTATGCTCTTCACTCACAAGCTATATGACCTCTCTGGTGTATCCCCGCTTAGACAGCACGCTCTCATCCTACTACCCTTGATCTTGATGCAGGTCAAAGCAGGATTCATATGTCTATACCTCAGATGCCCTATCCTAACACCCTAGGTCTCGAATGCAAAACCCCAAACATTTTCTGTTACTGGGCCATTTGTTTCTAACTTGGATTAGAAGTAATGCAGTTTTGGCCAGGCACAGTGGCTCATACCTGCAATCCTAACATTTTGGGAGGCCGAGGCAGGCAGATCACTTGAACCCAGGAGTTTGAGACCAGCCCAGGCAACATGGCAAAACCCATCTCTACAGAAAAAAAAAGTACAAAAATTAGCCACACGTGGTGACACATGCCTGTAGTCCCAGCTACTCAAGAGGCTGAGGTGGAAGGATCACCTGAGCCTGGGGAGGTGAAGCCATGATCGCACCACTGCACTCCAGCCTGGGCAATAGAATGAGACCCCATCTCAAAAAAAAAGAAAAAAGTAATGCAGTTTCTGCCTTGGTTTCCCTAGTCTTTGCCCTAAATCAGCCACAGACACACTTGACCAGTCTATAAATAGTTTTCTGTCTTCACTCTAAGAAAAAGACAAGCCAGGGAGAATACAAAGGCTGGGTGCCTGGATCCAAATTCTTGTTCAGTTATTGAACTGAGATGTTCCCCCTGCTTCCCAGCAGTAACACTGACCCATACCTGTTGTCTGTTTCCTGCCACATCTCTTAGATATGTAAGAGGAAGATTTGGTAACCTATAAAGGGAGCGTGGCATACCTGTCTGTTAAATATTCTTTTTTTTCCTCTTTTTTATTTACTTATTTTTTTTTTTTTTTTTGAGACAGAGTCTCGCTGTTACCCAGGCTGGAGTGCAGTGGCGCAATCTCAGCTTACTGCAACCTCCGCCTCTCGAGTTCAAGTGATTCTCTTGCCTCAGCCTCCCGAGTAGCTGGGATTGCAGGCGCCCGCCACCACATCTAGCTAATTTTTGTATTTTTAGTAGAGACGGGATTTCACCATGCTGTTAAGGCTGGTCTCAAACTCCTGACCTCAAGTGAACTGCCCACCTCAGCCTCCCGAAGTGCTGGGATTACACGTGTGAGCCACCGCGCCCAGCCCGATATGTTCTGACCATTTCTATGCATGGTGTGAATGCACATGGACAAGACTGCCTCTGCTCTTTGTGCTGTCTGACTCACAGCAGGAAGAAAAAAGAGCCAGGAAAATAGTCAAAGACCCAAAGGACCAACAAAGGTATGACTACAGAATCTAATAAGCTCAATAAAAAAGCCAAACAAAGTTCAACTCTTAAACTTTGGGACTACTGAAATTCATAATGACATTGAATACACCAAGTCTTTGATGCACAGCATTTGTGAATCATCTTGCCCTGCGTTACACTGGAAGTACATAGTTAACTACTGGTATTTGTTATTCCTTAAGTTTATGCCTTAATTTGACAAGTTGATTTTAAATAATGAAAGCCATCTTTGAAAGGTCCATTTAGAATTGTGCAGATAATCAGCATCTGCCTCTAATCAAATGGATATGATTAGCAAATTAAACCCTTTAATTAGCATTTTGCATAATTTAGGCAAATTATGCTTCTTAGGTTTAAGAAGGTGAAACGGTGAGTTTATCAGTTAGAATCCCTTTAAACCTTTATTAATTATCTAATTTTACCACATACACAGTAAACATAAAGAAATACAAATTAAGCTCAATTTCATTTGCTGAAACTTAGCACTTCTCAACATTTAGGCTAATTCTGTCATTTGGAGCAAATTAACACAATACTCAGAAGAAAAATACTTAATTTCAGTTTTCTCATTCAACTCCCCACAGGTCAACTTTACCCAAACTAGATTCAAATCGCATTTTTTAAGAAACAGGGAAAGAAGGAAGGAAAGCATGGAAGGAGAAAGAGAAGTAGGGAAGGAAGGAAGGGAAAAATGAGTTTCTTTCCACTTTTGCCATTCAGTACTGCTAAAGCCAAGGTTCATTTCTCTAGGCATTCAATTATATAGTTTTAAAGAAAAGCATTCATAGAAAGGTAAGTAGCTTGTCAACCTTCTTTGTGAAACGAAGAAAGAGAAAGAGTACAAAAAAATAGCAAAGCTGCCATTACAACACACCAAGCTAACTAATTACTTTTCTCTATAGGAATTACATTCTCTCTCACACAGAATGATGGTGACTTTTGAAAAAAGTATTTCTTCTCTTAACCCACCCGAAGCACCCCTATTAGCTAACAAAACAAAAGTAAGCAACTCTGGAATTTGATAAACAAAAGTCAGGTAATAAACAGAAGAGCTTAAGAGATGGTGGAAGAAATATATACCATTTCTAACGTCTATTAAACCCCAGTTTCTGATGAAGACATGGTCTTGGAGACAGCCCCTCTGCTCTAGCAACCTCTCACCAAAAAATAAAAAAATAAAAAAGAGGCAGTGAAATTCCAAAATAGACTTTTCCTAAGACTACCGATAGTAATCTACTAAAAAGTTCAAATAAATCATCTCTTTTCCCTGCTATAAATACCACCAAAACCGTAGATCTTCTTTATGTATGTGTGCATGTGCACACACCTGTCTCAAGAGGAGTGGTAAATAAAAAGAAAAATAATCAGGCCAAGGTTATTTTAAACAGGAATAAGAAAATGAATTCTAATCCATTTTAAGTGGTATACAGCAAACTAAATGAAAATCAGGAGAGACAGAATTTTAAAAGTAAGTTATCCTTTCTAAACACAAATTGCAATCTATTTGTATGCAGATCCTATTACATCCCTGAACAACCTCTACCCAGAGAAACCAAACAATAGCTCTGATGTACACTAATCAACCAAACAGTTCCAAAATTGTCTCTTTAAGTACTTACTCAAGTGGTGATATTGTAAATATAATTTACAGTGCTTTGTATCTACAGGAACTCAGAAAATATTAGCCAGTTCACTGACCGGAAAAATCCAAAGACTGCTTTTTTTTTTTTTTTTTTTTTGGGATTTCACCATGGGTCTCAATTAGACAAGGAATTGACAGTCTAATTTAAAGCAATTACAGCTTTGAAGGGATATGACACATATCCAACTGAAGATGCTAATTTCTCATTACCTTTAAAATATCAATAGAACTAAAATACAAATGTAAAAAAAAATTAAAATTCTAGCTATATTTGTGCTCTGCATTTAGTTTTATTCATTTACTATTTAACAAATCCCTCTAACCATTTACTATTAAAGCAGAAGGAAGAAACATACAAACACCTGAAAAGCATGAACTTCAATTCATGACACTATTTTTTTTCCCCTTCTACACTGAATGGACTGGTATATATATTATAGTACAGTGCTTTGGCTCCCCCAAATGACACTTCTACAGCACAGTAATCCTGTGTCAGAGAAAAAAAAACTAAAAAACGGTGCCAGATACAACTGGGTTCCTTGCAGCCCATTTTCATTGGAAGAAATGTGTCAAATTCAAGATTCAGTGTGAGTATCATCACCCTTCATTTACCCCACTCTAATCAAAGAAAAACATATATTCAACCAAGGGTAAAGTCTACATCTTAGAGGATGTCAAGAAAAGTGGGCACTTTAATAGGCCGGGCGTGGTGGCTCACACCTGTAATCCCAGCTCTTTGGGAGGCCGAAGCAGATGGATCACGAGCTCAGGAGTTTGAGACCAGCCTGGCCAACATGGTGAAACCCCATCTCTACTAAAAATACAAAAGCTAGCCAGGCATGGTGGGGAACACCTGTAATCCCAGCTACTTAAGAGGCTGAGGGAGGAGAATTGCTTAAACCTGGGAGGCGGAGGATGCCGTGAGCCGAGATCACGCCATTGCACTCCAGCCTGGGCAACAGAGCGAGACTCTGGCTCAAAAAAAGAAAAGAAAAGTGAACACTTTTAAATAAAAATACTCAAACGTGAATTACATATTTATCACAAAAAATTAGTTCCAAGATTACAACTAACCACACCTACAAAAACCAAACAGTTTTAACTTGAGAAATAAAAATATCACTGCTAATAAGATCACTTGTTTAATTTTAAACCTTCAATAAACAATAAGATAGCTAACCTTTAATGAGTATTTACTATATGCCTGCCAAGCTCTATGCAATTTACATAGATGATTCCATTCAATTTCACAACAATTCTATTAAGGAGATACTATAATTTTCCTCATTTTATAGTAGAAGAAAATGAGGCATTGAAAGGGTCAGTAACTTACACGGGGTCATGAAAAATCTACTATAAGATTAATTTTCCCAGATCTTATTCATCCTCTCTCCCTTAGCAAGCTTTGTTTTCACAGTTGCAAATACTATTTTCTGTGATATTGTGATTATATACTTTCAACAACGATCTCCTGAACTCAACCTAACATTTTGAACTGCCCACTGTCTATCTCTACTGGCCCATAGCACTCACAAGCAATATCTTCACATCAAATATACTATCCTAACCCAAAAACATACTCCTTTTTTTTTATGTTCACTATCATTACTAACATTACACTACTCTTGTCCTCTATACCAGATGGCTTGGAGTCATCTTCACTGCACATTCCATTAGCCATCAAGTCTTTAGGCTATTTCCATAATGTCTACCACATCTGCCCACTTCTTTCCATTCTCACAGCTACTAATATAGTTCACATCCTCATTCAGTCCTTCATTTGGTCACTCACTATTTGCTCAACAAATAATTATCTTTATCATTAACCTGAACACTGGCAATATCCTTCTAAGAGGTCTCTACCATAAGTCTCAACATTCAACAGGTTGAACATCCAAACCTGAAAATACAGAATCCAAAGTGCTCCAAAATCTAAAACTTTTTGAGCATCAACATGACACTCAGGTTAAATGCTCACTGGAGCATTTCAGATTTTCAGATGCTCAACCAGTAAGTGTATAAGATAAACTTTCCAAAATCTGAAAAAAAATAGAAATCCAAAACACATCTGATCCCAAGCATTTCAGATAAGGGATACTCAGCCTATAATTAATTACTTGGTGACCTTATGTCTCAACTTGGGTCTCAATTCCCCAATCCTTTATTTACTCAGCTGTTGCAGTTCTCTTCATCATACTAGATTATAACATGTCACCCTGATCCTCAAAAACCTTCCACAATTCCTTCCTGCCCTCCTATCTTGCTAGTCTCATCTTCCACTCTTTCCCATGACAAACTGCTTTTTAGTAAAAATGTAAAACCAGAATCAAGATTAATGTGGAAAATACATGAGCACATTTCCTTGAAATAAAAAAAGGAGATGGTATCATTAAAATAATGTTAAGTAAACAGAATATATGACATCTAGGAAACGTCCACAAAAGTAAAGGTTATACTGTGGTTAGAAAAAATGAGATGATGGGCCTATGTCTGTGTTCAAGCTGGAAAGGGAAGAAAGAACCACGCGGCACTGAAGTACTATTACACTAAGGCTGCTGTTGCTGGAAAAAAGAAGGAACTGAAGCTCATCTATCACCAGCTGGTCCTCAGAACAGAGCTCTAGCAGCACTTAGCCTTCTCAAAGAAGCAAGGGAAAGAGATCACCCCGACCTACTCATCTCATCCCAAACCACCCCTCCTACGCCTCCCCTGAGGTTTATTTATCTTTGAGGCTTGCAGATTGACAAGTTAAATTTCAGCGGTCCTTTAATCCAAAGGCAAAGTTCTCTCAGTGATTTATGATATGTGAGATTTCTCTATGGTTTTCTTTACACTAACATCATCAAAATGTAAATAAATAAAATTAATTTTGAAAATTAGAATTATTTTTATGATTAGAATTCCTCAAGACTGGCTATTTTAAATCATAGTCATAAATGGATGATTTCTAGGATTCTATACAAAAGTGATCCAAAGACCAGAAACCTCACTATATCAACAGTACAAGCTCAGAAAAAAAGGCACCTTCACTACATGTTCTATGAAGAACTCTCCAAGGGAAATAGAAAGAACTGAATATCCCCACCAAAAAATCTGTAAACAGACAATCAGTCTTAATCCTTCCTATCTGAGAGGTTAGCTTGCCCTGTTCCACAGGGATTCTGGGAAGCTCTGCATTCACAAGAAATGAAGAGCTTTGAACTCTGTATATGAAGGGGTCCAAGAAGAAGTTATTATTATTATTTTTGCTTTGGGCTCTTTCCTTCATCTGCTTTGCTAATAAGTTCTTAAGGGTACTGAAAGTAAGTCATATTGAAGGTTTAAGAAGATTTTTTTTGTTTTTACAAAAAATAGGAAAATATCCAGATATAACTTGAGTTATGAAAACAATGTGACTGCAGTGAAAGCTACTTTAGTATTAGCAAGGCAAACAATATCTTTTTTTAAAAAGAGAAAAGTGTTAAAAAAGAAAAGTAGAACTGTAAGCCAAAACTACTTTAAATCTTCCAAAAAGACAAAAAAAATAAGAAATATGCTACAGTCAGGGCTAATAATACTACACGCAAGAATGTAACAGAATCATACCTGAGAATCTGCAAAGCAAAGAAACACACCTTGGGTGGAACTAGTGGTTAACAACCTGATCAGACCCAATGCTTCTTTAAATATTTTAATACTTAAAATATGTTGCAATACTTGTATTACTATCCAAAAATAAAATTCACAATTTTTTAATATCAATAGAATTCCATAACTAAATATATATAAAATATTTAAAAATTTAAAACAAAAAAATAGTGGCATACATAATTGATCAGACACAGTGCCCTAGACTACATGATCAAGTAGTTAGATACCATACCCATCAGCAAAAACATCGGGAATAACCCACCTACCAATGCAAACTGACACGGTGTGTGCATTGGTGTTTCAAATACCACATCAGTGATGTTCTTTGTCAAAAAAGCGAACTCAGAAACACTCAGAACGAAACAAAGTATTATCTTCCTCAACTCATAGGCTAGTTGGAGTCCAGGAACAATGAGGGTATACCAAAAATATGGGGGAAAAATATTTTGTGTTGATTTATAGAACAGTGTTTAGTTGTAGATTCAGATAATTAGAAACAGTTTAGTTTTTTGGTTTCTGGGTTTCTGTTGTTGTTCACATGAATATAAAAAGTCAAAAAGGAGGCCAGGCATGGTGTCTCACGTCTGTAATCCCAGCACTTTGGAAGGCCGAAGCAGGCAGATCACCAGGTCAAGAGATCAAGACCATCCTGACGAAAATGGTGAAAACCCGTCTCTACTAAAAATACAAAAATTAGCTGGTCGGGGTGGCACACACCTATAGTCCCAGCTACTTGGGAGACTGAGGCAGATAATAGCTTGAACCCGGGAGGCAGAGGTTGCAGTGAGCCGAGATCGCGCCACTGCACTTCAGCTTGGCAACAGAGAGACTCTGTCTCAAAAAAAAAAAAAAAAAAAAAGGGCAGGAAGGATGTGGGAAAATCTGTGGTTGTACAGAACTACTCAGTGCACTGTAAATGCACCAGCATCCCCATCTCCTGTCTACTAAACACCTGTTGGACTTGCCAATCATTTTTACAAACACCAAAAATACCATAAAGATGGCCAAAATATCCAGCAGGGGTGACTATAACCCCTATAGTCCAGAACTACTGGACTGAACCAACAAGCCATCCTTGTGAAAGGCTCAGTTTGAAACAGTAGGCTTTCCTCTATGGCATCTCTCTTGTGAGATAGTAAAAAAAACCAACTCAAGTCCATAACTTTTCTTTTCCTGGCCTATTAAAATAATGACTCCCACTTCAAGTACAAAATCTACTGCCTGATAAAACTTAATTTAAAATTTTAAAAATATATTTTTTACCTACTGCCTGGATTTTGATTTACACTGATCTTTGAATATTATACATGAGTTAATTGTTGAACATGAACTAAAATATACAATGTGATCTGAAAAATGTTTTTAAAAAGATAAACAAAAGGTAGCAGAGAAGAAAAACAAAAAGGGCATAGAAAAACTACGGGCTAGAAAACAAACCCCTCAACGACTAAGTTGGATGAATATAATGTTTTCCCTAGAGATGGCAATATTATACCGAGAAAGCTACCAATGGTATATTTAATATATTTGGTTTCCATTCCTGCCAACAACTGTCAGCTAAAATGAAACATCTCAGTAAAATTATAGTTAATGCTTTAATTTCCGAAACTAATGTAAATCTCTAAACTCACACCTGTGTTTGTATAGCACTTTTGATGGGCCCTGTCACCTTAAATGTCAGCATCTATTCCACTTCATTTCAATAGTTAAGCTGTGAAGAAATCTACTCATATATTTAGTAACATGCTTTGTGACTTATACATCTCTAAATATTTAGAAGACTAATTTTAAGGAAAGTTACTTAACCTGTCTGAGCTTCAGTTTCCTCATGGAGCTGTTGTGAGGATTAAATTACATAAACCTGGCTGGTCACAGTGACTCACACCTGTAATTCCAGCACTATGGGAGGCCAAGTTGCAAGGATCACTTAAGGCCTGAAGTTCAAGACCAGCCTAGGCAACACAGTAAGAACTTATTTCTATAAAAGAAAAAATTAGCCAGGCAGGGTGGCATGCGCCTGTATTCCCAGCTACTTGGGAGGCTGAGGTGGGAGGATCACTTCAGCCCAAGAGTTCAAGGCTGCAGTGAGCTGTGATCACACCACTGCACTCCAGCCTAGGCGACAGAGCAAAACTGTCTCTACCACAGAAGAAGAAGTTAAATTTTTTTACCCATGTGAAGTATTTACCAAAGTGCCTGGCACTTAACAAACACATTACAAATGTTAGCTATTAGTGATAATCTCTCCTCAGTCTCCTTATATCACCAGATAAATCTAAACCTTAATAAGTCCACTACTTATACAGTCATCAATAAATATTCCTCCTTTAGAAAACAAGGACCCCATCCAAGTCTGGAAACAGTCCTCTGGGTTTTCCAATATTCATACAGAAGCCTTATTCCTTGGACCAACTAAAGGGAATTGGAATATATTTGGCTATTAAGCTCCAAGATAACAGAAGGATTCTCCTGGAATGGGGAGAGCACACTTTGACCAGAGATGAACAGGAAACAAAGCCAGACAGGAGGCAGGTATCAATAGCCGAAGTACAGCACAAGGTATTTGAAAGTCATGGAGATAAACAAACAGAAGCAAGCAGAGAATAAATGGAGACAAGTCCAGAATAGGGGTATTAACTGTGCTGTTGTCCTTTGTATGCCTTCAGAGGGGTGGGGAGTAGCAGAATGGATATATTCACAGGGCCTGGACCAAATGGATTTGTTACGCAACTACTTCCTCCTCCCTTTGTAACTCAGATTAAGCCACTCAAAGACTGAGAACACAAAATGATTACCTTTACAACTCCATTTGCCCTCCACATCCCTGGTTCTTATTCTCATCCAAAAGACCTAGGATAAGGCAATCTGACCTAGACTCTGAACTAGACCATGACACAAGACTTCAGCCAAAAAGAATTAACTTTTCAGGGAACTTGGAGGAAAGAGGGAAAGATTATAAAGATTATGGAATTTTTAAAAATGTATACATGGCTGGGCGTGGTGACTCACGCCTGTAATCCCAACACTTTGGGAGGCCGAGGTAGGCGGGTCACAAGGTCAGGAGTTCAAGACCAGCCTGACCAATATAGTGAAACCCCGTCTCTACCAAAAATACAAAAATTAGCCAGGCATGGTGGTGGGCGACTGTAATCCCAGCTACTCGGGAGGCTGGGGCAGGAGAATCATTTGAACCCAGGAGGCGGAGGAGGTTGCAGTGAGCTGAGATCATGCCATTGGACTCCAGCCTGGGCGACAGAGTGAGACTCCGTCTCAAAAAAAAAAAGTATACATTTAAAAGCTCAGTATCTTTTTTCAGAACACCTTCAGAAACCATGAGTAACACTGCCAAAAGACTCTAGTAGAGCGAGAGCAACTCCATCTTGAACAAAGGCTGGATCAAATGAGGCTCGCACTTGATGGGCTGCATTCCCAAGAGGTTAGGCATTCTCAGGCACAGGATGAGACAAAGGGTCAGCAAGACTGGCTATGACAAGACAAAAGGTCCTAAAGACCCTGCTGATAAAACAGGATGCATTAAAGAAGCCAGCCAAAACCCACCAAAACCAAGATGGCCACAAAAGTGACCTCTGGTCATCCTTACTGCTCACTATATGCTAATTATAATCCATTAGCATGCTAAAAGATACTCCCACCAGCACCAGTACAGTTTACAAATGCCATGGCAACATCCAAAAATTACCCTATATAGTCTAAAAAGGGGAGAAACCCAGAGTTCCGGGAATTGTCCATCTCTTCCCTAGAAAACTCAAGAATAATCCACCTCTTGTTTAGCATATGATCAAGAAATAACCTTAAAAATAGCCAACCAGCAGCCCGTAGGGCTACTCTGCCTATGCAGTAGCCATTCTTTTGTTTCTTTACTTTCTTAATAAACTTGCTTTCACTTTACTCTACGGACTCATCCCAAATTCTTTCTTGCACAAGATCCAAGAACCCTCTCTTGGTGTCTGGATCAGAACCCCTTTCTGGAAACTACATTCCATAATGTAAATGGTAAACTACAGAGAATATTTAACACTGAAAATTATATTTAGTGTAATTAATTTCATTCTTTGAGGATATAAATATATATGTATGTACACACACACACACACACACACACACACACACATATATATATATCAGGCATGGTGGCTCACGCCTGTAGACCCAGAACTTTGGGAGGCTGAGGTGGATGAATCACTTGAAGCCAGGAGTTTGAGACCAGCCTGGCCAACATGACAAAACCCCGTCTCTACTAAAAACACAAAAAATACACAAATCAGCTGGGCCTGGTGGCGCATGCCTGCAATTCCAGCTATTAGGGAGGCTGAGGCAAGAGAAACCCTTGAACTCAGGAGGCAAAGGTTGCAGTGAGCCAAGATCACGTCACTGCACTCAAGCTAGGCAATGGAGTGAAACCCTGTCTCAAAAAAAAAAATTAATAAAATTGAAATAGATATATATCATTATAAAACAAATAGGACATAGCTCTGTGTGGGGGAAACTTCAGCTCATTTAAAGACATACTTTTTTTTTCAAGGGCAAAAGTTATAGGCATGGAAAGCCATCAACAATAAGAATACAAAGAGTCCTATATTCAAAAGCTATATGAAAACTTTAAAAAAGAGAAATGACTTTCACAAGTCATTTTGGAAATTTCTGCATATGATAATTTTAGCCTTTAAGGGTAATTCAGCTTGAAGTTTCACATTTAGCCATAGCATCTCTAGGCTTAAACCATATTATCATGAGCAGAATCTAATTTTGTAGGTTGATTAGAAAAACCCAAATTCTGTGAACTCTAAAATATTGTCACTAAGACCATCTGCCATGGTGTATTTTTACAACTATATGCATAAATGGTTAGGCCTCAACTAACTAGAAAACTTAATAAACTTTTCTCCATTCTCCAAATATAAAATGTATCAATATTTTACTGTAACTGCCCAATAAATATACATAAAATAATACCAGGTTGGCTTCCATAATAATTTGATGCCAAAAACCACTATGAGAACAAAAGTATTATACTTGTAGTGTTTACTTTTAAAAAGGAAGCCCTGTGTTAATGCCTTCATTTAAATCATTTTGAAAGGTATTCAATTGTAACAGAAATACACAGTGCTCTTTCTAAATCATAAACTTCCCTAGAAACAGAACAAATAAAAGTTTGCAAGGCAGCATAATCCCTCAAATCTAGCTCAATAGAAAAGCTCATTTCATATATAACATATACCTATTATCTAATATTTAACCTTGAAAAAAAATAATTACTCAATTTTGCTATACTCATCTTAAAGATGTCTAGTGTTTATGAAACAGAATTGAGATAAATCTTTTGAATTCAGTTAGTATTTTCTCTAGACATTAAACATTCACTCAACACTCAGAGAGTACCCTGCCTGGGACTGTCAATCTTGCCTACTTCACAGCCTTGGAACATAAAACAATTTATTTCTCTATTCAGAAGTTATGTTTGACACTTGACAAAGACTCTCTCCTTGACCTAACTCTTGTCAAGCTCCTGAAACCTCTTCTTGATAAGGCCTGCTAATTCAGTTTCAGTGAGAATCCTGCTAAGTAAGTTTAGGGAAAATCCCCCACCCTTCGTCTGACCATCTTTAATATCTTATGATCCTGGTCTGCCTTCAGCAAAATTCCCTAGGTCACTTTACTACCTCTTAATAATTTTCCATCCACCCTGACCCCTGCTCCAAATCCCCACCTATCCTATCATATTCCAACTTCAGCTTCTCTCTCTCCCCTACTACAAAAACCTATTATAGTAGCCCCTTTGAATAAAGTCTTCCTTACTATCCTTAACAAATGACATGAATAATTTTTTTTCTTTAACACTCTTCATCTGATTATTAATCCCGTTCCTCCTAATTCCTTTTACGTAATTTCCACTAAGAGTGTTTGAGAGTGTGTGTTTTACCATCCCACTTCACTCTTCTTCAGGCTCCATTTTCACTCCTGTCATAGTCAACGGCTTGCCAGAAGCCCTGTGAAAAGCTTCCAGGCTTATCAAACACATGTGTTCTCTAGCCTGTTCTACTGTTACATCTGTGTGTCCTGTCTCAGCTGTTCCACCAGACTCCTTATTGGCTGTATCAAAGTTCATTCTGTGTCAAAAGATATAAAAAGGTACACACAGCTCTCTATTTTGCAGGCATCACACAAAAATTGCTTTGCAACTTGTTAATAGGCTTATAATAACTTGAGACCCAAGAGGGTAGGTATAAAGAGAGTCATGTATATCAATGCATGGGATGTTCATATTTTACATAATAGAAATGGAGTAGGTCATGATAATGAATACACATTCGAAACGAACTATGACAACCCAAACTATACCAATAAACAATAAAAACAACACAGTAAGGGCCAAAATGATCAAAAAACTATGACTATTTAAGGCCAACTTGCAGTATCTCAGAAATCAAGACAGAATACCAAAAGTATTTTAAAATTCAATACACCTAAAACTATTAAATCAACGTAAACTCAATGTTCCAATGTTAACTGGAGAAAAGCCTCCAAAGGCTCCTAATAAATTCATAATTGACATTTTCAATAACAAATGACAAATTAAACTTGAATTCATCCTCACTGAAAAGTAATTACCAACCAAGAATGACATGAAATAATTTCTAAGATAAAAGAAATTAAGGCTTTAAACTAAAAGGGATGAGAAACAAATTTTAGATGTCAGGCTCAGGATAAGAAAAACTACTTTTAAATAAACAGAAGTAATTCAAAGTTTTACGTGTACTTGTTTTTAGTGAGGCAACGAGGTTACCAACTTCACTTGCCTTCACCCAAAAGCCCTCACTTCCCTGAACATAAATAGCAACTGAACACTAGGTCTTTTTAATATGAGGTAGAGTCATCATTTGTGACACACAGAATATTCTTCCACATCTTTAAGAATGCTCATTTTCACTGTCCCTGCCATTCTGTAGTACTCTAATGAAAAGCATCCTACCATTAGACCCACTGGTATTGCAAAGCCAATAAGAAATATTTCTTGACTGTCTTAAGGAGGTTTTAAAAAGCATCCAAGTAAATTAGAAGCTGCTGTCAGACTCTAGACTGCGAGAGCACAGAAACCCTTTGTCTGTAAGGCTGACAGCTGCCAAAGCTGACCTTTCCCTAACTGGCCAACTGAAGAAACATTAATAGAATCTGTTTAACCTTACCCATTCACCTTTAATGTGACCAAGGTTAAGTCAATCAACTCAGCAGTGGGAGATGCAAAATAGTCACCATGGACAGCAATATTTACTCATTGAAACGCCTTAGAAATTTCAGATTTAAAATCCAATTTATTTACATATAGGTCAAAGAATGAAAAATATCAGTTTCCTTTTTGAACACTTCATATTAAGGCTTCCTATACTACATGATAAGGATTCAGAATCTACTATCCACCAGAAACCCAGTATAGACTAAAAAAGTATCAATGCACTGCCCAAGTCAGTAATAGAACACCAGAAATTAATGATCCCTTTTTATGTACATATTTCTCCATCGAAGGACACAATACAACTCAGGTATAACACTGCATCTCCTCCTAAGGTAAAAATATATTTATTTTACAGAAGTAGATCAACATAAAAGCAACTGCAGCATTGAGGAAACCGAAAAGACAGAGAAATGCACACAAACACAGCACACAAGCACTTTAAGTCCAGGTTGACTCAAAGACATGTGTGCCAACAATCCAGCTTCTGTGACAAACAAGATGGCCCCGTGGCTGCCCACTCCCTGCTGTTTCCTTCCACCTCAACTTATGCAGCAGCACCTGACTTAGGCAGCAGGTCACACATCAGACACCACCTCATGAAACAAATGCTAGTAACTTTTCCCCAAACCTTGCTTTGTCATGAGTCTAAAAGCATCACTGATACCTGACTAGCTATAGCAGTTTTCAAATGCAAACTAAATATTCTAACCAAAGTGATGAAAGTGTGCATGTTCCTATTAATGAAATGATAAAAATTGGGAAAGCCTACAATGAAATGGAAAGAGCTTACAGAGACCTGGGGACAAGCTAATCAACAGCACCTGAATTCAAGTGCCTTAATTACCAGTATCAGATGCCATGGGAGAGTCCATGAAAAAGATGGGAAAAGGTCTCTGCCTGGAAAGTGATTGCAGACTATCACGGGAATGGTTATTCTGTCAAGCCCTCTGCAATACTTTGTTACTCTATCTTCCATGAATCCCCATCAGCCACAAATACTTGATCAAGCTTTACATTCTATGGTTTATATTTCAAAAACATAAGGCATAATGTTTTCTATACTCTATACTAACCTCCACCGACGTTCTAATAAACACCCTAGGAGGACTACCTCTCCATCCTATCCCCCCACTGAGAATCACTGAACTAGAAAAATCAAAATAGTCACACAAGAAGGCAAAGTTACTGCTCCCTTTAGAAGCTGTATAACACCACACTGGGATGTATACATACGGATATTAATCATCACTTCAGCCAATCTTTCAAGTTTATCCAAATTTATGCATCTTACTTTAATGCACAGGTTCATTATAATGCACCTCAAATGATTAGCAAAGTGAAACAGGATATAAATTTATAAATAAATAAAATATGGCAAACAGACTAGAAGCAACTAGAGTAATTTTAAACACCAACACTCTTGTTAAAACTGCATACATTTCCCATAAATTCCTGTTTCCTAAAACAAAAAGACTCAACACCATTTTTTTAAATTATTATTATACTTTAAGTTTTAGGGTACATGTGCACAATGTGCAGGTTTGTTACATATGTATACATGTGCCATGCTGGTGTGCTGCACCCACTAACTCGTCATTTAGCATTAGGTATATCTCCTAATGCTATCCCTCACCCCTACCCCCACCCCACAACAGTCCCCAGAGTGTGATGTTCCCCTTGCTGTGTCCATGTGTTCTCATTGTTCAATTCCCACCTATGAGTGAGAATATGTGGTGTTTGGTTTTTTGTTCTTGTGATAGTTTACTGAGAATGATGATTTCCAATTTCATCCATGTCCCTACAAAGGACATGAACTCATCATTTTTTATGGCTGCATAGTATTCCATGGTGTATATGTGCCACATTTACTTAATCCAGTCTATCATTGTTGGACATTTGGGTTGGTTCCAAGTCTTTGCTATTGTGAATAGTGCCGCAATAAACATATGTGTGCATGTGTCTTTATAGCAGCATGATTTATAGTCCTTTGGGTATATACCCAGTAATGGGATGGCTGGGTCAAATGGTACTTCTAGTTCTAGATCCCTGAGGAATCGCCACACTGACTTCCACAATGGTTGAACTAGTTTACAGTCCCACCAACTGTGTAAAAGTGTTCCTATTTCTCCACATCCTCTCCAGCACCTGTTGTTTCCTGATTTTTTAATGACTGCCATTCTAACTGGTGTGAGATGGTATCTCATTGTGGTTTTGATTTGCATTTCTCTGATGGCCAGTGATCATGAGCATTTTTTCATGTGTTTTTTGGCTGCATAAATGTCTTCTTTTGAGAAGTGTCTGTTCATGTCCTTTGCCCACTTTTTGATGGGGTTGTTTTTTTTTCCTCATAAATTTGTTTGAGTTCATTGTAGATTCTGGATATTAGCCCTTTGTCAGATGAGTAGGTTGCGAAAATTTTCTCCCATTTTGTAGGTTGCCTGTTCACTCTGATGGTAGTTTCTTTTGCTGTGCAGAAGCTCTTTAGTTTAATTAGATCCCATTTGTCAATTTTGGCTTTTGTTGCCATTGCTTTTGGTGTTTTAGACATAAAGTCCTTGCCCATGCCTATGTCCTGAGTGGTAAAGCCTAGGTTTTCTTCTAGGGTTTTTATGGTTTTAGGTCTAACGTTTAAGTCTTTAATCTATCTTGAATTGATTTTTGTATAAGGTGTAAGGAAGGGATCCAGTTTCAGCTTTCTGCATATGGCTAGCCAGTTTTCCCAGCACCATTTATTAAATAGGGAATCCTTTCCCCATTGCTTGTTTTTCTCAGGTTTTTCAAAGATCAGATAGTTGTAGATATGCAGCGTTATTTCTGAGGGCTCTGTTCTGTTCCATTGATCTATATCTCTGTTTTGGTACCAGTACCATGCTGTTTTGGTTACTGTAGCCTTGTAGTATAGTTTGAAGTCAGGTAGTGTGCTGCCTCCAGCTTTGTTCTTTTGGCTTAGGATTGACTTGGCGATGCGGGCTCTTTTTTGGTTCCATATGAACTTTAAAGTAGTTTTTTCCAATTCTGTGAAGAAAGTCATTGGCAGCTTGATGGGGATGGCATTGAATCTGTAAATTACCTTGGGCAGTATGGCCGTTTTCACGATATTGATTCTTCCTACCCATGAGCATGGAATGTTCTTCCATTTCTTTGTATCCTCTTTCATTTCCTTGAGCAGTGGTTTGTAGTTCTCCTTGAAGAGGTCCTTCACATCCCTTGTAAGTTGGATTCCTAGGTATTTTATTCTCTTTGAAGCAATTGTGAATGGGAGTTCACTCGTGATTTGGCTCTCTGTTTGTCTGTTGTTGGTGTATAAGAATGCTTGTGATTTTTGTACATTGATTTTGTATCCTGAGACTTTGCTGAAGTTGCTTATCAGCTTAAGAAGATTTTGGGCTGAGACAATGTTGTTTTCTAGATATACAATCATGTCATCTGCAAACAGGGACGATTTGACTTCCTCTTTTCCTAATTGAATACCCTTTATTTCCTTCTCCTGCCTAATTGCCCTGGCCAGAACTTCCAACACTATGTTGAATAGGAGTGGTGAGAGAGGGCATCCCTGTCTTGTGCCAGTTTTCAAAGGGAATGCTTCCCGTTTTTGCCCATTCAGTATGATATTGGCTGTGGGTTTGTCATAGATAGCTCTTATTATTTTGAAATACGTCCCATCAATACCTAATTTATTGAGAGTTTTTAGCATGAAGCGTTGTTGAATTTTGTCAAAGGCCTTTTCTGCATCTATTGAGATAATCATGTGGTTTTTGTCTTTCTGTTTATATGCTGGATTACATTTATTGATTTGCGTATATTGAACGAGCCTTGCATCCCAGGGATGAAGCCCACTTGATCATGGTGGATAAGCTTTTTGATGTGCTGCTGGATTCGGTTTGCCAGTATTTTATTGAGGATTTTTGCATCAATGTTCATCAAGGATATTGGTCTCAAATTCTCTTTTTTGGTTGTGTCTCTGCCCGGCTTTGGTATCAGGATGATGCTGGCCTCATAAAATGAGTTAGGGAGGATTCCCTCTTTTTCTATTCATTGGACTAGTTTCAGAAGGAATGGTACCAGTTCCTCCTTGTACCTCTGGTAGAATTCAGCTGTGAATCCATCTGGTCCTGGACTCTTTTTGGTTGGTAAGCTATTGATTATTACCACAATTTCAGATCCTGTTATTGGTCTATTCAGAGATTCAACTTCTTCCTGGTTTAGTCTTGGGAGAGTGTATGTGTCGAGGAATTTACCCATTTCTTCTAGATTTTCTAGTTTATTTGCATAGAGGTGTTTGTAGTATTCTCTGATGGTAGTTTGTATTTCTGTGGGATCAGTGGTGATATCCCCTTTATCATTTTTTATTGCGTCTATTTGATTCCTCTCTCTTTTTTTCTTTATTAGTCTTGCTAGCGGTCTATCAATTTTGTTGATCCTTTCAAAAAACCAGCTCCTGGATTCATTAATTTTTTGAAGGGATTTTTGTGTCTCTATTTCCTTCAGTTCTGCTCTGATGTTAGTTATTTCTTGCCTTCTGCTACCTTTTAAATTTGTCTGTTCTTGCTTTTCTAATCCTAATTGTGATGTTAGGGTGTCAACTTTGGATCTTTCCTGCTTTCTCTTGTGGGCATTTAGCACTATATATTTCCCTCTACACACTGCTTTGAATGCGTCCCAGAGATTCTGGTATGTTGTGTCTTTGTTCTCGTTGGTTTCAAAGAACATCTTTATTTCTGCCTTCATTTCATTATATACCCAGTAGTCATTCAGGAGCAGGTTGTTCAGTTTCCATGTAGTTGAGTGGTTTTGAGTGAGATTCTTAATCCTGAGTTCTAGTTTGATTGCACTGTGGTCTGAGAGATAGTTTGTTATAATTTCTGTTCTTTTACATTTGCTGAGGAGAGCTTTACTTCCAAGTATGTGGTCAATTTTGGAATAGGTGTGGTGTGGTGCTGAAAAAAATGTATATTCTGTTGATTTGGGGTGGAGAGTTCTGTAGATGTCTATTAGGTCTGCTTGGTGCAGAGCTGAGTTCAATTCCTGGGTATCATTGTTGACTTTCTGTCTTGTTGATCTGTCTAATGTTGACAGTGGGGTGTTAAAATCTCCCATTATTAATGTGTGGGAGTCTAAGTCTCTTTGTAGGTCACTCAGGACTTGCTTTATGAATCTGGGTGCTCCTGTATTGGGTGCATATATATTTAGGATAGTTAGCTCTTCTTATTGAATTGATCCCTTTACCATTATGTAATGGCGTGCTTTGTCTCTTTTGATCTTTGTTGGTTTAAAGTCTGTTTTATCAGAGACTAGGATTGCAACCCCTGCCTTTTTTTGTTTTCCATTTGCTTGGTAGATCTTCCTCCATCCTTTTATTTTGAGGCTATGTGTGTCTCTGCACGTGAGATGGGTTTCCTGAATACAGCACACTGATGGGTCTTGACTCTTTATCCAATTTGCCAGTCTGTGTCTTTTAATTGGAGCATTTAGTCCATTTACATTTAAAGTTAATATTGTTATGTGTGAATTTTATCCTGTCATTGTGATGTTAGCTGGTTATTTTGCTCGTTAGTTGATGCAGTTTCTTCCTAATTTCAATGGTCTTTACGTTTTGGCATGATTTTGCAGTGGCTGGTACCAGTTGTTCCTTTCCATGTTTAGCACTTCCTTCAGGAGCTCTTTTAGGGCAGGCCTGGTGTTGACAAAATCTCTCAGCATTTGCTTGTCTGTAAAGGATTTTATTTCTCCTTCACTTATGAAGCTTAGTTTGGCTGGATATGAAATTCTGGGTTGAAAATTCTTTTCTTTAAGAATGTTGAATATTGGCCCCCACTCTCTTCTGGCTTGGAGAGTTTGTGCCGAGAGATCCACTGTTAGTCTGATGGGCTTCCCTTTGAGGGTAACCCAACCTTTCTCTCTGGCTGCCCTTAACATTGTTTCCTTCATTTCAACTTTGGTGAATCTGACAACTATGTGTCTTGCAGTTGCTCTTCTCGAGGAGTATCTTTGTGGCGTTCTCTGTATTTCCTGAATCTGAATGTTGGCCTGCCTTGCTAGATTGGGGAAGTTCTCCTGGATAATATCCTGCAGAGTGTTTTCCAACTTGGTTCCATTCTCCCCGTCACTTTCAGGTACACCAATCAGACGCAGATTTGGTCTTTTCACATAGTCCCATATTTCTTGGAGGCTTTGCTCATTTCTTTTTATTCTTTTTTCTCTAAACTTCCCTTCTCGCTTCATTTCATTCATTTCATCTTCCATTGCTGATATCTTTTCTTCCAGTTGATCGCATCGGCTCCTGAGGCTTCTGCATTCTTCACGTAGTTCTCGAGCCTTGGTTTTCAGCTCCATCAGCTCCTTTAAGCACTTCTCTGTATTGGTTATTCTAGTTATACATTCTTCTAAATTTTTTTCAAAGTTTTCCACTTCTTTGCCTTTGGTTTGAATGTCCTCCCGTAGCTCGGAGTAATTTGATCATCTGAAGCCTTCTTCTCTCAGCTCGTCAAAGTCATTCTCCGTCCAGCTTTGTTCCGTTGCTGGTGAGGAACTGCGTTCCTTTGGAGGAGGAGAGGCGCTCTGCTTTTCAGAGTTTCCAGTTTTTCTGTTCTGTTTTTTCCCCATCTTTGTGGTTTTATCTACTTTTGGTCTTTGATGATGGTGTACAGATGGGTTTTTGGTGTGTTTGTCCTTTCTGTTTGTTAGTTTTCCTTCTAACAGACAGGACCCTCAGCTGCAGGTCTGTTGGAGTACCTGGCCATGTGAGGTGTCAGTCTGCCCCTGCTGGGGGGTGCCTCCCAGTTAGGCTGCTCGGGGGTCAGGGGTCAGGGACCCACTTGAGGAGGCAGTCTGCCCATTCTCAGATCTCCAGCTGGGTGCTGGGAGAACCACTGCTCTCTTCAAAGCTGTCAGACAGGGACGTTTAAGTCTGCAGAGGTTACTGCTGTCTTTCTGTTTGTCTGTGCCCTGCCCCCAGAGGTGGAGCCTACAGAGGCAGGCAGGCCTCCTTGAGCTGTGGTGGGCTCCACCCAGTTCCAGCTTCCTGGCTGCTTTGTTTACCTAAGCAAGCCTGGGCAATGGCGGGCGCCCCTCCCCCAGCCTCGCTGCTGCCTTGCAGTTTGATCTCAGACTGCTGTGCTAGCAATCAGCGAGACTCCGTGGGCGTAGGACCCTCCGAGCCAGGTGCGGGATATAATCTCCTGGTGCGCCGTTTTTTAAGCCTGTCGGAAAAGCACAGTATTCGGGTGGGAGTGACCCGATTTTCCAGGTGCCATCTGTCACCCCTTTCTTTGACTAGGAAAGGGAACTCCCTGACCCCTTGCACTTCCCGAGTGAGGCAATGCCTCGCCCTGCTTCGGCTCGTGCACGGTGCGCGCACCCACTGACCTGCGCCCACTGTCTGGCACTCCCTAGTGAGATGAACCCGGTACCTCAGATGGAAATGCAGAAATCACCCATCTTCTGTGTCGCTCACGCTGGGAGCTGTAGACCGGAGCTGTTCCTATTCCAAAACCATTTTTTTAATTGCAGTAAAAACATATCAATCTAATTGACTCCGAACTTCTTCACAATACAGGCATATGCTGCTTCTGTATCCTCCGTAATATTACTACCCAGCATATATTCCATGCACAGTACTAAGCACTCTATACGCACTACCTCATTTAAACCTCACTAATCTGTGAGGTGAAAATCGTTATTATCCTCTTATTTCTTTGAGAGACAGGGTCTTGTTCTGTAGCCCAGGGTGGGCTACAGATCATAGTCCACTGTAGCCTCCAACACCTGGGCTCAAGTAATCATCCCACCTCAGCCTCCCAAGTAGCTGGATTACAGGTGTGCACCACTACACCCAGCTATTTTTTATTTTTTGTAGAAATGAAAAACAATATGAAAGTTCCTCAAAAAATTAAAAATAGAACCACCATATGTTCCAGCAAAATCTATTACTGGGTATGTATCTGAAGGAAATGAAATCAGTATGCTGAAGACATCTGCACACCCATATTTACTGCAGCACTATTCACAATAGCCAAGATACGGAATCAACCTAAGTGTCCACCGATAGATACATGGATTTTTTTAAATGCAATATATATACATAACGGAATAATATTGAGTCATAAAAAAAAATGAAAATCCTGCCACTTGCAACACCATGAATGAAACAGGGATATTACGTTAAGTAAATAAAGCCAGGCACAGAAAGACAAATATGTCATGATCTCACTCATATGTGGAATCTAAAAAAGTTGATCTCATAGAAATAGAGGGTAAAATAGTGATTACCAGTAGCTGGGGTGGTTAGGGAGGAAAAGAGGTTAGGGAGATGTCTGTTAAAGGATGCATAATCACAGTTAAGAGTATTAAGTTCAAGAGACCCATTGTACAACATGATGTCTACAGTTAATGACAACAAACTGTATTGATGAAAAATGCTAAGTGAGTGGATATTAAGTATTTTCACCACAAAAATAACTGTTGATGTAATACATTTGTTAATTAGCTAGATGTAATCATTCCACAATGTACCCTTCAAAACATTATATTTTACAGTGAATACATACAATTTTATATTCAATTTTTAAGTAAATTTAAAAGAAAAAAATTAAACACAGGAGGGAAAAATAAATAAATAGAAAATTGAGAAAACAGTTGATGAAAGTTTTCAGAAAATAAAATAAAAACACAAAGATTGAATGTCAGGACCGAAAAGAAAATAAGAGTACCAATCCAGAAAATATAAATTCCACCTAACAAGAGGTTATAAAAAGAGAACATAGAAGAAATTATTAAAGCAATAATAAAAAGAAATTTTCTAACTGAAGAATCAAATCTTCAGATTAAAAGAGTCCACCAAGTTCCCAACCCAAAAAAGTGAAAAAAGGTGCAGACATCGCCATGAAAGTTCACTACACAAGAGAGTGGGACTGGCAAAGGACACAAAGTTACATGCAAAGAATAAGAAGTCAAAATGAAATCAGGCTTCTCAAGAGCAACTCTAGAAGCTAAAAGGTTCAGCAAGCAATATCTCCAAAATGCCAATAAAAAATATTCCCAACATACAGGTATTTGCCTGTATACCAAGGCAAACTACACTCAAGTTTGACAGTATTATAAATACATTTTTCATACAATCTAGAACACAAAAAGTTTACCTCTGTTGATATATTAAGAAATAATTTGTATGACCATACTAGGACAATGGCAGGGAGTAGGGAACAGAGCATATGGGAACAAAAGTTTGTACACTATTGAAATTAACTTAATGCTAATCCCAACTAGATTGTTTTAAAATAAAATATAATTGTAATTCTAAGGGAAACCACGAAGAAAATAACTCAAAAAATACAGTAAAATAAACAGCAAAGGAATTAAAATGGTACACTAGAAAATACCATTTTAATACAAAGAAGGCAGTAATGGAGAAATACAGAAACAAAAAAACCTTAAGACATAGGAAACACATAGATGGCACACGGAAATACTAAGTTATCAGTAATTAAACATAAATGGATAAAACAATCCATGCAAAAGTCAGAGACTTCCAAAATGAATAAAAAAGAAAAGAAGATGATCCAACTATATGATATTTACAACAAACACACTTTAGATTCAAACACACATAAAGGATGAAAATAAAAAGAATAGAAAAAGACATATCACGTAAACAACAACCATAAAAGATCTGGAATGGCTATGCTAATGTCAAACAAACATAACTTAAAACAACAACAAAAAAATGTTACTAGAGAGGAACATTTCATAATGATAAAAGGGTCAACCCATCAAGAAGATTTAACAATTATAAACATATATGCAACTAACAAGAGAGCCCCAAAATAAATGAAGCAAAAATTGACAGAATTAAAGATAATAAATAAACAATAACAGTTGAAGACTTTAGTACCCCACTTTCAATAATGGATAGAACAAATAGGCAGAAGATGAACAAGGAAACCGAAGCTTTGAAAAGCACTATAGACCAACCAGATCTTACAGACTGTATCTACAGAACACTCCAACCAAGAATAGCAGATACACATTCTTCACAAGCACACATGGAACATCCTCCAGAACAGACCATATGCTAGGTCATAAAATAAAATTCAATAAATTTTAAAAGATTGCAGTCATATAAAATATATTCTCAAACTAAAATGGAATTAAATTAAAACCAGTAACAGAAGTTCAGGAAATTCAAAAACGTGGAAATTAAACACTTCTAATCAATGTGTCAAAGTAAAAAAGAATACTTTGAAATAAATGAAAAAGAAAACACAGCATACAAAAACTCATGGTTTGCATCTGAAGTAGTGCTTACAGGAAAATTTATAGCTGTAAATGTCTACATATAAAAAGAAAAAATATCTCAGATAAATACCCTAAACTCCTACCTTAAGAAACTAGAAGAAAAGAGCAAACCAAACCAAAGCAAGCAGAAGGAAGGAAATACTAAAGACTGTAGTAAAAACTAGTGAAATAGAGTCTAGAGAATAACACAGAAAAATCAATGAAACCAAAAGTTGGTTCTTTGAACAAATCCAGTAACACTGACAAACCTCTACCTAGATGACAAAAAAAAAGAGAAGACTCTAATTGTTAAAATCAGGAAGGAAAGAGAAGACATCATCACCAATCCTTTTATTTTCTTAAAGAAATCAAAAGGATAAGAGAAAACTATGAATAACTGCATGAATCAATTAGATAACTTAGATAAAGTGAATAAATTCCAAAAAAGACACAAATTACTAAAACTGACTCAAAAAGTAATATAAAACTTAAATAGATTCATAATAAGTAAAGAGAATGAATTGGTAATTTTAATGACCCACAAAGAGAAGCCCAGGCCCAGATTAATTCACTGGTAAATTCTACCAAACATTTAAACCAATCCTTCACAACCTCCTCCAAAAAACGGAAGAGGAGGAAACATTTCCCAACTCATTCTATGAGGCCAATATGATCCTAATACCAAAACCAGATATAGACATCACAAAAAACCTACAGACCAGTATCCCTTATCAATATAGATGCAAAAATCCTCAACAAAATACTAGCAAACCAAACCAAGCAGCATATTAAAAGATTATATAACATGACCAAGGGGGATTTATTCCAGGATTGCAAGGTTGGTGTAACATCCAAAAATCAATTAATGTAACAGAACTTTTTTTTTTTTTTTTCTGAGACAAAGTCTCACTCTTTTGCCCAAGCTGGAGTGCAGTGGTACGATCTCGGCTCACTGCAACATCCACCTCCCGGGTTCAAACAATTCTACTGCCTCAGCCTCCTGAGTAGCTGGGACTACAGGCACGCACCACCACGTCTGGCTAATTTTTTGGTATTTTTTTTTTAGTAGAGACGGGGTTTCACTATGTTGGTCAGGCCGGTCTCAAACTCCTGACCTTGTGATCCGCCCACCTCGGCCTCCCAAAGTGCTGGGATTACAGGTGTGAGCCACCGCGCCCGGCCCAACACACCATATTAATAAAGGACAGAAACCACATGATCATCTCAATTGGTGCAGGAAAAGCACTGACAAAATACAACATCCTTTCTTAATGAAAATATTCAACTAGAATTAGAAGAAAATCTCCTCAATCTGATAAAGGGCATCTATAAAAAAAACTCACAGCTAAAACCATGCAACATAGTGAAAGACTAAATGCTTTCCCCTGAGATCATGATCACTGCTATTGCCACTTCTATTCAACACTGTACTGGAGATTCTAGCTGGACAATTGGGCAAAAATAAAGAAACAAAAAGCATCCTGATTAGAAAGGAGTCAGAATATCTCTGTAGTAAACATAATCTCATAATGAATCCACTATAAAACTGTTAGAATTAAAAAACAAGTTCAATACAAAAAATTAGCAGGGTGTGGTGGCCGGCGGGAGGCTGAGGCAGGAGAATGGCATGAATCCAGGAGGTGGAGCTTGCACTCCAGCCTCGGCTACAGTGCAAGACTCCATCTCAAAAAAAAAAAAACAAAAAAACAAAAAAACAAAAACAAAAAAAAAAAACAAGTTCAGCAAGGTTGCAGGATACAAGATCAATATACAAAAATCACCTGGATTTTTATATACTAGCAATGAACATTCCAAAAATGAAATGAAGAAAACAACTCCACTTACAATAACATTGAAGAATATTTAGGTATAAATGTAACAAAAAATTACAAGACATTGTTGAAAAAAATTAAAGAAGATCTAAATAAATAGAAAGACATCCCATGTTCATGGATTGGAAGACTTAATATCATTACAAAAGAATACCTCCCAAACTGATCTACAGATTCAATGTAATCCCAGTGTAAATCCTAGCTAGCTTCTTGGTAGAAATTAACAAGTTGATCCCAAAATTCATTAAAAAATGCAAGGAACCCAGAGCAGCCAAAACAATCTTAAAAAAGAACAAAGCTGGAGAACTCATACTTCTCAATTTTAAATCTTAACAATAAAGCCACAGTAACCAATAATCAAGACCACATACTACTGACATAAGGATAAGCAGACAGATCAATGGAATAAAATTAAGAGTACTGAAATAAATGTTTACATTTACAGTTGTATTAGTCTGTTCTCACGCTGCTGTAAAGAACTGCCTGAGACTGGGTAATTTATAAAGGAAAGAGGTTTAATCCTGAGCCCTCTGCGTGTCTGGGGAGGCCTCAGGAAACTTACAATCATGGCAGATGGCACCTCTTCACAGGGCGGCAGGGGAGGGAATGAGAACCAAGCAAAGGGGGAGGCCCCTTATAAAACCATCAGATCTAGTGAGAACTTATTATCATGAGACTACCATGGGGGAGATTGCCCCCATGATTCAGTTACCTCCCACCAAGTCCTTTCCATGACACGTGGGGATTATGGGAACTACAATTCAAGATGAGATTTGGGTGGGGACACAATCAAACCATATCAACAGTCAACTGACTTGACAAGTGTGCCAAGACAATTCAATGAGGAAAGAATGGTTATTTCAACAAATGATGCTGGGACAACTAGATATCTACATGCAAAAGAATGAAGTTGGACCCTTACTTCACACCGTGTATAGAAATTAACACAAAATGAACCACAGATATAAACGTAAGAGCTAAAACTACAAAACTCTTACAGAAAAAACTGTAGGAGTAAATCTTTATGACCTCACATTAGACAAAGACTTCTTAGACTCAATACCAAAAGCACAAGTGACAAGAAAAAAAGATAAATTAGACTTCATCTGAAAAAAAAAAACCTTTTTGTTGCAAACAATACCATCAAGAAAAGACAACCTTCAGAGTGGGGGAAAATATTTGTAAATCATATATCTGATAATGGACTTGTATCCAGAATATGTAAAGAACACTCAACAATAAAAAGCCAAACAATTCAACTACAAAACAGGCAAAGGATTTGAACAGACATCTCTTCACAGATGATATACAAATGACCAATAAGCATATGAAAAGATATTCAGCTTCATTAGAAATGCAAATCAAAACCACAATTACATACCACTTCATACTCACTATGATGGCTATATTTTTTTAAAAGGTAACAATTTTTGGTGAGGATATGGAGAAAGTGGAACCCTCATCCACTGCTGGTAAGATATATAATGATACAGCCACTTTGGAAAACATTTTGATAGCTCCTCAAAAGTTTAAACACAGAATCACCCTATGACCTAGCAATTCTACTCCTAGGTATACACCTGAGAGAAAGGAAAACATATTCACACAAAAACCTGGACACAAATATTCACTGTAGCGTTATTCATAATAGCCAAAATATGGAAACCATCCAAATGTCCCTCGAATGCTGAACAGGTAAAATATTATTTGGCAATTAAAAAATTAATACTGATACATTCTACAGCACAGATGAAACTTGAAAATATTATGCTAAGTAAAAGAAGTCAACCACAAGGGACCACATATTGTATGACTCCATTTATATGAAATGTTCAGAATAGACAAATCCAGAGACAGAAAGCAGGTTAGTGGTTGCCAAGGGTTGGGAGAGGAAGAATAGGGAATGACCATAAATGGGTAAGAGGTTTCATTTTTAGGTGAAAATGTTCTAAAATTACATAGTAGTGTTGATTGCACAATCTGTAATTACACTAAAAACCAATGAATTATACATTGTAAAAGGGTGCATGTCAAGATTTGTGAATTCTAGCTCAATAAATCTATTATTTAAAAAAGTATATGTGACGCTGAGACACTCTACAACTGGGGTCTCCAACTCTCAGGCCACAATACCAGCACCAGCACATGGCCCATTAGGAACCAGGCTGCACAGGAGGTGAGCAGTGAGCGAGCATTACCACCTGAACTCCACTTCCTGTCAGATTAGTGGAGGCATTAGATTCTTATAGGAGTGCGAACCCTATTATGAACTGCACATGTGAGAGATCTAAGATGTGCACTCCTTATGATAATCTAATGACTGATGATCTGAGGTGGATCTGTTCATCCCAAAACCATCCACACCCCTCCCCATCCCCCGACCTCAGTCCGTGGAAAAATTGTCTTCCATGAAACCAGTCCCTGGTGCCAAAAAGGTTGGAGATGGCTGCCCTAGAATAAATAATAGACCTTCTCAAGGACACCTCTCTCTATGACCTACTAAAAATCAGTAATTTCAACAAAAGCAAAAAATAAACTATTTCTAATAGGAATGGATAAATTAACTGTAATTGATAATTGCAATAATGGACTTCACCAAGGATCAAAGTTAAAAGCAAAGTGGAAGATGCAGTGGGTTTGGTTCAGATGGTACCATGCATGACATCTGTCTATGCAAAGGTAGATGTGACTTAGAAACCTCATGAAGTAAATGAAAGAAACTATAGAAACTGCCTACCTAGCATATATTTGACACTAAACGTCTACAAAATGTTTGTTCACTTCCCTTCACAGTCTCTTTTCCCTAACTCATATACTCCATAGTGTTCCTTGCTACAGTGGATATGTCTTCTACTTGTCAGACAGGACAATGTCTTTCACCTATTGCAACTTCTACTTTTTTATTTTATTTGGCTTTAAGCCACGCATTCCAACAACAAAATAGAGTCTCTGCCAGTCCTACTACCATCTGACTGCTCTAAAACTTCCAAAACATAATGTTTCTACATTCCCATTGTGGCATATATCTACCTAAAAGACATAAATTCTAGGCCCGGCACGGTGGCTCACACCTGTAATCCCAGCACTTTGGGAGGCCGAGGCGGGTGTATCACCTGAGGTCAGGGGGTTCAAGACCACCCTGGCCAACATGGCAAAACTACGTCTCTAAAAATACAAAAATTAGCCAGGCATGGTGGCACACACCTGTAGTCACAGCTACTCAGGAGGCTGAGGCAGGAGAATCGCTTGAACCCAGAAGGTGGAGGTTGCAGTGAGCCGAGATCAGGCCACTGCATATTCCAGCCTGGATGACAGAGTGAGGCTCCATCTCAAAAAAAAAAAAAAAAAAAAAAAAAAGATACAAATTCTATTTCCAATACTCATCCCCATTAAATGAGTCCCAAAGATCTCTTCTTTTTTTATATAATTACAATATGTAAATCATTCAGATATGTCTGCAAAATTATTTTTTAAAACTATTCATACAGATCTTACTGACATTTTTGATTTATGGTTTTTATTTTTTTTTTGAGACGGAGTCTTGCTCTTTCGCCCAGACTAGAGTGCAGCGGCATGATCTCAGCTCATTGCAACCTCCACCTCCCGGGTTCAAGCAATTTTCATGCCTTAGCCTCCTGACTAGCTGGAATTATGGACGCGCAGCACCATGCCTGGCTAATTTTTGTATTTTTTGTAGAGTGGGGGTTTCACTATGTTGGTCAAGATGGTCTCGCACTTTTGACCTCAAGTGATCTGCCCACCACAGACTCCCAAAGTGCTGGGATTACAGGTGTGAGGCACCACGCCCCGCCTGACAACTGACTTTTAAATAAAGTATTACCTCCTCTAAATTTCACGACTATAAATAAGAAACTACCACTTGTCTAGTTTAACACATTATTAGCTTTATTTTGGCCGACAAAATTTTGGTTAAAGATGAACCTTTATAAACTAAACCTTCTTGTGCTTTAATAAAGCACACATTTAACAGAGCAAGTAAGTGTGAGACTTTGTTATTAAGGAGTCCTTTTCTTCTAGTCATAGAGAAGGAAAGATATATTGTTATCCAAAGCTATTAGCTACTGTTTCAGGCAGGTACTTGGAGAATGTAAAGAGAACACACTACACATTAGTACCAGCACTTAAGACAGAAGGGAAAAATGAATGGTGAGAACAATTAGAAATAACTACAAAAATATACTTACAGCCTCAAACTGCAATTGGCTATCCTTTAAGAAATCCTGAATTTTATCCTTGGGTAAAATACTAAATCTAAATCGAAGGAGATCCATTTCTTGTTGAATGAACCAGCGTCTAAGTTCTTCACTGAAATGAAGACAGAAATTATGAGTACAAACTAAAAATCCAGTAATTATTAAATCTAAGAAATGTTTATAAAACAATATTCAAACATCAGCAAGATGCCAATGGACAGCAGTTAAAAACATGCAAGTCCTCTATCACGGTAAGGAGAATATCAATACCACATATCACAATCTTCTAAGGATGGGTTGGGTACAAGGTATAGGGGGTGTTAAAAATTAAAAAGATTAAATACAAGAATGCTTCGAGACTAGCTGCATTATTTTTAAATAACATAAAATACTTCATGCATTTAATGTAACTGCAAAATATTCATTTTATGTTAGAAAATAGGGGCTGGGCGTCGTGGTTCATGCCCGTAATCCCAGCACCTTGGGAGGTCAAGGCAGGCAGATTGCTCGAGCCCAGAAGTTTGAGACCAGCCTGGGCAAGTTGGTAAAACCCCATATCTACAAAAAAATTAGCCAGGCATGGTAGCATGTGCCTATAGTCCCAGCTCCTCAGGAGGCTGAGGTGGGAGGATCACCTGAGCCCACGGATGTTGAGGCTGCAGTGAGCCGAGATCACACCACTGTACTCCAGCCTAGGTAATGGCATGAGACCCTAGCTCAAAAAAAAAAAAGAGAGAGAGAGAAAAGAGAAAAAAAAAAGAAAATGGGGAAATGGGGCACTCCTTTGGCTTGAGGTGTCTTTATAAATGCCAAATAAAAGACACCAAATTTTTTAAGGCAACTTTGATCAGATTAACTTTGCAAAGGAAACTTTGCTTATGGCTTTATAATTGATAATTTCACAAAATTTAATATGCACATATATACCACAATATTTAAAAGCAATAACGTTCATTTATAAGGCAGATACTAATGGGCATTATCGTTATATAATAAAATAATTACCCTACTGGATGCAAAATATGATTTCACATTTTTAGGAGATTTTCACAGATTGTCAGCAACATATTTATTATATAAATTTCACAAACTACATATGCTTTTTTACAGAAGAAAAACTCTAGAACCAAAACTGGTAAGTAATTTCTCAATTATTATCTTGGGATAGTAAGCAATTCCAGAGTCTCACTTGATAAGCTTATTAATTTTAAAAAAAGACAGCCATAACTAAATTATGTGACCAAAATTAACATGTGAGGGAAAAACAATTTTTAAAAAAGCAACTAACTTTACTACCTCTGGGTGGCACTATTAACTTAAAAGAAACCAACTACCAAACAAAAATATCTTCGATTTAACTGGCCCATAGAGCTCAAATTCCAAAAACCTGTATCAAATTCAAGTGTGGGTTTCATTAATTGTTTCTTATAAATATTACCATTTTTTTGCAGGAAAAATATCAAAAGTCCTTCTTCCCAATAAAATCCTTTCCAATTTAAAATCCCAAATGAAGAGTCTATCTCACAAACTTAAGAAGTGTTTCATCAGGCAAAATTCTGCGATAGAATTTTTTTCAATATTTTTAAGTAAACAATTTCTTCCAAACAATTTACTGTCAGTGTTCAACCCCATGATCAACCGGCTCCTGATGTTATTCTGGGTTTTCCTATGTTTAGCACAACACATCAACTTACCACACACCAATTTATAACCCATGACACCAGATTTGACTGTGAGAATATAAACATATACTTACGACTGGCAATAAGCAAGCCGCAAAATAAAATGAGAAATATGATCTCTTCTTCGTGGTTCATATTCATCTTCTAAGTTTTCCTTAAAAATAATGACACATGAATAAAATAAATGCATTAGAATGGTAAGAGGTGTAAGGAAATACTGAGCCAGCCTAAGCCAATGGTAAAGTAAGTTTCAAAAACATTTCTTTTTTTAGAGATGGGGTCTTGCTCTACCACCCAGACTGGAGAGTAGTGGTCAATCACAGCTCACTGTAACTTCAAACTCCTGGGCTCAAGTGATCCTCCAGCCTCAACCTCCCAAGCAGCTGGGACTACAAGCGACACCCACCATGCCCCGCTAATTTTTTATCTTCTGTATGATGGAGTCTCAATATGTTGCCTAGGCTGGTTATGAACTCCTGGTTTCAAGACTCCTACTCTAGTCCCTCAAAGCACTAGAATTACAGGCATGAGCCACCACACCCAGTCCCAAAACATTTCTTTTTTTTTTTTCCTTTTTACTTTAAGTTCTGGGATACATGTGCAGAATGTGCAGGTTTGTTACATAGGTATACGTGTGCCATGGTGGTTTGCTGCCCGTCATCTAGGTTTTAAGCCCCACATGCATTAGGTATTTGTCCTAATGCTGTCTCTCCCCTTGACCCCAACCCCCTGACAGGCCCTGGTGTGGGGTGTTCCCCTCCCTGTGTCCATGTGTTCTCATTGCCAAAACATTTCTTAATATGCTTTTCAGGATAATTATCATTTACCTTAAGCTATCAATCAGATGAAACCGAGAAGTAAACTAATCTTGACAAAACCCCTTGAGTTTGGACCGCACTATTTTCTTCCCACCAACCCCTCTCTTTTAATTTTCTTCTTATCCAGCCTATATCCAAGGTGCTCACCACCTCAACCACTTCTTACACCAACCTCAGCTTCTTTAATTTCAACCATTTGGCAAAACCTAGATTCTTAATCTACAACTACACTCTGCAGTCCTATTCTCAAAATGCTAAGAACCTCTGGAGAAAAAACACAACTATGGGAATTTGGAAAATATAATTTCGTGGCCTATAATCTCAACTAGATCCTTACCAACAGTTGGATCCAAAATAATAAGAACAAACATGTCTTGAGCACTCACTAGGTACCAGGCGGTGCCCTAAGAATTTTTAAGGCATGAACCCATTTAATCCTTTAAAAAAAAAAAAACCCTATGAGGGAGGCACTACTATAATCTTATTTTACAGATAAGGAAACTGAGGCACAGAGAAGTTATGTAACTTGTTCAGGGTCACAAAGCTTGTCCAGAGTAAGCAGCAGTGTTGAGATTCGACACAAAATCATCTCCTTCCTCACTTCTCAGAAAATCGTCAGTCTTCACCAGTTGTCCCAAGACCCCTACTATAGCACCTTTCCCTTCTCTCTGAACAGATGACTTCACCTACTTTACAGAAAATAAAGGCTACCAGGCAGAATCCTTCAGTCCCAAGCTTCCGCATACACATGTTGTGTTGCCTTCCATACATCTCTACAAAGCATCTCCTCTTCCTGGCATGTAAAGCTACATTAGTCCATTCTCATGCTGCTAATAAAGACATACCCAAGACTGAGTAAACCCATAAAAGGAAAGAGGTTTAACTGACTCACAGTTCCCCAGGGCTGGGGAGACCTCAGGAAACTTACAATCATGGCAGAAGGGGAAACAAACACGTCCTTCTTCACATGGTGGCAGTAAGGAGAAGTGCTGAGCAAAATAGGGAAAAGCCCCTTATAAAACCATCAGATCTTGTGAGAACTCACTATCTAGAATAGCAGCATGGGGGTAACCACCCCCATGATTCAATTACCTCCCACCGGGTCCCTCCCATGACACATGGGGATTATGGGAACTACAATTCAAGATGAGATTTGGGTGGGGACACAGCCAAACCATATGAAAAGCTAATTCCTGCACCTAAACCCCGCAACCCATTTGCTTGTGCCTCTTAAAGACCCTGACTTATCAAATGCTCTCTCAAAGTTTCAACTTCAAGCTCCCCTCTTCCCCATTCTATTCTAGATCTTCTGCTCAGCTTATAAACATGTTTAAGTATCTCCTGTCATATATGTACAAGTGTGTGCTTGTATATCTTCTCTTTTCCCTAAAACAACCCCTATATTCTGCCCTATTTCTCTTCTCTTTTCAGCTACACATTTTAAAAAAGTACATCTTCTATATCCACCGCTCCACCTTCCTTCTCCAACCACTGTCATTGTTCTGGTCTCTGCCCCTATCTATAAGGGCCCATCCAGCTGCTAAATCCAATGGACACTGTACAATTCATCTTACATAATCTATCTTAAGCTTCTGAAACTATTGTGGTTAAAAGCACCACTACAGAAACAAAATACCCAGATTCAAATCTTGGCTCCACCATTTACCATCTTATGAGCTTGGGCAAGTTATTCAGTCTGTGAATAAATAGGCTGTATCTGTAAAATAGGGATGATAATAATACCCACCTCATAAGACTGCTGTATGAATTACATACATGGGTTAATATATGTAATGCACTTAGAACAAAATCTGGTACATAGCAAACATACTATTAATATAAATATCTGCTGTTATTCCCTATTATCATTATTAATATCATGATCATTATTATTGAAACTCTAGCCCTCCTTGGCTTCTATGACACTACTATCCTGGTTCATCTCCTACTTCTGAGAAAGCTCCTTTCCATTCTCCTTCCCAAATTCCTCCAATTCCACTTTACCTTCAATATTGGTATTCCTCATGTCTTAACTTCCACTGTCATCTCTTCTCACTCAAATATTTTTCTAGGGTGCTCTTACCTACTCCTGATGATTCCAACCTTCTGCTAAATCTACTCCCACCACATGTCTTCCTGTATATTCAGACCTGTATATCCAATTGTCCACTAGACATCTCCACAGGCACCTCAAATTCATGTTAAGAACTAAACTCTACGTCTTCCAAGACTTGCTTCTCCTCCTGCATATCACATCTCAAAATATTACCACCATCCACTAATTTTCCTAACTAGAAACCTGGGTGTCATTTATAACTCTTCTCTCTCCATTCCCCCTACAATCAGTCACTAAAACCTTTTGATTCTACCTTCTTAATGTCTCTTCAACCGGTCCCCTTCTCTCATTTAATTCAGACTCTCATCATTTCCGGGCTTCTAACTGGTTTCCCTCCTAACAGACATGACCCTGTCAATCTGCTGCTGGCAGTCATCTTCCCAAAATGAAAATCTAATCACATCTGTCAACATGCAGCTCCACTACTACCTCTTCTGGAAAGCCTTCCCAAACCTCCCCAATCTGAGCTGCATAATTATGTATGTTTTTGGAGTTCCTGGAGCATGCATCTATAAACACAGTCATCATCCTGTATTGCACGGGATACATTTGGCATGTCTGGAAATATGTAGGGGTAGAAGCCAGAGATGCTACTGAGCATCCTACAGTGCACAGAACAATCCCTGCAACAAGGAATTATCAGACCCAAAATGATGTTAGTCCTGAGGTTGAGAAACCCTGCCATATTATAATCATCTGACTTCATGTCAATCACCCCTAATACACTGAAGAACCTTCAGGCTAATGATACATTAGTCTTTATAAAAGCCCAGTGCCTAATATAATATCTTTCCCACAAGTGACACTCAATACATAAATGCATAGAAACTGAAGGAACTTTTTTTTCCTTTTTTACTTACTCTGTAGGAAAACTTGAGCTTCCGAAGCTCACTCTCCAACTTACTCTGGTATTGTTCAGTTCCTTTCACATAGCTCACTCCAAGATTTTCAACTGATTTTAACACTAAAAAAAAGAAAAAAGGTATAAATGCAAGATAATGTTTTAAAACTAAATCCAAGACAAAATCTATGGAGGGCAATTCCATAATTACTTGTTTACAGAACATGACAGGTAATTGCCAGTTTATTTCCTGTAACGACATCATATAAACTACATATGCTTATAAGAGGATAATGTCCATCTATGTGCAGAAAATATCCATGTCCCACAGCATAATTTAATACCAGGGATTCTCAATCAGGGAAGAGGGATGGATGGTGAATAATCATTCCTGAGGAACAGAAAAGTATGTCAGTATGGAAAAAAAAACTAGGCACTCCTTGTTTGCATCCTTCGTATGGGAGCTGCCTGTTAGGCAGTAGGCATCATTTACTTGGCATAGATTCAACAGAAAAAAAGCATCCCTTCCTTTCCTGATGAAGCCGAGGACAGAGCACAACAGTGAAGAAGAAAGGCCATCCAAACAGCCAAATGAACCATCCTGAACAGATGCTACATACTGTTCAAAGGTTCCTAAAGCACCATATCAATCTTTCCTCAGATGAATTATTCTCTGGAGGCATTTTTGAAGTCAAGAATGAAGAACTTCTAATTGTCTCCTGAACATAAACCCCATGTCCCACAGGTATGGGTATCCAAATTAATTATCCTCCCCTCATTCCTACTCTTCGTCCTGCCATGCCCATCTCCAGCAGCAGAGTTTCCATGCATCAGATCATCCAAGCAGGAACTGCAGCCACTCCACACCTGCTCCCTCACTCCTCATATCCAGTCACCAAATCCTATCAATGCTAACTCCTCAGTATCCCTTAACTCTCTCCCTTCCTACCACTGCCATTGTCATTATCATAGTTCAGGCCCTTATCATTTCACCTCAAGTGCCAAACCCAAGGGACACTTTTCAATCACCATCTTAATCCCTATGAAGTATTGACACTGCTAAGCTTTCTAAAACCCTTTTCTCCCTTGTCTTCATTCTTTCATTCAACACACAGGCACTGAGTGCCTCCTCTCTGTATTAGCAGTGCTTACCCTGCTCCTCTAAGAATGATTAACAGTATCTCACCTTTCCTTCTGATTTCCCCACAGGGATATCCTGGAACATAAACTCTGAAGACAACGCTAGTGTTTCTGTTTCAATTCATGTCTAGCCCATTCTTTTCTCTAGCAACACACTGAGGATTAAGTAGGCCCCCAGGACGGTGGCCACATCCTTCTTACACCCCAATATCATATCATTAGCATGGCACAAAATGCCCTCCATACTTCTCCATCCACCCTGAATTCCTGAACTTGTTACTGTTAGCTCAAATATGAAATTCTCTTTCATGCTCCAAGCCTTTGCATAGGCCATTATCTCAGCTTGGAAAAACTCTTCACTTCTTCTCTGCTGGAAAATTTCTACTCATTCTTCAGTATGTCCAGATCACATTTCAACTTCTCTAAGAAGCTCATTTAATAAGACTAAGTCAGTCACTCCCACTTCTTTGTTTCAACAGCACTACCATTTACTTCTACTAGAGCAGTTAAAATACTGAATTATGACTATTATTTTGGATGTCTGTCTCCATGTACTAGAATAAAACTTCAACAAAAAATAACATTATTCATCTCAAAATCCCTGCCACCTAGAACATAATGGCACTCAATAATATGCATTGTACAATAAATAAATGAATGAGTACCAAACCCTCAACAAATATTTGTTGAATGGATTGCTGAATGAAGGATATGAATTACCTCAATAAATACTTGTTGAATGGATTGCTGAATGAAGGAAATGAATTACCTTCATTCATTCTCACAAAGGGTAAGTGAGCTTCTCAAGAATATATACATTCTAATTTAAATAGTACTTACATTTAACTCTATCAATAGCCAAGTTTTCAAATTCTATTAAAGATATGTTTTCAGAAGGTGGCTGCAAGTAAAACTGAAGGCAATGAGGGTAGGAAGCATTCCTCTGGTCACCTGCCAACCTCAGCTTCCTCCACTTTCTTCCAGAAAACTCCATCTTGGTCACCTTAGAAGGAAGTACACAAAAAGCGTAAAATGATGGAAAACAAAGTTGGGGGAAAAAAAAGAAAAAACACGAAAAAATAATTCCACAAACACAGAAAAAAAATGGATTTGAGGGCATGCACAAAATGTTAGCAGTGGCAATTCCTGGGTGATGTCCTTCTCTCGTTTCCAGATTTTCTACAATACACCTATAATAATTTTGTAATGGGGGTGGGAGAGGCGCTAGAGCAGATGCAGGTGGTGATCCTAATTTTCAGCAACATGAAAGTCAGGTGATGTTGCCTGCTCATTATAGGCCTGTGTGTCACTGTTCTTGGATCTTTACGATCCCAAGAGTTAACATAAGGTTTTACGTGGTCTGCAATCCTGAACTTAGAGGAAAGTGCTGTAGGTTCTGGCTAAATGAGGGTCTTACTTGATGGACTGGGTCCAGTTACTCACTTCCTCTGTTATGACTCTGGGAAACAGAGCAACTGTCTTTCGGAACTCCTTTTCGGGAGCATCCACAAGTGCCTTACAAAAGTTCCATCCCCAACACCCCTCCTCACTCCACTGGCAAACCTATCTCTCCCCAACTCCTCCCTGGTACCTGGGTGTCTGCCCCAAACAACCAACCCGCCAAGTCTGTCCTTCTGCTACTGCTGCCTGCAAAGTGATCCATCTCTCCTTTCTCTCGACTTGCAAGCCTTAATAACAGGATTGCTCTCTGTCCTAAATTCGCGGAAGTTTCCCCTACCTGCAAGAATTCAAACTCGGGAAAACACAAACGGTGGCAGCCACTGTTCCCGGGTGGCGGGAGAGTTCATATGAAACCGGAAGAGGAAGTGACTAGCACAGAAGGCCAGCCCTGCCCCACCTCCCCTTGGCGGGTAGGAGGGGGTTTGGCCTGAGGCTCTGGGCATGCTCAGTGGAGCGCGTCTGGGAATTCAAGGTGTTCCGTCCACCTTGGCAGCTTTAAAGTGTTTGGATGTCAGTGTTTTGGGGATTTTTTTTCCAAATTTTAAGATGCATTTCCTGTATGTGGAGTCGGTAGCTTTAACGGTTGAAACTGGGGTGCTGAATGCTAGTGGCGAAAACTCCCACACGCCGAAAATTGAACCAATGTAACTTCGTCTGGGGACACTAACAAATATTCCCTATATTGAGGAAAATATGGCGCTTTAACCCTCAGGGCTGGCACTCATCACTTTCAATCTGGGGAGGAATGAGGAAAAAAGGCATTAGGATCTTTTTTGCACCTAGCTCACTATTAGGGGCTCTTTTTTTTCCGCTCGTTTAATCTTTCAGCGACCTATAAGGTCCTATAAGATCGTATTACCCCCATTTGGCAGATGAGAAAACAAGTTACAAGATCCTCGTTAGTTTGCCCGTCTACATACAATACATATTTTGAATTTCGTATTGGGCGGCAAGCCCCTACTGGCAGGTTCCACGTTCAATTCGCTCCCCGCTCTCCGGCAATGCCTCGCACAGAGGAAGCGCGCAGCTGAATTATCTGTGGAATGAACTAGAATGAATGAAAGAAGGCACATTCGCAGGAATCGCTCTGCAATCTACAGGAATTAGAAGAACCCAGCCTCGGAGGGAAGGTAGGGTGGAAGAAGATGAAGCACTGGAAATCACGCGGACGTGCCGCTTACTTTCCAGATGTCCGACTGCAGACTCACAAGCGGGGCGTCAGAGCCACCACACCAGTTCTCCGCTGTCTGTAAGATTTTCGAGAACTGGAAATTAACTTCACTCGTGGCCTCTAGGAGGCGTGCCTCGCTTACAAATGTGCTGGAATGAGGCTCCGGTATAGGTAGTCCTTAGGAGATCAAATGAATGCTTTGAAATGTTCACGTTTTTAGAAATGCAAAGTACATTGAAACAATATCAAGCTTCAAAGCATCTACCCAGCCTGGACTAAACTGTGGCTGGCACTGACTTTATATCAGGACCTGTTCTAAGTGGTTTACATATCAACTCATTTTATTATCATAACCACATAAGATAGGTTATTCCCCCCGACCCACCACCAATACCCGAGACAGAGTCTTGTTCTGTCGCCCAGGCTGGAGTGCAGTGGAGCGATCTTGGCTCACTGCAACCTCCGCCTCCGGGATTCAAGCGATTCTCCTGCCTCAGCCTCCCAAATAGCTGGGATTACAGGCGCCTGGCTAATTTTTGTATTTTTAGTAAAGATGGGGTTTCACCATGTTGGCAAGCTGGTCTCGAACTCCTGACCTCGTGATCCGCCCACCTCGGCCTCCCAAAGGTTATTATATTAAACGTATTTTCTAGATACGGAAACTGAAGAACAGAGAAGTTAAATGAAGTCAAAAGGACACAAAATGTCAGAGCCATGTTCAAACCCAGAGAAACTCTCCAGGCCCCACTGTGCTAACGATCTCACTACACCAATTCCAGTAATATGACAGCAGAGCTTCACCTCATTTCTTCCTCTCTGTATTAAATACATAATACAAATACGTAATACAAATACATCACGTGGTCCAAAGAAGACACCTGAAAGCATATAAACTGCCTGAAAAAACCTGCATCACAGACCATAAGAATATTTACATGAATATCTTATCTCTGGATAGCAAACAAATTTAAATATTATAAATTACAAAGAAAAAAGATATAAAGACTTGACCATAAAAAGTATAAAATTATGCATGTAAAAAATTCACAGAAGTATTTTGCACTCATCAAACTAGAGAAAGGTCTACCAAAAGTATAACATCGAAAAGGTTAATGCCATCAGGATACAAAGAAGTTAACTCATTAGGAAAAAAATCCTAAGACACAAACAGAAAAATAGGACAAGAAGAAGAAGAGGTAACTCATAGAAAAAATAACTACTGTTAAATATGAAAAATGTTTTTATCACTAGAGGCAAAGAAATTTTCTCCTGCAAAATTGTCAAGGATTTTATAATGAAACTACTCAGTGTTGCCACCTGTTTTGCTCCTCATTTAAACCCCTGAGGCTCTTCATGACTCCCATATGGTGTAGTTCTTTAAATAATTATAGCCCTCTACTACAGAAGTTCTTTATCTTTTGGAAGATCAAGATTAAGAACTTCTGTAGTAGAGGGATGTTAATTAGGTCTATGAACCACTGGACAATGTGATGAAAGCTCTCTTCAGAAAAATGCACCTACACACACATCTATACTATTTCAAGAGGTTCAAGATCACCATATGTGGCTAGTTAAGAATTCCAGCACTACTAGGTTTTAAGCTTTCTTTGGATGAGCCCTTTTGTTCATCTCTGTGATCCCCAAAGTACTTCCTACAATATCTGCCCAATTAAAAGACGAAGTAGCCAGTGTCATTTCATGACCAGCTCAGAGAAAACTGGAAATATATGTTCATGCTTAACATACCAATATCTTACTATGTCACATAATAGCTGCCTTTTCATCATATTAAAAACTGATTTTAAGCCCCGGGGAACAAAATACCCTGTGTTGGTCAGCTATTCCAGCATTTTTATTGTTTCCTAATGCCACAGTTTTGGTCACTACCTCACTGTGAAGGGTGTTTTTCTGAATCCAGAGGCAATTGCAATATAAATCCGCATATCACGGTAGCAATAATGCACAATAATGTTATACATTTCAGCAGCCATGTTCAGTAAATCACTGTGAGCTCTTTCATGTATTCACTTCATCTACAAAAAATTGATTGACACAATGCTCAGCCCTGGCAACCAAGATTCTTGTAAATACAGACATTGACCTCACAATCATGGGAAGGAAAACATACATAAACATGTAAGTTTTACTTCCACTGAACCATAGCATCTCAAAAACAGGGATGACTGTTTCATTCATTTCTGTGACCCCAGTGCCTGGCACTCCATGGGCCCTCAATAAATACTTATGAAACTGAATTGTTTTTGTTTTTTCTTTGGTTTTGTTTTGTTTTTTGAGACGAAGTCTCGCTCTGTTGCCCAGGCTGGAGTGCAGTAGCATGATCTCGGCTCATTGCAACCTCCAACTCCTGGGTTCAGGCAATTCTCCTACCTCAGCCTCCCGAGTAGCTGGGATTACAGGCGCCTGCCACCATGCCCAGCTATTTTTTTGCTTTTTTAGTAGAGACGGGGTTTCACCACGTTGGCCAGGCTGGTCTCAGACTCCTGACCTCAGGTGATCCACCTGCCTCGGCCTCCCTAAGTGCTGGGATTATAGGCGTGAGCCACTGCGCCCAGCCCATACTGAATTGTTGAATACTGTGAGAGACATATGAAAAAAAATGCTGGGTTCAGCTTCCCATTAAACAGATGGTTTGAATCAAATGTGACTCCAACCTATAAAACTTCAAGTCCTCATCTGAAAACATTATACACATTCCTTCCAGAATGAGTTGGCTTCCTAGTTTAGCCTGTAATAAAGCACAGAGTACCTTCTCTGGCAGAATTTCCATGAATCATCACTGCTCAATTCAGTGCCTGCCTTGGGCATTACCCAGCTACAGACAGACTGCCCCACGTGGCATTCACCCTGAGATAACTCCTCCACAGCTCCAGAACTTCTATCCCAAAAAGTGTCACACTTACAGCTGAGAATTTAGTTGCCATGCTTGGTAAATCTAAGTGAGTGTTCATTCCTCTTCTGAGCGGGGTGTGTCGCCCTGAAAACCAAAGGCGTGGTAAGCTTCTTTACTGAGTAAGCATGCTGTAAATTCTAGGTCCTACCAGCTGTGTTTGCCATGAAAAGCAGAGAACATGAGGTATTTCCAGCAAGATAGCTGACCCATAAAAGCTAATGCAGAGTTAGCCAACCTCTGGCCCTCCACCCTCCCCATTTCACTGCCTACCTCTCGGAGTTGGCTGGGAAACAACCTAAAGAAAGCACTTCATTCTCTCTCCATTTGCTTTAGATTGCTTTATTAGTCAAAATCAAGGAGCAGGAGAACTGACAGAAAGCACATTCTTAATGGTAGCACGGTGAAGAAACACTACCCTTCCATATATCAGCATTATTTGGTGTGTTCCAGAAATAGTAATTAAACACTTACTAAGTGCCAGGCAACATTTTCTATGCTGGGGATATGAGAATGATGAGAGAGCCAAAAAATCCTGCTCTTATAAATCTTCTAATGGGGAAGAGAGACAATAAACAAGTTAAAGACATAAATAATTATGTTAGATAACAACTACTAAACAGAAAGAAATTAATCAGAAAAGAAGAATGTAAAGTTTTTCAAGGAGATAATGAAATTTTAGAAAAGATAGCCAGGAAAGGCTGGCTAAGAATGTGGCCATGAAACAGAGACCAGAAGAAAACTTGGGATTTAGTCATGTCTATCTTTAGGAGAATAGCATTTCAGGCAGATGGAAGGCTAATCTTAATTCATTAGTATTTAAGACATTACAATATTGGTACAAGAATAAAGTCATCAATCAATGGAACAGAATAGAAAACCCAAACATGGTCCCACACCTATGAGGAAACTTAGTATATGACAGATCCACCGTACAAATCAATGGAAGAAAAAAATAGACAATTCTAAATGGTGCTGGGACAATTGGCTGTCTATAGGGAGGAAAAATGTATTCCCTACCTCCTACTATATAAAAAATCAATTCCAGATGATTTAAGAACTTGTATATGAAAGGCAAAATTTTAAGAATTTAAAACAAATATATAGACGGTCTTTATGGTCTTGATGGTCCAAAGAATTTATTTAACAAGACATTAAGAAAAAGCATAAGCAGTTCTGGAGATGGATAATGGTGATAGTTGCACAATAATGTGAACGTAGTTAATGCCACTGAACTGTACACTTACAAATGGTTAAAATGGTAAATTTTGTGTTATGTATATTTTAAACTTTTTTTAAAAAAACAAGCTAAAAAGAGAAAGATTGATCATTTTAACTACATTAAATTAAGAACTTAAGGGATTTTGCATGGGGAGGGAGTTTCTGTTCATTTGTTTTTTCAAGACAGGGTTTCCTGTTGCCCAGGCTGGAGTGCAGTGATGCTATCACTGCCCACTGCAGCCTCCACCTCCTGGACTCAAGCGATCCTCCCAGCTGAGCCTCCCAAATAGCTAGGACTGCAGGCACATGCCACCAAGACTGGCTGATTTTTAAATTTTTTTGTAGAGATGGGGCTGCACTATGTTGCTCAGGCTGGTCTTGAACTTCTGGACTCAAGCAATCCTCCTGCCTCGGCCTCCCAAAGTGCTAAGATTACAGGCATAAGCCACCACACTTGACCTTTTTAAAAGTACATAAAACTTTTTAAAGTACATAAATACACAGTTTTTTAGATATCCACAAATTGCGAGATGATAAAATTAACACAGGGTCATTGTTAGTATCAAGATAATAAGAAAAAAATAAAAAACAGTAGAAAAGCCCTCTCCCCCCTCTCCCCTCTCCCCTCTCCCCTCTCCCCTCTCCCGTCTCCCCTCTCCCCTCTCCCCTTTCTACGGTCTCCCTTTCTTGCGGAGCCTGGACTGTACCGCCATGATCTCGGCTCGCTGCAACCTCCCTGCCTCGGGCTCCGGTGATTCTCCCGCCTCGGCCTGCCAGGCACGCGCCGCCACTCCTGACTGGTTTTTGTATTTTTGGTGGAGACGGGGTTTCGCCGTGTTGACCGGGCTGGTCTCCAGCTCCTGGCCTCGGATGATCTGCCCGCCTCCGCCTCCCGAGGTGCTGGGATTGCAGACGGAGTCTCGCTCACTCAATGCTCAATGTTGCCCAGGCTGGAGTGCAGTGGCTTGATCTCGGCTCGCTACAACTTCCACCTCCCAGCGGCCTGCCTTGGCCTCCCAAAATGCTAAGATTACAGCCTCTGCCCGCCGGTCACCCCGTCTAGGAAGTGAGCAGCGTCTCTGCCTGGCCACCCATCGTCTGGGATGTAAGGAGCCCCTCTGCCCCGCCGCCCCCTCTAGGAAGTGAGGAACGTCTCTGCCTGGCCGCCCATTGTCTGGGACGTGAGAAGCGCCTCTGCCCGGCCGCCCAGTCTGGGAGGAAGTGAGGAGCACCTCTGCCCGGCTGCCCCGAATGGGAAGTGAAGAGCACCTCTGCCTGGCCGCCCCCTCTGGGAAGTGAGGAGTGCCTCTGCCCCGCCGCCCCGTCTGGGAGGAAGTGAGGAGCGCCTCTGCCTGGTTGCCCTGAATGGAAAGTGAGGAGCGCCTCTGCCCGGCCGCCCCGTCTGGGAAGTGAGGAGCGCCTCTGCCCGGATGCCCCGTCCGGGAGGTGAGGAGCGCCTCTGCCCGGCCGCCCCGTCTGGGAGGTGAGGGGCGCCTCTGCCCGGCCGCCCCGTCCGGGAGGTGAGGGGCGCCTCTGCACGGCCGCCCCGTCTGGGAGGTGAGGGGCATCTCTGCCCGGCCACCACCCCGTCTGGGAAGTGAGGGGCACCTCTGCCCGGCCGCCACCCTGTCTGGGAGGTGACGGGTGTCTCTGCCCGGCCGCCTAGACTAGGAAGTGAGGGGCGTCTCTGCCCGGCCGCCCTTCGTCTGGGAGGTGGGGAGCGCCTCTGCCCGGCCCCTCCCCGTTTGGGAGGCGAGGGGTGTCTCTGCCCGGCCGCCACCCCGTCTGGGAAGTGAGGAGCGCCTCTGCCCAGCTGCTGCCCTGTCTGGGAGGTGAGGGGAGTCTCTGCCCGGCTGCCCTGCCTGGAAAGTGAGGGGCGCCTCTGCCTGGCCGCTCTTTGTCTGGGAGGTGGGGAGCGCCTCTGCCTGGCCACCCCGTCTGGGAAGTGGGCGCCTCTGCCCGGCCACCCCATCTGGGAGGTGAGGGGTGTCTCTGCCTGGCCGCCCCGTCTGGGAGGTGAGGAGCGCCTCTGCCCGGCCGCCACCCCGTCTGGGATGTGAGGAACGCCTCTGCCCGGCCGCCCCATCTGGGAAGTGTACCCAACAGCTCCAAAGAGACAGCAATCATCCAGAACGGGCCATGATGACGATGGTGGTTTTGTCGAAAAGAAAAGGGAGAAATGCGGGGAAAAGAAAGAGAGATCAGATTGTTACCGTGTCTGTGTAGAAAGAAGTAGACATAGGAGACTCCATTTTGTTCTGTACTAAGAAAAATTCTTCTGCCTTGGGATGCTGTTAATCTATAACCTTACCCTCAACCCCCTGCTCTCTGAAACATGTGCTGTGTCAACTCAGGGTTAAATGGATTAAGGGCGGTGCAAGATGTGCTTTGTTAAACAGATGCTTGAAGGCAGCATGCTTGTTAAGAGTCATCACCACATTGTGGTTTTGATTTGCATTTCTCTGATGACCAGTGATGATGAGCATTTTTTCATGTGTTTTTTGGCTGCATAAATGTCTTCTTTTGAGAAGTGTCTGTTCATGTCCTTTGCCCACTTTTTGATGGGGTTGTTTGTTTTTTTCTTGTAAATTTGTTTGAGTTCATTGTAGATTCTGGATATTAGCCCTTTGTCAGATGAGTAGGTTGCGAAAATTTTCTCCCATTTTGTAGGTTGCCTGTTCACTCTGATGGTAGTTTCTTTTGCTATGCAGAAGCTCTTTAGTTTAATTAGATCCCATTTGTCAATTTTGTCTTTTGTTGCCATTGCTTTTGGTGTTTTGGACGTGAAGTCCATAATGAGATACCATCTCACACCAGTTAGAATGGCAATCATTAAAAAGTCAGGAAACAACAGGTGCTAGAGAGGATGTGGAGAAATAGGAACACTTTTACACTGTTAGTGGGACTGTAAACTAGTTCAACCATTGTGGAAGTCAGTGTGGCGATTCCTCAGGGATCTAGAACTAGAAATACCATTTGACCCAGCCATCCCATTACTGGGTATATACCCAAAGGACTATAAATCATGCTGCTGTAAAGACACATGCACACGTATGTTTATTGCAGCATTATTCACAATAGCAAAGACTTGGAACCAACCCAAATGTCCAACAATGATAGACTGGATTAAGAAAATGTGTGATAGACTGGATTAAGAAAATGTGGCACATATACACCATGGAATACTATGCAGCCATAAAAAATGATGAGTTCATGTCCTTTGTAGGGATATGGATGAAATTGGAAATCATCATTCTCAGTAAACTATTGCAAGAACAAAAAACCAAACACCGCATATTCTCACTCATAGGTGGGAATTGAACAATGAGATCACATGGACACAGGAAGGGGAATATCACACTCTGGGGACTGTGGTGGGGTGGGGGGAGGGGGGAGGGATAGCATTGGGAGATATACCTAATGCTAGATGACGAGTTAGTGGGTGCAGTGCACCAGCATGGCACATGTATACATATGTAACTAACCTGCACAATGTGTACATGTACCCTAAAACTTAAAGTATAATAAAAAAAAAAAAAGAGTCATCACCACTCCCTAATCTCAAGTACCCAGGGACACAAACAGGGCCGAAGGCCGCAGGGACCTCTGCCTAGGAAAACCAGAGACCTTTGTTCTCGTGTTTATCTGCTGACCTTCTCTCCACTATTATCCTATGACCCTGCCACATCCCCCTCTCTGAGAAACACCCAAGAATGATCAATAAATACTAAAAAAAAAAATAAACAAACAAAAAAACTGCACATTCTGCACATGTATCTCAGAACTTAAAGTAAAATTAAAAAAAAGAAAAATAAAATAAAATAAACAGTAGAAAAGAGAAAGGGAACCTGAACAAGTATTTCACAATGAAGGAAATGTAAATGATAAATAAACATATGTAAATATGTTTAATTACATTAGTAATTGAAGAAATGCAAATTAAAACCACAATGAGATAATATTCTACAGGTGCCAGATGGACAAAAGTTTCAAAGTTTGAAAATATTGCGTGTTGACTAGGAACTCGTGTACTATAAGTAAAACTGTTAATTGATACAACTACTTTGAAAAATGTGGCATTACCTGGTAAATTTGAAAACATATGACTCTTTATCCCACTATGTGATTCTAGTCTAGGTATATTCTCTAGAGAAAGTTTTGAGCGTAGACATCAAAAAACATGAACAAGAACATTCGTGGCAATATCAAAATACTCAAACACTGGAAACCATCCATCATCAGAAATGGATAAACTGGGCCAGGCACAGTGGCTCACACCTGTAATCCCAACACTATGGGAGGCTGAGGAGGGTGGAACACTGGAGCCCAGGAGTTTGAGACCAGCCTGAGCAACACGGTGAAACCCTGCCTCTACAAAAAATACAAAAATTAGCCAGATATGGTGGCACGAGCCTGTAGTCCCAGCTACTCTGGGGGCTGAGGTGGGAGGATCACCTGAGGCTGGGAGGCTGCCATGAGCCATGATCCTGCCACTGCACTCCTGCTGGGAGACACAGCAAGACCTTGTCTCAAAAAAAAAAAGAGAGAAAAAAAGAAAAAGAAATAGATAAATAAATTCTGGTGTATTCATACAATGGAATTTTTTAAGTGAAAAATGAATGAACTACTACAATTACAGTAAGCATATCGACATGGATGAATCACATAAATATAATGTTAACTAAAAAAGCAAGTCATAGGACAATACTGTATATGCTGGATATTTTCCTTTTCCCACCCCATCACCTAAAACCACTCTAGCCCCCTCCCCTGCTCTGTGTTCTTAAATGAATGGACCATATAAACAGATTTCTGTGCTTTCTGCTTCCAGTTAGGTTAGGTCAATTAAAAGCCCCAAAAGGAAATAGGAAGAAGAGAAGAAAGTGAGATCAATGTATTTATCCCCTCCCTGCAAGGCCACCTGTGTCCCTCAACCTGTCATTGCTTCTCTCAAGGTGGCAACAGACTCTAAAGGACCCTCTCACTTTGGGTCTGGTAACAGCTCCTTTTCCTCTACCTTTCAGACCTAGAGACAGTAACATATTGACTTCGAGTAAGCCCTGATTAATTGCCCTATCTATCCATTGTGGTTCCCTACTCCCACACCTTTGTAAATAATCTCTGCAAAAAAAACCATCCTTGGCCAGGCGCAGTGGCTCACGCCTGTAATCCCAGCACTTTGGGAGGCCGAGGTGGGCGGATCATGAGGTCAGATCGAGACCACGGTGAAACCCCATCTCTACTAAAAATACAAAAAATTAGCCAGGTGTGGTGGCGGGTGCCTATAGTCCCAGCTACTCAGGAGGCTGAGGCAGGAGAATGGCGTGAACCCAGGAAGCAGAGCTTGCAGTGAGCCGAGATTGTGCCACTGCACTCCAGCCTGGGCAACAGAGCAAGACTCCGTCTCCAAAAAAAAAAACCATCCTTGAATTAGCATTTATTTTTTTATTTTTTTTTTATTTTTTGAGACAGAATCTTGTTCTGTCACCCAGACTGGAAAGATTGGAATGCAGTAACACAATCTTGATCTCGGCTCACTGCAACCTGTGCCTCCTGAGTTCAAGTGATTCTCCTGCCTCAGCTTCCCGAGTAGCTGGGACTACAGGCACATGCCACCACGCCAAGCTAATTTTTGTATTTTTAGTAGAGAGAGGGTTTCACCATGTTGGCTAGGCTGGTCTCGAACTCCTGACCTCGTGATCCACCTGCCTTGGTCTCCCAAAGTGCTGGGATTACAGGCATGAGCCACTACGCCTGGCCAAATTAGCCTATTTTGAGTATGCCATCTGTTCCTTGTTGAACCATGACTGGTACTATTCAGCATTTTTATAAAAGTTTTTTTGAAAGTGGAATAATACATACTGGAGTACATACTGTCAGTGGGAAATGATCAAATTCAAGATAGTGGTTAACTCTGGGGAGAAGAAAGAAGATGCACAGGTGGGGACCTTTGGCCCTCTCTTTTCTCTCCCTATTAGACCCAAGACAGATCTAATATTGTAATAGAGGCTGAGGTTTCAGGACGCGGACTGCTGATGGCTCAGTGGGGAAGTTTCCTCCACAGCAAATATACTTGTTAGGTCCCCTGACACTCCTGTGCATAGATCTGGGAAGGGAGCGAACCCTGACAATACAGTTCCTCTTCCTTATCTGTCTCCCTTGTCTCTGAATCTCTCTGGTGCCAGGATGCAAAGGTCCTTTTTACTGAGTCAGCACCCTCACCTAAGTTCTTACCATAACTTGACAGTGAATTTCGTCTCTTGCTATAATGACATGGTCGGGAGTCACCTGAACCTCCCAGACAGAATTCATCCTACCTGGAGCTTCACAACATCCTAGATGCATCTGAGAGATGGTAGTGGGAAGCATTTGGATGCACTAGTCTGGCCCTCTCACTTGGGTACCATAGTTTGGAGCTGAGTCTGGCCCTGGGATGGAAGGAAGAGACACACAGGATAGGAACCATATGGGGTTTAATCCAATATCTTTGCTTCAAGTTTATCCATATGGTAAGTGAGGTTAGTGGGGGTACGAAGTGAAATGAATCTCACCCTGAACATAGTATTCAGCAAAACTGTTCACTCTTGGGTGCTATCTATGGATATAGAGGACTAAAAAAGAGTGCAAGAAAAAAATCTGACCTTGGTTTAGCCATGGGGAAATAATTTTCAATACTGGTATTTATGAGCATCATTTATCATTTATGGATAATGACTCTATGACACACAGCTTTAGGCATTTCATTGCTGTGTGTCAGATTAACTTTTTGGCAGAACTTATTTTATTACAGTACTAGTTATTCATGCCAGCTTAGAGCATCTGAAGATTATAAGAAATACCTATTTTTAGTAAGAACATAACACAATTCGGTGCCTAACAATTTAGTAGAATATCCCTGATTGTTCTTTCCCTATTTAAATTTAAGCTGGACTAAAATCTACTTGAAGATCCATCTACCCAGAATCATCTTATTTGTGTTTAAAAGAAAGAATTGATTTGAACAAAGGAGCCTAATAAAAGAATCTAAGTAACAAAGAAACTACTTTCAATTACAATTTCACTTTATGCTCTATAATTGATGGCACTTTTCAATGTTCTGTTCTAAAATGACGTAGTTATTTCACATGAATCCATCTCGATCCTGGCAACATCAGTTGCTCTCTGTTTGAGCTGAAACGATTCTGAATATTTCAGTTTTTAACATGAGACTGATTATTTGATCATGAGCTCCTTGAGACCAAGCAGACTATCTTGCCCATTTCTGCACCCCTGCCTCTACCATAGTCCCTGACATAGACCAGACACTCCAAAGCTGTCGGCTGAACTGAACTGAACTTCTCTGTACTTATCCCTAATTCCAGATAGGCTCGCATACACTTTATGATGTAATCCTTCACAGAAGATGTGTTTTCACTCTAGATTTTGGCTTTCCCATTGAAATTCCTGATCACAATATTTTCTCTCAGTTGGCTGATTTTTGGAAACTGAAGTAGGTTGTAAATATGATCCTGTTATAATGCCAAGATTGAATTCCAACTGGATTAGCTGATAATCACATCCAAAAGTTCACATTCTCAGTAAGAAAACAATATTAACATTTCAGAAAGTGGAAATTAGAGAATAATAATAAATCTTCCTTTCTCTGACTAATCAATACTTGAAGATCAATGTTGAGAGCTATCTTGAGTACAGAGAGGAAAGGGACTTTCCTGATGCATGTGGAATTACTTCATCTGCATTTTCTTCTCTTTGAGCAACAACATATAATCTATCACTTAGGGGCCAAGTAGTAAAAACTTTATGTTTCTATAGGGAACATGATTTTTTCCTACGAGGTTAATTATTTTAGGGTCAGTGCCCTAGGAGTAGTCGAGTATGTACTTGGGACTCCACCCTAGACTTCTCATCTACTTCTACTTCTCACCTAGGCATCTCACCTACTGCTTTCTTTCCAGGGGTCTCTGCCCCACAATGCCCCAGGGAACAGCCCCAGATCAAATGCTTCAGTTTCTTTCAGAGGGAAGGGGTCCTTTCCCCTCCCCACTCAACACCTCCTCCTCCTCACCTAACCCACACACAGAACCAGGCCACACAAGCAACTCTTAGAACCAAGGTCAGTCTTCCCCAGAGTACAGTTATGAAGCAATTATGTTGTTTTGTGCTTTCTCCAGTGGAATGGCAGGAGCAGCTGTTTTTCTACAAACTCTGATTAATGACCTTCACTGTGGGAATTTTCTGTCTGCATGTAGAGTTAATCCAATCTTTTTTATTGTCTAGTAAGTCCAGATCTTTCCAATTATATTTGTTTCATAATAATACAGTATTGGCACTTGTAAAGCATGCTACAGTTTTCAAAGCAATTTCATTTGTATGATTTAACCCAGGATTTCTGCAACCAATTGATTCTCTGGGGTCCCTTCATTTTATTATAATTTCCTTTTTATTTTTTCCATTTTTTTCCATCCATTTTTATAAGTTTCATAAAAAGCATATCCTGGGTTGTCTGGATGACTGTGTTATTTTCAAATTGTACCATATGCCAGCCTCTCATGTGACCCCAATGGGATTGGTGACACATATGAGCATCTGAAATGACACAGCTTGCCTTAAAATGTACTGGTAAGCATAGATAGCTAGCTGATCAAAGATTGTGGGTTATAAAGTAAAAATATCAACCATCATCCTGCATCATTATTGCTTTCAATTTGGATGTTTTTCCCCCAACAATTATAAAGACAGAAGTGGGCGGGGTGCAAAGGCTCAGGCTTGTAATCCCAGCACTTTGGGAGGCCTAGGCAGGCAGACCACTTGAGGTCACGAGTTCGAGACCAGCCTGGCCACCATGGTGAAACCCCATCTTTACTAAAAATACAAAAACAGAAACAAACAAACAAAACTAGCTGGGCATGGTGGCGGGTGCCTGTAATCACAGCTACTTGGGAGGCTGAGGCAGGAGAATCATTTGAACCAGGGAGGCAGAGTTTGCAGTGAGCCGAGATGGTGCCACTGCACTCCAGCCTGGGCAACAGAGGGAGAATTCATCTCAAAAAAAGTAATTAATTAATTAATTAATTGAAAAAGACATAAGTGAGGCTGCCCTGGTTATCCAGCCAGTGCTTTACTGGTATCACAAGTGGAAGTATTGTTCTGATTCTGTCTCTGTATGTGCCAAATTACAACAGTATGCAAGTAGTATCTATTAAAATAAATATACAATGAAGGATTTTCCAGTCAGATTTTCTCTCTTGCATTTTGGAGTGAACAATTAAATTGGCCCACCAATAAATTGTAGTGGATAAAAACAAAATCATTTTTAAAATATAAATAAATATGATGACAGTGATTCACATGATAATCTATTGCACTAAAAAAAAAATCATGTAAAAAAGTAAGTGACTAAATCTTCCTATCATTAACCTCAACATATGCTCTTCAATTTCAGCAAAGCATCATCTAGCAAATTAATGTTGTCAATTTTAATTATATTAGTTTTTATCATTTGGCTTGTATTTAATATGTAAATGTATTTGGCTTTTATGTGGATATCTTAGCTATAAATATATACAAACTTAGCTTTTACGTGGACATATTAGCTATAAACATAGAAAGACATAGCAATAACAATGACATAAAAATCATATACATCAACTCTGGGTATTCTAATAATCTAAATATTTTCTTCCTTTTAAGGGCTTTTTTACATTACATTACTCAAGTTTGAGAATTACAAGTCTATTCCTAAAATAGGTTAATAGGAAATCTTTTGATTTATAACACAACTCATAGAATAAATGCACCTGCAGTAACTTAAAATGGTTTTTGACAATTTTAGAAATCTTAGAAAACGATCTTCTTTAAAAAATCAGTTATTACTTTCTGCTTCAACAGTCATTTTATTTGAATAATGGACTCTTATGACTGAGTTCTTTCCAGAATGCACTGGCTTAGGGAGAGAAGTACTAGGCCTTTCGAGTGTTTATTCTGTGGAAGATAAACAACATTGTTATATAAGGCACTCTTCCAAATAGCTTAAGGTTGTTTAGAACATCCATTAACCCTAATGGAGTTACAAAATATTAAGGCAGAAAAATATGCTTTAGTAGTTATGCCTTTGAGAGGCTAGAGGCTAAATACATAAAATGTCTTAGTGATGACATTTTATATATTTATTTCTTAACCATAAGTGGATAACCACATAATTTTCTTATATTTGTTGGACACCTAATTTTTAATGTACAATTTAAGACTCAACAACCCAGCACTCAGTTAAACCCATGGAAAAGTGCTGGGGAAAACACTGAAAAGTCAAAAATGCCTTCCAATGATTCAAGTATGTACTTAAATGCAGCACTTAAAGAGTCAACAGTTAAATAACCTGGAATGACTCTATCTATCTCTCTATCCATATTCAAACTTTTATATATTTTTTCAAATGTAACTCTGCTCAAAAACTAAATTAATAACAAAATTACTTAGCAGATATTAATATTTAAAATGTGTTTCTTTTCCTAAAATATTTTATATTTTCAGCATAAAAGGCACAGGTGAGGCAGTATTTCATATTTGGGGGCTCAAATTTGGAAGTGAAACAGTTTAAATTGGAAAGCAATAATTTTGTGACCCCTAAGAGTGAGACTGAAAGTTCTGTCTTAGCTTTTGGCCTCCCAGCCAGTAAATAGGAATGTCTTCTGAAGTGCCTATCCTGAATAAGTGCCATGGAGAAAGCAAAGAAAAGCAGAACCAGAGTTACATCACATTCAGTCTGAACTCATTCTTGACTTCAACACTCATAGAATTAATAATCTGCAGGTTTATTGTTAGGTATATTTCTCCCATTCTTTTTCTGTTGTTGTTATTGAGACAGAGTCTTGCCCTGTCGCCCAGGCTAGAGTGCAGTAGAACAATCTTGGCTTACTGCAACCTCAACCTCCCAGCTTCAAGTGATTCTCACGCTCAGCCACCAGCCACCAAGTAGCTAGCATTACAGGCATGCACCACCATGCCTTGCTAATTCGTTTTTTGTGTGCGTGTGTATTTTTGGTAGAGATGGGGTTTCACCATGTTGGCCAGGCTGGTCTCAAACTCCTGACCTCAAGTGATCCGCCTGCCTTGGCCTCCCAAAGTGCTGAGATTACAGGCGTGAGCCACTGCACCCAGACTCTCCTATTCTTTTGTTTGTTTGTTTGTTTTTGAGATGGAATTTTGCTCTTGCTGCCCAGGCTGGAGTGCAATGGTGTGATCTTGGCTCACCGCAACCTCCGCCTCCTGGGTTCAAGCAATTCTCCTGCCGCAGCCTACCGAGTAGCTGGGATTACAGGCATGGGCCACCACGCCCAGCTAATTTTGTATTTTTAATAGAGATGGGGTTTCTCCATGTTGGTCACGCTGGTCTCAAACTCCCGACCTCAGGTGATCTACCCGCCGTGACCTCCCAAAGTCCTGGGATAACAGGCATAACCCACCACACCCAGCTGACTCTCCCATTCTTAAGACTACCATACTTGACTATGATTTGAGCTCAGGGCCAACCTGGGTTTCAGCTCTGACTGACAACAGTCTTTCAACAGGTAGGAAGGATAATAAAAGAAGAAAAAAGGTCCTATCCACACTAGGTATGGAAGCAGTGGCATCCTGTTCTTAGGACCGTCAGATCTTACTTCTGTTTTTACAACAAAGACCTTTAAGCAAAAATAAATAAATAGCCCTAAAGCATCATGTGTTTGAAATCAGTTACCTATTTCTCCAAAATCTCCTTCTCTCACAGCAACATTACTATTAGGATGGAAAATTTAACTGGCAACTTTCCCTATCCCTTTTTGGTAAGAGGGAAACCTTTTGAATCAAGATGCTTTAATAAAGAAATAAAGGTACTTCTTGATCCGCCTGCCTCGGCCTCCCAAAGTGCTGGGATTACAGGTGTGAGCCACTGCACCCGGCCGGGGACTGTTGTTTCTAAAGGCCAAACCAGAACTACGCTAGTAGAGAAAATAGCAACCCAAGTTTAAACTATGATTTATTAAAGAAAAATTAATGTCTAACTTTGAAAAATGTGGTCATTTGAGTCAACTAATAAAGAAGCCAACAGCCTCATCATTCTTACCTATGGGAAGATTGAGTTCAAACTAGAAGGCACACAGTAAACCATACTCAAGGGTCTGGAGCCCATCCACTACCCGATTTTCAGATCCCTCAACATGTACACATGCGTGCACACACACACGCACATACACACACACGAGCTCATACAGGCACACGAGACAGGACAGCAATGAACAGCAAGTATCCTTGCCCACTCAGAGCTGAAGCCCAGGGTGTTTATTCTATTCTAGATCTGCTCTCATGCAGAGGAGCTGAAGGTTCTCAAGAGGGGCTAAAGTTCCTGGACTAAGATACTTGAAGCCCCAGGTGCTTGTGAGGACAGAGGGAGTATAAGGTGCAGATGCAACTATAAGGGCTGAAAAGCCAAGTCCAAAATGGACAATGCATCTGCAGGCCTTGGCTTCTGATGCAGGGAAAGTCCAAGAGGGCTTAAACTTCAACACTTGTCCCTCCCATATTGTAAGTTATTTTTGAAATTACCCTTAGCCTTCAGTAAATAATTTCATATAGATGTATAGAGTAAACACAGCGATGAAAAGTTGGGGGGTCCCATGGGAGGGTGTCTGCTCCATTTCTCTCTCCCCAGGTTTTAGCAGACAAAGAACGTCAATCCTTCTGTGGATTTGCCAAGTGGTGCTTGGCAAAAGAAAGAGACTCATATGCTAAACCACCACCTCCACTGCCTGCAGAATAAATTAAACCCCTCTGCCCCTGAGGAGCACTTCCATTTATGTATTTATTATTCCAGCAAGGTTCTGCTACTTTAAAGACACACCCTCAACTTAGGTAAAATCACTGAACAGTAAATCAGAAAATGTAAGAGAAAAGAAGTGGTAAATAGATTCTCAGCTCTCCTCTCTATATCCAAGTATGAATATGCTGGCTCATCTGTCTCCTATATCTCCTCACTTTAATTAACTCCAAAATAATCAGGCTCAATTCTTCATTGGTTTCAAAATGAGTATCTGTCCATTGATTCATTTAACAAAAAATTGTTGGATGCCGAGCATAGGGTGGACTGGAAAAGAAGGCAAGATTGGATACAAGGAGCTCAGGAAGTTATCACTTCGGACATTTTAGTCCAGGACAATTCCTAAATGCTGACCCTAGAACCATTGATGGCATAGGGTCAGTCTGCTTAAAAGGAGAAAAAGAAAGAACCATGGGTATAGAAATGTAACACAATGCAAGGTTGGGAAAGACCTTTTTTCTGAGAATATGTCCTTTTTTTGTTAAAATGTCCTTTCTTTTATTCATATGAAATGGTATAGTAAGGAGATTTTTTTTATTTTATCAAGTTGAAAATTCTATCAGTTAATCAAACTTTTTAGTTTCATAAAATCATAAAATTTGGAAACCACTCATCGAGATAATACACATTAAAGCCCCAAATAAACCTTAGCATTTCATAATAGATTATTGTTTATAAAGGGCATGTGCATTATCTTACTGGACTCCTACCTTCCCCTCAAACACACACACACACACAGAAAAAGAGAGAGAGAGACAGAGAGAAAGAGAGAGAGAAATTCAGGCACAGAGAGAATCGTCCACAGTAGTAGGGCTAGTAAGTACAGAGGAAAGATGAAACCTGAGGCCTTTAGATTTGAATCCTAGTGTAAGAAATAGTGTGAAGTTATAATTGGCAGGGCTTGGTGACAGATGGAATAAGGGAGAATAGGGTGGGGGAGGCAGGAAAAGCAAGGCCGGCAGAGAGGAGAATGCAGAATCAAAATGATTCAGATTGTGTTTGTTTTAGGTTTGGTTTTCTCCTATAACTGCTTCATTCTAAAATGCATTTTCTTTATGTTATTTTAAATTATGTAGCAGCACATTCTTTTGGGTTTGTCATATTACACAAATGAAAATAAATTAGTAAGATAATAATTTTTATTATTTAAAGGAAGAAAATCCTCCTCATAATATGGAGGGAGAGGGGAATGAAGGGGAATCCACCACTTTATATGAGGGTCCAATTTTGTAGCTGTTAAAATTTTGCTCTCCATTGTGACATGCAACCCCCTTCATTTCTGCCCCGAGCCCTGCTTCCCAGGGCCATCCCCCGAAGGCCCCACCTGTGCCCAGCCTTCCCAAGCTTCCACTCCTCATCTCTTTGTTCTCGTCATTCCCTCAGCACAGTGTACCAGTCTGTGAATTGATGTTTTTTTTAAAAAACTAATTTCTAAAGTTTATTTTTTGTTGTTGTTTTGTTTTGTTTTGAGACAGAGTCTCACCCTGTGGTCCAGGATGGAGTGCAATGGCGCAATCTTGGCTCACTGCAACCTCCACCTCCCGGGTTCAAGCAATTCTCCTGCCTGAGCCTCCCGAGTAGCTGGGACTACAGGTGCCCGCCACCATGCCCGGTTAATTTTTTGTATCTTTAGTAGAGACGGGGTTTCGCCACATTGGCCCTGCTGGTCTCGAACTCCTGACCTCTTGATCTGCCCACCTCGGCTTCCCAAAGTGCTGGGACTACAGGCATGAGCCACGGCACCAGACCAAATGTCTAAAGTTTTTATTACTCTTCACTTCAGAATAATTTCAGGTGTATAAAAAGTGAGAAGTAACATCAAAAATTACCTATCGACCTTCAGCTATCCCCAAAGACATTGTCCCACTGATGTCTTTTTTTCTGATCCATGATCCCGCGTTGCATTTAGTCGTCATGGTTTCTCAGTCTCCTTTGTCTGGGATAGTTCTTGAGCCTTGCTTTGTCTTTCATGTCCCTGCTATTTTTGAAGATTACTAGTCAGTCATTCTGTAGACTGCCTATGTTTCCTCATGATTAAATTCAGACTGTGCATTTTTGGCAGAATTATGTCCTCCCAAGAGAAGATGTTGTGCCTTTCTCAGTACATGTATTAGGAGACATATGGTGCTGGAACATCTCACTACTGGTAATGATAACTTCTGTCATTTGGTTAAGATGCTATCTGCTAGGTTTCTCCACTGAAAAGTTTCTATTTTTCCGTTTATAATCTGTGACTATCTTGAGGGGACATATTCAAGGCTATGTAAATATCCTGTTTCTCATCATGTGTTAGCATGATGTTAGTAGCCATTAGTGATTCTTGATTGAAACAATTATTAATGTGATGTTTGCCAAATGATATTTTTCTATTTCCTTTTTTTTAGACAGAGTCTTGCTCTGTCACCCAGGCTGAAGTGCAGTAACACAATCTTGATCTCGGCTCACTGCAACCTTCACCTCCCAGGTTCAAGCGATTCTCCTGCCTCAGCCTCCCGAGTAGCTGGGATTACAGGCACCCGCCACCATGCCCGGCTAATTTTTGTATTTTTAGTGGAGGCAGGGTTTCGCCATGTTAGCCAGGCTGGTCTCAAACTCCTGACCTCAAGTGATCCACCCGCCTCAACCTCCCAAAGTGCTGGGATTACAGGCGTGAGCCACTGCACTCGATATTTTTCTATTTCCGTCACTTCTTCTCTATTTGTGAATTAGAATTCTACTGTTAAAAAAAAGAGAGCATGTTCCCCTCTTCCACCACTTATTTATTTATTATTTATTCAATTGTTTGTATCAGTGAACTCATGGAAACTTATTTTATTCTATAGAGTATGGTCCATTACTCTCCTTATGTATTATTTTGTTTAAATTATGCCCAATTTTACTACTGGGAGTTCCCTCAGGTGGCTCCTGTATCCTGTCAACATGTCCCCATCTGTTTTTGAGCACCTTCTTACTTCTCAACACCACACAATGTTACAGACCCATCTTTTACATTTCTTTCCCCTGCCCTGGTATCAAGCACTTTCCAAAGAGCCCTGGTTCTTTTTAATGAGAGAATGATATTTAGAAATTAGACCTGGTTGCTAGGCATGCTCGTTGGTACAGTAGTGTTGATTCCAGGCCCTCTCTGCATACAGATTTAGGAAACATATCCTAAGTATGCACAGACACGCACACACCACCACCACTACTGCTCCCCTACCACCACCCTACCACCACCACCACCCACTACCACCACCACCAAACCCCGCTACCACCACCATCATCACACCACCCTACCACCCTCTCTATATATACATACAATTTACAGTTTAATTTGTAGTTCAAATTAATAGCTTATATATCACAAGATTCATTCTACCCTTCTCCCTTTCCTTTTATTTATTCATTTTTGACTTTTTTTCTCCAACAGTGAGATCCCTGGCTCTCGGGAATTATTTACAGACCTTCTTTGTCTTTTAAAATCTAAATTAGTTTGCTCAATCCTATAATATATATATATAAAGTAGATGCAGAATTGCCATTTCATACCCCTGTGAAAAATAAACTTACTAGCTAAAGTACAATATTTGTATATAATTCTTTGTATACAGTTTTAGTCATGTGCATTTCTATTTGTGCACAGCTTTTTGTCTTTTAGCCATACAGCATGTAGTGAAAATATTATTTTCCAGAGTTATTGAGATTTGTTCTTTTTCTTCTCCACACCCTTCAGTGCGGTTGTTATTCATTCGTAATATGGTTAGGTTCATTTGTTATAGTTAGTATTCCATTTCAGGTCCCCTCTCCCCACCCATCCTGTTGGTTTTATTTATTGAATGTATGAAACATTGATATGGTTATAAATGTCACAAAATGGTTGTGACTATGGTTATAAAAGTCACAAAAATGCCATTCCCCCCTCATCCCTTCTATCCTATTCCCATCCCTCCATTCTTTTCATCCAGACTTAGAGGTTATTTTAATCCGGGTGTTGGGAAGGATGGTTTTTGCTCTTAGATATATGTTGTAGAACTGAGGAAGAAATGGAAGATTTGTAGGAAGAAGATGACACATTCAATTTTGTAAATGAGTTAAGGTGCCTGTGTAGCTGTTCATGTGGAGATAAGCATCAGGCAATTGGTAGTTAAGATTTGGCACTCAGGAGGGATTTAAAACAAGGAGTAAAACAGGCCCTCCTTTAGTACCTGGGAAATTTGTATTTTCTATCACCTCCATACATTTTATTTCTATTTCTCTAAAATCAGTCTGTTTTTAAGAACAAAGCTAAAAATTATGGTTCTAATTCATTAAACCACAACATGCTGTCAAGCAAATATACAAGCTGCCTTTTTTCATGCCAAATATTTCCTTTGACAGGAGAGAGATTTAGGACTCTTTCCATAGAATCAATGTAGATTGATTCACTCCAAAATAAACCAGTGGTTTGCTACTAGTTAAACCTCTAAGTACTGGAGCAGATATTCCCAATCAAATTTTTTTTTTTATAAAATTCAATTCATGCTGTTAAGAGATAATTTTTTGTCAGTATGTAGAAGTATTTAATATGTAGAAGTCATTATTGGCATCAAAATTGTTGGCAGCATTTTGTCACGTCAGCTGGGGTGGAGAAAAACAACTCTTGAATGGATGACTTTTTGGGTGAAGTTTTTTAAAACAAAGAGGTTTCTTCTTCTGATTCTAGAAGTAACATATCCTTATTATGAAAAATAAAGTTGGTATCAAAAATGTTACAAAGTACAGCTGGGCGTGGTGGCTAACGCCTGTAATTCCAGCATTTTGGGATGCTGAAGTCAGAAGTTGGAGACAAGCCTGGCCAACATGATGAAACCCCTTCTCTGCTAAAAATACAAAAATTAGTTAGGCATGGCAGCACGCCTGTAGTCCCAGCTACTGGGGAGGCTGAGGCAGGAGAACTGCTTGAAATCCGGGAGGTGGAGGTTGCAATGAGCTGAGATCGTGCCACTGCACTCCAGACTGGGTGACAGAGTGAGACTGTGTCTCAAAAAAAAAAAAAGTCATAAAATGAGTAAAAAATGGCAATATTATATCACTTAAAAATAACTACCATGAACACTTTTGTATTTTTCTCCATGTACTTTTTTCAATCAATATACATAAATGCTTAAAGTATATTTATATGTGTATGTATACATTTATATATGTGCTTAAATAAATATACATACACATATGTTATATATGTATATATTTATACATATACTTATTTAAATACATATATACACATACTTATACATAAATTTATGTATAAATATATACATGCACTTGTAATCATACTATATATACTGCTTTTGTTCTGTTTTGGTTTGGTTTTGGGTTTTCTTATTTTTTTGCAGACGGAGTCTCGCTCTGTTGCCCAGGCTGGAGTGCAGTAGCACGATCTCGGCTCACTGCAACCTCCACCTCCTGGGTTCAAGCGATTCTCCTGCCTTAACCTTCTGAGTAGCTGGGATTACAGGTGTGTACCATCACACCCGGCTAATTTTTTGTATTTTTAGTAGAGATGGGGTTTCACCATGTTGGCCAGGCTGGTCTCAAACTCCTGGCCTCATGTGATCCACCCACCTACGCCTCCCAAAGTGCTGAGAATACAGGCATGAGCCACCACGCCTGGCCTATATAAAGTGTTTGGAATCTACTTTTGTTCATTTCATGACATATTGTGGACCTCCTGCAATATCAATAAATACAGCACTACATCATCATTTTTTATAGTTCCATAGTATTCCATTGCATGACTATACCATAATATATTTAACTAATTTCTAATTATAAGACATTAAACTATGTCTAGATTTTCATTATCACAAACTACATTGCAAGGAATACCTTTTTTCTTTTTTTTAAATTATACTTTTAAGTTGTAGGGTGCATGTGCACAACATGCAGGTTTGTTAAATAGGTATACATGTGCCATGTTGGTTTGCTGCACCCATCAGCTTGTCATTTACATATCCCTCCCCCAGACCCCCACCCCCCAACAGGCCCCAGTGTGTGACATTCCCCACCCTGTGTCCATTTGTTCTCATTGTCCAATTCCCACCTATGACTGGGAACATGCAGTGTTAGGTTTTCTGTCCTTTTGATAGTTTGCTGAGAATGATGGTTTCCAGCTTCACCCATGTCGCTGCAAAGGACATGAACTCATCCCTTTTTATGGCTGCATAGTATTCCATGGTGTATATGTGCCACATTTTCTTAATCCAGTCTATCATTGATGGACATGTGGGTTAGTTCCAAGTCTTTGCTATTGTGAATAGTGCCACAATAAATATACATGTGAATGTGTCTTTATATTAGAATGATTTATAATCCTTTGGGTATATACCCAGTAATGGGATGGCTGGGTCAAATCGTATTTCTAGTTCTAGATCCTTGAGGAATTGCCACACTGTCTTCCACAATGGTTGAACTAATTTACACTCCCACCAACAGTGTAAAAGCATTCCTATTTCTCCACATCCTCTACAGCATCTATTGTTTCCTGACTTTTTCATGATTGCCATTCTAACAGGCGTGAGATGGTATCTCACTGTGGTTTTGATTTGCATTTCTCTAATGAGCAGTGACGATGAGTATTTCTTCATATGTCTGTTGCCTGCATAAATATCTTCTTTTGAGAAGTGTCTGTTCATATCCTTTGCCCACGTTTTGATGGGGTTGTTTTTTTCTTGTAAATTTGTTTAAGTTCTTTGTAGATTCTGGATATTAGCCCTTTGTCGGATGGGTAGATTGCAAAAATTTTCTCCCATTCTGTAGGTTGCCTGTTCACTCTGATGATAGTTTCTTTTGCTGTGCAGAAGCTCTTTAGTTTAATTAGATCCCATTTGTCAATTTTGGCTTTTGTTGCCATTGCTTTTGGTGTTTTCATCATGAAGTCTTTACCCATGCCTATGTCCTGAATGGTATTGCCTAGGTTTTCTTCTAGGGTTTTTACGGTTTTAGGTCTAACATTTAAGTCTTTAATCCACTGTGAGTTAATTTTTCTATAAGGTGTAAGGAAGGGATCCAGTTTCAGCTTTCTACATATAACTAGCCAGTTTTCCCAGCACCATTTATTAAATAGGGAACCCTTTCCCCATTGCTTGTTTTTGTCAGGTTTGTTAAAGATCAGATGGCTGTAGATGTGTGGTGTTATTTCGGAGGCCTCTATTCTGTTCTATATATCTGTTTTTGTACCAGTACCATGCTGTTTTGGTTACTGTAGCCTTCTAGTTTAGTTCGAAGTCAGGTAGCATGATGCCTCCAACTTTGTTCTTTTGGCTTGGGATTGTCTTGGCTATGTGGGCTCTTTTTTGATTCCAAATGAACTTTAAAGTAATATTTTCCAATTCTGTGAAGAAAGTCATTGGTAGCTTGATGGGGATGGCATTGAATCTATAAATTACCTTGGGCAGTATGGCCATTTTCATGATATTGATTCTTCCTATCCATGAGCATGGAATGTTCTTCCATTTGTTTGTGTCCTCTTTTATTTCATTGAGCAGTGGTTTGTAGTTGTCCTTGAAGAGGTCCTTCACATCCCTTGTAAGTTGTATTCCAAGATATTTTATTCTCTTTGTAGTAGTTGTGAATGGGAGTTCACTCATGATTTAGCTGTCCGTTTGTCTGTTATTGGTGTATAGGAATGCTTGTGATTTTTGCACATTGATTTTGTATCCTGAGACTTTGCTAAAGTTGCTTATCAGCTTAAGGAGATTTGGGGCCGAGACGATGGGGTTTTCTAAATATACAATCATGTCATCTGCAAACAGGGACAATTTGACTTCCTCTTTTCCTATTTGAATACCCTTTATTTCTTTCTCTTGCCTATTGCCCTGGCCAGAACTTCCAACCCTATGCAGAATACAAGTGGTAAGAGAGGGCATCCTTGTCTTGTGCTGGTTTTCAAAGGGAATGCTTCCAGTTTTTGCCTATTCAGTATGATATTGGCTATGGTTTTGTCATAAATAGCTCTTATTATTTTGAGATACGTCCCATCAATACCTAGTTTATTGCGAGTTTTTAGGATGAAGGGCTGTTGAATTTTATCGAAGGCCTTTTCTGCATCTATTGAGATAATCGTGTGGTTTTTGTCGTTGGTTCTGTTTATGTGATGGATTATGTTTATTGATTTGCATATGTTGAACCAGCCTTGCATCCCAGGGATGAAGCCAACTTGATCGTGGTGAATAAGCTTTTTGATGTGCTGCTGGATTCGGTTTGCCACTATTTTATTGAGGATTTTCGCATCGATGTTCATCAGGGATATTGGCCTGAAATTCTCTTTTTTTGTGTGTCTCTGTGAGGCTTTGGTATCAGGATGATGCTGGCCTCATGAAATGAGTTAGGGAGGATTCCCTCTTTTTCTATTGTTTGGAATAGTTTCAGAAGGAATGGTAGCAGCTCCTCTTTGTACCTCTGGTAGAATTCGGCTGTGAATCCATCTGGTCTTAGACTTTTTTTGGTTGGTAGGCTATTAATTATTGCTTCAATTTCAGAAGCTGTTGGTCTATTCAAAGATTCAACTTCTTCCTGGTTTAGTCTTGGGAGGGTGTATGGGTCCAGGAATTCATCCATTTCTTCTAGATTTTCTAGTTTATTTACATGGAGGTGTTTATAGTATTCTCTGATGGTAGTTTATATTTCTGTGGGATTGGTGGTGATAACCCCTTTATCATTTTTTATTGTGTCTACTTGATTCTTCTCTCTTATCTCCTTTATTAGTCTTGGTAGTGGTCTATCTATTTGTTGATCTTTTCAAAAACCAGCTCCTGGATTCATTGATTTTTTGAAGGGTTTTTTTGTGTCTCTATCTCCTTCAGTTCTGCTCTGATCTTAGTTATTTCTTGCCTTCTGCTACCTTTTAAATTTGTCTGCTCTTGCTTCTCTAGTTCTTTTAATTATGATGTTAGGGTGTCCATTTTAGATCTTTCCTGCTTTCTCTTGTGGGCATTTAGTGTTATAAATTTCCTCTACACACTGCTTTAAATGTGTCCCAGAGATTCTGGTATGTTGTGTCTTTGTTCGCATTGGTTTCAAAGAACATCTTTATTTCTGCCTTCGTTTTGTTATTTACCCAGCAGTCATTCAGGAGCTGGTTGTTCAGTTTCCATGTAGTTGTGTGGTTTTGGATGAGTTTCTTAATCCTGAGTTGTAATTTGATTGCACTGTGGTCTGAGAGACTGTTGTGATTTCTGTTCTTTTACATTTGCTGAGGAGTGCTTTACTTCCAATTACGTGGTCAATTTTAGAATAAGTGCGACGTGGTGCTGAGAAGAATGTATATTCTGTTGATTTGGGTTGGAGAGTTCTACAGATGTCTATTAGGTCCACTTGGTCCAGAGGTGAGTTCAAGTCCTGGATATCCTTGCTAACCTTCTGTCTCATTGATCTGTCTAATATTGACAGTGGGGTGTTAAAGTCTACCATGATTATTGTGTGCGAGTCTAAGTCTCTTTGTAGGTCTCTAAGGACTTGCTTGATGAATCTGGGTGTCCCTGTATTGGGTGCATATATATTTAGGATAGTTAGCTCTTCTTGTTGAATTGATCCCTTTACCATTATGTAATGGCCTTCTTTGTCTCTTTTGATCTTTGTTGGTTTTATCAGAGACTAAGTCTGTTTTATCAGAGACTGCAGTGGATTTAATAGAAGTCTGTTTTATCAGAGACTAAGATTGCAACCCCTGCTTTTTTTTTTTTTTTCTTTCTATTTGCTTGGTAGATCTTCCTCCATCCCTTTATTTGGAGCCTATGTGTGTGTTTGCATGTGAGACGGGTCTCCTGAATACAGCACACCGATGGGTCTTGACAATTTAGTTTGCCAGTCTGTGTCTTTTAACTGGGACATTTAGCCCATTTACATTTAAGGTTAATATTGTTATGTGTGAATTTGGTCCTGTCATTAAGATGTTAGCAGGTTATTTTGCCCGTTAATTGATGCAGTTTCTTCATAGCATTGATGGTCTTTACAATTTGGCATGTTTTTGTAGTGGGTGGTACCATTTGTTCCTTTCCATGTTCAGTGCTTCCTTCAGGAGCTCTTATAAGGCAGGCCTGGTGGTGACAAAATCTCTCAGCATTTGCTGGTCTGTAAAGGATTTTATTTCTCCTTCACTTATGAAGCTTAGTTTGGCTGGATATGAAATTCTGGGTTGAAAATTATTTTATTTAAGAATGTTGAATGTTGGCCCCTACTCTCTTCTGGCTTGTGGGGTTTCTGCCGAGAGATCAGCTGTTTGTCTGATGGGCTTCCCTTTGTGGGTAACCCGACCTTTCTCTCTGGCTGCCCTTAACATTTTTTCCTTCATTTCAACCTTGGTGAATCTGACAATTATGTGTCTTGGGGTTGCTCTTCTCGAGGAGTATCTTTGTGGTGTTCCCTGTATTTCCTGAATTTGAATGTTGGCCTGCCTTGCTAGGTTGGGGAAGTTCTCCTGCATGATATCCTGAAGAATGTTTTCTTACTTGGATCCATTCTCCCCGTCACTTTCAGGAACACCAATCAGATGTAGATTTGTTCTTTTCACATAGCCCCATATTTCTTGGAGGCTTTGTTCTTTTCTCTTCACTCTTTTTTCTCTAATCTTCTCTTCTTGCTTTATTTCATTAATTTGATCTTCGATCACTGATATCCTTTCTTCCACTTGGTCAAATCAGCTATTGAAGCTTGTGCATGCGTCACAAAGTTCTCGTGCTGTGGTTTTCAGCTCCATCAAGTCATTTAAGGCCTTCTCTAAACTGTTTATTCTAGTTAGCCACTCATCTAACCTTTTTTCGAGGTTTTTAGCTTCCTTGAGATGGGTTAGAACATGCTCCTTTAGCTCAGAGAAGTTTGTTATTACCGACCTTCTGAAGCCTACTTCTGTCAACTCATCAAACTCGTTCTCCATCCAGTTTTGTTCCCTTGCTGGCGAGGAGCTGTGATCCTTTGGAGGAGAAGAGGTGTGCTGTTTTTTGGAATTTTCAGCTTTTCTGCTCTGGTTTCTCCCCATCTTTGTTGTTTTATCTACCTTTGGTCTTTGACGTTGGTAACCTACAGATGGGGTTTTGGTGTGGATGTGCTTTTTGTTGATGTTGATGCTATTTCTTTCTGTTTGTTAGTTTTCATTCTAACAGTCAGGCCCCTCAGCTGCAGGTCTGTTGGAGTTTTCTGGAGGTCCACTCCAGACCTTATTTGCCTGGGTGTCACTAGCAGAGGCTGCAGAACAGTAAATATTGCTGCCTGATCCTTCCTCTGGAAGCTTTGTCCCAGAGGGGCCCCCTGTCTCTATGAGGTGTCTGTTGCCCCTATTGGGAGGTATCTCCCAGTCAGGCTACACGGGGGTCAGGGACCCACTTGAGGAGGCAGTCTGTCCATTCTCAAAGCTTGAACGCTGTGCCGGGAGAACTACTGCTCTCTTCAGAGCTGTCAGACCGGAATGTTTAGGTCTTCGGAAGCTGTCTGCTGCCTTTTGTTCTGATATGCCCTGCCCACAGAGGTGGAATCTAGAGAGGCAGTAGGCCTTGCTGAGCTGCAGTGGGCTCCACCCAGTTCAAGCTTCCCAGGCTCTTTGTTTACGCTGTGAGCACCAAACCGCCTATTCAAGCCTCAGCAATGGCAGACACCCCCTCCCCACGCCAAGCTGCAGTGTCGCAGGTTGATCACAGACTGCTGCGCTAACAGTGAACAAGGCTCCGTGGGAGTGGGACCTGGCGAGCCAGGCATGGAAGGGAATTTCCTGGTCTGCCAGTTGTGAAGACCATGGGAAAAGCACAGTATTTGAGCAGGAGTGTACCAATTCTCCAGGTATAGACTGTCACAGCTTCCCTTGACTAGGAACGGGAAATCCCTGGCCTCTTGTGCTTCCTGGGTGAGGCGACACCCTGCCCTGCTTCAGCTCACCCTCCGTGGGCTGCACCCACCATCCAACCAGTCCCAATGAGATGAACCACGTACTTCAGTTGGAAATGCAGAAATCACCCGTCTTCTGTGTCAATCTTGCTGGGAGCTGCAGACCAGATCTGTTCCTATTTAGCCATCTTGGAAGAATCTTGGAATATCTTTTTTTTTTTTTCATTTTACTTTAAGTTCTGGGATACATGTGCTGAACATGCAGCTTTGTTACACAGGTATACAGGTGCCATGGTGTTTTCCTGCACCTATCAACCCGTCACATAAGTTTTAAGCTCCACATGCATCAGGTATTTGTCTTAATGCTCTCCCTCCTCTTGCCCCCACCCCCTGACAGGCTCCAGTGTGTGATGGTCCCCTCCCTGTGTCCATGTGTTCTCATGGTTCAACTCCCACTTATGATTGAGAACATGCAGTGTTTGGTTTTCTGTTCCTGTGTTAGTTTTTTGAGGGTGATTGTTTCCAGCTTCATCCATGTCCCTGCAAAGGACATGAACTCATTCTTTTCTAGGGCTGCATAGTATTCCATAGTGTATATGTGCCACATTTTCTTTATCCACTCTGTCATTGATGGGCATTTGGGTTGGTTACAAGTCTTTGCTTATTGTAAATAGTGCTACAATAAACATACGTGTGCATGTGTCTTTATGGTAGAATGATTTACAATCCTTTGGGTATGTACCCAGTAATGGGATTGCTGGGTCAAATGGTATTTCTAGTTCTAGATCCTTCAGGAATCGCCACACTGTCTTCCACAATGGCTGAACTAATTTACACTCCTACCAACACCGTAAAAGCATTCCTATTTCTCCACATCCTCACCAGCATCTGTTGTTTCCAGACATTTTAACGATTACCATTCTAACAGGCAGGAGATGGCATCTCATTGTGGTTTTCATTTGCATTTCTCTAATGGCCAGTGATGATGAGCTTTTTTCCATATGTTTGTTGGCCACATAAATGTCTTCTTTTGAGAAGTGTCTGTTCACATCATCCTTTGCCCACTTTTTGATGGGGTTGTTTTTCTCTTGTAAATTTGTTTAAGTACCTTGTAGACTCTGGATATTAGATCTTTGTCAAATGCATAGATTGCAAAACTTTTCTCCCATTCTGTAGGTTGCCTGTTCACTCTGATGATAGTTTCTTTTGCTGAGCAGAAGCTTATTAGTTTATTTAGATCCCATTTTTCAATTTCGGCTTTTGTTGCCATTGCTTTGGGTGTTTTAGTCATGAAGTCTTTACCCATGCCTATGTCCTGAATGGTATTGCCTAGGTTTTCTTCTAGGGTTTTTATACTTTTAGGTTTTATGTTTAAGTCTTTAATCCACCTTGAGTTAATTTTTGTATAAGGTGTAAGGCATGGATCCAGTTTCTGTTTTCCGTATATGGCTAGCCAATTTTCCCAGCACCATTTATTAAATAGGGAATCTTTTCCCCATTGTTTATTTTTGTCAGGATTGTTGAAGATGAGACGGTTGTAGATGTGTGGTGTTACTTCTGGGGCCTCTGTTCTGTTCCATTTGTCTATATATCTGTTTTGGTACCAGTACTATGCTGTTTTGGTTACTGTAGCCTTGTAGTATAGTTTGAAGTCAGGTAGCATGATGCCTCCAGCTTTGTTCTTTTTGCTTAGCATTGTCTTGGCTATACGGGCTCTTTTTTGGTTTTATATGAAATGTAAAGTAGTTTTTTCTAGTTCTGCGAAGAAAGTCATTGGTAGCTTGATGGGGATAGCATTGAATCTATAAATTACTTTGGGAAGTATGGCCATTTTCACAATATTGATTCTTCCTATCCATGAGCATGGAATGTTTTTCCTTTTGTTCGTGTCCTGTCTTATTTCCTTGAGCAGTGGTTTCTAGTTTTCCTTGAAGACGTCCTTCATGTCCCTGGTAACTTGTATTCCTAGGTATTTTATTTTCTTTATAGCAATTGTGAATGGGAGTTCACTCATGATTTGGCTCTTTGTTTGTCTATTATTTGTGTATAGGAATGCTTGTGATTTTTGCACATTGATTTTGTATCCCAAGACTTTGCCAAAGCTCTTTATCAGCTTAAGGAGTTTTTGGGCTGAGACGATGGGGTTTTCTAAATATACAATCATGTCATCTGCAAACAGAGACAATTTGACTTCCTCTTCCTATTTGAATACCTTTATTTCTTTCTCTTGCCTGATTGCTCTGGCCAGAAATTCCAATACTATGTTGAATATGAGTGGTGAGAGAGGGCATCCTGTTCTTGTGACAGTTTTCAAAGCTTTTGCCCTTACAGTCTGATATTGTCTATGGTTTTGTCATATATAGCTCTTATTATTTTGAGATATGCTCCATCAATACCTAGTTTATTGCGAGTTTTTAGGAAAAAGCGTTGTTGAATTTTATCGAAGGCCTCTTCTGCATCTATCGAGATAATGATGTGGTTTTTGTCATTCGTTCTGTTTCTGTGATGGATTACGTTTATTGATTTGCATATGTTGAACCAGCCTTGCATCACAGGGATGAAGCCAACTTGATAGTGGTGGATAAGCTTTTTGATGTGCTGCTGGGTTTGGTTTGCCAGTATTTTATTGAGGATTTTCGCATCAGTGTTCATCTGGAATACTGGCCTGAAATTCTCTTTTTTTGTTGTGTCTGCCAGGTTTTGGAACCAGGATGATGCTGGCCTCATAAAATGAGTTAGGGAGGAGTCCCTCTTTTTTTGTTGTTTGGAATAGTTTCAGAAGGAATGGTACCAGCTGTCTTTATATCTCTGGTAGAATTCAGCTGTGAATCCGTCCAGTCCTGGACTTTTTTCTTCATTGGTAGGCTATTAGTTGCTGCCTCAATTTCAGAATTTGTTATTGGTCTATTCAGGGATTCGACTTCTTCCTGATTTAGTCTTGGGAGGGTGTATGTGTCCAGGAAATTATCGATTTCTTCTAGATTTTCTAGTTTATTTGCATAGAGGTGTTTATAGTATTCTCTGATGGTAGTTTGTATTTCTGTGGGGTCAGTGGTGATATCCCCTTTATCATTTTTTATTGTATCTATTTGATTCTTCTCTCTTCTTTATTAGTCTGGCTAGTGGTCTATATTTTTTGTTAATCTTTGCAAAATTCAGCTCCTGGGTTGCAATGAATATCTTTACATGTATATCCTTGTATGCTTGTCCAATTATTTCTTTGAATTGAAATTGCTGAGTCTAAAACTGCATGTTTAACACTGATGTATTTTGACAAATTTTCTTCCAGAAAAGTTGGACTATTTATTAAAAGTTAGTAATTTGTTACTTTTATGGAACGTCTTGATATTTACAATTCATTCATACTCAATATTTATTTTGCGTTGTTTCTGGTTAAAATTGGTTTACATATGGAAAAGTGAGATTAGGTAAATGAGGGGTGAGTGATGATGGAGAGAGACATTTTTCAGTCTATATATTTTGATATAATTTTAACTAGACAATAAAAGTATGTATGTTGAGTATGTATTGAGTAACTATGTATTACTTGAGTAATAAAAACAAATAAAAACTGTTTAAGATCAGAACATAGACTACATCTTCAACTTTTAACAACACATTTTAACAGTTTGATTAATAGCTTTTTGACCTGAATAGCGTACAAGCACATCTGCCAAAAGTTAAATGCAAAGACCAAACTTGGCAATTGTAGTGAAGTGCAGCTGGTTTGTCTTATCTGACATGCAAACATTTAAGTACAATAAATTTTACCCACAGACTTTACAATCTCTGCTAGATGAAATATTCTCCCAAGTAGAGACTCAACTCTCTCTCTTTCATGTTCTTCTTTCCCACAGAAAAAAGTTTGCTCTATGTTCTTTTTATCTTCATGAAACAAACTTCTGTGGTTCTGTTTAAGCCAGGATACTTATGGGGAGAGTGACCATATAATCTGTTGTCCAAATAAGCACACTTTTGAGAGTAAGAAATATACTATAATAATGATGCCGAGATTACAAGGGTGAGCTAGAACCATGTCATGCAAAGTTAATTAAATAATCACCCTACTTAAAAGGCTTTTCAACTACTGTGATTTTAGGAGTTAGCTTTTAAAAAAAAATCAGTATTAAATGATGACTAGGTACTTTAAGAGTCAGAAAGAATATATTACCTATAATTTAGGCCCCAAACGAGTTTGTCAGGCACTTGGGAAGACAGGATTCATGGCAATAAAAGACAATATGGGAAGCATCAAGAAGGCCAAACTCAACAAATAATACCAAATATTGTTTTGTAGATGCCTTACAAATCTTTCACATACTTAATCTATTTTTCTTCATAATGCTCAAGTGAAATCACATATTTTTATCTTTACTTTAGAGTTGAGGCTGAAAAAAAGTGTTAGCACTTTCCCAAAGCCACCGAGTTAATAAAAAATCTGACACGAAACCAAAAACTCTAACTTAACGCTATATTAATCTTCAGTATCTGCCACCTATATATGTGGTATAACTATATGGAGAAGTGCCTCTTTGAAATCAGGGAGTATTCAATGTTAATCTAATATTTTAAACTGTAACTGGAGTAGGAACAGAGCAGAGAGGTAGATTTGGAGGTTGAGACTAGGGAAGTCAAGAACATATGCCAAGTTCAGAAGTACAGGGGATATAAGAGGTCAACAAGAAGGCATGTAGTTACATGTCCAGATCCACAAACCACTAAGCCCTGGGGAAGAGAAGAAAGGCCACTCCCAACAAAGGCAATAATATGGGCAAAGATATGGTTGAATTGTTGATCATTTCATATGAGTGGCACTCAGAAAGCATGTGGGAGTATATTATAACAGAGAAATCAGATACTGAGATCTATATAAAACTGTATTTGAGGAAAATGTGTTGAGGCTATGAAATAAGAATCAAAACTGAGGAGGACTAGAGTAATAGCTGTGCCAATAAGGGGTAATTTTTTTAAAAAAAGCAAAACAATTAATGATGAGAAGAGTGAGAGTACTAGAAAAAAAGACTCCCAGATAGTTATGCCTGAGAGAATGCTGGTACATGACAGAAATGTGGAGGTGTATTGGGAAAGTCAGCTTATAATTCAGGTAAAGGAAGTACATTCGTTTAGTAGGACTGCCATAACAAAATACCACAGACTAGGTAGTTTAAACCACAGAAATTTATTTTCTTATGGTTCTGGAGGCCAGAAGTTCAAAGTCAAAGTGTTTGTAGGTTTGGTTTCTTTTGCACCCTCTCTCGTTAGCTTACAGATGGCTGTCTTCTCTCTTGTGTCTTCACATGGTCTTCCAACTGTGTGTGTCTGAGTCCTAATATCCTCTTTGCATAAAGACAATCAGCCATAAGACCTCATTTTACGTTTACCTTAATTACATCTTTAAAGACCCTATCTTCAAATACGGTCACATTCTGAGGTACTGGGAGTTAGGAATTCAACATATGAATTTGGTGGAGGGAGCAGGGAGACACAATTCAGCTCATAACAGGGAGAGACTAAGGGAGGGACTGTTTCAGTATTAGCTTTTTGGAATTAGCAATGAAAGTAGGTTACTGGGTAGAACCATTTAGGAAGCAGTTGGAGATACCCAACAGAATTTACGTACTAAAAGATCTTAGCTGAAGCTGTGAGACTCCATGACACCTCTAAAAGAAAAAGCATAGAGAATTAATAAATTCAAAGGAACAAATATTTGTTTAGCATCGGATAGTAAGGTGCTATGATCAGTACTGTGAAATACATAAGAAGGGAGAAGATATTCTCAAGAAATATACAAAATAATAAGAAATATACACAGACACAACTATGCAAATGACAGAGGATGAAAATGGCCCCAAAAGAGGACAGATAAGTGCTAAGAGTACTTAGAGAAAGACGAGGTCACATTGGATGTTGAAAAGGAACACACAGAGGGGCTAGGACTGAGCCTCAGGGATAATTTGTTTCCCTCATTAACGGTGACCTTTGCCAGCACATGGTATTTTCCTTGGTCAATCTGGAAGGACCAAGTGATTCAACCCAGGACTTTAGAATTGAGCATAAATCATTTAGTACTGGCTTTAAGCAATGTCAGTAAATGCTGGATCAGACTTAGGGTTAAAACTGGTCAAGATCACAAAAAACTCAGTTGTATGGCTTTTTTTAATAAACATAAGGAGAAATGCCTGCAGATCACTTATCAATATCTTAGTGAGTGAGAATTCATCTGGAATTAGTACACACCAGCTGCTCCCACATGCAGGCTAAGCTGTGGGGTCCTGAAAGTCCCATCTGCCCAGGAGCACCTCTCTGTGTAGCATGCTACTTTTGTCCAGAATTCCCACTCCTCCAGGGTAATGCACTGTGACTCCAGGAGGCTCTTATTCAAGTACAGTTGGGTTTCAGGTTGGGCATGTCTATGAACTCATAGTACTATGGGGTCAGTTTTTCAGTTTAGTTAGTGGTCATTTTAGAGTATCAGTGAAAATATGATAGAGGTAAATATATTTTGATACTGTGATGGGAAAGATAGAAAGTTTGTTGTTAGATGCGGCTGAGGATGTGGAGAAACGGGAACCCTCATACACTGTTGGTGGGAATGTAAACTAGTACCCACTATGGAGAACAGTATGGAGTTTCCTCAAAAAACTAAAACCTGAAAACAGAACGTGATCCAGCAATTCCACTGCTGGGTATATATACAAAAGAAAGGAAATGAATATATGGAAGAGATATCTGCACTCCTATGTTTATTGCATCACTATTCACAATAGCCGGGGAATGGAATCAACCAAAGTACTCATCAATGGATGAATAGATAAAAGAAAACTGGTACATATTGAATGCTATTCAGTCACAGAAAGGAATGAAATCTTGTCATTTGCAGCAACTGCAACATTTGTATTTGGAACTGGAGGCCATGATGTTAAGTGAAATAACACAAGCACAGAAAGACAAAAGACAAATATTTCATGTTCTCACTCATATGCAGGAGCTAAAAAAGTGGATCTCATCAAGATAGAGAGTAGACTGTGGTTAGCAGAGGCCAGGAGGGATGGGGGAAGAGAGAGATAAAGGGAAAAAAGAATATAAATGTATTTAATAACACTGAAATATACACCTAAAAATGGTAAAGGTGGTAAATTATATATGGATATTTTACCTCAATGAAAATTTTTTTTAAAAAAAAAGATAGTACATGCTGGGTATGGTGGCTCACGCCTGTAATCCCAGCACTTTGGGAGGCCGAGGCAGGCAGATCATGAGGTCAGGAGTTCGAGACCAGCCGACCAATATGGTGAAACCCCGTTTCTACTAAAACTACAAAGATTAGCCAGGCGTGGTAGCACACGCCTGTAATCCCAGCTACTCAGGAGGCTGAGGCCGGAGAATCGCTTGAACCTGGGAGGCGGAGGTTGCAGTGAGCCAAGACCATGCCGTTGCACTCCAGCCTGGGTGACAGAGTGAGACTCCATCTCAAAAAAAAACAAGAAAGAAAGTACTTGGTTAACATCCTGGGAAGCTGGGGGAAGGACCTACAGGAACTGTCTGCATTGTCTTTCTAACTCTTCTGTTAGTCTAAAATTATTTCAAAATTAAAAGTTTATTTAAAAAAAAAAGAATACAAAGTATGGAAATGCCCAGGAAAGAACGTTAATGAAAAAGCAAATGTAAAGTTGTATAAACAAAGTGACCACAAACATATAAAAAGATATATACCAAATATACCAAAATTGGCAGTGGTTATTTCTGTGTGGAGAAATTAAAGGTGACATATTTTCTCTTTATGCCTTTCTGTCACCTCCAAATTTTCTTCAATGAGAATTTTTTAATTTTACAGGAGAAAAAATAAAAACGAAAACAAAAACTATTTGAAAGTGCTCACTGCCTTCCTCAGGCTCCCTCAGTATCCCTAAGGACTGTTGAGGGTGTCCAGATTTCTTAGCATGGCAAACAAGGGGCCTCATGTTATCTGGTCTGTCTCTCTCTTCAGCCTCATCTCTTGTCCTCTTCCCTTCTCATTATTATGAGCTACTTACAGGCCCCAAACTTACTTCATGGTATAGGGTGTCTTCAGTCTGGAAATTCCTCCCCCAAATCTTCCCCTTGTTAAGGACTATCCCTTAGGACTCAGCCACAGCCTCACTCAACAGGACTTCCCTGCCTCCTCTCTACCCCATGCTACCATAGTACCATACTTTGGCTGCTTTTTGCATTTATCACACATTAATCTGTCTCACCCACTTGTCTGTGATTCCCTTGAGCACAGGGTCTCTGTGTTATTATCCAGGCTTTGGAGCCTGGCACAGTGCTAGCACATAGTAGAACCTCCACCACTTTTTAATGAGACTAATTTCATTCACTATAATCATTGTTTCTCCTGTAGCGCCGCCATCACCACCTTCCCCTAACATCCCTAGATGCAAAGAGAAACTTGCCACAATCTAGTCATATAGTTCTCCAAAACAGAGGGTGACTGGAGCCTGCCTGGGGTAGGTGGTTCCAGCAGTCATGAGTTCCTGGAAATTCTCCCAGGGACACTGCATTGACGGATCCACACAAGGTTTCTCTGAAAAAAGCTGACAGAAGCTTCTCTAGTAGTTCCTGAAGCTGGTACCCTACAATGTAAAAGCAAACTACTCCATATGAGAATTGAAAAGGGTGTGAAGCAGAAATTTCCTTTTCCTCTCAGACTTAGGGAATGCAGTTTCCATAAGTTAAAAAAAGAAAAAAGCAGTAAAGTAAGCTGTAAGATTTTCCAGCTCTAATGTGTGGTTTCCCTCATATAAAACTTTCATAAGCTCAAGTCCTTCCTTAAGACAGGACTCGGAAACATGATTTTAGAAGCCAAACTTCTAGTACTACTCCCTCAATGAATTGGGTTTAGGGTTTCACAGACCGTAATTTCACCCCTTTGGGTAGGAGAATGAACACTATAAGCAGTCACAATCTACTGCCTTCAATGGGTGCTTCAGAGACTGTACTCCTAGTATCTATCACAGTGTCATAAAATAAGCATAACAGAATATTTGAATGAACAAATAGTCTTTTTTTCTTATTTGCTTCATTGTTTCAGTATAATTCTCACATAGGAAAAAACTGTTCCACAGATTTCCAGAGTAATGTTGATGGGGAAGATCTCCTAGTCTATATCTTTTTTTCTCCCTAGTCTGTAGCTTTGTTCATAAAAACTATACTCTCTTTTACCTCCCCAACTGCTGGACACGCTTTCCCTCCTCTTTCATGGATCCCTTCCTGGCTGAAGCCACTCCCTCATCCATAACTCCTTTTTTCTCTACTGTACTCTTCATGCCTTGGAAAACATGAAGAAGAAAAAAAAAACACATTGTGTCCTGATTGTGTATTATATTGTGTCTCTCAGAATGTCACAGATATTTTGGTGTTTTTGTCAATAAGACATTTCGGGACATAGCTCCTGTCAAAACATTAAAGTTGTAAATTCGATTATAAGAATTGTATTTATAAAATAATTTTCAACAGAATAGTGTGTTATTTAAAATAATAAAATGGAGGCAATGGAATGAATTTCTAATAGCAACAGACTGGTGGTAGGAGGACACATGGAAGGGAAGAGAGATGGTTTTGGATAACAGACTTCCTAGTGCCCTAGAGCATAAGGCTACCTTTAGGTATATGCTCCAAAGGTAGAATTTTTTTTTTTAAACAGTCTCGCTCTATCACCCAGGCTGTAGTGCAGAGGTGCAATCTCGGCTCACTGCAATCTCCACCTCCCATGTTCAAGTGATTCTCCTGCCTCAGCCTCCCGAGTAGCTGGGATTACAGGCACCCACTACCACACCCGGCTAATTTTTGTATTTTTGGTAGAGACAGGGTTTCACCATGTTGGCCAGGATGGTCTCAAACTCTCAACTTGAAGTGATCTGCCCATCTCAGGCTCCCAAATTGCTGGGATTATAGGCATGAGCTACCGTGCCCAGCTCAAACACAGAATCTTTTTTTGTTTTGTTTTGTTTTGTTGTTGTTTGTTTGTTTGTTTTTCTGAGATAGAATCTCGCTCTGTCACCCAGGCTGGAGCGCAGTGGCACGATCTCGGCTCACTGCAAGCTCCACCTCCCGGGTTCACGCCATCCTCCTGCCTCAGCCTCCTGAGTAGCTGGGACTACAGGTGCCCGCCACCACACCTGGCTAATTTTTGTTGTATTTTTTTAGTAGAGATGGGGTTTCACCATGTTAGCCAGGATGGTCTCGATCTCCTGACCTTGTGATCCACCCGCCTTGGCCTCCCAAATTGCTGGGATTACAGGCATGAAGCCACCGCGCCTGGCCAGAATCTTTAATCTATGCTAATGAACTGACACTGATTCTGAATTCACATCGTGGTTCTCTGAAATCAACTCATTTTCCAAGCAGAAGCAGGCTCCAACACTCCCTACCACCCCCCGGCTTCTGCTGTGTTCCCAAGGTACTCTGCTTGCCTCCAACACATTTAACTTTAAATGGGTAACTGCATATAAGGCTTTTCCCACTGCATTGTAAGTTCCTTGAAGACAGGGACTCATTCCATCTCCCCAGCATCCAGCATTATTTGACATATATGAAGTGTTCAATATATATTTGTAGAGTAAATAAATCTCTGTCCTTCCCTGAATGCCTAGCTAGGAAGTTCACACAAACAGGCTAGATACAGAATTTGCCTGCCAGACACCTAAGCTCATGAGGGCAGATTTTGGGCTGATTTGTTCACTGCTGTGTCCTAGAACAGTGCAGAGCACATAAATATACATTGAAGGAATGGATGGACCTGCCCCTTTTGAAAGGATACCTTCCCATCCCATGTCATCTGATTTTCCCAGCAAACACACTCTCTGACCTCAGGAATGCCTCTCAGCATTCCCTCTTCTTGTACTGAGTCTCTCTGATGGTAACTTCTTGCCCAAAACAACACACCCACTGGAACTCACAGGCCTGCTGGTTCCTATTCTTTGTCCTTCCAAGGTGGTCTTCTCCTTCTTCCTCTTCTCCTCTTCCTCTTCCTCCTCTCCTTTTTCTTATTCTCCCCCATGCTTCTTTGACTTATTTGAGACACGCAAAAAAAAAATCTTACATTTCATATATCATTATATCTTTTTTTTTTTGAGGCAGGGTCTCAGTTGGTCACCCAGGCTGGAGTGCAGTGGCGCAACCCTGGTTCATGGCAGCCTCGACCTCCTGGGCTCAAGCCATTCTCCCACCTGAGCCCCCCAAATACATGCATGCACCACCACGCCCAGCTAATTTTTTTCTATTTTCTTTTTTTAGAGATGGGTTTCACCATGTTGCTCAGGCTGGTCTCAAACTTCTGAGCACAAGCAATCTGCCTGTTTTGGCCTCCCAAATATATCATTACATCTTAATGATCATTTCTTCATCTACCATTCAGCTTACAAATTAAGATGGTACCATTAAAATTGAAGCTCCTATATATGTCTTTCCACCCATGCTTTTCCCTTACTAAAAGTAACCACTACCTTTTCTTTTTTACTATTATATATGTATTTACATACATACATATGTATGCATGTATATATATATATATATGTAAATGGTATTGTTTTATAATTTTTAACTTTTGTTTTTGGTTTATTTTATTTTATTTGAGACAGTCTCACTCTGTTGCCCAGGCTGGAGTACAGTGGCATGATCTCAGCTCACTGCAACCCTCTGCATCCCGGGTTCACACAATTCTCATGCCTCCGCCTCCCAAGTAGCTGGGATTACAGACGTGAGCCACCACACCCAGCTAATTTTTGTGTTTTTAGTAGAGACTGGGTTTCACTATGTTGGCCAGGCTGGTCTTGAACTCCCAACCTCAGCTGATCCACCCACCTTGGCCTCCCAAAGTGCTGGGATTACAGGTGTGAGCCACTGCGCCTGGCCCAGTTTTTAACTTTTTATTAGTTATATAATATTCTAGCATGCTACTGCTACTTGCTTATTTTCTTTCTTTGTTCAGTTCTATATTTTGGAGATTTATCCATGTGGAAACATGGAGCTCCAGTTCCTTCCTCGTCACTGCTATACAATATTTCACTGTATAAAATATGACAACTGATTAATTCATTTTGCTACTAATTGATGTATAGATAGTTTTGCATTTTTGCTATTATGAACACCACTGCTATGGACGTTTCTGTTACCCGTTTGGTGGGATTGAAGGAGTTCCAGTTGGCCCACTGGGAGAAAGTCCAATTCTACTTTTTCATGAGGACTCCAACAGAGCCAGCACTCTCCAGCCACTGTAGGCCCAAGAACTCAATGGCTCAGGAGACGACAGCTGTGTTAGGCTGGCAATGAAAGTGGAGGAAATGCATTTAAGTTGCTTCCTTCCAGAAATTCTGTTTAAAGTCTTGACTTAAAGATGACACGAAATTGTCCTGTTATGTTTCTCTAGCAGCCTGGCAGTCCAAGTGTAAGGCTGAAGAAAGCAAATATTTGGATTCATTCAGTAGTAACTGTCCAGTAATAACATAATCTACTTTTATTTGTTTGTTTTTTTGAAACAGAGTCTCACTCTGTTGCCCAGGCTGGAGTGCAATGGCACGATCTTGGCTCACTGCAACCTCTGCCTCCTGGGTTCAAGTGATTCTCATGCCTCAGCTTCCTGAGTAGCTGGGATTACAGGTGTGCTCCACCACGCCTCGCTAATTTGTTTTGTATTTTTAGTAGAGACAGGGTTTCACTCCTGGCCTCATTTGATTCACCCACCTTGGCCTCCCAAGGTGCTGGGATTACAGGCCTGAGCCAATGCACCCAACCACATAGTCTACTTTTAACTCTAGTCTTGCTTGCTTACCTTGAAAATTGGTATTTCGTCTGCTTGCATTTTTTTGCACTGTTTTTGACAGAATTTTTGATCTACATCTTATCCATTCTGAGATGATATTGAAAGACATCACATGTATAAATGTGGGAGGAGGGGCTGGGCGCAGTGGCTCACGCCTATAATCCAAGGCAGGTGGATCACGAGATCAGGAGATTGAGACCATCCTGGCTAGCGTGGTGAAACCCCGTCTCTCCTAGAAATACAAAAAAAAAAAAAAATTAGCCAGGTGTTGAGGCACGTGCCTGTAGTCCCAGCTACTCAGGAGGCTGAGGCAGGGGAATCACTTGAACCTGGGAGACAGAGGTTGCAGTGACCCGAGATCACACCACTGCACTCCAGCCTGGGCAATAGAGGAAGACTCTGTCTCAAAATAAATAAACAGAGGGAGGAGCCAAGACGGCTGAATAGGAAAAGCTCCAGTCTACAGCTCCCAGCGTGAGTGATGCAGAAGATAGGTGATTTCTGCATTTCCAACTGAAGTATCAGGTTCATCTCACTGGGGTGTGCCAGACAGTGAGTGGGTGCAGGACAGTGGGTGCAGCGCACCGTGCACGAGCCAAAGCAGGGCGAGGCTTCGCATCACCCGGGAAGCGCAAAGGGTCAGGGAATTCCCTTTCCTAGTCAAAGAAAGGGGTGACAGACAGCACCTGGAAAATCGGGTCACTCCCACCCAAATACTGTGCTTTCCCAATGGGTTTAAAAAACGGTACACCAGGAGATTATGTCCCACACCTGGCTCAGAGGGTCCTATGCCCACGGAGTCTTGCTCATTGCTAGCACAGCAGTCTGAGATCAAACTGCAAGGCCGCAGGGAGGCTGGGGGAGGGGCACCCGCCATTGCCGAGACTTGATTAGGTAAACAAAGCGGCAGGGAAGCTCGAACTGGGTGGAGCCCACCACAGCTCAAGGAGGCCTGCCTGCCTCTGTAGGCTCCACCTCTGGGGGCAGGGCACAGACAAACAAAAAGACAGCAGTAACCTCTGCAGACATAAATGTCCCTGTCTGACAGCTTTGAAGAGAGTAGTGGTTCTCCCAGCATGCAGCTGGAGATCTGAGAACGGGCAGACTGCCTCCTCAAGTGGGTCCCTGACCCCTGAGTAGCCTAACTGGGAGGCACCCCCCAGTAGGGGCGGACTGACACCTTACACGGCCGGGTACTCCTCGGAGACAAAATTTCCAAAGGAATGATCAGGCAGCAGCATTTGTGGTTCACCAATATCCGCTGTTCTGCAGCCACCGCTGCTGATACCCAGGCAAACAGGGTCTGGAGTGGACCTCTAGCAAACGCCAACAGACCTGCAGCTGAGGTACCTGTCTGTTAGAAGGAAAACTAACAAACGGGAAGGACATCCACACCAAAAACCCATCTGTATGTCACCATGATCAAAGACCAAAGGTAGATAAAACCAAAAAGATGGGGAAAAAACAGAGCAGAAAAACTGGAAACTCTAAAAACCAGAGTGCCTCTCCTCCTCCAAAGGAATGCAGCTCCTCACCAGCAACGAAACAAAGCTGGATGGAGAATGACTTTGACGAGCTGAGAGAAGAAGGCTTCAGATGATCAAACTACTCCAAGCTACAGGAGGAAGTTTGAACCAATGGCAAAGAAGATCAAAACTTTGAAAAAAAATTATACGAATGCATAACTAGAATAACCAATGCAGAGAAGTCCTTAAAGGATGTGATGGAGCTGAAAACCAAGGCACAAGAACTATGTGATGAATGCAGAAGCCTCAGTAGCCGATGTGATCAACTGGAAGATAGGCTATCAGTCATGGAAGATGAAATGAATGAAATGAAGTGAGAAGAGAAGTTTAGAGAAAACAGAATAAAAAGAAATGAACAAAGCCTCCAAGAAATATGGGACTATGTGAAAAGACCAAATCTGCGTCTGATCAGTGCACCTGAAAGTGACGGGGAGAATGGAACCAAGTTGGAAAATATTCTGCAGGATATTATCCAGGAGAACTTCCCCAATCTAGCAAGGCAGGCCAACATTCAGATTCAGGAAATACAGAGAACGCCACAAAGATACTCCTCGAGAAGAGCAACTCCAAGACACATAATTGTCAGATTCACCAAAGTTGAAATGAAGGAAACAATGTTAAGGGCAGCCAGAGAGAAAGGTCGGGTTACCCACAAAGGGAAGCCCATCAGACAAACAGCTGATCTCTCAGCAGAAACCCCACAAGCCAGAAGAGAGTAGGGGCCAATATTTAACATTCTTCAAGAAAAGAATTTTCAACCCAGAATTTCATATCCAGCCAAACTAAGCTTCATAAGTGAAGCAGAAATAAAATACTTCACAGACAAGCAAATGCTGAGAGATTTTGTCACCATCAGGCCTGCCCTAAAAGAGCTCCTGAAGGAAGCACTAAACATGGAAAGGAACAACCGGTACCAGCCACTGCAAAAACATGCCAAATTGTAAAGGCCCCCAAGGCTAGGAAGAAACTGCATCAACTAACGAGCAAAATAGCCAGCTAACATCATAATGACAGGATCAAATTCACACATAACAATATTAACTTTGAATGTAAATGGACTAAATGCCTCAATTAAAAGACACAGACTGGCAAATTGGATAAAGAGTCAAGAACCATCAGTGTGCTGTATTCAGGAAACCCATCTCATGTGTAGAGACACACATAGGCTCAAAATAAAGGGATGGAGGAATATCTACCAAGCAAATGGAAAACAAAAAAAGGCAGGGGTTGCAATCCTAGTCTCTGATAAAACAGACTTTAAACCATCAAAGATCAAAAGAGACAAAGAAGGCCATTACATAATGGTAAAGGGATCAATTCAATAAGAAGAGCTAACTATCCTAAATATATATGCACCCAATACAGGAGCACCCAGATTCATAAAGCAAGTCCTTAGTGACCTACAAAGACTTACACTACCACACAATAATAATGGGAGACTTTAACACCCCACTGTCAACATTAGAAAGATCAACGAGACAGAAAGTTAACAAGGATACCCAGGAATTGAACTCAACTCTGCACCAAGCTGACCTAATAGACATCTACAGAACTCTCCACCCCAAATCAATAGAATATACGTTCCTTTCAGCACCACACCACACCTATTCCAAAATCGACCACATAGTTGGAAGTAAAGCACTCCTCAGCAAATGTAAAAGAACAGAAATTATAACAAACTGTCTCTCAGACCACAGTGCAATCAAACTAGAACTCAGGATTAAGAAACTCACTCAAATCTGCTCAACTACGTGGAAACTGAACAACCTGCTCCTGAATGACTACTGGGTAAATAACAAAATGAAGGCAGAAATAAAGATGTTCTTTGAAACCAATGAGAACAAAGACACAACATACCAGAATCTCTGGGACACATTCAAAGCAGTGTGTAGAAGGAAATTTATAGCACTAAATGCCCACAAGAGAAAGCAGGAAAGATCTAAAATGGACACCCTAACATCACAATTAAAAGAACTAGAGAAGCAAGAGCAAACACATTCAAAAGCCAGCAGAAGGCAAGAAATAACTAAGATCAGGGCAGAACTGAAGGAAATAGAGACACAAAAAACCCTTCAAAAAATCAATGAATCCAGGAGCTGGTTTTTTGAAAAGATCAACAAAATTGATAGACCACGAGCAAGACTAATAAAGAAGAAAAGAGGAAGAATCAAATAGACGGAATACAAAATGGTAAAGGGGATATCACCACCAATCCCACAGAAATACAAACTACCATCAGAGAATACTATAAACACCTCTACGCAAATAAACTAGAAAATCTAGAAGAAATGGATACATTCCTTGACACATACACCCTCCCACGACTAAACCAGGAAGAAGTTGAATCTCTGAATAGACCAATAACAGGCTCTGAAATTGAGGCAATAATCAATCGCTTACCAACCAAAAAAAGTCCAGGACCAGATGGATTCACAGCCGAATTCTACCTGAGGTACAAAGAGGAGCTGGTACCATTCCTTCTGAAACTAGTCCAATGAATAGAGAAAGAGGGAATCCTCCCTAACTCATTTTATGAGGCCAGCATCATCCTGATACCAAAGCCTGTCAGAGACAAAACAAAAAAAGAGAATTTTAGACCGATATCCCTGATGAACATCGATGCAAAAATCCTCAATAAAATACTGGCAAACCAAATCCAGCGGCACATCAAAAAGCTTATCCACCATGATCAAGTGGGCTTCATCCCTGGGATGCAAGGCTGGTTCAACATACACAAATCAGTAAGTGTAATCCAGCATATAAACAGAACCAAAGACAAAAACCACATGATTATCTCAATAGATGCAGAAAAGGCCTTTGATAAAATTCAACAACGCTTCATGCTAAAAACTCTCAATAAATTAGGTATTGATGGGACATATCTCAAAATAATAAGAGCTATCTATGACAAACCCACAGCCAATATCATACTGAATGGAGAAAAACTGGAAGCATTCCCTTTGAAAACAGGCACAAGACAGGGATGCCCTCTCTCACCACTCCTATTCAACATAGTGTTGGAAGTTCTGGCCGGGGCAATCAGGCAGGAGAAGGAAATAAAGGGCATTCAATTAGGAAAGGAGGAAGTCAAATCGTTCCTGTTTGCAGATGACATGATTGTATATCTAGAAAACCCCATCGTCTCAGCCCAAAATCTCCTTAAGCTGATAAGCAACTTCAGCAAAGTCTCAGGATACAAAATCAATGTACAAAAATCACAAGCATTCTTATACACCAATAACAGACAAACAGCCAAATCATCAGTGAACTCCCATTCACAATTGCTTCAAAGAGAATAAATTACCTAGGAATCCAACTTACAAGGGACATGAAGGACCTCTTCAAGGAGAACTACAAACCACTGCTCAATGAAATAAAAGAGGATACAAAGAAATGGAAGAACATTCCATGCTCATGGGTAGGAAGAATCAATATCATGAAAATGGCCATACTGCCCAAGATAATTTATAGATTCAATGCCATCCCCATCAAGCTACCAATGACTTTCTTCACAGAATTGGAAAAAACTACTTTAAAGTTCATATGGAACCAAAAAAGAGCCCGCATCGCCAAGTCAATCCTAAGCCAAAAGAACAAAGCTGGAGGCATCATGCTACCTGACTTCAAACTATACTACAAGGCTACAGTAACCAAAACAGCATGGTACTGGTACCAAAACAGATATATAGACCAATGGAACAGAACAGAGCCCTCAGAAATAATGCCGCATATCTACAACCATCTGATCTTTGACAAACCTCACAAAAACAAGCAATGGGGAAAGGATTCCCTGTTTAATAAATGGTGGTGGGAAAACTGGCTAGCCATATGTAGAAAGTTGAAACTGGATCCCTTCCTTACATCTTATACAAAAATTAATTCAAGATGGATTAAAGACTTACATGTTAGACCTAAAACCGTAAAAACCCTAGAAGAAAACCTAGGCAATACCATTCAGGACAGAGGCATGGGCAAGGACCTCATGTCTAAAACACCAAAAGCAATGGCAACAAAAGCCAAAATTGACAAATGGGATCTAATTAAACTAAAGAGCTTCTGCACAGCAAAAGAAACTACCATCAGAGTGAACAGGCAACCTACAGAATGGGAGAAAATTTTTGCAATCTACTCATCTGACCAAGGGCTAATATCCAGAATCTACAATGAACTCAAACAAATTTACAAGAAAAAAACAATCCCATCAAAAAGTGGGCAAAGGACATGAACAGACACTTCTCAAAAGAAGACATTTATGCAGCCAAAAAACACATGAAAAAATGCTCATCATCACTGGCCATCAGAGAAATGCAAATCAAAACCACAATGAGATACCATCTCACACCAGTTAGAATGGCGATCATTAAAAAGTCAGGAGACAACAGGTGCTGGAGAGGATGTGGAGAAATAGGAACACTTTTACACTGTTGGTGGGACTGTAAACTAGTTCAACCATTGTGGAAGTCAGTGTGGCGATTCCTCAGGGATCTAGAACTAGAAATACCATTTGACCCAGCCATCCCATTACTGGGTATATACCCAAAGGACTGTAAATCATGCTGCTATAAAGACACATGCACACATTTGTTTATTGCAGCACTATTCACAATAGCGAAGACTTGGAACCAACCCAAATGTCCAACAATGATAGACTGGATTAAGAAAATGTGGCACATATACACCATGGAATACTATGCAGCCATAAAAAATGATGAGTTCATGTCCTTTGTAGGGACATGGATGAAATTGGAAATTATCATTCTCAGTAAACTATCGCAAGGACAAAAAACCAAACACCGCATGTTCTCACTCATAGGTGGGAATTGAACAATGAGAACACATGGACACAGCAAGGGGAACATCACACTCTGGGGACTGTTGTGGGGTGGGGGGAGGGGGGAGGGATAGCATTAGGAGATATACCTAATGCTAAATGACGAGTTAATGGGTGCAGCACACCAACATGACACATGTATACATATGTAACAAACCTGCACGTTGTGCACATGTACCCTAAAACTTAAAGTATAATAATAATAAAATTAAAAATAAATAAGTAAATGTGGGGGGAAATTGCCATATATATATACATATATATCCTTGTAATGCCTCAGAACCTAGTGCATCAGAATTCTTTTTAAAACTCAATTAAAAAATATTGATTGTAATCTATTTTTCTACCAAGAATGTTAACCTTGGCTCTGAGATAGCATTTTTTTTCACCTTTTATGCATAGACATTTTGATGTCATGTGATATTTTAAAAGCCATATTAGTCTTCTCAATATATGAAGTCTTTACATCTTGAGGCTCAAGTTACAGAATATTTTCTGCCTTTAACTCTAACATTTAATATTCTTATATCCTACAGGAGGTCACAAAATGTTATACAGTAAAGTAATTGGAGCACCACCTGGTGGGCATTCTGGCTACATTCCTGACTTGAAGGGAACAAAATGTGGTTTTTTGAGACCAAGGAGGAATATGACTAGGAAGACATGTCTCCTCCCTTCCGCTGGAGACTGAAGTAACAACTACGTAACTCATAGAACCTTCCAACCACCTAATACTTTAGGAATGTGCTTGGAGCTCTTCTAAATCCATCTCACTTGAACTGCAAAGCCAGAAACAACAGCCATTATTCCTCTGAAGCCTGCAAAATGCTGAGTAGATTAAAAGGATTATGTTTCTGTTCTCATATGCTCAATGCCCATAGCTCAACAACCTTACTTTTACAAGAACCCAGCAACAATGATTTCATTTTGAATGAATCCACGATCTTCTCTGCAACATAGTTAAATGTAACCAGGCCAGGACGGTGGCTCACCCTTGTAATCCCAGCACTTTGGGAGGCCAAGGCGGGAGGGTCATTTGAGGCCAGGTTTTCGAGACCAGCATGTGCCACCATGCCTAGCTAATTTTAAAATTTTTTTGTAGAGATGGGGTGTCGCAATGTTGCCCAGGCTGGTCTTTAACTCCTGGCCTCAAGTGATCCTCCCGCCTCCGCCTCCCAAAGTGCTGGAATTACAAGTGTGAGCCACCGTGCATGTCAACCATTCTTATTTATTCTGCTTTTTATTTTCCTGGCTTCTCTTCAGCACTCTCAACCATTCTTTATAGCAATGCTCCCCAAATTTTTTCATGTGGTATTGCTCGTAGAAAGTGATAATATTAGTACAGTGCTGGACTAAATGGATGAGGTTGCTCAAAGGTTTTATGCAGCCTCTCAAAGAGATGCCACTGGGATTGAGCTCACTTGCCCAAGACAGTAACCCGCTTCTCAATGTATCCTTTAATGGTGTTCCTCTTTTGCCAGTCTTACTTGCCCACTCCCTGATCATGCCTCCTGGGATCACCTCCCAAGTAAACTACTTTCACCCAAATTCTTGTCCCATCACAGTAGATAATGAATACCAAAAAAATGGCAAAATGACAATAAAACTAATATCCAAGCAAAGTGGACCTTTGTGCATCAAGCTTTGCTCTAAAACATGTATCAACCTATTAGGTAAAGCAATGCATTGATTAATTAATGAAGGTAATTACTTAAATTCTGTGCTTCACTTTGCATGTGGAGGCACTGCATGCATTTTAAGAACATTTTTAGACTTATATCAAGACATTTGTCTTTCATACCTAAAGAACTAAGCTACAAAAGGTTTAATGACTTCCCACGTCACATCTTTAACAGTAAAAGTCAAAATAGTTAAAATTCATTGAGCATTCACTATATGCTGGATTCTGTGTGAAGTACTTTTCATCATTCCACTAATCATTTATTTTTAACTTTTTTTAACTATTTTTAATCATTTATTATTTTGGACGTTAAGATACCCACTCCACAAATGAGGAAACTGAGCTAAAAGAGATCGGTTCCAAATTGGCACTGATCAAAAATTAAAGAGAAAGCTTTGAACTAGCAAGTAGAGAGAAGCTGTGGCGACATAGACTATTTTTACACTACAAAATGTTATTCTAATAAAGTCTACATATACACTCAAAGTGAAGTAGAAGATCAGGACAGGTAATCAGATAATTCAAATGCGGCAAATTACTCTTTTTCACAGCAATTCATGAAAAACATATTTGGCTGAATTATCCACATGGTTAAATGAAATCTGCGCTATATGTTATATGTTTAACTAACCTTGAACTTGGTCTTAAACAAATCGTCACTTTGGTCAGCCCTATAAGCAACTGTGGTTGCAAAAAAATTGTCGAGCTGATTATTTGATTAGGTAAAATTGAAAACTCTGATATTTTTAGAGTTGACATTAACATTTCAGTAAAATGAATTCTTCATTCTTGACTCTGTAGGCCGTCTGGGTTTGTTTCCTAGAGACAGAGATGATATTTGCACCAAAAATCTAAATACAGAGAAACAATCTTGAGCAAATGGCCAAGTTTTCACATTGAGATGCTTAAACACATGAAGCTGCCCACATGAAACTGCTGTCATCTTCCATAAAGACTTGGTTTCTTTGTTTTATTTATGTTGACTCACATTGCAGCTACTTTATATTTAGAGTAAAATGGAAATTCTTCTGTATTCTACACAAAGCCAAGCAAATTGCAGTTTTCCTTTCGTTTCTGGGTGTCTTATTTGTTCAAGCTCTTTATAAATAGCCCTGAGCTTGGAAATTAGTTAAGTTTTGCTGTTTTTTCATTCTCCTTTTCTTATAGTTTAAAAATCAAACTGTCTGATTTTATTCTACTTTCATAAGACTGGGCAAGAAGCCCATTTCCTGTTAATGATGAGGTGACCATATTTTGACAGTACATTAAAGAATAGTTGGATGACATACTGGCAGGGGAAAGTCAATTGAGGAAAAAGTGTACTCAGATTTGGAAAATGAGTCAGTGTCTAGGAACCAACTGCATTTAACACACAAAATTTGCTCCAAATGAGCAAATTGAAAATCCTTTAAGAGAAGCTGCATAATAAATATGTCTAGAGTTGTCAGGCACAGAATTCTTTATAAAAAAATTCTGTTTAATTGCAGTGACATCAATTTCTGGGCTATCTATAGGATAAATTGATAGATTACTTAAACTAAAACACACAAATCAAATCACTAAATGCATTCACAACTTTTCCCTAGAATTGTCAAAGTCTACATGCCTAAGTGTGTTCTATTCTAGTAAGTGGTTGAGCGTCTACCGTAAACCAAAGTGTATGGAAAAATAACCCAAACCTTTGGAGGAACAAAATTAAAATGGCACATACCAACGTGGCAAGCTAGCAACAGATGCACCAGAGAGACTTTATATTAAAGAGCTGACTTGAAAAAGCTATTCAAGAAATCAAGATTTCTCCACTTCTTCAGCTTAATAATTAAAGTCATACTGTCCCTTCTCCTCCCCAAATAAAAGGTAAGAGTCGAATGAAAGAGGCTAACACAGACAACCTGATGGCCTTGAAAATACTGCATAATGGCCTGATCATTTGCCCACATGGTTCAGTAAAAAGGTCAAGTCATGTCTTCACCAGAGATTAAGCTGCTTCTCCATAGACATCCAGGTCAAAAGCAATCAGGACTATTAACAATCTAGTTGTTATTAATGATAACATATATAAACATTTTATAGCACTGTACAGCTTACAAATTGCTTTCACATACATTAATCACATGACCCTCATAACAATCCTATCAAGTAGGTAGAACATGTACTACTATTACTATTTTACGGAAGACATCACAATCCAATTCTCTAGATATCCCAGTTTTCTCTCCTCCACCCATTACTGAGTCTCAGTCTCCAAACTATACATTCTTAAAAGTTTTTGACGCCTTTAATCCCAGCCAATAAATGGGGACAAACAAGATCTGCCAGTGGGCAGATCACAAGGTCAAGAGATTGGAACCATCTTGGCCAAGATGGTGAAACCGTATATCTACTAAAAAATGCAAAAATTAACTGGGCTTGGTGGGGCGCACCTGTAGTCCCAGCTACTCAGGAGGCTGAGGCAGGAGAATCGCTTGAACTCAGGAGGGGGAGGTTGCCGTGAGCCAAGACTGTGCCACTGCACTCCAGCCTGGCAACAGAGTGAGGCTCCATCGCAAAAAAAAAAAAAAAAAAAAAGCGTTTGACTTTTACAAGTTTAAATCACCCCTCATCACATTGGTATTAGAGGGGTTGCAACTGTTTACCAGTGTATTCAATGATAAAATGATGGGGCTGGCTCTGTCATTATATTCTGTGAAATAATGGGTTGAGTATTTGAAGTGATGACGAGCACTCCAGGAACAATGAAAAGGAGAAGAAAAATCAGTGCGATAAATCAGGAGGCCAAAATAAATGCAGACCACTCCCCCGACGACAACCAGTTATTAAGCAAGAAAGCTACCACTAAAATGAAATTCATGGCTTGGTGTCATTATAAATACACACTAAAGAGGGCTTCAGGTACTGCACCACCCAACACTGCAGAAAACACTAAAATACTTCCATAGCAACTATCACTAAGGACATCATTAGGATGCTGAAAATGTAAAAGAGGAAAAAAGAGCCAATAAATGGGGACAAACAAGATTATTTCCCTGGTAGAGTAAAGCCCATTGTTCACTCTCAGAAGACATAAATATTTAACCACCCAAGGCAAGCTATAACCAGCTATTTCAGCTAGCCAAACCCATCTTCCTGATATATAGTGTTTTCAAAAAATAAATCAACCAAGGAGTTGAAACCCAAGGAACTCACAAATACATGTACCAGGCTGGTGGCAGCACGCTCTAGTCTGAAGGATTGATCATGAGTCAGGAGGGGAGGGTGCAAGCCTCAGCCCGGTCACTTAGTACCTATCAAACCTATTATGGGACATGTAGGTATTGTCAGGGACACAAAAGTGAATCAGAAACAGGTTTTGTCCTTGGGCTGTTCAGTGTTGTAGGGGGAGATAAAAGATAGATTACTATAAAATAAGCTAGATGTGATAGATGTCAAAAGAGAAATAAGATTGCTGCTATTCAATTTTAAAATCTTATTGCAGGGTGTTGTGGGTGGAATTGCACCCCCCAAGAAGGTATTTTGAAATCCCAACTCTCAGGATCCCAGAATGTGACTTCATTTGGAAACAGGGCCTTTGCAGATATAATCAAGTTAAATGAGGTTACTAGAGTGGGCCTCAATCCACTGTGACTGATGGCCTTATAAGGGAAGAGAATGCCACGTGGAAACAAAGACACACAGGGAGAAGATGACTGTGCAACATCAGAAGCAGAGATTTGAGTGAAGCGGCTCTAAGCCAGGGAACACCAAGGATTGCCAAGAGCCACCAGAAGCTGGGAAGGGGCAAGGAAGGACTCTCCCTACAGCCTTCAGAGAGAGGATGGCTCTATCAATGTCTTGATTTCAAACTTCCAGCCTCCAGAACTGTGAGAGAATAAATTTTTGTTGTTTTAAGCCAATTCTTGGTATATTATAACCATAGCCCTAAGAAGCAAATACAGAGGCAAAGAGTAACCTCATCCTACTGGGATTAGGGCCAGGTTTCTGGTAAGAAATGACACATAAATTGAACTTTGAAGAACTTATACTATCTAAATGGTAGGAAATGTGGTTTCCTATTTACGTGATAATAGTATTCATCAACCATTGAGAATCCACTTTGTGTCAGATATTGTACTAGGAGTCATTCATATATAAATGGATTGGACTCTGGCTCATATACAGAAGTCATCTAGACCTCACCTCCCTCCTTGACCATCCCACTTCCATCCCACAGTGGTTGATAAGTATAAAATGTTTAGTTTAGCAAATAGAAGAGGAAGATGGGTTTGGGGGTTGGGAGAGCTGTGGAGGGGAGAGGGGAAAAGGGCAAAGCATCTGTTCCCTTTCTGACCTCCTTCTAGAAAGACGGTGGAAGCAGGTTGCAGAACCTCTGTGAGTTGTTTTGTTTACATGTGAAATTAGCTGAGGAAATAGTCAAAGAGACTCTCAGAGGCTCTAGGCACAAGCCCAGCTATTTGGGGCTGAGCCAGGGAAGGACATTCTCCTCTCTGCACCACAGAGGCCAAATGGAGGCTTCCCAAGGACCAGACTCTTTGGGAACACTAAGAGGCAACACCCTTGGCATGTGCTGTGTTCTCATGATGGACAGTGACCCTGGAAAAGTTTCAGCCTCGGCAAAGCCTCAGCAAGTGGCCCTGCAAGCAGAAGCTGGACATGTGGGAGCTGGGGCAGAAGCAAAATAACAGGGCAGAAGACGATGGCAACTGTGAAAGAACGACTGGTGAGCAAGGGAACTTCTTTGGAAACTTCTAGAAATAACTGGAAATACTTTGAAGGGGGTTCATTTCTTTCAGTCGAGTAGGAAGGGGATTTACGCCATAAATAATCGGTATGTAAAAAAAAAGACAACTGGCAGATGAGGCCTGGAACACATGGGTCAGGCACGGATTTCTAATATATCCAACTGAAATTCATCATTATCCCCTTTCCACTTTACCAGCAAGAAAACGGAAGCTCAGGAGGTTAAATAACTTTCCCAGCCAGTAACTCTGTAAGTGACTGAATCAGAAATAAAACCATGTCTGTCTGCCAGTAAGTCCAGTATTCTTTCTACTATACCACACTGCTGATCTGGGCAACAGTGGGGAAAATATGACACTTGAAAGGAGCTTGGAAAAGAACACAGTAGGTCAGGATACTAGCCAGGGTTCTGGCAGAAAACAGAACTCAAGCCAAATTGTTCAAATGAAGGGACTTTAACAAAGATACTGCTGACATAGCTGTGGGCAGAATTAAGGGAATTAGCAAGGGATGTTGAGACACCCAGAGACCAGCAATAGAAGGAAACCACTCCTAGAGAGAGACCTGGTGAGAGCTGGTGAGACCTGGAGCCACGGAAGACAGACCACCAGCAGGATCTATAATGGTGGAGGGAGCCTTCCAGAGAGGTGGCTCCAAAGCAGGGAGGGAATGGGGAAAAATAACCCAACCTTTCCTTTTATCTCCCAGTCTCCTGCTGCTGCCACCCATTGGCTGTGCCCCCACCTGGAAACCAGCTATCAAGGGAGCCTGGGGCAATAAGTGGCAGGAATTAGAGACTCCTGGAAACAGAAGAGGAGGAAGACATTGCCATGGAGAGCAGAGAAGTTGAGGCCATGTGCTAGTCTTGTCCTGTTTTGCTCTTAGATTTATCCCCTGTCCCCGCTCTACCCTGTTCCGTATCACAGAGAATTACTTTTTCCTTGTTCCTTTGCCCTCTGGTTTCTGGGTCAGTTCAGCCATTGGATGGCCCTGAAGAGAGAGCAGAAAGGGAGAAGCTGGGTATTTTTCCCCACTTCTCTCAGCTTCAAGTATTGTCTCTGGCAGCGGCCATCTCTTCTATGGACCCAGCTCTTGCTCCAAGAGCTTCTGTGGTTCCAACTTCTCCCTGGTGGCCTGGCTCCTTTTGTCCCTTAAGCTTTAGGCAGTGGTAGCAGCTTCCTGCTCTTGATAATCTCAAGGATGCCTTACTCTCCCACTTTAGGCTTCTTACCTTTGTCATCTCCTGGTATTAAATCTCTTCTTTAAAATATCAAGAATATTTAGAATCCTGACTGATAGAGGAAACTATCACATGGGAGAGCCTCAACCTTCACAGAAAAGCATGAGGGAAATGAAAATACACATGGCTTGCATATCATAAATATGGAAAAACTTCCATTGAATCTGTCACTGCTGTGTGCCTATTCCCTCCTCTCACTGGGGCCTCCAATCCCTCAACCACCAGTGTTCTGGTCCACTTTTTAGCCTGGCTTGCCCTTCATACCCCTGGAGATCATGAACAGTCATATCCGCAATATTCTGTTAGAATTCTTGATTTTCCTGCTGACTTTTCCTTCTGCTGTAGCTATTTTATCAATCCCTATCCCTGAGTACAGTAAATTATCTATTTTCTCTCCTCCTGCTTTTTTTACTGGACAAAGGAACATGACCTGGCCAAAATTTCTTCTCCTGGGATGTTTGTCTGCCCGGCTACTTATATCCATTGTACCCATTTCCAACAACCATGCACCCATGGCTTTGCCCAGAGTCCCTGGAATCTTTTCAGGTTCATGTAAACTTAAAATTTATGCAAAGGAAATCCACCAAGGATTGGAGACCAAAAAACAAACGTATGACATCATGCTATAATTTCACACACACAGAATTATTTTAAAAATAGAATGGGTTCATAAAAATGAAATAAATTGCTGATATGTAAAACTCATCATAGAAAAATCAATGTTATTAAAATGGTTATTCATAAAATAATTCACCACATTTTTCACTTTAGAATACCAAACCCCCACCATGCATTTGGAATTTAATTCAATTTACAAAGTTTCCATTTGCCCACAACTCTTCAGGACCACATGCCTTTTCCAAGTCAAATATATTTCAAGGTCCAATATCAATGGTTTAGATATACATTAAGACATGTCAGACAGAGATTCTGTCTGCTCCACTATATGCTTTTGTTTTTGGACCTGGGATGCAGTTTAATCTACTTCTTAAATGCAAAGATGTGGTAGATTGCGTTATTGGTTTTGATTCTTTCCTATACTATATCTTTGCCCTTCACCATTGGCTTTGGAGTCCCTCTCATGTTGAAGGTTAGATTTCATAGAGTAATTATTGAGGAATGCTCTTGGAAACAGCCATTTTAAGGGAATAGGGGAAGCAAGATTGACACAGAAAAAAATGGGACTAATTTAATTGCAACCCAGGCCTCACCCAATCCTATGGGAAGCTCTGATGCTAGGATAGCTCTTCAGAGATGTCTTGAATTGAGGCAAGAGGTCAGACTTCATACTCACATCTGACTAGTCTTTGAATGTGGGTTGACCATAGGGGCACCCTTGGGCAAAGCAGTGCCCTTCAGCTGAGGACAATTCCTGGTGGGCAGTGGGATGGGGACTCCAGGGCGAGGGTGGAGGTGAAAGGATGGGAGTCAGTGGACTTGGTGAGCCATCATCAGCAAGCAATATTCCTAGCAGCTGAGAAAGTAAGTGCCTTGGTTCTGGAAAGGGACCAGGAAGTGCACCTCAGCATCCACTACACCCCACAAAGGTGAAGTATATCTCAGTTGGGCACAGTGGTGCACATTTGTAGTCCCAGCAATGCAGGATGATCCCTTGAGCCCAGGCATTTGAGTACAACCTAATCAACAGGCATACCCTTATCTCTTAAAAAAAAATGAGGTATGTCTCTTTGCTCTTTGACATTAGTCTCAGCCTTGTAACTTGCCTTGACGAACAGGATGAGGCAGAAATTAGTGTGCCAGTTCCAAGCCTAGGCCTTAAGAGACCTTGCATATTTCCAATTTTCTTCTTACACATGTCCAGGGCAACCTACTGGTCCCAGGAGGAAGATGAGAGGCATATAGAGCAGAGCTACCCCAGCCACCTAGCCTAGCCCAGCTTAAATCAGCCAACCCCCAAGATGACTCAAAGATACTACTGGTTTTGTGTGATGCGGTTTGTTATGCATTGATAGCAAGTCAATACAATAGGCTTGGACTCAAGAGTCAGATCTGTTTCAGTGCCATGTACTTCTGGCTTGTGACCTTCAAGAATTTTTCCAACCTTTCTTCTAAACCTGAGATTTATCCTTGGTATAGAAATAATCATGTCTGTTTTATGATGTTGCTATAATATATCCATGTGTTTGCCATGGTACATGGGAACTTAGAAGCACTGAATTACTGTAAGTTATGGTCAATATTTGTATATTTTATTTCTAGGTGCAAAAATCCTATAACTAGAAGATATTGGTGGCAAAGGGAAATAGCAAAGGATAGGTCAGTCTCCATTGCTTTCCCGTCCTTGAGGCTGCTCCTATCCTGCTGTCTGCCCTCCAAGAGTCCAGGTTCTGGGAGCGGAGGAGATGGTAGAGTTGAGTCTAGCAATTCTAGGGTACATTGGAGTATCAGCCTTCTGAGTTCTAGGACTATTGAGCCAAAGATAATATCAGATGGAACAGGGAAAAAAGAACAGGGGATAGATGCCCTTAGTCTTACACTGGCCTTTTTCTGTGGGTTCTAGGCTCTTGGGCTTTCTTAACTTTGCATAAGATGGTGTCCTAACAGGTCAAGAATGGCCTGCAGTGGAGGGGTGGGTGGGTTGGGGTGGGGGCTGGGGGGCCCTCACTGTGCAACCACTTCAAACATTACTGTAGGTGGAGAATTTTCACTCACTGAAATTCTACTGCCAAGTTTTGGCAGGGTGGTTGGCTTTTGTTCTCTTCCTTTTAAAGCTGACAAGGAAAAACAAAGTGCAGAAATAGTGTTAACCAAATAAAGAGACACTATGCCTTTTTTTTTTAAACCTCATTTGCGTCAGAAAATCCATTCCCAGATGAGCCATAACTAGATGAGACTACACATATCCCACATCTTAGAAGAGAAAGTTTTATGGGCAGCCCTCATACTTTACGGGTTCAAGCCATGGTTCTAAAGGGAGTTGCGACTGAAAATCTTCACGTCTCTACCTCCAAAATCTTAACGGTAGCACGCCACTCCCGATTGTTAGGTTATTTCGTTTTAAACATGGGTGAAACTCACAGTCGAATGTCTTGTTTCTTCACTTCCCAAATTCCTAAAACAGCTACTCTTTGTTTTTAATGGTGCTGGAAAAAAAAGAGACAGAGAAGAGAAAAAGGAAAACAGTGCATTCCTGAAACATTACAAAAGACCAGCCGATGAGAACCAAGTGCAGCATACTGGAGAGAATCCTGGGGAAGGACTAAGGCAGGGCTGCTCAAACTTTTGCTCTGAGACAACTTAACAAAAGAGGAGGACAAAATAATAACCCTTGGGATATCTAGAAATATAAATGAAAATGAAAATAGCTAACATTAGGGAGAATTCACTATGAACGACCCACTGTTCCAACATTTAACATATACTGGTCACTTAATTCTCATGATAACTCTATGAGGCAGATGATATTATTCCCATTTTACAAATGAGAAATGGAGACACAAAAAGGCTAAGCAACTTGCCCCAGGGTACAGTTAGAAAAGGGAGGAGCTAGGTTTCAGTCTTGCCCCAAAGCCTATGGTTTCAACCACAGGTTACCATGAGTAGTTTACCACCAGTTCAAAATTCCATTAAAGTTGTGCCTTAAAAATGCCTACAGTCTGGGCGCGATGGCTCACGCCTGTAATCCCAGCACTTTGGGAGGCCGAGGCGGGCAGATCACCTGAGGTCGGGAGTTCAAGACCAGCCTGACCAACATGGAGAAATCCTGTCTCTACTAAAAATACAAAATTAGCCGGGCTTGGTGGTGGGTGCCTGTAATCCCAGCTATTCAGGAGCCTGAGGCAGGAGAATCGCTTGAATCCAGCAGGTGGAGGTTGCGGTGAGCCGAGATTGCGCCATTGCACTCCAGCCTGGGCAACAAGAGCAAGACTCCATCTCACAAAAAAAAAAAAAAAATGCCTACAGATATTTTATTCTGTTTCATAATATTTTCTTTTTTCTTTTAAGATAAAAAATACTTCTTTCAAAGATTTTCATCTACATTTTTCAGTGTCCTGCTTCAACTTTCTCTTCAAGTAAATCTTCAAGGAGAACTCTTGCTTCAAGAAGATACACCAGTTGTTTCTTGTGTGCCCAGATTGAGAAGCACTGGCCCAGGGTGGCTAGCTGCCCCAAGAAAAACAAAAATACCTATGTGATATCTGTCAGAATTAATTTGGCCAATTAACCAAATAGATAAGAAAGATTAGGGTTTTTTTCCCCAATGTCAAGGCAACTGAAACTAAAGGGTTGTGGCTAAAATGGAATTGAACAAAATAGGTTAATTGAGTAATTTAGCAGTAGGTAGGAGACTAGACTAGCACATCAGTTAGATAGATGAAGTTCACCATGGCTACACTCAAAATAAGCATAAGCCTTGAAAATAAGGCAGAGCATCTGATAAGCAGGATATTTTTACTTTGGACTAAGATGTAAGAGTGTATGTGTGTGTGTGTGTGTGTGTGTGTGTGTGAAAGTGAGAGAAAGAGAAAGGAAAAACTGTGTGTGTGTGCCTGCATGGCATGTGTGTGTGTGTGTGTGTGTGTGTGTGTGTGTAAGAGAAAGAGAAAGAGAGAAAGAAAACTTGGAGAAGGAGCAAAAGTCTACTTTTGTTAGAAAAGATAACGCAATCCAATGGAGGAAAAGCACAGAATTTAGAGCCAATTAAACCATAAGTTAGAATATTATATCTAATGATTTATAATAATGTGACTTACGTTATTTTATCAAGTCTAAGACACCATAAATGATAACATGCATACACATTCCAATGATTTAAAGTATTTTTAAATTTGATCTTATAATGGAAGAAATACAATAACTATTCCCAATTGCAAAATGAAGATAATACATAATATAGCCCTGTAGGGTGATGGTGAGGGGTAAATAAGGTGGCATATGCCTGACATATGGTAGGGCCTCAGGAAATGCAAGTATTATTGTTTCTATCACCTTTGGCCAAAAACAAGTTAATTGTCTTTTTCCCCCAAGTAATATTTTATTTTTGCTGTTTTGCTGCACAATTTTACATTACAAAAGGTGTGGGTACTTACCTCATCACAACTGTAATCAGTATGCTGATGGATAAAGCAAGACAGTATTTATCCTTCCAAGACTTTTCTATGCTTGTACATCTAATGTGTGTGTGTGTGTGTGTGTGTGTATGTGTGTGTGTGTGCGTGTCTAAATTGCTTTTAAAAATTTGTTTACTCAGCATTTAAGCCCCCTTAGGGCATTTCACACTGCACTGTGTAATAGATAAAGAATCACACTAGAGGAGACATAATTCATTAATTCTCTTTTGAAAAGCGCTTGGTGCTATCAGTGAAATGAATATAAATTATGCCATTCCTATACTTAAGGGCTTAAAAAAGTCTAGTAGTGTCTTATTCATATTTGTATCTGCCATAATAGCCTTGAAGTTTTTTTATGATCATTCTAACTAGATGTTCTCTTTCCTGCCTTTACAAGTTCACGAATTTCTGTATTATGCTTATGATTTAAATGGGACATTGCTGTATATTGTGGTTATTTGTGTTTACATTCTTATCAACTTTATCACTCCCTCCCCAACCAGTGTAAAAATGGAGAAGGCAGGTTGTGGCAATGACCTAACATTGATCATTGGAAATAGGATGGAAATATAGGGATGCAAGTAAATTGAGAGTAATTCTTTTTTTTTTTTTTTTTGAGATAGAGTCCTGCTCTGTTGCCCAGGCTGGAGTGCAGTGGCGGGATCTCAGCTCACTGCAAGCTCTGCCTCCCGGGTTCACGCCATTCTCCTGCATCAGCCTCCCGAGTAGCTGGGACTACAGGTGCCCGCCACCATGCCTGGCTAATTTTTTGTATTTTTAGTAGAGACAGGGTTTCACTGTGTTAGCCAGGATGGTCTTGATCTCCTGACCTCGTGATCCGCCCGCCTCGGCCTCCCAGAGTGCTGGGATTACAGGTGTGCACCACCACACCCGGCCCAATGGAGAGTAATTCTAATAATCAACTATGGATCCTCGGCAGTATGGAGAAGGCCTAGAAGCCAAGAAGAGATCAAAAGGTGAATTAAATAAAGGAATTGAGGTGACCAAACTGTTTCCGGACCAAGCTGAGGGTCAGGCTGCCTATTCTCGCAGCCCAATAATGAGAGGCAGACGAACTGGGAAAGAAGACAGTTTATTTCTGTAACTGGGTACAGGGAAAAGGCCTGGAAAATATCGCCAGGCCAACTCAAAGTTACAAAGTTTTCCAGAGCTTATATACCTTCTAAGCTATATGTCTGTGTGTTAGTGTGCATTCATCTGAAGACATAAGTGATTAACTTCTTCTAATCTATAACTAAGATCTGAATCCTGAAGACCTTCCTCTGGAGCCTCGGTAAATTTACTTAATCCTAATGGGTCCAGGTGCTGGGTGATTACCCTTATCTTGTCTCCTGCTAAATCATGGAGGTTTGGGGAGTTTCTTCAGACCCCCAATAAACTTGTTTGTGGAGGTCTGGGGAGTTTCTTCAGACCTCCAATAAAACTTGTTTAATCCTAAACAGGCCTCTGTTAAGAATTCATTTGTTATCTTGTCACACTTCAAGGCCCAGGAAAGGCCTGAGCAAAACTCCTGGTGGGCTTTTGTTACATTCCAGCCTTTGTATAAGGGCACTAGCTCGATCAGCTTTTAATATTTAACTTGGCCACTCCGTCAGTGCTGAAACAGTTGTTACAGAGGCCTGTGTTAGTGAGACCCGGCCTGCCACAAAACTGTCCTTGTGCTCAAAGAGTAGGTGAAGTTGTGGTGAGGAAGTGTGAGAATTGGAAATAGTGGAAGTTAGGGTTATAGAGAAGTTGGAGTAGCAAAGGAAACAGTGGACTTGTTGCCATAATATCTTCCAAAAGTGTATATATGTGGCGACTGGGCTGTTAGTTGGAGAGTGCATGGTATAGGTTATTGCCAAGGGTTGCAAAGGAAGTTGAGCATTTTAATCAGTAATGAGGTAGAACAATGATTCTCAAAGTGTAGTTGCCAGGCCAGCAGCATGAATGTCACCTAGGAACTTGTTAGAAATGAAATTCTAGGCTCTACCCCAAACCCACTGAATCAGAAATGAGGATGGAGCTCAGAAATCTGTGTTTTCAGAAGCCCTCCAAATGATGATGTTCACTAAAGTTGGACAATTCTTGGTTTAGAAGTTGTAGTGCAGACAGCTGAGCAACAGCTCACCACCTACCCATCATCATCACCACAACATCATGACAACAATGTCTTTGGTAACCTGTGAGACTGGGATTTCAATTAAAGCCAAAAACTAGAAGGAGCATTAAGGCTAAGAAGCAAAAGGCAACTTTTCCACTTTCCAACTTTCTCTGGAGGAATAGAGGAATCTGTTTACAATAGCACAAGGGTTTCAGAGGCAGCCCTGAATGTTGATTCTCCTCCTATCCTAAGCCTTTGTGTGGGCTCAGTCTTCCTTGATAGAAACTAGAGACCAGAGAATATAGGGAGAGTAGTTAGTTGCATTAATAATTATATCAATATTTCATAATAACCATGATTACACTATTGATAGTTATACATATATATAATTAGTAACTATTAATCCAGGTTCAATCATGAAAACCACCAAGAGAACGAGCTCCATGATCTCAGTGCTGAAGGGTGGGAGCAGCCCTCTGCACAACTACAGTACCAGGTAGAACAGATATAGCCACATGGACTAATGATTTTCCAGTTTATCCTTAGACTTAACCAAAATCAGGCCAGTAGCATATTAACAAGCCCACAGTCCCCAAGAAGCATTAAAGTTTCTGAATTTAGTATAAACTTTCTGATTTATAGACCATAGTTTATAGTCTTGCACTCATGATCTCCTCCTTGCTCTGATCCAAACCCTTCCAAAACTGCCTCTGAGATCATTCTCTAAATGGAGCTACCATTTAGAGATACCACAGATCACTTTAGCCCTAATTACACCGGTTTCTTTGCCCCTAACTACTGTTTATTTTTTTTTTTAACTTGCATGTTGTTTTTCTTAGGAAATTGAGGAGGGGATCCTGAAACTCAAACAACTGGGAATGCTGCCTACAGAGTTAATTTTAGTTGAACACTCTCCTTTCCCTGGCTAAACTTCAGCTTTGTTCTTGGCTCTCTGCACTCTTGAGTCACAGGAATGTAAACATGGGGAACCTCATCCTCTTTCTCTTGTCTGTTTCTTTCAATGTTGTCTTTATTCTAATATTTCTATTTCTAATAACTACTAAACCCAATACCTTTCTTTCCTTCCATAAACAGATCTGCTTTCTGATCAATACAACCCACAGTGGAAAAGGCAACAGGATGAGATGAGGCATCCATAATGAGAGGTTCAAGGATTGGAAAAGAACAGAGCTGCAGTGAGAATGCCAGTTTGGCCAATTTATTAACATGCATGTCAGTACAGAGTTGCAATTAAGAAGGCAAGAGCAAGGCCGGGCACAGTGGCTCATGCCTGTAATCCCAGCACTTTGGGAGGCCGAGGCAGGCAGCCCACCTGAGGTCAGGAGTTCGAGATCAGCCTGGCCAACATGGCAAAACCCCGTCTCCACTAAAAACACAAAAAATAGCCAGACATGGTGGCGTGTGCCTGTAATCCCAACTACTTTGGAGGCTGAGGCAGGAGAATCCCTTGAACCCGGGAGGCAGAGGTTGCGGTGAGCCAAGATTGCGCCACTGCACTCCAGCCTCGGCGACAAAGCGAGACTGCGTCTCAAAAAAAAAAGAAAAAGAAGGCAAGAGCTTGGAAACTCAAGAGACTAAAGTTCCAGAATTAGATTAGCTGTGTGATCTTGGAAATAATAATAGTAACTATCTCATAGGCTTGTTGTGGGATTAAATAATGCGTATAAAATTGCATAACAGAGTTCCCAGTACATAGCGAGCCTCAATACATGGTAACTTGGAGTCTGCATTTCTTGAGAGTAAATGACACATTCTGTAGACCAATTAAGGACAATGCTTATCACAGAATCAAGAGATAAATGAAGATTTCCTTCTGTAAACATGAAAGTATTCCTGAGGAAGGAGAGATTATTAAGTTTTTGAATACAATTAAGGAAGGAATACAGTCAGCATTATATTGTGATTAATTCAAAGGGCAAATAAGACATGGTCTTCATCTTCAATGGGGCAAGATATGGAGTTTGAAAAGCTGAAAATTAATGCTAGGCAACTGTACAAGCAAGGTTAAAGGTTGCTTGATTGATTGAATCAAGCCATGCAGGAATTCAGAACTTGAGAATAATTAATTAAGAGTGTAGTTAATTCACCCAACAGGTGAAATTGGAAGGAAGTTTACAGCTGAATTTTAGGAAAGTTGATAAGCTACTGTAATAACCTGGATGTTGCCCCTAAGAAAGCGGAAATATGCATTCTCATGAGAAAATAATAAAGCTTGTGGGAAATAAGAAGACTGGATGATTTTCTTCAAATATATAAAGATCTAATATATGAAGTAAAAATGTCTGCCTGAATAACACATCTTTTGATGGGATCTGCCCAGCTCATTTCCCCTTCTGTATAAATGGCCCCAACCCACAAGAATGACTACTGCACCCATGTTTGATGTACATAACTTACCCTTCCCCCATGTCAGTTAATAGAACCAAAGGAAATCATCTGATCCAAGCTAGGTAGTCAGATTTTGTCTTCTAGAAATTTGAGACTGATTCAACAGAAGAGTCAAAAACCTAGGGGATGACTGACCCACTAAATGGAAGAGACATGAGCCACCAAATGACTGCACAGGCAGAGAACATCCCTGCCAACCTGCATTAGACGGACACAGCAAGAAATGAACCTTTATTGTGGTAGGCCACTGAGATTTGGGAGTTGTTTGTAACTGCGGTTCACCTACCTCAACTAATACAGTAAGTTAGACTATATGTCTCCCCTAAATATCTCTTTGAACTTTAGATTTATTGATAAAAGTATGATTTTTTTAAAAATCTTGTCTATATGATCTGTAAATGGATCAAGGAGAGAAACGAAATGGAGGCAGATAACTCAGTTACAAATCTGACACAGAAATTTAGCTTCAATGTAATAGGAGCCTGAGTTTGGGGGTAGGAAAGAAACAGAAAAGAAGACATGGCTGGGAGGAAGATTATAAGAGAGAAATAAAAACAACTACAGGTTGAGTATCCTTCATTTGAAATGCTTGGGACAAGAAGTGTTTCAGATTTATGATTTTTTTCAGATTTTGGAATATTTGCGTTGTATCAGTTGAGAATCACAAATCTAAAAACCCAAAATTTGACATGCTGCAGTGAGCATTTCCTTTGGATGTCATATCAGTGCTCAAAAAGTTTTTAATTTTGGAGCATTTAGGATTTGGGGTTTTAAGATTTGGGATGCTCAACCTGTAATTTGATGTGATGAGTGAAAACGGGAAAGAGTCAAATACTACTTCATCTTTTACCACTTTTTGCTCGCCCACCAAGTTCCAGTTGCTTTCAGTATCTTGAACCCACTGAGCCATCTCCCACCTCAGGATATTTACTCATGCCCTTCCTTCTGTCTGCAATTATTTTACTCCTTGTTTTCATACGGCTAACTAACTGTTGCCTATTCTGAGGTCTCTGCACAAATGTCACTTTCAGAAAGTTGTCTTCCTTGACTCCTCAATCTAAATTACGTCATCATGTTTTTCATACCCCCCGATTTTTCTTTCACAGTATTTATTATAAATTACTGCTTAATTTGTAATCTTATATATCTATATCTATGTAGGCATTTGTTTATTTGAAGTCAATTTTTTCCCTTGGATTATAAGTATCATGAGGATAGTGGTCATGTTTCTTTTATTTTACTTTTTATACCCAATGCCCAGCACAGTACCTGACACTAGTAAATACCTAATACATATTTGCTGAGTAAGTGAATGAATAAACTCCCAGATTTCAAATCTGAAGCACTAGAAAAATGACACATATTGTCTGAATCAGTGTTCACATATTGAAGAAATAGCAATATTTGTAAAACCAAATAATTAAAGACTTAGGGAATGAAAAACCAGTCAAGGTATATCAATTGTCTGGTGCAGTGTCCAGGCACACAGGACTAGGTCAATAAACTAACAATTGTTCCATTCGTTCATCTCTCAGGATGTGTGCTCCAAACCACCAGATGAACAATCTAAGCCACAGTGGAACTTGCACTAACACAGGAAGATACACATTTAGATACTGGTCCTCCCAACAGCAGGAAGGCCAAGAACTAGTTCAGGCAGGGTGTAGTAATGCCATGGGTGTCAGGCTCATGACAGAGCCAACACCCCACCTTGCAGTCACAATATTCCATTTAAATTCTTCCCTCAGGTCTAGGTCCTTAAACTCAGTGTGCCATCTCCAGTCTCCATCCTATTTGTAGCTCCAAGCCTTTGACCAGCACGTTAGCATAGGTATTCTTTTTTTGTTTGTTTGTTTGTGAGACGCAGTTTCACTCTTGTTACCCAGGCTGGAGTGCAATGGCATGGTCTCAGCTCACTGCAACCTCCTCCTCTTGGGTTCAAGCGATTCTCCTGCCTCAGCCTCCTGAGTAGCTGGGATTACAGGCACGCACCACCACGCCAGGCTAATTTTTGTATTTTTAGTAGAGAAGGGGTTTCACCATGTTGGTCAGGCTGGCCTTGAACTCCTGACTTCAAGCGATCCACCTGCCTCAGCCTCCCAAAGTGCTGGGATTACAGGCATGAGCCACCACGCCCAACCTAACCTGGGTATTCTTTATGTCACATTAGATAACCTATAACCCCTCTTGGCAAACTTGGCCCTACTCAGACTGGACAGTTCTATGCTATTCTTACCCTCAATCTAAGCTAGTCTAAGCTTTGAAACAAGTAATCCTACTAGAAAAAGACTTCTTTCTTCCACAACTGACCTAATATGCATAATAAAGAAAAATTGCTCAGCAAATGTGAAGGGGAAAATATGCTTTTTGCAGAAGCAGGGAAGGAAAGGAAAAGCTAGTTTAGATTTTCACTCCTTAAGCATGTCACATCCTAGATGCAAATGTTTTTGGAGAATTATTTTAAAAATTTGTGGTGTCAGAGTCTAGCCTTTCAAATTTGCATGTTTTCATAATTGTCCTGTGATCATGGTTCAAAGCTAACTAAATCTGTTTCCCCAGTATATTAACGTGGTTTCCAAAGTGGAGCAATGAGGTCGCCAGCAGTTCTGCAGAGAACAATGTGCTAATAAGCAAATTGACTTGTGTGTTGTTCAATAAATTCTGTTATTTTGAAGTAATACATTAAGGATATTAAACGGAAATCACTAACTCACTGTAAGGTAGCTTTCAAACATTGCATTTTATCTCAAACTGCTATTGAGGCAGGAGAATAGGGTCTGGAGGCAGGGAGCCTAAGGCTCATTCATGCTGACTGGATATCAGAGGCTACTCCCTTTTCAGCCCCTCCTTTTTCCGAGGGGAAGTTGAAAAATGAAACTACCTCTGACTGGTCCCCTCCTGCAATGGATCAGACTGGTTGCAGGCCTACTCTTCATTCTGATTGGTCCCCTCCAACAACCAATCAGACTGGTAGTGGGCCACTACTTCATTTGCATAGAATAAACCAATGGGAAACCTCTAGAGGGTATTTAAACCCCAGAAAATTCTGTTACCTATGCTCTTAAGCCAGTTGCTCAATCCCACTCCCACCCTTTAGAGTGTACTTTGGTTTAAAATGAATCTCTGCTTTTGCTGCCTTGCTTTGTTTGTGCATTTTGTTCAATTATTTGTTCGAAACACCAAGAACCTGGACAACAACCCACCCTCAACCAATAACACTATTAAATGAAAGTTAAAGGAGTATGAGACTGAATCTAATATTGCTAGCTAAAGACAATTAGGTAAGTTAATAGGTGTGATTTATTGCTTTCTATGGATAGCAAAATGAACTTGAAGATCTCTTTGTAATTTAAATAAGTTGGCTCAATTTGAAACCGCTCCTACCATCTGTTTCCAGTGTTAACTTGCTGGGTGCCTGGGTACTCTTCTTCCTTGACCAACTCTCTGCCATTATAATTCAAAGTCACATGTAAATACACTTGGATACATTTGGTTACGCCACATGACTATGTAACATGTAATCCAAGATCTTATGTACACTCCTTAATTCCTCACGTGATCTCATTTTGATCATTAGTACCTGATCCAATTATTTTTTGGCTAAATTCAAAATTCTAAAGCAAACATTGAATTATATGCTATATTAACTAATATACTGTACTCAGTGTCTTGATTTTTTTTAGTCTCATTATTCTTTCTGGATTTCAGAATGAAACTCATGCTCACCCACTAGTCAGGGCTACAAATGTATCCAGAATGACAGTTTATTTTTAAAAGCCCAAATAGTAGGATTCCCTTCTAGGGGAAATCCTTTGAGTCATACAGAAATTAGTTGCCAAAGGTTTCTAGGCCATATCAAAAGGAAACCTCAAGATTCTTTAAATTATTACTTGAAAATTTTTAGTGTCCAAAATGACAACCTAAGATAGGATTTTGATAGTCCCATGAAACACCTCCTCACACAGAGCAACCACATAGAGAACATTTGCATCTCTTCTGCAGCAGCTATAAATGAGAATTTATACTATTACAGCAGTTTTTGCTATTTCTCATGGGTGCCTTTGACATTTACCTAGTGCTCAAAATACACCAAAAATAATTTTGCTCTGAATAAGCCTCAACTATAACTCTGTAATTTATTTCATAATACTTTTTAATCTTCCTTCAAAGCTTACTCATTGATGGATAATTATTAAGCACTTTACAAATTCCCAAAATTATGTGTGGTATAAAAACAGAGCCTTGAAATTTGACAAGCCCTAAAACTCATCACAATCTATCTAGGCCCGAGAAATGATGAATAATCATATACAACTCAGTCAATGTCACCCCTAGATGTTATGGCAATGAAGGAGGGCTAGCCTGAAAGGGATAAACCTAGTTGCCCAGCCACGTAGGAAAGACGATGGATACTCTAGGTGCAGGCAATCAAGAAATCAAGTCCAGGCCGGGCGCGGTGTGGCTCACGCCTGTAATCCTAGCACTTTGGAAGGCCAAGGCGGGCGGATCACGAGGTCAGGAGATCAAGACCATCCTGGCTAACACGGTGAAACCCCGTCTCTACTAAAAATACAAAAAATTAGCCGGGCATGGTGGTGGGTACCTGTAGTCCCAGCTACTCGGGAGGCTGAGGCAGGAGAATAGCGTGAACCCAGGAGGCGGAGCTTGCAGTGAGCTGAGATCGCGCCACCGCACTCTAGCCTGGGCGACAGAGTGAGACTCCGTCTCAAAAAAAAAAAAAAAGAAATTAAGTCCAGGGAGATCATCTGGTACAGGAAGGAGCACATGAGTACTCTATGGGCAGATGCAGAAACTGGCAGGTGAGAGAATCAGCAGGCAGCAGAAATGGTTATCTTGATAGACATCTGCCCAGCTCTCCTTGCAACGGTGGGCTGGCTGCCCCTCCCTGTTCGAGCTGGTTGGTTATCACAGTGTTCTCTCTTCTCTCACCATTCCCCATTCACCTGAGTACAGGCATGGATTTATTAAACAGGCTTAGTAAGTTATAGTACCTACACCCTGATTAGTGCATTGGGGGTAACTGTGCGCTCTGGGGTTTTGAATTGTTGCAACACCATCCTGTCTTTCACTCCTGCTCCTCCCCCATCACCGATAGGACGGCGTATCTCCTGGAGATTGGAGAGGAGCTATTGGTAAGAGTTGGGCCAAAACAAAACTGAGCCAAACTGAAGCACTTCTCCAGCTGTATTTCACTAACATCTTAGGAAACTTATATACTAGCGTAGGTAGAATAGTATTCTTTCTAGTTTCATAGCCATTTTCTGTTGGCCTCTGGGAGTTTTTCACTTCAAATGTAAGTAGTTATACAGGAACAAAGAGAGTTGATACCTTTGAAACATAGACCAAGGAAACATAATATCTTCTCCCCCGTAAATGGGCTGCAGAACAAGTAACACAGGTTTCTATAACACATTTTGTTAACAATTAAATAAGTTACAGGAAGGAAGCTTAGAATAAGAGAAAATAAAATAGTAATTTATAAGGAACTGGAGTTTTTTACAGTGTTGAGATATATGATTTGTAGATATGTGGATAAATGGATGGATAGAGATGCATGTGATACAATAAGTGTGCAAGCACAAAAATAATAGTCTGTTGGCACAAAATCAGAATTAGATTTGTATGTTTTCTATGACTAGAGTGACACCAATCAACTAATCTTTCTCAATAATTTTAAAGCTGTAACTTTATATTAAAAATTCATTGTGCTGCCATTTATAATCAGGTAATCCAAGTGCACTCTCATGCCCCAAACCCCATCCCCTGCACTATCCCAAGACCACTCCCTCCACCTCCATATTCTGGCATCAGAACCTTTACATCTGCAGGCACTCCTGATCTGATAATTATGTTCTTACTGAGCTATTGTTTGATCCCTTCCTTTCCAGAGAAGAGGAAGTATTTCTGAGTGGAAGCAGTTACACCAGACCAGGAGCTTAGACTATCAAAATGCTATCTTAGGTTGTGCTCTAAGAGATGGAGAAAGAGAATCTAGGCTCAAAATCTACAAAACTGAAACCTGAAAGAGGGAAGACAGCAAGGCCTAAGTGGATGAAAGGTGGACATGAGTTGCAGTTCCCTGAGCTAACTTGGCAATTTGGTTACCAAACCTCACACAAAGGCTACCTTGCGAGTTTACTGGCACCTCCAGTGATGGCAAATATAACTAACCCATAAAGCATGTAAGAGGTAGGCAGGTGATGCATCATGGGTGTATGAGCTTCATGCACAGCCTTGCACTCAGAAAGACCTACACTATCTTGGAATAATTAACAATTTTATCTTTGATCTTGTGTTTTTAGCTTAATATGATAGGACGATGGAGCATGCTCAACAGCAGCATGGAAGTCATCAAGCAACCCGGCATCCTGGTGACCTGGCCTGGTAACATGCCTTGGGACCATCCTGGGCACCATAGGGCTCCAAGGTGGGTAGGCCTGCACCTAAGCCTAGACTGGTGGGGGCAAATGCAGCAGCAGAAACAGTGGAGAGAGGAAGGCCTCAATGTAGGGCAGTGCTGGGACTCGTGGAGGAAGGGCAGTTCTTCCCTGCCGGGAGCCATCCCTGCAGCCTGTACCTGAGGCATCTGCACACATATCAACTAACTCACTGACCTGAGCAGAGTGAGAGGAGCTGCCTATGCTCAGGAAGTGACTTAGCAAACGTGTTCCATAATTAATACGAAATAAAAGCATAGAGACATGGCAATAAAACGTTTCAGGGAGTTTTTAGAATTCCTCAAGGAGTTCAGAAACTTTGGTTTTGAAAACTGCTGCAGTGTTGCAGGGCAAATACCCACAGGCATGAAAACAGAAATTAAGCAATTTTTTTTTTTTTTGAGATGGAGTTTCGCTCTTATCACCCAGGCTGGGCTCACCTCAACCCCTGCCACTCGGGTTCAAGCGATTCTCCTGCCTCAGCCTCCGGAGTAGCTGGGATTACAGGCATGCGCCACCACGCCCAGCTAATTTTGTATTTTTAGTGGACACGGGGTTTAATCCATGTTGTTCAGACTGGTCTCGAACTCCCGACTTCAGGTGATCCACCTGCCCTGGCCTCCCAAAGTGCTAGGATTACAGGTGTAAGCCACCGCGCCCAGCCAACAAAATTGTATTCAATGGAAAAGAACACTATTTTCATATAAAGCCTTAGCTGAACCAATTTTTAATGAGGAAGACAATTTTAAAATTAATTTTTTCTTATGTGAACAAAAGTTCTCTGAAAAGGAATTTGGAAGAAAGAGACTTTATTCCAGTGAACAGTTTGCAAACTGGGAGATACAGCCTTTGGTGCAAAATGAAGGTGCATTTCGTTAAACAAAGAGAGGGTTCAAGTTCCTGCCCAGCTTCCGGCAAATAAAGGATTCAAACTTGCTTAGTTCTGATTGGTTGGTGCAGCTAAGTTCTGATCGGTCAATATGGCTGGTTTCTGATTGGCTGCGGTAGGTGAGCTCTGATTGGTCGTTTTCCAAGCCCAAACTCAGACGTCACAGGCTTGATTGCAGAAAGGGAGATCCAGTGATACTTCTACATCTTTCTGAGAACAGAATATGTGACTGCTTCCTCGTCCAGCTATGGCTGCATAGTTCTGTTTTTGAGCACCTCAGCCATGAGGAGTCCATTCTATCTGTCAGCCAGGGGTATACTTTAACAGGTATAATTAAAGCTACAGCATAGAATGCATAATTAGGCCCTTTGAATTACATAGAAGTCAGAAGCTACTTTCAGGTTCTCCCACAACCTCGGCAACTTACAGGAAATGTTGGAAGAATCTTTGAAACAGATTTGTATGAAAAACTAAATCCTGGCCAGGCGCTGTGGCCCACACCTGTAATCCCAGCACTTCGGGAGGCCGAGGCGGGATGATCACCTGAAGTCAGAATTCGAGACCAGCCTGGCCAACACGGTGAAGCCCCATCTCTACTAAAAATAAAAATAAAAAAAAGAGTCGGGGCGTAGTGGTGTGCACCTGTAGTCTCGGCTACTTGGGAGGCTGAGGCAGGAGAATCATTTGAACCCGGCAGGCGGAGGTTGCAGTGAGCTGAGATCGCACCACTGCACTCCAGCCTGGGCAACATACCGAGGCTCCATCTCAAATAAATAAATAAGCAAACAAGTAAATAAATAAAACAGGATTTAACCTTCTCATCTGTCCCAATATTCCAATTAACATACCCTCTTAATCTTTATCTTAGGGACCAACATCATTCCTTTCCTCATCTTTCTTCCCCCTTTCTCATATGTACACAGCCTCCCATTCTGAACTCAGGCTTTCAATAGCCACCAACCATCAGTAGCACACAAACACTCCTTATCCTTCTTCTTTCCCCATTAAAGCTCCCTTTTCCTGATACCAGGCAGTTATTGAGGGGAAAGGGTTAGGTAGTGAATGACCATCATCATTTGTATGTTTTTGCCATTTGCATTCTAAGAGGCTATGCAATATTAACATTCAGAATGTGTGAAGATGTGAATGAAGAATTATAGATTGCAAATGAGAGCAGATTGAACATTAGGAACCTTCTAAGAACCACTTATCCTTCATAGGTGGCTGACCTTGGTAGATGATATTGATAGTTGATATCGAATTGGAGAACATGGGTTTATGGAACAAGTAATACTACATTGTTTGAGAACATCTGTGAAATTCACAAAAGATATTTAAAACAGAATTTCTAGAAAATTCTTCTTTTCCATGAAAATTTACTCCTGAAGCACAAAACTCAAGGCAAACATCACTGTGAAACTGCCTGTGATTACCTCAGATACAAATCCAGATCAGATTACATCATTGCCTAATTATAATGTAAGGAGCCTGGACTTTTCAAGGCTCCAAATAAAGCCCAGATAGCAACACTGGTTTAAAAAAAGAGAAAAAGAGGCACATGATATGTTACTAATCTTCCTCTGAGAGTTAAGTAAATACACACCCTGAGACGTCATACAGTAAGAACTTTAAAATTGTTTATACCATATTAGGAAAAAAGCTTACACTATGATTAACATGTTTTTCCTTCTGATTTGGTAACCATCATATTGGTTTGGAAAAACATGACGCAATTTAAGTCAATTGTAAGTTATTTTATTTCCATTTTTTAGCCACAAAACATAATTTTTTAGTATTAAATTATTGTTCTTAAAAATAACCTAATTTAAATTACAATAATTCCCTCACAAAACATTGTTAGTAGATTAAAAAAATCAAAATGGCTCACTGTTTTCTGTTTTATTTATTTAAAAGCAATTTTCAAACACAAAATAAATGTAAATCTACATTTTATTGGCAGGAAATTTTTAATGCTTTATTGCTTTTAATGTGTTTTAACATGAAGGAAGTTTTTAGGTATTTTTATTTAAAGATACTGGAAGAAAGAAAGAATTATTTACTGAGCATTTACTGTATGCCAAGCTGTGTTCCAGATATTGATGTGTGATCTCATTACCTTGTACCAGAACATTGTACGAAACTAACTGAAGAAACAACTTATTATTGTTAATATTATTAATAATAGTGAGCCTTTATCAGTCACTTTACAGTTGACACAGAAAATTTTAATGTAATGTCTTTATCTATTTACATATTCATAGTTTAAAAAATTAAATGGTTCTGGCCGGGCACAGTGGCTGACGCCTGTAATCTCAGCACTTTGGGAGGCCAAGGAGGGCAGATCACGAGGTCAGGAGATCGAGACCATCCTGGCTAACATGGTGAAACCCCATCTCTACTAAAAATACAAAAAATTAGCCAGGCGTGGTGGCGGGCGCCTGTAGTCCCAGCTACTTGGGAGGTTGAGGCAGGAGAATGGCGTGAACCCGGGAGGCAGAGCTTGCAGTGAGCCGAGATCGTGCCACTGCACTCAGCAAGACTCCATCTCAAAAAAAAAAAAAAAAATACATAGTTCTGCATAGTTTAGTATTAAAACAGTAATCTAGTAATTCCATACTCCTCCCCATCCCCCCAATTCTTGTTTCCAAAGACTTTCAACACTTTTTTCGGTTTCTTTTGGTATTTACAGCCATTTCTATCCTTGCTAATACTGCTATTTTTTAAAGTTTTTTTTTTTTCTGCTTGCCATTCCTTCAGCAGTTTCCTGAAAAAGTTTTCAGTTTTACACATCTATCAACTTCCTATCATGAAGAGGAGAATCTGCTTTTTTTATTTTTTATTTTTTAAAACAGGGTCTCACTCTGTCATCCAGGCTGGAGTGCAGTGATGTGATCATAGCTCACTGTAATCTCAAACTCCTAGGCTCAAGTGATCCTCCAGTCTCAGCCTCCTGAGTAGCTGAGACAACAAGTGCGTGCAACCACATTCAGCTAATTTTTCTTTTTTCTTTTTTTCTTTTTTTTTTTTTTTGAGACAGAGTCTCGCTCTGTCGCCCAGGATGGAGTGCACTGGCGCAATCTCGGCTCACTGCAAGCTCCGCCTCCTGGGTTCACGCCATTCTCCTGCCTCAGCCTCCCGAGTAGCTGGGACTACAGGTGCCCACCACCATGCCAGCTAATTTTTTGTATTTTTAGTAGAGACAGAGTTTCACCCGTGTTAGCCAGGATGGTCTCGATCTCCTGACCTCGTGATCTGCCCACCTCAGCCTCCCAGAGTGCTGGGATTACAGGCTTGAGTCACTGAGCCCCGCCTTATTTTTCTATTTTTAGTAGAGATGAGGTCTTGCTGTGTTGCCCAAGCTGGTCTTGAACTTCTGGGTTGAAGTGATCCTCCTGCCTCAACCTCCCAAAGTGTTGAGATTACAGGTGTGAGCCACTGTGCGCAGCTTAATATTTTTGTTATTTGCTTAGTTTTCTATCTTATATTAATTTACCGTATACTGTATTCTAGAAATGTAAGTCTTTACTCAACATGTTTTTCAAACATGTTATGTATTCTATCAATTATCTCTCCTTGGAGACAGCCATTCAGGAGTCTTCTACCTCTTCTACCAATCAGGACTTGTGGCTTTCTCTGTCACACACAGCTGCTGTCCTGGGACTTCTCTCTACCTCTCACCTGTGCTGGTCTCCTGTTTCCTGGGTCCTGAGTATTCCTCTTTCTTTGTGTACTCTTTCATTTTATCTTCCCCCGTAGCTTCCCATTAGGACCAACATAGTCTCCTCCCTGAATGCAAGCTGCTCGTGGTCTACTGGGGAGACAGAAATGTCTGAGCCTAAAGATTCTTGACCCTGGCCAGGCGTGGTGGCTCACACCTGTAGTCCCAGCACTTTGGGAGGCCGAGGCAGGAGGATCACCTGAGGTCAGGAGTTTGAGACCAGCCTAACCAACATAGAGAAGCCCATCTCTACTAAAAATACAAATTTAGCTGGGCGCGGTTGGCGCATGCCTGTAATCCCAGCTACTTGAGAGGCTGAGGCAGGAGAATCGCTTGAACCCGGGAGGCAGAGGTTGCAGTGTGAGCCGAGATCGCGCCATTGCACTCCAGCCTGGGCAACAAGAGCAAAACTCCGTCTCAAAAAAAAAAAAAAAAAAAAAAAAACAGATTATTGATCCCCTAGATCCTCCTGCTAATACCTATATATAATTTATATCTCTTCTTTGGAGTACTTATAATTATGTTCTTAATATCTGTCCTCCCTACAGTCTCTGAGCTGTATGAGGGCAAGAACTATGTCTTTTTTGATTACTATTTTATGAGTTAGAGTTAGCATGGTGCATAACATTGTAGGTGCTCAAAAATATTAGTTATTTGAAGCAGCCCAAAATTCACATTGCAGATTAAGAAGCAGTATGATATAAATATAATCATGGCACTAGAAGAAAACAGGGGAAGGCACTTAAGGGAGGGCTCCTTGTGGATGGTGGCATTTAAACAAATTTTTTTGGAGACAAGGTTTTGCTCTGTCGCTCAGGCTGGAGTGAAGTGGCGCAATCTTGGCTCAATGCAGCCTCGACCTCCCCAGGCTCAGGTGATCCTCCCCCAACCTGAGCCTCCCGAGTAGCTGAGAATACAGGCATGCGCCACCACACCCTGCTAATTTTTGTATTTTTTGTAGAGATGGGATTTGGGGTCTCGCCATGTTGCCCAGGCTGGTCTCCAATTCCTGAACTCAAGTGATCCATCCCCCTTTGCCTCCCAAAGTGCTGAAATTATAGGCATGCGTCACTACACATGGCCTAAACAAATTCTTACAAAATATAAAAGAAGTGGTAAAACTAGAAGGAGAGGAGAAAAAAATGCCAGGAAAGAAAACAGCATTTTCAAAGGTACAGAGACATTAAATAGCATGATACGTATTGGGAACTATAACAAATTCAATGTAGCAGAATAAGAGGAACATGCCAGCCATGGTGGCTCACACCTGTAATCCTAGCACTTTGGGAGGCCAAGTCAGGCTGATCACCTGAGGTCAGGAGTTCGAGACCAGTCTGGCCAACATGGTGAAACCCCATCTCTACTAAAAATACAAAAATTAGCCGGGTATGGTGGTGCACGCCTGTAGTCCCAGCTACTCAGAATGTGGAGGCAGGAGAATCGCTTGAACTCAGGAGGCAGAAGTTGCAGTGGGCTGAGATCATGCCACTGTACTCCAGCCTGGACGACAGAGTGAGACCTTGTCTCAAAATAAAAAAAAAATAAAAAAAGAAAAAAGAAAAACAGGGAATACATTGTGGGATATAGAGAGACGTGTGACTAGACAGCACGACAAAGGCAAGGTCATACTAAGGAGCTTGACAATAATATGTCAAAGAAGAGTTATTCAAGGCTGTTAAGCAGAAAATTTAGAAATATCATTCTGCTTTATTAGTCTTGCTAGCGGTCTCTCAATTTTGTTGATCTTTTCAAAAAACCAGCTCCTGGATTCATTGATTTTTTGAAGGGTTTTTTGTGTCTCTATCTCTTTCAGTTCTGCTCTGATCTTAGTTATTTCTTGCCTTCTGCTAGCTTTTGAATGTATTTGCTCTTGCTTCTCCAGTTCTTCTAACTGTGATGTTAGGTTGTCCATTTTAGATCTTTCCTGCTTTCTCTTGTGGGCATTTAGTGCTATAAATTTCCCTGTACACACTGCTTTAAATGTGTCCCAGAAATTCTAGTATGTTGTGTCTTTGTTCTCTTTGGTTTCAAAGAATATCTTTATTTCTGCCTTCATTTCATTATATACCCAGTAGTCATTCAGGAGCAGGTTGTTCAGTTTCCATGTAGTTGAGAGGTTTTGAGTGAGTTTCTTAATCCTGAGTTCTAGTTTGATTGCACTGTGGTCTGAGAGACAGTTTGTTATAATTTCTGTTCTTTTACATTTGCTGAGGAGTGCTTTACTTCCAACTATGTGGTCAATTTTGGAATAAGTGTGATGTGGTGCTGAGAAGAATGTATATTCTGTTGATTTGGGGTGGAGAGTTCTGTAGATGTCTATTAGGTCTGCTTGGTGCAGAGCTGAGTTCCATTCCTGGATATCCTTGTTAACTTTCTGTCTCGTTGATCTGTCTAATGTTGACAGTGGGGTGTTAAAGTCTCCCATGATTATTGTGTGGGAGTCTAAGTCTCTTTGTAGGTCTCTAAGGACTTGCTTTATGAATCTGGGTGCTGCTGTATTGGGTGCATGTATATTTAGGATAGTCAGCTCTTCTTGTTGAATTGATCCCTTTACCATTATGTAATGGCCTTCTTTGTCTCTTTTGATCGTCATTGGTTTAAAGTCTGTCCAAAGTTCATATGGAAAGAAAAAAGAGCCTGCATCGCCAAGTCAATCCTAAGCCAAAAGAACAAAGCTGGAGGCATCACGCTACCTGATTTCAAACTATACCACAAGGCTATAGTAACCAAAACAGCATGGTACTGGTACAAAAACAGAGATATAGACCAATGGAACAGAACAGAGCCCTCAGAAATAATACCACACATCTGCAACTATCTGATCTTTGACAAACCTGAGAAAAACAAGAAATGGGGAAAGGATTCCCTATTTAATAAATGGTGCTGGGAAAACTGGCTAGCCATATGTAGAAAGCTGAAACTGGATCCCTTCCTTACACCTTATACAAAAATTAATTCAAAGTGGATTAAAGACTTACATGTTAGACCTAAAACCATAAAAACCCTAGAAGAAAACCTAGGCAATACCATTCAGGACATAGGCATGGTCAAGGACTTCACGTCTAAAACACCAAAAGCAATGGCAACAAAAGCCAAAATTGAAAAATGGGATCTAATTAAACTAAAGAGCTTCTGCACAGCAAAAGAAACTACCATCAGAGTGAACAGGCAACCCACAGAATGGGAGAAAATTTTTGCAATCTACCCATCTGACAAAGGGCTAATATCCAGAATCTACAATGAACTCAAACAAATTTACAAGAAAAAAACAAAGAACCACATCAAGAAGTGGGCAAAGGATATGAACAGACACTTCTCAAAAGAAGACATTTATGCAGCCAACAGACACATGAGAAAATGCTCATCATCACTGGCCATCAGAGAAATGCAAATCAAAACCACAATGAGATACTATCTCACACCAGTTAGAATGGCGATCATTAAAAAGTCAGGAAACAACAGGTGCTGGAGAGGATGTGGAGAAATAGGAACACTTTTACACTCTTGGTGGGACTGTAAACTAGTTCAACCATTGTGGAAGATAGTGTGGCGATTCCTCAAGGATCTAGAACTAGAAATACCTTTTGACCCAGCCATCCCATTACTGGTATTTACCCAAAGGATTATAAATCATGCTGTTATAAGGACACATGCACAAGTATGTTCATTGCGGCACTATTCACAATAGCAAAGACTTGGAACCAACCCAAATGTCCATCAATGATAGACTGGATTAAGAAAATGTGGCACATATACAACATGGAAAACTATGCAGCCATAAAAAAGGATGAGTTCATGTCCTTTGTAGAGACATGGATGAAGCTGGAAACCATCATTCTCAGCAAACTATCACAAGGACAAAAAACCAAACACCGCATGTTCTCACTCATAGGTGGGAATTGAACAATGAGAACACCTGGACACAGGAAGGGGAACATCACACACCAGGGCCTGTTGTGGGGTGGGGGGAGAGGGGAGGGATAGCATTAGGAGATATACCTAATGTAAATGACGAGTTAATGGGTGCAGCACACTAACATGGCACATGTATACATATGTAACAAACCTGCACGTTGTGCACATGTACCCTAGAACTTAAAGTATAATAATAATAAAAAGAAAAAAAAAGATCATTCTGGGAACAAAGTGTAGAATGAATAAAAGGTGGAGGCTAGAGGCAAATAATAATAATAATAATGAATTGGGAAGCTATTACACACTTGTCTAGGTGAGTGAAGAGAACATGGACCAGTGAGCTACAGGGAAGGAAGAATGACAGGTCAGATTTGGACATGAATGGTGACAGTAGTGTCAAGAATGACTCCCAGGTATCTGACTTTAGGCATCAGAATTAGGTGGACTCACCAAGTCAGTGAAGCAAGGAAAAAGGTAGATTTTATAGTAGGAGACATACTAAATTCAGCTTACGATATAGTCTCCTATTGTTGCTATAACTATTACTACAAACGTAGTGCTCTAAGACAACACAAATTAATTACTTTTTCATTCTAGAGGTCAGAAGTCCAAAATCAGTCTCTCTGGGCTAAAATCAAAGTGGAAGTAGGGTTGGTTCTTTCTGGAGGCTCTAGAGGAGAATCCTTGTGCTTGGCTCTTCCAACTTCTGGAGGCCACTTGCATTCCTTGACTTGTAGCCCCCTTCTCCATCTTGAAAGCCAGCAGCACAACATCTTCAAATCTCTCTCTCTTCTCCACCCCTCTTTCTGACCTCTGCTTCTGTGTCACATCTACTTTTTTGGCTCTGACCCTCTTGCTTCCCTCTTATAAAGACTCCTTATGCTTGCACTGGGCCCACTTGGATAATCCAGCACAATCTCCCCATCTCACAATTCTTAACCACATCTGCAAAGTCCTTTTTGCCATGCAAGGTACATACATAATCACAGGTTTCAAGGATAAGATGTGGACAACTTTGGGGTGGTAGAAGAGATTGGGGCATTATCTTGCCTATCACAGATGCTAAAGTGACACTATGTTTGCATGAAGCACAAGTGTCTTTGAATTTCATTAATCCAGTCCTACATTTAAGCATTTTTTTCATTTTTTTTTTTTTGAAATGGAGTTTTGCTCTTGTTGCCCAGGCTGGAGCGCAGTGGCGCGATCTCAGCTCACTGCAATCTCCCCCTCCTGGGTTCAAGTGATTCTCCTGCCTCAGCCTCCTGAGTAGCTGGAATTACAGGCATGTGCCAGCAAACCTGGCTAATTTTTTGCATTTTTAGTAGAGATGGGGCTTCACCATGTTGGCCAGGCTGGTCTTGAGCTCCTGATCTCACGTGATCTGCTTGCCTTGGCCTCCGAAAGTGCGGGGATTACAGCCATGAGCCACCGTGCCTGGTATTTCACTTTGTTTTTGTTTTGTTTTGTTTTTGAGAAGGGTCTCATTCTGTCACCCAGGCTGGAGTACAATGGCACTATCATTCTTCACTGCAGCCTTGACCTCCAGGGCTTAAGTGACCCTCCCACCTCAGCCTCCCAAGTAGCATGTGTCATCACACTCGGTTATTTTGTTTTTAGAGATGGGGTGGCTATGTTGCCCAGGCTGGTCTCAAACTCCTTGGCTCCGACGATCCTCTGGCCTCAGCCTTTCAAAGCGTTGAGATGACAGGCATAAACCACTGTGACTGGCCTTCGAATCAATACCGATTTGTTACAGATAAACTTCAGTCATTTCCAAAAAATTAATAAAACACATCAGGGCTGGGCATGGTGGCTCACACCTGTAATCCCAGCACTTTGGGAGGCCAAGGCGGGTGGGTCACAAAGTGAGGAGTTCAAGACCATCCTGGCTAACACAGTGAAACCCCATCTCTACTAAAAATACAAAAAATTAGCTGGGCATGGTGGTATGCACCTGTAGTCCCAGCTACTTGGGAGGCTGAGGCAAGAGAATCGCTTGAACCTGGGAGGCGGAGGTTGCAGTGAGCCAAGATTGCGCCACTGCACTCCAGCCTGGGAAACAAAGCGAGACTCCATCTCAAAAAATAAAATAAAATAAAATAAAAATAAAACACAGCAGACACAAGTTACTAAAATTATTATTAAAGCCATAAAATTAATAATCCTCAGTTAGTAGCTGTTATCTTCAACTTTTCTAAACAGGAGTTTAATTAATATCTCACACGCTGGAGAATACCAACAGTGATGCTAGTGCAATGACAATACTAAATGAGCTAGTATTGAAAATTTGAAAATAACACAACTTGGAGTAGATACCCTTTTGTGTTTCATAAGTTAGGTCTATGTAAGAAGAAAAATATAACTACACATCTATTTTTAATTGTTTTTGCTCTTTTACAATTTTTTTTACTGTATCATCATTGAAATTCAGTGAATCCAGACACCCAAGAGACCTTAGACCAGCCCTTACCTCCATTCCTGCCTAATGACTTTTCATCTAAAGAGCTAAGTCTGTGTTTGAAAGAAATTTAGTCTATCCTTCAAATTGAGAATTACTTATCACATATAGATGTATGTAGCATTTGGCAGAAAATCATACATCTATTTATTCGTACACACTAAAATTCTGGAAGAATAAATAAGAAATTGTTAACAGAGGGCCAGAGATGGCGGCTTACATGTGTAATTCCAATACTTTGGGAGGCCAAGGCGGGAGGATCACTTGAGCCCAGGAGATTGAGTCCAGCCTGGGCAACATTGTGAGATCCTGTCTGTATAAAAAATAATAATTTTAAAAATTAGTTGTGCTGTAGTACTGTGCACCTGTGGTCCTAGCTACTAGGGAGGCTGAAGCAGAAGGATCGAATCACTTGAGCCCATGTGTTTAAGGTTACAGTGAGCTATGATGGCACAACTGCACTCTAGCTTGGGCAACGGAGTGAGCCCCTGTCAAGGGAGGGAGGGAGGGAGGAAGGAAGGGAGGGAGGGAGGAAAGGGAAGGAGGGAGGGAGGGAGGGAGGGGGAGGAGGGAAGGAGGAAAGACATTGTTAACAAGATGTTACCCCTAGGAGTGGAACAGGCATCAGGTAAGTGCATACGGAGAGGGTAGACATTTAGTGATCATTTTACGCATTTTGTGTAGAGGTTGAAGTTTTACCAGTGCAAGTTGTAACTTTTAGAATTATAAAAGCTAGTTTAATTTTTAAAATAGTACATAGTCTAGATAAAACCCAAAGATTAAATATATTCAGGAACAATGTTTTATGTATCTTTGTATCACTCATAATGCTTGACAAATTACAGCACTCAATGTATGATGGATGAATAAATGAAAATATAATTCTTACTTTCAGGAATGGGAAAGAAGCAACATAAAATACTTGACATTACCCCATTTATGGAAACTCATCCCAGAAAACTTCCCTGAGACAAAAGTTCAGTAAGGCAAGAATATATCTGAAATTCTTGCTGGAGATATCAATTTAAAACATAAATGCAAACTAGGCTATGACCAAACTCCAACATGTCTGTGGGTACATGATTTCATACAGAGGAATATGATGGTTTGCATGGAAACTAGAGAAAGAAGAATTAGAAAATATATCTTTGCTAGTATTTCTCCTGTACTAGCCAGAGAAAGAGTATTCTGATTCTTGATCTGTGGCCAGCTTTTTAGGAAGAAATACCTCTAATATGTGGAAGGACAATTCCTTAGTACTTCTCAGTTTGCTGGAAATCCATCCCAAAAGCATCCAATTCCATTTGTTTTAACTGTGTGCTCACCCAACAACTTTCTGACTTACAATTTGGTGTCCTAACTGTATGTGCACAACAAAAAGAAAACATTCAGGGAAGAAGAACAGGGAGAGAGCAAGAAGGAGGAGTCTGCTATTTGTAAGAAAGGGAAGGTGTTTTGTGACAAGTTTAAATCTGGTTATCATGCTTGCTATATATCCTATTACAGGTTAATAAATTAGCATTCTGATTTATGTATATAAGGCTCTTGAAAGATGGTTGGTTTCCTGGTACCTAACCATCCCTTGGTAAAATTTTAATTTTATTTTTATTTTTTTTGACAGAGTCTTACTCTGTCACCCAGGCTGGAGTGCAGTGGCGCGATCTCAGCTCACTGCAACCTCCGCCTCAGTTCAAGTGATTCTCCTGCCTCAGCCTCCTGAGCAGCTGGGATTACAGGCACGCGCCACCACACCTGGCTAATTTTTTGTATTTGTAGTAGAGATGGGGTTTCACCACATTGGTCAGGCTGGTCTCGAACTCCTGACCTCATGATCCGCCTGCTTCGGCCTCCCAAAGTGCTGGGATTACAGGCGTGAGCCACCACGCCCAGTCCCTAAAATTTTAATTTTTAAACTTACAAATTTGAGGACCAGAATCTGGACTCATCAACGTGGCTCTGAAACTCGATGTCTATAACCATCATTAATACAACAACGGAACGCTTGTTTTGTTTTGCGGAACTTGTTTTGTCTTGCATTCATTCTATCTTCCTTAAATAATGTCTCTTGAAAAAAAGAAATCTTTGGAAGAAATTCAAGACAGATTATCTTCTTTAATAGAAGAATTTCTGAATCTCTGAAAACATGGTAATGCCAAAGCTTTAGCCTTTATATTTGGAAGTAACCAACTATAACTTAGGATGAAAAGAAGAAAAGCATTGAATGCTTTGCTCAGACCATAAATTCCATATCCATTTTCCCTAGCGTTTGGGATAATTAAGTTCATTGTACTAGTGGTTTTTTTTTTTTCCCTTAGGGATTCTACCTGGAATATACTAATATTTTCAAGCACTCATAGAAAATGGTGTAAATAAAATTGTTACACATGGAAATACACATTTATAATTTTGATATATTTTGCCAAATTGCTCTCTAAAAGGGTTAATTCCATTTACGTTCCAACAAAATATTTGTTTTCCCACATCCTTCCCCATATTAAATGTTAACCTGTTCAATTTGTCAATCAGACACAAGGAAAATTATATCCTTATTGTTTAATTTGCATTTTCTGAATTGTGAAGATATTAAATATACTCATGTCAATAGGCTATTATCTTTCATTTCAGTATCTGGATGTGAGTGGTTTTTGCCTATTTGTTGCTTATTGACTTGTAAGAGATCTTTGTATATTAAAGAAATTTAGCCCTTTATCTGTCATATATTGAGAGTATTTTTTTCTCAGTTTGTAATTTGTTTTTGCATCATTATTTGTAATTCAAGGTGAGTTTTTGAGATAAGTATTTACCAAGTAGAATAAAGTAATCCCTTTCCCCTCCCTACCACAGGAAGAGAAACCTAACATTGTATTTTTAAAAAGGTCTGAGCTCATTACACCTTCCCTAGGGGAAAAGTAAAAACTTTTTTAAGTATGGTCTTTCCAAGAGGATTAAGTTGGACCATCTCACATATGGATGGAAAAGACAATGTTTCTCAAAGAAAAGTCTCCAGTGGACTTTCTGGAAAGCTTCACTGGATATCCCTGGTTTCTAGGCACTAAATAACAATAGTATACCCTAGTCATTAAGATAACCAAAAAATGTACCTACACATTTCAAATGTCCTCACCATTCTGCTCAAGAGGTGGATCCTTAGGATTGAAAAAATGTAATTAGTTTCCTAGAGACTGATGGAGGTAGCAGGTTCCAAAAACTACAGGTATCTGTGCCTGGCTTTACCAGGAGATACAGTACAGCCTCTGAAGGTGCTTCAGCTTCTCAGTGGTGGAGACATGAACACCAACCTCCATAACCCTGGGAGTTGAGGTAAAAGATACTTATAACCAAACTGGGCACAAAGGATGTAGATTTATTCAAATAGACTCAATGTACATGGGCAATTCACATCACAGTGATGATCACAATTGAGTACCAGGGTCTTTGCCTAAGTTTTCCAAACTGTGCAAGCCTCTGACAAGTCTTGTGCAACTATGGAAAAGAGAAGGAAATCTTTAATTTAAAGACTGACATTGGGTATCTTACGACCCCTGGCAAGTGATGTCTCAGATCAGAATTAATTTGCAATAAAAAATAAAGCAAGACTCCCTGTTCCTGTAACGATGCTAACTGAACTGATATCAACCCTCCCACTAGATATGCACAGCCTTGATAAGCGTAGATAAACATATACACTAAGATAAACTGTAACAACAACAAAAAATACAATAGCCTATGTCAAAACAAAGAAAGGGGAATCCCCAGTGGTCCTGACAGGCCAAGAAAGTGCCCCACCTGAGGACCAAAACAGAAGGTTGAATGCTCCCAAGTGATTGAAGAGATGTCCTGGTCTAGATGAAAGAGAAGGCTGGAAGTGAGACACAGACATAAAAACAAGGCACTAGAATACGCACCAATTCAGTGAAAAGGGAGCTAGAAAAATTTTGTCAAGGAGAACAGGGAAGCGACAAGGAAGATTACCATCCCCCAGGATCCTGAATGGGGAAATGTTTCTGGGAGGAATCAAGGCCCAAAACCTACACCATGGATGGACATGTTTTCTGAATTTATGCTACCTATGTGATGTGGGCATTCCAAGCTGAGAATTTAAATGCTGTTCCCACATCTTTGAACATTCTGAAGCCCTGGCTTTGACAAAAGCAAATATCAAAAGCAGATATCAAGCCATTGTACAGGGGCTAAGCATATAGAAGTCCCATAGAAAAGGCAGCCCTCATGAAGATGACTTCACATTCCTAAATTAAAAACCACCAAAGGAGGCATGAGGGAGAGTCATCGAGTGCAACAAAAAAGAATTGGAAATAATGGAACAATAGCAAAGGGACTAAAATAATTATGTTCAAAAGAATTAAAGCAATGCAGGCCAGGCACAGTGGCTCACACCTGTAATCCCAGCACTTTGGGAGGCCAAGGTGCACGGATCACGAGGTCAGGTATTCGAGATCAGCCTGGCCAACATGGTGAAACCCTGTCTCTACTAAAAATACAAAAATTAGCTGGGCATGGGTGGTGGCATGTGCCTGTAATCCCAGCTACCCGGGAGGCTAAGGCAAGAGAATTGCTTGAACCTGGGAGGCAGAGGCTGTAGTGAGCCAAGATCGCACCACTGCACTCCAGCCTGGGCAACAGAGCGAGATTCAGTCTCAAAAAAAAAAAAATAAATAAAAAAAGAATTAAAGTAATGCAAAAAAAGATTAAAAAGCCTAATGAATACAATAATTTGACTACAGGAGAAAAGAAATTTTAACAAAACAGAGAACATGTGGAAAATTTTAAATGTAGTTCATTGAGATTATAAACTCAGGTAAATTTAAACTGTAGAATAGAAATAGATGGAGAAGAAATTGGTAAACTGGAAGATCGGCCATTTCACATAATAAAGCCAGAAAGATAATGATATGAAAATTATAAGAGGGGTTTAGGATCAGCCTCTCTTAATAGGAGTTCCAGAAAAAGAAAATAGAATGGGTTAGAGGCAATATTTGAAGATATAAGGCTGAGAATTTTGCAGAACTGAAGAAAGACATTATTGAAGTAGCACACTAAATACTGTAGATATAATAAAAACAATCCATACTTGGACACTGCAGAGCAGTAAAGCTGAAGAAAAACTCTAGCAAGGAGGAGAAAAAGATATATCATTGGCAATGCCATTGGCATTTCACCACTTAGAGATGAGTCCGTTTGGAGACATTTCTGTCCCTTCCATTCCCATATAACTAGTAACTTTCAAATACTACTAGTACTTCTACTAACTCTTTTGAGGGCTTACACTCTTCTAAGTGCTTTTACGTATGGTAACTCATTAAATTCCTCTAATAACTCCAGGAAGTACTACTATTATCTCCATTTTACAAGTGAGGAAACTGAGGCGCTGAGAGATTTAAGTAACTTGTCCAAGGTAACACGGCTAGTAAGTGGTACAGCTGGAATTCAAATATAGGGATTCTGGCTCCGAAGCCTGAGTTGTAAGAGCCCAATAACGTTGGCTGGATGACTGTAAGCCATATGCCAGCTCCTGTCTACCTGGGGCCCTCCCATACCCCACAAAGTGCCTGTACCTCATTATCGCACATGTCTCATCTTTAAATCAATTCCCTGCTCTTTCCAACTACTCCCTGCCCTCAATCCATTTCTTTGGTCCCTCAGGTTGATGGCAACTCAATGTTTAAAATAGGTGTTCATGAGGTGTTTCTAGTTATGGGTAAATGAAATGAGAATTCAGCTGCAACAAGGAGACATCTAGTCCTAGGAGGGACTAAATCCATCTGAGAAGCTGCATCTCAACCTGCCTTACACATTTCAAAGGAAGGCACTTTGTGATTTGCAAGTGCATCAAACTATTCAGTCATACCTGATGCACATGGAAGCTCTACAACAATGTTATTTTCATGACCTAGGAAGCTTCATGAAAGTAATGAGTTTATACCACTTCATTACTGAAAAAATCAGCATTAAGACAGAACATTTTTATTTATCACCATCTGAGGCTTCTTTCTGGCTTCTAACTCTAGTTTTGTAGATCTTCTATAAGATATCAAGAAATAAAAACCAAAAACCAGGAGATGCATCAATATTTAAAGTGTTTTATATATTTGTTGAGTAGAAGTGGTTAAAAAATTAAGAATTAGTCCTGGTTGCAAAATAACTTTAAGCACAAAACCTCAATTACTGATTAATGTTGAAAAGATTATATTTAAGAGGTAAAAATATTCTGTCATGAGCATCAAGTATTTGATGCACAAGTATTAGCACAAGTAGAACATTTCCTCACCACTTTTTTGTGACTTAATAATTGTAAATCCAGGGAATGGGCAAGTGGATGAGTTTGAATTCATAACTGCCCATTAAGAGAATTGGATTCTTGTATCAAAACTACCTGTAGGGTATGTGACCTTTACCTACTTTATTTATATGTACAAATAAGGTTAATCAAATAGTCCTTCTACTTATTTTATGAGAGCACTGAGAAAAGAATTTATTTATTCTTTTTTTTTTTTTTTTTTTTTGAGATGGTCTCACCCTGTGGCTGAGGCTGGAGTTCAGTGGCATGATCTTGGCTCACTGCAACCTCCATCTCCCGGGTTCAAGCAATTCTCATGTCTCAGCCTCCTGAGTAGCTGAGATTACAGGCGTGCGCCACAACGCCCAGCTAATTTTTGTATTTTTAGTAGAGATGGGGTTTCACCATGTTGGCCAGGCTGGTCTTGAACTCCTGACCTCAGGTGATCCTCCTGCCTTGGCCTCCCAAAGTGCTGGGATTACAGGCGTGAGCCACTGTGCCCAGCCTACTGAGAAGAATTTAAATTATGGAATGGATGACAAAAACTTGATTGTGAATAAGCTCTTGAAAATGCATCAGATCACTGAAGCGAGGTGAACAAATGTTCCAACAGAAGTGTGAGGAAGAATATCACACAGACGTTTCCTTATTTACCATGAGCGAAGTTCTCAAAAGTCAGAGAGTTGTCTAGTCCAGCCCTTTCCATTAGAGAGGAGGTCTCTCAGTATACTAAGAGTATTTCAACAAAAGTAAATATATATATGAGAAAGACTTGGGCAGTAAAGAAAAAAAAAAGATTTTTATTTTCTAATTATTCTTTGTTAGTAAGGGCCCTAAATCTAGAAGTGTATATGCTGGAACACACTAGACCATAATACAAGAACAATCAAGGACAAAACAAAAAGGAATTTAGAATGAACAGATTATTCCCCGACTCACACTGTGAGGGGTTATAACTAGTCCCTTAGTGACCAATCTCAGCAAGGCAGTCATTCAAGAAACCTGCAAGTCACTCTTTACATTCCGTCTTTTTCCTACACCATAGCCAAATCCTATAGGTTCTACTTCCAAGATTAAAAACAAATGCACTTTTCTGTATCACCCCTGTAACCATCTCAGTCTAACCCTCCATCATCTCTTGCCTGAACCGGCCTTCCATTGCTCTCCCATTTTCCACTACTCTATGTTTTCCCTAGATAGCAGTCAGAGGAATTTTTTAAAACTGTCCAGTGGATCTCCTAGTCTGTGCACTAAAAAATCCTCCAATGGCTTCCCAATATACTTGAGATATAATCCAAATTACCTAATATGACCTGCAAGGTCTTCATGATCTGGCCCCTGCTTCCCTCACCACTGTTCTTTATTTTTTACATACCGCTTTCCACCTCACTCCTGCACACTGGCTCCCTTTCAATTATTCAAACCCAGTGAATTGTTTGCTGCCTCAGGCCATCGTACTTCCTGCTGTCTCTGCTTAAAGGCTTTTTCTGTCTATTCTTCACCAAACTCATTTATCTTTCAGATAACAGCTTAAAAATCACTGTATCAGAAAGGCCTTCCCTTGGTTCTCCAACATAAATTAGGGCTCCCTCTTACATGCTTCCATCATACCAGTTATTTACTTTCACATAATGTCTAAGGGTATGTAATCACTTATTTGTGTATATGTGTGCATATGTGTGTATTTGTATACTTTCTTTTTTGGTCTCCCTTAACACATTATAAGCTCCCAGAGGACACAAACCATCTGCCTTTTGTCTATTACTGAATACCCAATGTTCAGCACAGTCCTTGGCACAATATGTATTTTTTTTAATGGATAAATGACCTTGTAAGGTGGGTAACTCCTTACTATAGATGAGGATACTAAGATCCAAGGTTATTAAGCAACAGAAAAACTGAATCAGTACTCTAATGTCTGCCTAGAAAGTACTAGAAAAAATTTTTTTTCCAGCATGATCTGTTTGAATCTGAAGAACAGTAGATTATTATTGTCTAGCCAAATACTGTGATTTCTACTAGTTTTTTCCAGATGGCCACATATGCATTCATATGTATATGCAGACTTATATTCTAAGTGGTAAAATTTTCAAAGCTTTCTTTCTTGGAAGAAAATATTTTCTGATTTTTCTGTTTTTCTTTCTACTCAGCTACAATTCATGATCCTTGGACACTGTTCAGTTCATTAGAGTCAGACACAATGAAAGAACGAGCAAGGGAACAAATGGACATTTTTTGCTGGATCAGTGGAGGTACTAGATTCAAACAATCATTTAATGACTTAATAACTAACTTTTCAGAATGTTTTCCTTAAAATAATTTTGTGAAACTCATTTCTAGTCACTGCAGGTAAAATTTCTTTCAAAACCTTTTAGGTTAATTCTGTTGCTATTTCTACTATAGCACAACTACATGATTTAAAAGGCCAGGTTTCCATGCAGGCTTTCATTATTTCACTGCCTTCAGTGAGAGCATGAGAATCTCTGCTGTGTCCTTGAGAGCAGCCTCAAGTCAAATAAAAAGTAGACTTTAATTGCACTGAGCATGTCTGCAGGGAGGATAAACACTTTTTCTCTACTCTTGTAAGTTCAGTAGCAGAAGCCTGCAAATTAAATTGACAAATGACAGATAAACAGGAGAAAAGGTTTATTTCATATGCACATGGGGGGCCTCACAGAAAGGAAGTGAAAACCCCAAAAAGCAGTTAGGCCTAAGAGCTTATATACCATTTTTTTAAAAGGTGATAAATTGTGGAGAAGTGATAAGACAAAGGAAAAAGGGGTGGGACTTGTGAAGGTGGTAAATTGTGGCCGAGTAAACTATATGAGGGAAACTATTGGAAGACAAGGGTTATTTTGCAAGGTTTGCCATATGACTCAAGTTGGTGCTCTGGTGATAGGAATCTCCTCCTCCTAGTGTGGGATGGGGAGGAGGAACAACTTCACAAAGGGAAATTTATGTCCTGCTTTTAGGCAGAAATAGGAAAAGCAGAGTGTTTCTTCTGTTCTGCTGTTTCTTAATTGCCTTCAACTCCAAATAATGCTTGTGTCAAAGTGGCATGTTTTGGGGTGGCATATTCTGGATCTCCTTCAATGTCCAACAATCCCAAGGAAATGGAAAAGTGGGGAGGAAAGAAATGATTTTGGGGGAACCCCCTTTCAGGAAGTTTTTCTCAAATTTGGATCCCAGAAGTACTCCCTGAGACCCTCTAAGATTTTCTTTTTTTTTTTTCCCATTAAAAAGAAATTTGGCAAGATATACATAAAACATAAAATTTACCATTTTTAGCCATTTTTAAGTATAAAGTTCAAGAGCATCAAGTTTATTCACATCGTTGTGCAACCATCACCACCATCTATCTCCAGACTTTCTTCATCTTGCAAAGCTAGAACTGTAGACATAAAACAGTAACTCCCCATTCCCACCTGCCCTTCCTTTCCCACAACCACTTCCCACCCCCCAACTGTCTCTATGAATTTGACTACTCTATGTACCTTATATAAGTTGAATCATACAGCATTTGTCCTTTTGCGACTAGGCATAATGTCTTCAAGCTTCATCCATGCTATAACATGTGTCAGAATTTCCCTCTCTCTCTTTTATTTTTGAGACAGGATTTGCCCAGGCTGGTCTTGAACTCCTGGATTCAAGTGATCCTCCCATCTCAGCCTCCTAAGTAGCTGGGATTACAGGGATACCTCGCCACACCTGGGTCCCTCCTTTTTTAAGGCTGAATAATATTTTATTGCATGTATATACTACATTTTGTTCATCCATTCATCCATTGATGGACATTTGGGTTGCTTCCACCCTTTGGCTATTGTGAATAATGCTGCTATAAACATGGTTGTACAAATTTTTTTTTGAGTCCCTGTTTTCAATTCTTTTGAATATATACTCAGAAGTGGAATTATTTAATCATACGATAATTCTATTTTTAATGTTCTGATGAACCATACAATTTTCCATAGTGGCCGTACCATTTTACATTCCCACCAGCAGCACACAAAGGTTATAATTTTTCCACATCCTTGCCAACACTCATATTTATTTTCTGTTCTGCTTTGTTTATAATCATCATTTTAATGAGTGTGAAGTTGTATCTCATGGTTTTGAGTTGCATTTCCCTCATGATTAGTGACCTTGAGTCTCTTTTCATGTGCTCATCGGCCATTTGTATACCTTCTTTGGAGAAATGTCTATTCAAGTCATTTGCCAACTTTTTAATTGTTTTTTTTCTTTTCTCAGAAAGGGCATCAGTACGTTACTCAAGTTTAAGAGATACTGCCAACCAAATCCTAGAGATAAATCTGTTAGCTACTTGATATTAAATTTCTTACAAATACTATTGCTATTATAGGTAAAATAATCTCCACTAATTTTTAAAATTATTAAGTGTGAATTATAATTCACATACAGAAAAATGTGCATAAGAGTACAGCTTGAATTTTCACAAATGGACACGCATTTATAACTAGCGCCAAAATCAACGGAGAGAACCTCACTAGAAGGAAGCCCCTCTTCCAGTTGCTAACTGGAAGCCCCTCTTCTAGTCGCTAACTCCTTCCAGTCACTATCCCCTGCCCACCAAGGTAACCATTATGCTAACTTTGAGCCTCTTAGTTCTTCTGTTTTTGTAGTTTATAGAAATGGACTTATGCCATGTGTACTTTTGTTGTCTTTTTATGCTGGGCATTAGGTTTCCCCAGTTGATTCACGTTATTGCCTGTAATTGCAGATGCTTTTTTGCGTTGCTGTATAGTGTTTCATTATATGAACTCTGTGTAATTTCATTAATTTATTCTATTGTTGATGGTCTTTTGGGTTATTCTCATTAAGGAATTATTACAATAAATGCAGCTACGAACATTCTGATACCTGCCTGTCCGTGCACCCTAAGTATTCGTTTCTCTTTGCTCTATATGCAGGCGTGGAACTGCGGGGCCATAGGGTATGCACCTTTTGCAGACAGTCCCAAACTGTTTTTCAAAGGAGTTGTTCCAGTTTACATTCCAGCAGCAAAGTAGAAGAATGCAGTTACTCTACATCCTGGCCAACACTTGGTATTTTCCATCTTTTTTTTCTATTCTATTTTATTTTGAAATATAAAAACAACTGAAGCAAAGTTGAGATTGCTTTTGCGGAACCTTTTCGTTTTTGGTTCGCTTCTCTGAATAATTAACCATCTCAGGCTTCTATTTTGTCCTGCAGGCTGTGTGAGTGCGTTTTCGACTTTGCTCGACATTTTTTTGCTCACTTGGCCACTTAAGATGTCATCTGGTCAAGAAAATAAGGTAGGTGTCCGAAGCGGGGCAAGCCCTTTGAGGACACTGGAAGTGTGATAACTCTGTAGGCGAAACTCATGCGGACCGTCATTGGCCGATTTCTCTTTTCTAGAGTTCACGATCTAGGAGATCCTGCTCGTCTCTGATCTCCCCACTGCCCTCCCGGGCTCCCTTGGAGGCGCCTGGAAAGCTGAGCCGCCGCCAGCCACCCGCCAGAACAGGGGCGGGGCAGGGCCGCGGGTCCGCACAGAGCATGCGCAGACGAAGCACGGCGCATGCTCCGCAGCGCGGCGGGTCCACAGATGAGGGGAGTCGAGACTCCCGCGCCCCACCACCCCCGGCGGAGCTGCTGCTGAGCCACTCAATCTGAGCCCTGGCTACTAATAAAGTTCGTTTAAAAATCATAATCATTCTTAAGAGAGCGAAAGAGGGTGCGAACTAGCCGCTCGGCCCCGCAGGGAGAGCTGGCGCGTCGGGAGGAGACAGCGGCGGCAGCGGTTGCGCCGCGACCAGGAGGAGCCGGTGGCGCCGGGCGGCGGGTCCGCGGCCGGTGGGGGACGGTGAGTAGCGGCTCGCGCTGCGGTGCAGCGGCGCTGCACTCACTCGCCCTCTCCAGGGGCTGGGGGTTCGTCCGGCTCCACTGGGGAAGACTCAGCTTCTCCCCGGGGTCCCGGGTTGTGCCTTACTCTCCGGAGTGGGCAGGGGTATCGAGGGCAGGGGCCTCCCGGCCCGGCTCCCCCATCCCCCGGTTCGGACCGCCGAGCGCCGGCTCTCCCCTCCCTGAGCACCGATCCCAAGTTCCAGCTAGAGAAGGTGGGCGGCAGCGCCAGCCCGGCGCCCCCTCCCAGCTCCCAGCGGTGGGTACCTGGAATTGCCTGGTGGGCGGGAAAGAGGGGTGGAGCGAGGGCGGCGCTGCGTCCCCAGTCTGGCCGAACGTTCGGCTTTTTGCCTGCCCCAAGTCCCGACTGGGGAAGGGGCGACCCGGGCTGGGCCAGACACCAGTAAGGGCGTGAAGTGCTCAGGTTAGGTTTGATGGCGAAGAGAGTCCTCAGCTCCACCCTGGCATTTAGACTCCTCCCTGCAGTGCGACCACTCTTTACCCGCGACCCCACCCTTCCCTAGTTTCTTGTTCATAGAGTGCTGGAATATGAATGAGCCAAATTGTGCTGTTCCATTGACACTGGTTGCTACAGAATTAACTTTACTCGGAGATCCGAGGAGCCATCGGCAGTTCCCAGGAGTAAGAACCTGAGAGCGTGTGAGAGTAAGAACTTCATTATCAGGAGCTAGTGAAGTGGCAGTAGGGTCTGAAAAGGGCTGTTAACTTCTCTAGGTTTTTATGTATCTCCTAACATCTAGGTAATTTCATTGACCCTAAGAAGTTTTTCAGTATTTTTACAAATATAACCTGTACTTCTACTTAAATAAAGGCTGTTATGAGAAAACAACCTTTTGATTAGTGAGTTAACTCACCCTTTGCTTCTCTAATTTATTAGACCGCATTAGCAAAATGTTAAAAGTTTTGGGGAAAGGGTATTTATATAAAGTATTATTGTCGAGGTTTTTAATTGTACTCAGAAGTATGCTTATTTCTAGGAACGTAATTGTTTTGATCTAGTGCTTTAAGTCTATAGTTTCTGAAAAGCAAGAGTCCGACTGCCTGTTAAAATTTAATTTGGCTTTTTTCTTTAAATTTATTTTAAGGAAATTAATTTATTATTTTAAAAAGTGTATGGTAAAATTGATTTTTTTTCGATGTACAGTTCTGCGAATTTTAGACTCATGTAACCACCACTACAGTAAGGATGTAGAACAAATCTATCGCTCCCCCGCCACAGAAAAAAAACCTAATGTGATCCCATTATATCATACTCCTTACCCCTGGCAATTACTAATCTTTTCTAGAAATGAAATCATAACAGTTAGTAATCTTTCGATGTTAGCTTTTTTTCACTCAGCATAATGCCTTTAAGATTTCTCCAAGTTGTTTCATGTATGGATAATTTCTTTTTTTATTGCTGAGTACTATTTTATTATGTGGATATGCCACAGTCTGTTTCAACATCTGCCCATGGAAGGACATTGAGGTTGTTTTCAGTTTTCTGTGATTATGAATCAATCTGCTATAAATACCATGTACAGGTTTTTGCATGGACATGTTTTCATTTCTCTAGGGTATTGCTAGGAGTGGATTGCAGGGTCATATGGTAAATGTATGTTTAACTTTTAAAAAACTGTTAAACTGTTTTCTGGAGTATCTGTGTCATTTTGCATTCCCACAAGCAACATGTGAGAGTTCTAGTTGCTCCACATACTCCCAGCATTTGATAGTGTCAGTTTTTTTAAATTTAGCCATTCTAATAGGTGTGTAGTGGTATCTCCTTGTGGTTTTAATGTGCCTTTAACTAATGGCTAAAGATGTACATGTTTTCATGTGTTCATTTGCCACATGGAGTCGTTGGTGAGGTATCTGGCAAAGTCTCTTGCCCATTTTTAAATTGGGCTGTTTTCTTATGTTGAGTTTTGAAGGCTCTTTATATGTTTTGGATACAAATTATATGTTAGATACGTGTTTTTCAGGTATTTTCTTCCAGTCTGTCTTTCTCTTCATTCTAACAGTGTCTTTCAGACAGCAATGTTTTTAATTTTGGTGAAGTCCAGTATCAGTTTTTCCTTTTATGGGTCATCTGGTGTCATGTCTAAAAACTCTGCCTAACAGGTCAAGATTTTCTCCTTCTAAAAATTGTTTTATAAAAGTGTTCCATTTAGATCTGTGATCCATTTGAGTTAATTGTATAAGGTGTGAAGGTTTACTTTTTTGCATATGGATGTCCAGTTGTTCCGTCACTATTTGTTGAAAAGACTGTCTTCTCTCCATTGAATTGCTTTTGCACCTTTGTTAAAAATCAATTGTCTTTATTTGTGAGGGTCTATTTTGGGCCTGTTTTGTTCCACTGATTTACTTAGCTTTCCCTTTGCCAGTATTACACTTTGTTAATTTAGCATTATAATGTCTTAAAACCAGGTAGTATAATTTCCTCCAGTTTTATTCTTTTTCAAAATTGTTTTAGCTATTCTGATTCTTTTACCTTTGTGTATAAAGTTTAGAATCAGCTTGTGGATACAGAAAAATTTGGCTGGTGCTTTGATTGAAATTGTATTACACCCGTAGATCAATTTAGGGAGAATTGCTGTTTACTTTGTTGAGTCTCCCAATCTATGAACATGATATGTCTTTCCATTTATTTAGGTCTTTGATTTGTTTAGTGTTTTGTAGTTTTCAGCATACAGATTGTGTACATGTTTTGTTACATTTATACCTAAGTATTTAATGTTTTTGGAGCTATTGTAAATCTCATTCTAAAAAATACTGGTTTCAAATTGTACATTGTTTGTACACAGAAATACAATTGAATTTTGTGTGTTGTACATATGTCCTCTGACTTTGCTAAACTCATTAGTTCAGGGTTTGGTTTTTGAATTTTTGGTGGATTCCATGGGTTTTTCTACAGAGATAATCATGTCATTTGTGAATAGAGAAAGTTTTAATTTTTTCCTAATCTGTGTTTTATTTTTGTTTCCTATTACAATGACTAGAACTTCATGTATGATGAATAGGAGTAGTGAGAATATATATCCTTACCTTGTTCCCAATGTGAGGGGAAAGCAGTCTGTCTTCCAGAATTGTTTTATGTTATAGATGCTTTTTTTTCCTTTTTTTTTTTTTTGGAGACAGAATCTCACTCTGTCACCCAGGCTGGAGTGCAGTGGCACACGATCTCAGCTCACTGCAACCTCTGCCTCCCGGGTTCAAGCAATTCTTGTGCCTCTGTCTCCTGAGTAGCTGGGATTACAGGCGAGCAACCCCACACCCAGTTAATTTTTTGTATTTTTGGTAGAGACACAGTTTCACCATGTTGTCCAGGCTGGTCTCGAACTCCTGACCTCAGTGATCAGCCTGACTTGGCCTCCCAAAGTGCTAGGATTACAGATGTGTGCCACTGTGCTCGGCCTATAGATGCCTTTTACCAGGTTGAAGAAGTCCCATTCTATTTCTAGTTTGCTCAGAGTTTTCTCACAAATGTTGAATTTTGTCAATATTTCTTCTGCATCAATTGATACTATGTTGTGTTTTTTTCCTTGAGTTTATTAATATGGTGGATTACATTGATTGTTTTTTGAGTATTTAACTAGCCTTGCATTCCCAGAATAAAGTCCACTTGGTTGCAGTGTATTGTGTTTTAAATATTGCTGAATTCAATTTATTAATACTTTGTTGAAGATTTTTACATCTTTGTTCAGAAGAGTTTGTCTAATTTTCTTTTTTGTAGTGTCTTTTTGTGGTATCAAGATAATGCTGGCTTCATAAAAAGAGTTGGGAAGTGTTTCCTCGTCTCTATTCTGGAGGAGATTGTGTACATTGGTGTTAATTTTTTAAATGTTTAGTAGGATTCTTCAGTGAAACTGCCTGATCCTGTAGATTTCTTTCTGAGTTTTTACATTACAAATTCAATTTCCTTCATAGTTATAGGGGTATTCAAATGGACCTATATTATATTGGGTGAATTATGGTCGTTTATACTTTTCAAAAATTTGGTTCATTTTGTCTGGGTTGTCACATTTATGTGTGTAGGGTTGTTACGTTATCCTTTTGAGTCTGCAGAGTCTATGTTGCTATCCCCTATTTTATTCCCGGTATTAGGTATTTGTATCCTCTCTCTTTTTTGTGTTAGTCTCACTAAAGTTTTATTAAATTTATTGATCTTCTCAAAAAGCCAGCTTTTTGTTTCATCAGTTTTTCTGTTTGCAATTTCATTGATTTCTGTTCTTCTTTTTTAGTATCTTCCTTTTTTTTTGCTTGCTTTGGGTTTATTTTGCTCTTCTTCTAGTTCTTGAGGTGAGTGCTTAGATTATTGAGTTGAAACTTTTTTCCTTTTCAAAGTAAGCATTTAGCGCTCTAAATTTTCGTATCTTAGGCTGGGCACGGTGGCTCACGCCTGTAGTCCCAGCACTTTGGGAGGCCACGGCGGGCGGATCACTTGAGCCAGGAGTTAGAGAACTGCCTGGCCAACATGGTGAAGTCCTGTCTCTACTAAAAATACAAAAATTAGCCCAGCATGGTGATGCATGCGTGTAGTCCCACCTACTCGGGAGGCTGAGGCAGGATTGTTTGAACATGGGAGGGGGAGGTTGCGGTGAGCCGAGATCAGGCCACTGCACTCCAGCCTGGACTACTGAGTGAGACTTTGTCTCAAAAATAATAACAATAAAATAAAATATATTTTCCCATTTCAGCACTAATTTAGCTGTGCCCCACAAAGTTTCACATGTATTTTCACTTTCAGTTAATTTTGTTTTTTTTTTTTTTTGCTTTCCTTGTAACTACTACTTTGAATCCTGGATTATTTGAAAAGTGTGTGCTTTTAGTTTCTGTCTGGAGATTTCCCTGTTTTATCTTTCTGTTATTGATTTCTAGTTTGATTCCATTGTGATCAGTGAACATATTCTGTATGATTTCCATTATTTTAAGTGTGTTTGAGACAGGAGGTCAGTAGATCTGGTTCCACAAGATACAGGTCTTAAAAGATCCCCACTGACAAAACAGGATGCAGTAAAGAAGCTGGCCAAAACCAAGATGGTCATGCAAGTGACCTCTGGTTGTCCTCACTGCTCATTATATGCTAATTATAATACATTAGCATACTAAAGGTTACTGCCATCAGCACCGTGACAATTTATAAATGCCGCGGCAACGTCTGGAAGTTACCTTATATCATCTGAAACAGGGAGGAACCCTCAGTTCTGGGAATTCCCCCATCCCTTTCCCAGAAAAGTCAAGAATAATCCACCCCTTGTATAGCATATAATAAAAAAAAAACCATAAAAATAACCAACCACCAGCCCTCAGGGCCGCTCTGTCTATGGAGCAGCCACTCTTTTATTCCTTTACTTTCTTAATAAACTTGCTTTCATGTCACTCTGTCGGCTCACCCTTGAATTCCTTCTGCACAAAGCCAAAAACCCACGTGGCCTCCTGGGCTGAACTCCAGTTTTGGGGTTTGCCCTGTGACATGTTGATGTTTGTTTTATGGCCCAGAATATGTTCTATCTGGGTACTTGAAAGGAGGTATATTGTGCTGTTGTATAGACAGTTCTATAAATATCAATTAAATTCTGATTTTATTGTGTTTTTAGAATTCCATTTTGATTTATCTGTGTGTTTTTGAGAGTACCTGCTTGTATTATTGTTTTAGTGGTTGTTCTTGGTATTACATTATATATATAGTCATGCATTGCTTAATGATGGGGATGCACATTATGGTTTTGTCATTGTGTGAACATACTAAAATGTACTTACACAGACCTAGATGGTATAGCCTACTACACATCTAGGCTGTATGCTATTAGAGCTTATTGCTCCTAAGCCACAAACCTGTACGCTGTTACTGTATTGAATACTGTAGGTACTTGTAACACATTGGTAAATATTTGTGTATCTAAACATATTTAAACACAGAAAAGGCATAGTAAACATATGGCATTGTAATTTTAAAGGACCACTGTTATATATGCAATCCATCATTGACCGAAATGTTGTTATGTGGTGCATGACTGTATATGTGATTTATCCCCATAATTTATCACTGCAGTCAATATTTTACAAATTCAAGTGAAGTGTGGAACCCGTACCTCCCTTTATAGTCCTTTATCCTTCCCCATTTATAATTGTCTTAAATATTTTTCCTACATATATTGAACACCACATTGGACAGTTTTATAATTTTTTTTTCAACTATCAAACATAGTTTAGAACACTCAAGAGAAGGGAAGTCTGTTGTATTTAACAATATTTTTGCTCTTACCATGTTCTTTCTTTTGTTCTGACACTCCAAGTTCTTCTTTTAAAAAATTATTTCTTTTCCACTGAGAACTTCCATTAGCTGTTCTTTTGCATTGGTCTGCTGTCAACAAATGCTCTTAGTTTTCCCTCATCAGAGATTACCTTGATTTCCTTTTCATTCCTAGAGGATATTTTTGTTGGATATATAATTTTGAGTTGACAGTTCTTTTCTTTCAACACTCAAAAAATGATGTGCCACTTCCTTCTGGCCTCCATGGTTTCTGAGGAGAAATTCACTGTCGTTCAAATTACTTTTCCCCATCCTTTTTCTCTGGCTGCTTTCAAAATGTTTTGTCTTTAGTTTTCAGAAGTTTGACTTTGATTTGTTTAGGTCTAGATTTTGACTGGTTTATCCTGTTTGGGATTTACTCAGCTTCTTGAATCTGTAGCTTTGTCTTTTTCCATATTTGGGAAATTTTCAGTCATTATTTCTTCAAGTCCTTTTTTAGCTCTATCTTCTTTCTCCTCTCCTCCTGGAACTCCAATGACAGAAATATCTGATTTTTTTGTGGTTTAGTTCCACAGGTCTTGAAGGCTCTGTCCTTTATTTCAGCCTGTTTGCGTGGCTCAGATTGTATGTTCAAGTTCACTAATTCTTTCCTCCGTCCTCTCTATTCTGCCGTTGAACATATCATTTAGTTTTTTAAATTATGGTTATTATAATTTTCAGTTCTACTTTCCATTTGGTACTTCTTTATATCTTCTGTTTATTTTTGAGACTCTTTATTTTTTACATTCGTTTAAGTATATCCATAATTGCTCATTGACTGCCAGTTAACTTTTTATTTTTGAAATCCTTATTACATGAATCTAATGTCTGTCATCTCATTGCTAGTGTCTATTGATTGTCTTTTGCATTTAAGATTTTCCTGGTTCTTGGTGTGCTGAGTGATTTTCGATGAAATCAGGACACTGGGAGTGTTATGTTGTGATTCTCTGGTCTCATTACATTCTCTTTTAGCTTGATTCTCTTCCTTTGATGTGCTCCAAAAACAGGAAGGGTGGGGCACTACCTCTTTACTACCAGGTGAGGATAAAAACTCCAGGTTTCCTGCTTGTCTTCCATTGAAACAGAGTGGGCTGGGCGCAGTGGCTCGTGCCTGTAATCTCAGCACTTTGGGAGGCCAAGGCAGGTGGATCACTTGAGCCCAGGAGTTTGAGACCAGCCTGGCCAAAATGGCAAAACCCTGTCTCTACAAAAAAATGCAAAAACTAGCCAGGCGTGGTGGTGTGCGCCTGTAGTCCCAGCTGAGGTGGGATGATTGCTTGAGCCCAGGAAGTTGAGGCTGCAGTGAGCTGTGTTCACCCCACTGCACTCCAGCCTGGAATGTAGAATGAGACACTGTCTAAAAAAAAAGAAAGAAACTGAGAATGGGAAGAGCTCCTCTTACTACTGGTCATGATGACTCTCTACTGGGGGCCACTGATACCACCCTGGCTGGGAAGAGGCTGACCCACTGACACTGCAAAGAGTCAGTAGATGGCCTTATTACCTGTGAGAGATAGTGTAAGTCCTGACTTTCTAGTAGGCTTCATCTGACACCACCCCAGCAAAAAAGTAGAGGTGAAAAGGGGTAGGGATGACTGAATTGGTGGATGGGGTGGGAGTTCAGGCTCCCACATGGTCTCTAGGGATGCCTTGGTGGTGGTTGGGCAGGGGTGGGGGGTGCCTTCATTTCTCCCCAGTGAGGATGCAAGTCCTCCCCAGTCCTCCCCAGTTGGTCTTTTCTGACACCACCCCATAGAGGGAGTTGGGGTGCATCAATATAGCCCTCACAAGGGTATAGGTGTTTTCTATCTTTCTGCTTGCTAGGCTGCCCCTTTCCTGGTCCTTTGACTCAAGAGAGTAGGCTTTTATGTTTTTTTGTTGTTGGTGGTGATATTTCCTGGTTACTAGCTTCTCTATAATCCAGTCTGGGATATATGAGGTAAAAAGAACTCAAGGAAAACTCATTACCATGTTGTGCTTTGTGTCCTGTGGTACCTTTGCACTTTTCAATGTCTAATGTTTGTTTATATATAGTATCCAAAATTTTTAGTTATACTTAGAGGAAGGAATAGGGAAAAATGTGTATCATTTCAGAAGCAAAAGTGTCTGAAGTATATATCTTTAAAAGGATAAAATGTGATAAGATTTTTGTTGTTGCCTTTTTTTGAACATAACAGTCTTCTTGGGTGAAGAATTGTTTAGGTAGAGAAAGGAAGTTGCTTTCTAGGAACTGAACCAGTGTGAGATACAGCTGGATGAACAAGGGTCAGATCCTGGTCAGAATTTTATATTTGACCGTGTGTCCTAAAGACTACATCTTGTGTAGGGTAATAGGATGATGATACTTGATGTCCAGATTGTACCCTAGACCAGGGGTCCCCAACTCCCAGGCCGTGGACTGGTACCGTTCTGTGGCCTGTTAGGAACTGGGCCACACAGCAGGAGGTGAGTGGCTGCGAGCATTACCGCCTGAGCTCCGCCTCCTGTCAAATCAGCAGCAGCATTAGATTCTCATAGGAGCCCAAACTCTATTGAGAACTGCACATGTGAGGGATCTAGGTTGCAGCACTCCTTATATCCTTATGAGAATCTAACTAATGCCTGATGATTTGAGGTAGAACAGTTTTATCCCCAAACCGTCCCTCCACTGCCCCCCACCAACCTCCCATCTGTGGATGTTGTCTTCCACCAAAGCAAGTCCCTGGTGCCAAAATGGTTGGGAACCACTGCCCTAGACCATCTGATCGTATACTCAGAGGGCAAGATGCAGGCATCAGGCATCAGGTTTTTTGTTTGTTTGTTTGTTTTTTAGACAGGGCCTCGCTCTGTCACCCAAGCTGAAGTGCACTGGTACAGTCATGGCTCACTGCGGCCTTGAACTCCTGGGCTCAAACAATCCTGCCTTAGCTTCCCGAGTAGCTGGGACTACAGGCTCACGCCACCATGCCTGGCCAATTTTTTTTTTTTTTTTTTTGGTAGAGACAGGGACTCACATGGTGCCCAGGCTGGTCTTGAACCCCTGGCCTCAAGCAATCCTCCTGCCTCAGCCTCCCAAAGCACTGGGATTATAGGTGTGAGCCACTGCCCCCAGCCAAGTATTTTTTAAAGTTATCTAGATGATCCCAGTGTATAGCCAAAATTGAGAATCACTAGCATAGGATATTGGCTTTGACACTTACCTGATTGTAAAATCACTTGGGATGTATATCCATTTGAGTTCTCCAGGAAGTAAGTATCAAGATGGAACTAAAAGTGCAAGAGATTTATTGGGGAAAATGCCTGAGAAGGATAAAGAGGCTGCAATGCTAGTTTTTTATACTTGTGAAAGGATAAAGAAAGATGGGGTGGAAAGAGCTCCAGACTGCAGTGCATTTCTGAAAAAATCTCAGCTAGTCTGATGGGGAGCCCCAGACCAAAGAGGATCCATGTTGTGCATAATTGTCCCAACTCAAGTGGCACTGCCTGTTTAGTCTTTACCCGGGGAGAATGCGGCCTCAACAGGAGTGGACAGTGCAGTGGATCCTGAAGGTGAGGTAGCAGAGACTGCCAGGTAGCAGCTCATGAAGGGAGAGCTAAACAGCACCTTTTATGCTTGTTTTATAAACCAGATTCCAAGGCTTCCTGTGAAATTTCTGATAAATTATGCCTGAGGCAGAGACCCAGAACTGTACTTTAACAAGTACTTTTAGGTGATTCTTATGATCACTCAGGTTTGTAAAGTACCAGAGACAATTGCTGAGACTATTAGGGACAAAGAAAGGAATGTTCACATTTTGGACTCCCTTGGTGTAGTGGTTGTATAGATGGATTTTCAGTTAAAGTAGTTGAAATATAATAGCTAAAGGAGCAGTAGCCTAACTAGTAATTTTAAGAAGAAACATGAAGAAATTGACTTTCTGTTCTTTTCATTCTTAAAATGCAAAGTGCCCATTCTATTGCTTTCACTGTATGTGTAACTATAAAGGTTTAAAACTAAAGCAAGAATGTGTGGTGTAAGATATTTATTTGTACAGGATTCATTGTAAACCAAACACTAAATCATTATAACTAAGAGTCCAATGCTGACACATGGTCGTACACTATTATACAAAACCTTCTTTGGGGTGCTTTTTTAGGGACATTATTACCTGTGAGGTTGAAAAGCAATTTCTACAGATTTTGAATTTGTTGCCTATTTGGTGATACACTATGGAGGATTTACAATTTTTTTTTATTTTATTTTAATTTTTTTTAGAGACAGCATCTTGTTCTATCACCTAGGCTGGAGTACAGTGGCGTGACCATAGCTCACTGCAGCTTCAGACCCTTGGGCTCAAGGGATCCTCCCACCTCAGCCTCTTGTGTAGCTGGGACGACAGGCATGCACCACTACACTCGGCTAATTTATTTTATTTTATTTTTTTTAGTGGCAACTGGGTCTCTATATGTTGCCCAGGCTAGTCTCAAACTCCTGGCTTCAAGCGATCCTCTTGCCTCAGCCTCCCAAAATGCTGGGATTATAGGCATGAGCCACCACACCTGCCCTATTTGCATGTACATAATGAGATGTCTTGGGGACAGGACCCGAGTCTAAACAGGAAATTCATTTATGTCTCATACATGCCTTATACACATAGCCTCAAAGTAATTTTATACAGTACTTTTAGTATTTTTGTGCATGAAACAAAGTTTTGACTGCTTTGACTGTGACCTATCACATGTCAGGTATGGAATTTTTCCCTTATGGCATCATGTCAGTGCTTAAAACATTTCAGATTTTGCCACATTTCAGACTTCAGATTTTTGGATCAGGAATGCTTAACTAAATTCTGAATGCATAACTTTCACTATGCTAAGTGCTTTATGTGTATCATTGATCAATAACCGTATGAGATGGATATTATTGCCAGGAAACAGAAGCCTGAAGAAGTTAAGCAACGTGTTCACTAAGAGCACAGAACTAGTAAGTGGCACCTTTAAATAATCAGGCATCAAATCTAATGATCCTAGTCATCATCTCTATGAAAGTAGATCTAGGTATTTATTGATATATGAATGTCATGCATTGCGCTATTGATGAGGATTCATTCAAAAATGAATTGTTATTGCTGTACCTTTCAAAGAGTTTACATTATCTAAAGAGAGTGGGAGGGACCTCAGTTATGAAAACACATCCTTGCAATGCAATGTGATAATTTCTTGATAAAACAATTAGTTTATTTTGTACATTTTTGTGTTATGAAAAAATAATTTCATTTTAAACCACAGATTTGAGAGGGAAGATCTGATCTCCTAGAATTAGAGTTGGTACAGAAACCATTTCAGCTCCAAAAATGTTGGAGGAAGATATGGAAGTCGCCATAAAGATGGTGGTTGTAGGGAATGGAGCAGTTGGAAAATCAAGTATGATTCAGCGATATTGCAAAGGCATTTTTACAAAAGACTACAAGAAAACCATTGGAGTTGATTTTTTGGAGCGACAAATTCAGTAAGTACTTGGCCATTTTATTCCTTTGGCTTTGATTTGTGAACTATATCCAAGACTCATTGGAGTAATAGTTAACTGATTGCAGTGGATTTCGAGGTGTGGCAACTAGTGGCAATGCTCATGCGACAGTGATGGTGGTTTTCATGACATATGTAACTTTATCCTTTTTTTTTTCTTTCATCTCTTCCCTTCTTTCATTTTTTTTTCTTTTTCTACTCTCCACGTTTTTTTCTGTCTCATAGCTGTTTTATATTTATTGGTGACACCTTGGGCACGTCTTAAACACAAACTGATGCTGACTCCAGTGAGATTTCCAACTGCTATTTTCTTTGGAATGAAAGTTATATTATGGGCTCGTTTTTATTAGAATGTCTGTTCTCTTTTTGAAACTAGGCAAGACTGTATGGAAGTTAGAGAATTAATAGTTTGCTTTACTCTAAAGAAATAAGATAAAACAGATTTGGGAGGACAAAATTTGCCTATGAAAAGGAAATCCTGCTTTAGGAAATTCATTTGGATTCTAAAGCACATCAGAGTAATATTTTTTGTCATTAGTCCTGAGAACTTCTAAGTATATTTTAAATTGTAGCAGACAAACTAAAATGTGTTACCCAAATACATTTTAGTTTGTATTTCAAATTGTAATTTAAAATATTACAAACCTGGTTACTGGCCCAACTTTAACATCAAAGATAATTTTATCATTTTAAAGATTAATTTCTAGTCTGTATTCTATTACTTTCTTTTTAAAAGTATTTCCATATTTGCTTCCTCTCTTAGAACATATTTTAAGAGCAAGCATGTTAAGTCTTGATGATGTTTGCTTTTTATACTTATTACCTGAAACCAAATAAATATTTCAGTATGCAGTCAATCCTTATTGTTTATAGGTTCTGCATATGCAAATTCACCCACTTGGTAATATTTATTTGTAACCCCAGAATCAGTATTTGTAGTACATTTGTGGTCATTTGTGGACATATATAGAGCAGCAAAAAATTTAAGTTGCCCATCATGCACTTCCCAGCTGAGGTCATCAAACAAGTCTGCTTTCTTGTTTCAGTACCTCATACAGTAAACACATGTCCTTTTTGTGTTCTGTTTAATGCCACATTTTTTACATTTTGTGCTTTTTCTTGGTGATTTTGCTGTTTAAGAAGGCTCCTAAGTGTAGTGCTGCAGTGCTGTCTAGCATTCCTAAGTATAGGAAGGCTATGATGTGCCTTACAGAAAAAATAAATATGTTAGATAAGCTTTGTTCAGGCACGAGTTATAGTGCTGTTGGTCGTGAATTCAGTGTTAATGAATTAACAATATATATCAATCAGTAAGGTGTCTTTAAACAGAAACACATAAAACAAGGTTATGTACTGATCAGTTGATGAAAATGTAACCAGGGGTTCTCAAAAACCTAACCCTATGTTTCCCTTAGGAGCAGTGGTTCAGTATTTGCTAATTCAGTGTTCACATTGACATTATAGAACGTAACTACTGTGAATAATGAGAATTGACTATATGACAAAATAGAGTAAATTTTAAGTTTAAGGGCAACCAGTGAGCCAGGGAGGTAAATCGCTTTTTTTTTTTTTTTTTTTTTTTGAGACAGAGTCTCACTCTGTCTCCCAGGCTGGACTGCAGTGGTGCTCCACCTCCCAGGCTCAAGCGATTCTCCCATCTCAGCCTCCTGGGTAGCTGGGACTACAGGCATGCACCACCACACACAGCTAATTTTTCTATTTTTGGTAGAGACAGGGTTTCGCCATGTTGGCCAGGCTGGTACTGAACTCCTGGCCTCAAGTGATCCGCCCACTTTGGCCTCACAGATTGCTGGGATTACAGGCGTGAGCCACCGTGACTGGCGGTAAATTGCTTTTTTGCATTCTTATCCTCATTTTATCACAAAAGCACCAGAACCCATTAGAAAGATGTCGGGAAAGGAGAACAGGCACTGACCTAAGGAAATTCCCCTTCCCAAAACGTTAATCTTAGACCACCACTACGCTGTGACTGTGTCAAAGAAAAAAACATGGCAGATAAATCCAAATCATGTGGGAAGCTGTAGCTTTAGGGGAATGTTTTTCACTCTTTCACTGTTGATAATGATATCAACATCCGAAAGTACTCAGTTTTTCAGGGTGAAACTGACAGTGTACATGTGGTCTCTGACTCAGGAAGGTTTGACTTACAGTTTTTCAACTTTAGCATGGGTTTTTTGAGACATAGCCCCATCGTAAGTTGAGGAGCATAAGGATTTATAATAGTTCAGCTTATGAGTTTTTTGAATTTACAGTGGTTTAATGGGGTGTTAAATGCATTTTTGACTCCTAATTTTCAGCTTACAATGGGCTTACCAGGATGTAACCCCCAGTAGGTTTATTGGGACAACCCATCATAAGTCAAGGAGCATTTGTAGTTTTAATATCTTTGGATTTGAAAATGAAAAATATACACAAAGCTATATTACCAAAAACATTTTCCTTTACATATGAAATAAATTCATCTCTTGTTTTAGAGTTAATGATGAAGATGTCAGACTAATGTTATGGGACACTGCAGGTCAGGAGGAATTTGATGCAATTACAAAGGCCTACTATCGAGGTAAAACACAGGATTTATTTATTTATTTTGTTTGGGCATATTATTTTGGCTAAATAAATAATTTTGCTTTCTTTGTTTCCCGTATAAGGGCTTCTCTTGAAGAATAGTTAAAATAATTTCAAAGTATTTTTTAAAACCCCAGTTCATTATTCTTCTAAAGATCTTGTATAGTAGCAAATAATACCTGGTACTGTAGACAGTTTGTCTCTGCCTTAGAATTATATGACTCATGTAGGCATTCCCAGACCAAATCATTAAGAAACTCTTAAGTGCCTACTTTGACCCCAAGAAAATGACTGTATAGTCAGAGAGTGGAAGCTAACATACGAAAAAGTAAAGCCCTGGCAAATAAGATGGCATTTGTTACGACACATGAAGTCACATGGTAAAGCCTTTTCACTGCTGTAGGAGTTCAGAGAAGTATGAGATACCTGTGAAAGGAAGGAACCATGACTAAAGAATTTAAAGCTCTAAAATGTGGGCTAAAATTTCTTAAAAGGCTAAATTAAACTTCCAAATGGAACTTAAAAGTTTCCTTTAACATTTTCTTATAAAATTTTGCCCTTTTCTTTTGGAATTTAAAACACCATTTTCAGTGTTCCTGTAACTCAACTGCCAATAGTGATTAAAGTGAGAGAACACAGTAACAAAAGCTTGGTGGAATACCATGTGGCATTATAGCCTGTTGATGCCAAGTAAATATTAATTGATCATTCATATTGACAGGTATTTAATACTCTGCATTTCGCAGATGCTGTGGGAAATAAAAAGGCACAACTGATATACTGATTATCCCTTCTATGATGTCCCTCTTTTCTGAACTTTTCACCGTGTTGTAATTAAAACTTGTTTTCTAAAGACACAACTTCCTCTGCTGCCTTCTCTAAGGGAGGCTTTTTACCCATATCCCTGCATACTCACATTCCTCAAGACTTAAAGGCTGTTCGGCAGAGGTTGTCTTGTTTCTCACTGCTGCTTCCACACCATTCCTCCTCTTTTCTCCTTCCAAAACCTCGGCACCTTGAAAGTCCAGGTCATGAGACTTTTACCCACCACTAATCCCCCTGCTTGCTCTGGTCCATCAACTTCCTTTATGCCTCCTTTCTGATAACAGTGGCATCTGACTCAGTTTCTTCTCCATAATTGTTTGGATTACTTTTTGAAAATTCAGCCTGTTGCTCATTTCCTTGTTGTTTTCAAGGCCAACAATTGTTTCATTACCCCAAAATCTAAACCTCTATAGTCTCCTACTCCCTGACCACTACTGGTGGCTTGTGGCTTGCTAACTTTAATATCCAGACGCTGTCTTGAAACCATCGAGAGCTTCTCTGTTCATTGACCCTACCACTTTTTAAATATGACCTTCCACATGGCTTTACTTCTTTCCTTCTTCAGCTTAGTTTTTCTAGTCCTGTAAGCATTTGCTTGCAAGGACCTTTAACTCCCAGACCTGCGCTCTCTGCATAATACTTGCTCAGCAAAATGCCCAACCCAGTTAAACCCGACTATCTACCAATCTGCATCCGAGCACCTGAACCATATAGAGAATATCAGACAACCATTCAGACTGAACTTTGAAGCTAACATCACATAACCTTAATGAGTACATAGTGCTGCCAGGCACTCTCAGTGTTTTTTACTCAAGTCTCTGTCATTTTCCAAAAGAGCTCTTTTGTGTTTTCTCTTGCCTTAACTTTGGGAATCCCTTCCTCCTCTCCACTCTGCTGATTTCTTTGCTTCACTCTTCTTTGAGAAAATAGTCAGTGAAAACCATTTTATCCTTCCCACTACCAAATCACTTTCGTGGTTAAAACTCTTCAGCATCATATACACAGGACTTTACAACTGTGTTTCCCCTCGTCTGTCCAGCATCATCTGCTGATTCCTCACTTGTACTTCACCCTTGAGAAATCCCCCATTTTTTTCTTTTCTTTTTACACTATGCCTGGAATGCTTTCTTGTCTCTCTTGACCTTTTGCCTTCAGGTTTAACATCTCAGAAGTCTCTGTGAAACTTTCTGTGGCCCTCATCCCTGAACAGTTAATAATTTTTTTTAGCTAATTCAGTATGTTTATTGCATTTATCACTCTATGTAGCATTTGCATATTTATTTTCCCTAAGAGATTATGAGTTACTTTAGCTTCTGGCTTATGGAGTGGCAGGGTTTTTTGTCTTTGTCTCCCCAGCCCCATTGCGTAGCACCTGTTGGCTCAAGTGAATTCAGTTGACCTTAGGAGACAGTATCATTTTGGTTAATTTTTTTATAAAGTGAAATTCTGCTCGTTCATCACACAGTCTCATTTTACTTATCAGATGCTATAACTTTATACTCTGACCTTAAGTAATGGATGAAATTTTATTTTTATATATATATACACACACACATACATACACACACACATATATACACACACTTAATATATGTGTATGTATGTAATATGTATATATGTAATTAATATAGTGTGTATATATGTGTGTATATAAAGTATATATGTATAGATGTGTATATATACACACAGTGTATATATATTTATAAATGCAAATATATGTATATGTATATATACACATATTTATAAACAGATGTATATATACACATATACATATATGTATGTATCTATGTAAACATGTCTGTACATATGTACACATATGTATGTGTATGTGTATATACACATATATCTATATTTATAAATATAAATGATTTCACTTAAAGGTATTTGCTCTCTGAACTAGAAGCCCCAGGAAAGTAGGATCTACCTTGTTTATAGTTGCCCCCATGACTGTTTCTCTAGATTTGAAGTTTTATTCAGAAAATGTGTATTAAGTGTCTCTGTTGTTCTAGGGATATAATAGGCATAGTAAACCTTGCCCTGGCTTCTTTGTCTTAACTTGTATTTATATTCATGTAATAACATTGCTTAGAAATATATCTGAAAAGTTTCCTTTAAGCTAATTATCTTTTTTACTTCTTAAATCTTTTGTTTTCTGCTTTTAAATCTACTCTTTGGTATCATAAAAATTAAAATATATTCTATCTTAGTATGTAGAATGCTAGTAGTTGAATACTAAACAGTCCCAAACAACAGATGATATGGAAGCAGTTATGAATTATTTTTTCAAAGTCTCTTTAAACATCCTGTATTGAAAGATACAGGTTTAATGAAACTGAAATAATAGTTATGTATACAATGGAAATTCTTCTGACTTCTTCATGGAAGTCTTCTTTAATGTGTCACTTTACCCAATTTGAAAGGGAACCTATGTTTGTGTGTCCTGGATTATCAGAGAAGCAGTACTTGAAAATAGAATAGATATATTGAATAGCAGTATACCAGTATGTGTCTCTTGAAGAAATCTATATATATGAAAGTTCCAAGTGACAGTGTTAATGAACTTTTAGGTACAGTATCATATAAACACATAATTTCTTCTTTTAGACAGGATTTACCACTGATTTTATTGAAGTAGCTTGCTTATTTACAAACTTACACCAGTTATATAAAATCGATATACTTGAGAAATTGGGTGAATTCATGTAACTTTTGAATATATAGCTTATTTTTTTCGCTTTTGAAAATGTAGGATTTATTGTAATAATGACAACTAAGGTTTCATGATTGTACTAACATACAAATGACCAAAGAAGTTGCCTTTCTAAATTGGTACCAAGGAAACTTGACTTCCACTGCCTGCTCTAAAACATATTTTGGTTTCTTGCCACCACTACTTACCACTCTATTTACTGTGTACTTTAAGGCTTCCCGTCCACAGTAGCTTTGGTTATTCTCTGTGGCTACCAGTTTGGATCCTGAGCACCTGTATCATGGTCTAAGGTTGAGAATTATGTTTTTACTACCCCAAGCCGTTCTTGGAGTAGATGGTATTTTTTTTCTACCCCTCTGTCATTCAAGTAGATGATATTTGTATCAAATTATGAATTTCATCAGCCTTGACAGTATTGATTAACAGGTCCTAAATGTACAGTTTTATTCTTGAGTAAAAGTTATTTGTATTTTTTAATGGGGTTATTACCACTACCTTCCCCACACACTCAGGAAAAAAATAAACATAAAACCTATGTGGAAACACCAGAAAGAAGTAGGATTACTTGAGATTTTCATTATTTTATTTTTATCTAGTGAACTTGGTCTTCTAAATTCTCTGCATGAAATGTCTGTTCTTTTTTTTGAGGAAACAGATAGGCTGGCCTAATCCTTTCTAAGCTTTTGACAGTTTGATGTGGCAGTTATTACTTTTTAACCAATAGGGTTATTTTTAGAGAATATATTTGACATTATGTTTCTATAATTTAAAAAGGCAAAACTGGTTGGGCACAGTGGCTCACGCCTGTAATCCCAGCACTTTGGGAGGCTGCGGCCGGCAGGTCACCTGAGGTCAGGAGTTCGAGACCAGCCTGGCCAATATGGTGAAACCACGTCTCTACTAAAAATACAAAAATTAGCCAGGTGTGGTGGCGCACACCTGTAATCTCAGTACTGGGGAGGCTGAGGCATGAGAATAGCTTGAACCCAGGAGGCAGAGGCTGCAGTGAGCCGAGATCATGCCACTGTACTCCAGCCTGGGTGACAGAGCAAGACTCTGTCTCAAAAAAAAAAAAAAAAAAAAAAAACAGCCTATCTTAGTAATTTAACTTTTTAGCTGACTGTATTAAAATGGCAAAGAGGGTGAGATACTGAGATAGGTCCTCAGTTTCAGCGTCTTCTTTTTCTAAATGGTAAAAGTAAACATTTATCACAATACAATATGAATTAAAGAAAAAACAGCAATTATACATAAAATTGAAAAACAGTATATTGAACATTATTTTATGTTTTCCCTTTGGGAAACCTCTTTGGGGTTCCATTAGAATGCTTTTGGTTGCTGCCAAATAAAAGGAATTTCGTACTGTCTTAAAACTACAGAGACTTACTGATTTGATAGAAAAGTCTGGAAATAGCATCCCTTTTAGTTGTTTGTTCAGCCTATAACCTTACTGATTCTCCTGGCTTTGTCTCTTCCCTGTGTGGTACCGGTACCTCCTCATGTTGATTTCCTTTTGGGTTGCAAGATTATCACCAGGAGCAATGACAGCCACATGCTTTGTTTACATCCTTGGGGAGAGAGGGTTACTTCCCACAGCAGTGGTTCAGATGTCCTGAGCTTTTCTCTGATTAGACCACCCTTGACCTGATTGCAATAATGAGAGGAATGTGATTAATTGACTTGGATCACATTGTGCTCCTTGCCACCACCACAACTCCCACCTCCAGCAGAGAATAGGTTTAGTCTACCTAAACCATATGGCTACTATACAGTGGGGGAAAGGTGTTTTTAGGGAGAGATGCCACCTAGGCAATCAGACAATATCTGCTGCTAGTACAGATTTAGATAGTGATGAAATTAAATAGAAATAAAAGTAAGAAGAGAAGGTAAGGGCTAGAAAGAATGAATTAAGATACAAATGTAGTGGTAGAAACACTATGCCATATATAGTTATGACTTGCTGATTTAAATCCTAGAAATGTGTTATTAATGATGCATAAAAATCAACAAATTAAAATTTTAAAAAGAACAATTTTATTATAATTCATTTAAAAGACCCATTATATCAAAGCCATTGCTCAAAGGTATTATTATGGACTTGGAATGCTGGCTTAATTGTATAGTGAGAGATGTTGAAACAAGACCTTCTTGTAAATAGGTTACAACAGAGCACAGATTAGGAAGCCTCTGGGATCCCAAGTGATTTCTCTAAAGCTTTTTAGAAAGTTGACTCCAGGCAGTAGGAACCAGTGATTTTAGTTAGTACAGAAAGATACAGACGACATGAAATAGATTTTTGTTACAGTTTTTTACTGTGACTTTGGTTTGTAGGAGAGGAAAAATATCTTTTTCCTTCTACTCTTTTTGGTCCTTGATTGGGTCTCTAACAAAAGACAGATTAACAAGAGAAAAACTTATGAATTTATTTAATATAAGTTTTATGTGACAAAGAAACCTTCATAAGGAAATGAAAACCCAAATAAACAGTTAAACCTGAACGTTTTTATACCAGGTTTGAGGAAGAGTGCAAAGTTGTTGAAGAATGTGATAGGACAAATATGAGCTAAGAGCAGTAAACTGGAGGAAACTTAGCAAGATTCATCAGCAGAGGTTCATTCAGATTCCTTTTGGTATCCTTCTCTCTTCAGAAATGAGGATTCTCCTTTCCTCTGGGTATATGGAGGTCACCTCTCACCTGAGGGGCTTATGACCTCCTTCAGGTGAGGGTCAGAAAATCCTTCCTTTGGGAGGCCAAGATGGGCGGATCACCTGAGGTCAGGAGTTCAAGACCAGCCTGGCCAACATGGCAAAACCCCATCTCTGCTAAAAGTATAGAAAAATTAGTTGGGCATGGTGGTGGGCGCCTGTAATCTCAGCTACTCAGGCTGAGGCAGGAGAATTGCTTGAATCCGGGAGGCAGAGGCTGCCGTGAGCCAAGATCATGCCACTGCACTCCAGCCTGGGCGACAGAGCAAGACTCCATCTCAAAAAAAAAAAAAAAGAGAGAGAGAAAATCCTTCCTGAATTTTAGGATCTGCTTCAGAGGAGAAGGGGCTAGGGGAGATCAAAGTGACTCTCCTGCTTCTGCTGTTTTCTCAGATTCCTTCAGCTTAAAATATTCAGTACGTCAAGGTGCCATATTTTAGTTTAGCATGTCCAGAGCCCCATTACTGGTATCTCTTAGATGTGGTTCATCTCTGCCCCTATGAAATTCATGTGCATTCTTTGCCCTGCCATTGGGAGAGGCACAGTTCCTTCCCAATATAGCTCTCTGCTTTTTGTCTGCTGGTTTTGATTTTTCACTCTCACTCTCACCCATTGCATTTTTCTCAGGCTTGAATCAAGGCATCACTAGTCCCTAATGTCCGCCAGTTGCTGGAAATACGTAACAGCTTCCTAAATTGGTCTTGTCAGCATCCATTCTTTAAGGTTTGAGATGAAGCAGGTGGTGATAGCACCCTCATCCATCCTACTGCACCTTTTTGCAGGAGAAAGGGTTTGGAGTACAGTACTTCCTCTAAAAAAATTCTTTTTTTTTTTTTTTTTTTTTTGAGACAGAGTCTCACTCTGTCACCCAAGCTGGAGTGCGATGGCATGGTCTCAGCTCATTGCAACCTCCTCCTCCAGGGTTCAAGTGATTCTCCTGCCTCAGCCTCCCAAGTAGCTGGGACTACAGGTGCCCACCACCACACCCAGCTAATTTTTGTATTTTTAGTAGAGACAAGGTTTCACTATGTTGGCCAGGCTTGTTTTGAACTCCTGACCTCGTGATCCGCCCACCTCAGCCTCCCAAAGTGCTGGGATTACAGGCATGAGCCACCGCACCCGGCCAAGACATTCTTTACAGATCCTTTTCCTTTCCAACCCCCATCTCATATTAAAAAAAAAAAAAAAAATTCTTGAAGTGCTTGAGGGAGTTCAGAGTTGTGCAGCAGGATCAGCCATTTGCTTTCTAAATTCTGCAAATAATGATCTGTCTCATAAATCTTGGAATCTTGTATTTGTTACATGCTTTATTGGTACCTCAGTCAAAGTTTTTTTTTAAAAAAGGGTGGAGGGTAAGGGGTCATCTTTTGAGCTTTTTAAACTAAATATTAGAAAGGGCTTTCCGGTCATTAGGATTTTTCCAAACATAAAAGAACCATGATGAATCACAGTTTGACAAAGTATTTTATCTGTCTAGATGGAAGATGATATTCAGTTAGGGGAAATGGAAACAAGTGGTTGTCCAACATTTGTCAGAATTATTATAACCATAAAAGTAATCCATAAAAAGTAATCCAGTTGATTTTTTTTCCATTTTAGTAATATTTTTAGGTTAAATCAGACAAGGTGGTGCAGCATTTGATATAAAGGCTTGGTATCAGGTGAACCGTCCTGCTTTGGAGATTTGTGTACCATTCTTTCTATAGATTGTAATTTATCTTCTTAGGACTTATTTTTGCGATCTTATTTCAGATTTTTTATTTCCTGCAGTTCTTGTTTTTTCATTTTGTTCTTTATACTGCAGAAATCCATTTTTCTCCTGTGGTTTAATAGTCATACATTCTCTTATTCTTAAGGTGATTGCCTTTAACTTAAGGCATTTACTGTCTTAGTTTAAGCCTCTGTGTGCCTTCCCACTGCGCCACATGGGTGGGGCTCGTTTATTTGGGACATGATCCCAGGAAGTAGAGTGAAAGACTAGGGAGAATGAGGCAAGGAAGGGAGAAAAACCAGTAAAGCGTTCTAAGTATCACTGTGGGCCACTGGGGCTCAGTCTCCCTGAGGAACCATGAAGAGAGGCCTCAGGAGCCCACCAAAGGGAGGCTGAGGTGTTCATTCCACCCCCCCGCCACCCAGAGGCATCACTTCCCCCTTGGGGGATGCATCAGAACAGCCCCCAGCAGAACAGCAGAGCCCCCTGCAGCATAGGCAGGAGCAACTGGCACAGGAACTGTTCTCCACAGCTGCGCTGAAGCCCGGTTGAGGGGACATGCATGCAGCCACAGGCCTCTGCTGCAGGGTTTGTTTATTTACCTCCCTGATTATGTAAACATCTTCCCTTTCTTCACACAAGCACTTTGGCACATTCCCACATTTCTCTGGTCTGTACCCATTCTGTCCCCTGCTAAATAATCTTGGGGTTGTTATGGACATACTTTCTTTTGGTCTTTGATTTTTTAAATAATGTTGAGCTTTTCTTAATCATTCTTACTGCCCGTATCTCTGGCATTATCTGTTTGGGGTTTTTTTTCCATCATATATGCTTCCTCTAAGAGGTTTTTTTGGTTAAGTGTCTGAGACCTTGAACACTTGGAAATACCCTATTGTGCCCTCAAATTTAAATGACAGCTGGACATAAAGCTGTAGGCTTAAAGGTAATTCATTGAGTTTTATGATAAAGAACAAATTTTTTTTTTTTTTTTAGACAGAGTCTCACCCTTTTGCCCATGCTGGAGTGCGGTGGCACAATCACAGCTCACTGCAGCCTCAACCTTCCAGGCTCAAGCAATCCTCCCACCTCAGTCACCTGAGTAGCTGGGACTACAGGTGTGTGCCACCACGCCTGGCTGATTTTTGTATTTTTTGTAGAGATGGGGTTTTGCCATGTTGCCCAGGCTGGTCTTGCAGTGGCGCGATCTCGGCTCACTGCAAGCTCCACCTCCCGGGTTCATGCCATTCTCCTGCCTCAGCCTCCCAAGTAGCTGGGACTACAGGCACCCGCCACCACACCCAGCTAATTTTTTGTATTTTTAGTAGAGACGGGGTTTCACCGTGTTAGCCAGGATGGTCTCGATCTCCTGACCTCATGATCCACAGTTTCTTAAAATATGATTACATAATTTTTTTTATTTGTAGTTGAGGTAAATATTACAGCTCAAGTAAATATAAGTTTATTTATCGGTATACTAATGTGATCTCTTCAGTTTTATTTTCCCTTAAATTCTGAGAAGGTCTCAGGGTGTCTTTGTCTCTCTCTTTCTGTATTTTGCATTATTCATTTATTATTTGGATTAAAACCTGTTTTTAGGCCAGGCACAGTCACTCACACCTGTAATCCCAGCACTTTGGGAGGCTGAGGCAGGCAGATTGCTGGAGCCCAGGAGTTTGAGACCAGCCTGGGCAACATTGGGAGACCCATCTCTACAAAACAAACAAACAAAAACAAAACAAAACAAAACAAAAAAACAAAGAATTAGCTGTGCATGATGGCAGGCTCCTCCTGTAAGTCCCAGTTACTCAGGAGGCTGAGGTGGGAGGATTGATTGAGTCCAGGAGGTCGAGGCTGCAGCGAGCCATGATCATGCCACTGCACTCCAGTTTGGGCAACAGAGTGAGACCTTGTCTCAAGAAAACCAGAAAACAAAAAACCTGTTTTTAGGGTAGGGAAGATTTTCCAAATGAACCTTCTGTTTTTACAGTAATAGCAAACTGCTGTTTTCTTTCTGTGGTCTTTTGCTTTCTACAGTATTCCCCCAGTGATATATAGATATACAGACTAGTTTTGGCTCTAGAGTGTCTTAGATAGCCCAGACATATCTTGAGTCTTAGTAGAAAACTCTTATACCAGAGGGATGTGTAAGGAAGGAGTAATGGTAAGAAAACATGCCTTGATTTCAGGAAATCCTCTTGACCCCCAGGATGATTTTCTCTTGTTGCTTACATGCCTGCTTTTATCACCATGCTACCTGAATCAATAGCTAATAATTTATAAAACTGCTTCTTCTAAGAGGTTTCTGCTTATTTTAGTCTTTGATATTATCAGCCTAAAATGACAGTTGATGGTTAAAATATTGTCAATGGATACAATATGGGTGGGTAAAATTATGCAGTTAAACAGGGTAAAACTAAGTTTCCCCCAACCCCTCTATTATATATATATATACTCTTGGCATTGGCTTTCAAATTATGTTCCTTAGGATCACTGGTATTCTACTGAAATAAAATAATACAATTTATTTAAAAAGTGAATAGAATGAACAAATTATGATTTTTTTCTCATAAATTTTTCTTAAATCTGCGCTGAAAGAAATTAAGCAAATGACATTTTTCTTAAATCTACGCTGAAAGAAATTAAGAAGCAAATTAACAAGAAGAATTTGGCAACAGCCTGTAATTTTAGTTTACCATTCTCTCTAGCTTTTATAATGGAATTAAATCAGTATTTTATGGTATTCCAAAAAGAATGTGTATGCTTTTGAGGTACTTTGACAGTTGAACACATTTGAGAACCACTGTTTTTGGTAAAAATGAAAATAGAATTTATATGTTGAAAAGTAAAGAAGAGTAGTGCAAAGATGAATTCAACATAAATAGAGTTTATATGTTGAAAAGTAAAGAAGAGTAGTACAAAGATGAGTTCAACATTTATTTACATAAAAGTTGTTTTGAATGGATAAAAGTTGCCCCCATTCTTCATGAGATTGTTTTCTTAATGTAAATGTAATATGTTAATGTAAATACCTTGATTGATTGATTGATTGATTGTGAACTTACAGGAGCCCAGGCTTGTGTGCTCGTGTTCTCTACCACAGATAGGGAATCTTTTGAAGCAGTTTCCAGTTGGAGAGAGAAAGTAGTAGCCGAAGTGGGAGATATACCAACTGTACTTGTGCAAAACAAGATTGATCTTCTGGATGATTCTTGTATAAAGAAGTAAGATGGCTACTTTTGGGGAAGGAGGGACAGTAATTCTATAAAGTTAAGACATCTTAATTTTTGCATAGTTTTACAGGTTCTAGGAAAAATTCTATACTTTCATTTTGAAGGCTTTAATGACTTAAATATTTTAATTTACCTAAAATTTCTGTGAGCTATTCTATGTGATTGGTTTGGGTTAAAAAATTCATTGATTCCTAAGTAGATAAAATTAAAGGATTAAAATTTGAAGGCTCTTTTAGAATTCTAATCTCAGGTCTTTGCACAAGAAATCTAATTCTTCATGTTAAGTCAAACCTTAATATGGTAAGAATGTTAAGAAAAGCATCCCTAGATTTTGTAATACCCAGAATAAGTAACTATCCTATGTTGATGAATTTTAATTAAGGGTTCAGATTCATATTGTTTTGTATATTCAGAACTCTTATGCTCAAATTTGTGAACAGATAATTTCTGTTCATAAATATTTACTTATTGTATTATTATTTTTGCCAGTTTTGAAAATATTTGCTTGGTTTTTACCTGTTTTTTAAGTCTTCTTATGTTAGTTATCTGTTGCTATGTAACAAATTAGCCCAAAACTTAGTGTCTTAAAACAACAAACATCTATTATATCACAGTTTCTGTAGATCAGGAGTTTGAGAATGGCTTAGCTGGTGGTTTTTCATGAAGCTGCAGTTGAGATGTTGGCTAGGCCTGTTCTCACGGAAAGGCTACACTGGTGCTGGACCATCCATTTCTATGATGGCTTATTCACTTGGCAGGAAGCCTTAGTTCCTTGTCAGATGGGCCTCTCCTATTCTCACAACACGGCAGCTATTTCTCCCAGAGTGGGTGATCCAAGAAAGAGCAAGACAGAAGCCACAGTGTTTCTTATGACCCAGTCTTATACTGTCCCTTGTATTGCATATTAGTGGACACCCAGACCAACCTTGATTACAGTGTGGGAGGAGACTACACAAGGGGCTGAAGACCAGAAGCCAGAGAAATAGCGGGAGCCTATGGGGCATGGTTACAACAGTCTCTAATGACATTAATATCAGGAGTCCACAACCAGGAATCCTGATAAAACTAAAATTAGGAGTACAATTTGGAGATGTAGTCATTAATATACTGACTTTGGCTTTAGGCAGCAAAATTGTTTCATGGCCAGTAAGAATAAAATAAGTAATTCACTGTAAGATTTTCAGAGTGTAATTAACTACAGGTGTTCTCAGGAAGAGATAAAATTAATTAAAATATTATACAAAGAAAAGTGATATTTTCTTAGTTTAGGGCTAGAGATTAATGACTTTATAGAAAAGTCTTCTATGTACACATACGGTATAACAGTTGGTGTTTATTTCTCAAGAGTAGTGAAAACTAAAATCAGTACAGGCACTAAATGAAAACATAGCTTTCAACTGATTTTACTTAACTGGGAAATTATATCAAGCTCTTTTAAAAAGAAATATGAAAATTTTCTGAAAGATCTGATCCACCTTCCCTCCCTTCCCTGCCAAACTGTATTCAGTAAATGTAATTAAAAGTGATTTAAAAAACAAGCTATCAGAAGGCACCTTTGTAAAGCATTTTTTTTTAAATTGATGTGCAGTGAGGAAGCTGAGGCACTGGCAAAAAGGTTAAAGTTAAGATTCTACAGAACATCAGTGAAAGAAGATCTAAATGTGAATGAAGGTAAATTACCTTTAAAGGATATAGATTGCAAAAAGAAATTTTATTCTTGCGCTTTTAAAATTGTGTTGTTTAGAAATTATATTTATAACGAGAACAAGATTTTTTTGTCACCTAACATTAAGTAGAATTTAAAGGCTTTCTACTTCTTTTTGTTAGTGCTTAATTATTTACTAATGCCCTTGAATACTTTTCATCCTCGTAAGGTTTTCCATTTTTATTATTATCTTTGAAAAATGTAAGCTATATATGTAGAGTATATGCATATGTGGTTTTGATGCATACCTGTTAAAAATAACTCAGTTGTTTTAGAACTCCATGATAGTAGATATTCCACTAGGTAGTTAGTTTATTTAATAGTATTTAATTTAATACTTTAATTTAATAGTATTTCCTAGTTTAAGAAAGTGAAATTAGAAAAAGATGGTAAGTTATTTTTCTCATTCTGGAATTGCCACTTATTTAGATTGCAACTAGATATTCTCTTGGATGTCTATTTTGGATACTTTTCTTCACATAAAGGAGACATCTTTTCAAGAGTGAGTCTGTTTAGTGTTGCTTAGTATTAATCACTATTCAGATACTTAGAAGAGCCAATCATTACAAGTATTATTTCACTTATTTACTAATAAAATACCATTATACATTTGTTAATATTATCATTGTACTCAGATACTGCCCAAATAATTTTTAAAAGTTGAATTTTTAACTAGATTGTATGCTCCTAATTGTAACTTTAAATTTGTTTAGTAAGTATAAATATTACAAATGATGTGAAATAACAGATTTACATGCATAAATCATTGACCTGGTTCTGGGTGTTTTCTTTTTATTCTAGTTTTTAAGTATTTGGCTGAAAAATACCTTCAGAAACTCAAACAACAAATAGCTGAGGATCCAGAACTAACGCATTCAAGTAGTAACAAGATTGGTAAGTACATAGGAAATTTTAGCCCATGTTTACTTGGTAAAGTTAAAAAACACATATAATATGCTCATTTCTTTCAGAAATGTGATTTAAAAGTGATTATTAAACTATTAAGTCAGTGATTTAAGTATCAGGTCTCTTGTTAAAAGGTATATTGTGTTAATGGGGGTTTTTTTGCCATTGAATTTTATAAATCCATTTGATAGATTAAACACAACAGAGATAAAGACTTTTTGTAAAGATCTGTCCTTTATATAAAGGAACTTTATAACAGTTATTCTTCTGAATCTGTACTTACACTGGCTCTTACCTTTTCCCTTTCTTACTATCTTGCTTATTACCCATTACTGATTTTGCTTTTTCTTATGTTAAATGCCAGCAAAACTTTAGCATTCTCTGAAGAACAAGTGTGTTGTGTTCTCTTTCACAATAACTGCCTGACCAGATGTCTCTCTTCTTGTTCTGGATTCCAGGAAAATGAGAGCCAAAGTTGCTGGTTCTAAATCTTGATACTTGTATAATCTCTTAAGGACTTCATATCTGTATTCTGTCCCCCTTCACTACATATGTAGAAACAAACACATTATTTTCTGGACCTGTTTTAACTTAGATTTTTCCTGGATTCTGGCTTTTTTTTTTTTCTGCCTTTGCCATTTTCATTGCAAAATTTCTTGCCATCAGAGACCTCAAATGCTTTGTGAACACAAGACACTTATAATAAGCCTCTACCTGGTGTGATCTCCTTGGCTCCCCTTTTGTCTTCTTCATATCTACTGATTAAAGCTTTAATAAGACTCATTGTGGAACAAAGTAAATGCAGATTCTCTTCAATCCAACATTTAAAGGTGGTTTTGCCCTTCCTTCTGTGTAGCCTCCTGCCACACCATTACATCTATGTAACCCATTTACTGGTTCTCTCAGAGGTCTTGATCTTTCCTGAGTATGCCCCATGCTTGCTTTCTTCTTCACTTTTGGTCATTTTTTTTCTTCTATTGAGAATGACCTCTTTCCCATCTTCTGTCGAAGAACAATTCATTCCTCAAGGCCTTTCTAGAAAGTTTTCAGTTGTGTATCTGCCTGCCTGAAGACACATCCTCCATACTCTTTTTCTTTCTTTTTTAAAGAAACAGAGTCTCACTGTGTTGTCCAGGCTGGTCTTGAACTCCTGGGCTCAAGTGATCCTCCTGTCTCGGCTTCCCAAAGGGTTGGGATTATAGGTGTGAGCCACTGCCCAGCCTCCATCTTCTAAAAGAATAGACATCTAAGCCCAGGGCACTGCCAAGTGTCCAGTTCTACCTTCTTCATGTAGTTTTTCCTTTCTTATGTATCAGATGCAATCTGTCCTTCCTTTGAAACTTCTGTAAGATTTTGTGTCTCTTTTATGACACTTAACATATAATGTCATATGGCATTACTTGTTTACTGTCTTGTCTTATTACATTGTAAACTTCTTGTGGGCGAGAACTGGTCTTAGTCACCTTTGTATCCCTGACAGTATCTCTGGCCCAGAATTTTGTGTGTCATGGATGCTATATCATAAATTGGAGATTACATTTTGTGAATAGCACAGTTCAAAATGGAAACTATAAAGTTCTTTATCTTTTAGCTACTCATCACTTTTATCTGTGGGCCACTTTTTTACTGGTTTAGTATAAGTAGGAAAAACGTATCTTACTAGTATTAACACAGAATCTCACAAATAGCTGGGTGTGGTTGCTTGTGCCTATAATCCCAGCTATTTGGGAGGTTGAAGCAGGAGGATTGCTTGAGGCCGACAGTTTGAGACCAACTTAGACAACATAGCAATATCCTGTCTCTTAAAAAAAAAAAGAAAAATTAGCTGATGGCATTCCTGTGCCTGTAGTCCCAGTTACTCAGGAGGCTGAGGCAGGACTGCTGGAGCCCAGGAGTTAAAGGCTGCAATGAGCTATGATTGCACCACTGCACTCCAGCCTGGTGACAGAGCAAGACCCTATCTCTTAAAACACACACACACACACAACTCAGAAATACTGTTGTTACTGTTGTTAACTAAAAGGTATTCTTGAGGAAGTGATATGATGTGAAGTTAGTAAGTTATTAAAATTATCGTAGTTGCCAGGTGTGGTGGCTCATGCCTGTAATCCTAGCACACCTCTAATCCCAGGCAGGTGGATTGCCTGAGCTTAGGACTTTGAGACCAGCCTGGGTAACACGGTGAAAGCCCGTCTCTACTAAAATATGAAAAATTAGCCGGGCGTGGCGGCAGGCGGCTGTAGTCCCAGCTACTCGGGAGGCTGAGGCAGGAGAATCAATTGACTCCAAGAGGCGGAAGTTGCGGTGAGCCAAAATCACACAACTGCACTCCAGCCTGGCGACAGAGCGAGACTCCGTCTTCAAAAAATAAATAAATAAAAATTATCGTATTTGCTGATTCCAAACGTCAAAGATAAATTGTTAAGTCAAAAGATGCAGAACATTGTGTAGAATATGCCACAACTTAGGTAGAAAAGAGAATATATATGCATTTTAGCTTATATATGCATAAACTATATCTGGAAGGATAAGTAGGAAAAGTAATAACATGCGTACCTTAGGGGTGGGAAAACTGGCAAGGGGTGAAAATCTGGGTAAAAAAGAGCCCTAATGTGACCTCTTTTACAGCCTTGGAACTTTGTACCATGCGTATTAGCTACTAAAAGTAAAACTAAAACAAGAGCTTTAAAATCATAAATCTGTGTCCATTGATGTATGAAAGGATAAGCAAAATGTGGTATATACATACAATGGAATATTATTCACCCTTAAAAAGGAAGGAAATGCTTCAGTGTTCTACGTTGGATGAACCTTGAAGACATTATGCTAAATGAAATAAGTCAGTCCCAAAAAGACACTATTATTCCATTTATATAAGGTAGAGTAGTTAAAATCATAAGAGACAGAAGATAGAATGGTGGTTGCTAAGGTCTGCAGGGAGGGGGAATGGGGAGTTAGTTACTGTTTAATGGGTATGAGTTTCAGTTTTAAAGATGAAAAGAGTTATGGAGATGGACGGGGGTGATTGTTCCACAACATTACAAATGTATTTAATACCACTGAACCGTATGCCTAAAAATGGTTAAGATGCTAAATTTTGTTGGATTTTACTACAATTTTAGAGAAACTGTAAATACTTGAAAATATTACTGATTTTACTAACAAGCTGGATGCAACAGGTAACTCAGGCGTGTCAGTGGCAATCACTCTTTTCCCTCAATTTATACAGGTGTCTTTAATACATCTGGTGGAAGTCACTCCGGTCAGAATTCAGGTACCCTCAATGGTGGAGATGTCATCAATCTTAGACCCAACAAACAAAGGACCAAGAAAAACAGAAATCCTTTTAGCAGCTGTAGCATACCCTAAGATGTTTTGGGAGGAAAACAATTGAATTACATTGTGCAATGCATTAAGAAACCCATCCAGCTGTCATGGTATGTTACAAGGTTTTCAGCAGACTTTGCTCCTAATGGCTCTCTGAAAGTGACAGACTTAAATATTGCTCTGCAGTGCTTTTCAGAATGTAGAGTGAGACCTCTGGTGGAAAAATTATTGCCCTGTGGACTCCTTTAATTTTTTTTACATTAGACGAAGCTTCTCCTGTTTGTAAAGGAATGCTATAAGAAATTTCAAACACAGGTTTTGCGGAATTTTAAATGCTGGAAAACATAAATGAAATGCCTAAATATATTGTTACAGATTTTAATACTGTGGATCAAGGAAAGATAGCAAGCATTCTTTTCCTGAAATTGGTCATGTAGCTTTTCTGCGAAATAGTATTGAATCTGAATACTTTCACAAAATAATACTGAAAGGTAAACCCTAAATCTTGCCAGACTGCATTAGTATTTTGGCATTGAAACTTGTGCAATATCTGTGTAATGTAGAATGTGGGGTGTGCATGCAGATGTCTGGTACTGGAGTAAGCTGAAGGTATGTGCAGTATTTAAGAAAATGTACATTCTAATTAATTCACTTATAAAACCATTTACATATTGTGTATATGTTTTTATTTTCAAATGATAAACTCTAGACATATATTTTGCAAAATGAGCTTGGGTTTAAAAAGTGCTTTGTGCCAAAAATATCATACCTAATTTTTATAGTGCTTTACTATCAGAATTTATATTGTTTATTATATCTTTTAAAAGCAGTAAGCAGTTTTCATCTGACAGCGTAGATAAAAGAGGAGTATAGGAATTTGAATGCTAGAGCATCTCCCAGGTGAGCCTTATTGCAGATCTTTTTGATATAGTCACCCATAAGCATGGTGAGCTCCTGCTCTCATAAGGTCAGCCAAAGCCCCTTAAGAAGGTACACAGCACATCTGCAGTCATTCAGGAGGTCCTGTGAAGTGTGGTGATGCATCTAACACCTTTTGCTGCTCACTGAGAACCCAGCTTTGAACTTACAAGATTACACTAACCATTTTTAAAGTGCACAAAAATATTATTATTAGTCTTAACTAAAATTACATATTTTATAATGCCCTGCAACTCTAAACCATCCTTTTGTTTACACATTTTTGTATGGTATTTTAAGATTATCAATCACTTCAACATTTCTATAACCTTGTTTGTATAGCACTTTCTCAAGAGCTGTCAGTCCCACATACAGAATCATTTCTTTTACAAAATGATTTAATATGTAATCATGTGTCAGGACATAAATTTTGTCACTTGGGACAGTAGCTTTCCAGCTAAGATAATTGCGTGAACTCTGTTAAAACTGATTATCACTCATCAATGGCTTTATTTTTAACCTATAAATAACCCCTTTCAATATACCTGGTTTTTACAGCATTGCAAAATCTGTAAAAATAACTTTTATTGGAAAATGTCATGAAGTCATTTTTCATTATTTGTACTAAACAATGTTTTATGTACTCCTTTTGTGTTTTATCTTTTGTTTTTCCATCTGTACTCCCCTCATCCTCCTAATGTTGAGAAAATCAAATTTCCTGGGTGTGTCCTTGTTAAGTGATCAAAAGTAAATGTTCTCTTTGCCATTTTAGATGGAAAAATAAAAAAAATTAAAAAGTAAATTTTTGCTTTTCATTATATTGAAATGATCTGGCATTATCTATTTCACAGTAATGTAAAATGCTTATTTTTATGTCACCAGTTGTCACCACTCCCATTGCTGATAGTGACATAGGTTTTGGGGGCAAAATTCAGTTCCTAACAAACAGTGGATACTGCTAATGAGTCATCTTTTCTACTCTCTTCAATTTTCTACTCTCTACTCTCCTCTTTAATTTTTGCACAAAATAATACTTTGCAACAAATAGTCTTTTGTCTTTATTGGCAGAAAAATCACTTGTTATATGTGTTCTAGTTAGTTCTTTTTCATGTTAGCTGTGTGGCTAAAAGCGTGTTACCTTTCTATATTTAAAAAAAGTAATCTCTGAGGATAGTTACAGTTCCTGTAATATAATTTTATGTACCTAGTTTTATCTTTTTTTAAATAAGAACTGAAGAGAGAGCTTTGTTACATATTTGAATTTTTAATTTGCACTGCTGTATTTTAAACCTAACCATAATTAGTCATTTAAAATAATTAAGTAGGCCTGAAAGTCAGCCATGTTAATTTCTCAATTTAATCAATTCTTAAAGCCTTCAAAAATTGACATTTTTTTTCCAAGACCCTTCATTCTCTTAAATAACTTTAATTTTATGAAACCATGTATACTAAAGAAAAACTTTTCCAAGATTCCAGGTGATTGTGCATTTGTGCTCTAATCTACTTTTTTAACATTACGGCTAATCTTTTGCGTAGACATATCGCTGTGGAATAACTGCCATATTTCAGAGTTCCTCAGGTTTCCTTTTCCTTTTCCAGTCTCTGTCTATGAATTAAATAGTATATAGAATGACCCATATAAGGCAATATAGTTAAATAAAACCAGGTTAAATGATTTCCTTTGTATCTGCCCAAAGTTGATAGCACACGTTACTTTTTCAAAATAAAGCTAAAACTACCAAAAAGAGGATGAAAACTTTTTCCTCATTATGGAGTGAAGTTCTAGGTGGTTGCTTTAGAAGTTGGCAGTGCAGTGCTCAGAAGGAACTCTCAATAAATAACATGTACTCCTTGGACCTGTGAGTTTTAGGAAACTGGACCTTTTCTGAAGACCTTAGAATAGGGAGTTGGCCTTAGGACCTAATGTCCCAACTTAGTGTTGGACCCTTTTAATATAAGATATTGTTAATTATTAGCATACTTTTCAAAACCTTTGAAATAGTTACTGCTAACCTGATAAAATGTTCCCATTAATCTATCATTAGTCTGTTTCTCTGAAAACAAAATGCATTGATGAGGTGAAAGCTTGTTCCACATGGCACCTACCTAATGAACAGGACTTACTCAGTTTTTAACTGTTAAGAATGTCACATGTACTATTGTCACTCCTTAGGTTTTCAGCTATAAAACATGTAAGTCTCTCATCATACAGATGAATTCATTTGCTAACAAAATATTTAAAACCCGCAGTAGACTCTGAAATATCCAGTCATCAAACTCCTGGCTAACTGGATGATTTGGCTATAATAATCTTTATTATTATTATTTTCATCTGTCTCTCGAAATATCTACAGTAGGATGTTAGTAAATGGTCTTTTAAAAGCAAAAAATTGGGGATAAAAGGAAAACTGAATTCCTTCTATATTTTTATTACTAATAAATAATGCTTTTGTAAATTTGAATGGAAAACCACTTGTATGTATTGCTATTTGGTTGCAGTTACACTCTGGAGCTTAATTTAAAACACTACTCTAAAAATTTCATGAAGGATGAATTCCAATAATCAGAAAATAAATGCATTTCAAAGCTAAAATTTTGTGTGATATGTATGATTGTATCAACAGTGTGGATCTAAATAGTAAAATATATAATGCAACTTCTTTAAAGATCAAAGCAACCTAAAATTATTTCATATTTCAGATACTCTGCCAATATTTAATACTCTCATTTTATTGAAAGTAGTGCTAACAAGGAATGGCAGGAGGGCTACCCTAAAATTATGTATTATATGCTAGGAATGGTAGAGAATTGAGATACAGCAAAACATACTCTATATCCACTTATAGTCTATATAAAAGACAATAGTTTAAATGAGGGTAAAAATGTGACTCAGGAGATTCATCATCATTTGAAAATAAATTATACTCCCATTCTTATAAATAAAAATACATGTTAAGAACCAACCCATTGGCCAAGCGTGGTGGCTCATGCCTGTAATCCCTGTACTTTGGGAGGCCAAGGCAGGCAGATCACAAGGTCAGGAGTTTGAGACCAGCCTGGCCAATATGGTGAAACCCCATGTCTACTAAAAATACAAAAATTTAGCCGGGCGTGGTGGTGGGCGCCTGTAGTCCCAACTACTAGGGAGGCTGAGGCAGGAGAATCGCTTGAACCCGGGAGGTGGAGGTTGCAGTGAGCTGAGATCACACCACTGCACTCCAGCCTGGGCAACAGAGCAAGACTCCATCTCAGAAAAGAAAAAATGAAACCTCATGAAGTAAATGAAACTATAGAAACTGCCTCCATAGCATATATTCAACACCAAACGTCTACAAAATGTTTGTTCTCTTCCCTTCACAGTCTCTTTTCCCTAACTCATATACTCCATAGTGTTCCTTGCTACAGTGGATATGTCTTCTACTTGTCAGACAGCCTGGGTGACAGAGCAAGACTCCAAAACAAAAAACAAAAAAACAAAAAACCACACTGGAGATTCCCTGCCCTTTAGATGTGGCTCTAGGTACAGAATGCTGGAGACACTGTAAACCAGGGACCCCAAGCAGCTTGGAAATGTGGATCATAGCTCTTCAAGTCTGTGATCAGAAATCAATGACCTCCATTAAAAACTCCATTGCAAAAAAATGGGAAAAATAATGCTAAGAATACCAAGGTCAAGGAGGCAGAGCCAGAATAATTTGTGTAGAAAAAGTCCTGGACTGATGTGGAAGCCATGGGAAGCAGGGAGCAGTAGTATTTCCCAGAGTGGAAGGGATTTACGGATGCTGACAATACTTGAGAACCTGAAGAAAACATGACTATCCATTTCTTAATTTTCAAAAAGCTGGTCAAGAAAAAAATGATGCACACAAAAAATCATCTCACAGTCTGATGACAGCAAATCAGTCTGCTAACAAACCAAGTGGCTCTGCCATAGATAGAATTAATGTTTCCCATGAAATGCAAAGATTTAAATAAGGCAGAGTTGGAGCTGGCAAAGGAAGTAACATGAATGTCTTCAGATTGTAACTGCTTTTTATAAAGAGACTAACTTGGCATTTTTGTAGAGAAAATGAAGTTTGATATTGCTTGCATTGAGAGATATATACATACATAAAGTCAGTTTGGATCTTGATTTGGTTTTTCAGTGTGAAGAATACCTACATTCAAATAAAAATTGATGTGTTCATTTCAAAATAGTATCCAGGGAAGTTGTTGTGGTTTTTGTATATCAATAGGACTAGTTACTTTGAACAAATAAGTGTTCTCTAGTTGCTTCACACTTTATCAGATAAAAGAAGAATCAACACACTGGTCAACCTTTTTAGTAAACAAAATGCAAACTAGGTATTAATGCTCAGTGCTGGAAATATTTCAGTGAAATAGCTATATTTTAATTACTGAAAAAAGTATAAATTGCTGTAACCTTTATACAAAAAAAGTTTAATATGTGTGAGGCCATGAAAACGTCTATATCCTTTGACCCAATATAATTCACTGCTGGGCCTTTATACAGAGAAAAACAAAAATGAAAGAAGGAAAAAGTCCTGTGTACAAAAATATGTTGCAGTAATAGCAACAAGTTGGAAACAACCTAAATGTCCATAAAAGAGGAATGGATAAAGATATAACTACACAAAATAGAGCTCATTAAGTTGACAATTAAGCAGACTTTATATCAGCATCTAACTTTTTTAAAAAAAGGCAAGTTACAATATAGGAATTTTAGAGAATTGATGCATTTGAGAAAAGATGAAGCAGATAGATATATAATTGTTCACAGTGGTAAATTATAGGTGGTTTTCTCACATTTTATGTCAGTTTCTTGTATATCAAAAAATACATTCATATTATGAGACACAGGAATCTTTACATCCAAAATAATTTGATACAGATGCCTTAACATTGCTGAATGAGACAACTTTGGAAAGATTCTTGTTTTGTGATTCCTTTTTACCCTCTAAGCACAGTGCTTTGTTAACACTGTGTGTGTAGTAAATGTGTGTGCTGCTTAAGGTAAAGAATTTCTAGTAAACTAAATGCCCAAGGTGACTGCGTGATTCCATGCCAGACAGGAAAAAGCAGTCATGCTTTTTGCCCCTAGCTGAACGTTTGTTTTCCCCACAAACTATGTATTCATCCACAGAATAGTGAAATATGCTAGATCCTAGTACAAGACAAGAATTCAATCTAAAAAATCTCTAGATAGATAATTAAAATATTGCTAGTTTTGTTATTCACAAAACTGAAGATACTTGATGGAATATTTTCCTCATCTGAAACAACTATCAGTGTCAACTAAGTGGTTATACCTAACAAAGAACTAGTTATCAATTAAAATAGTATTTTATCATTTTTACACCTTGTGTATTGTGTAAATGCTCTTAGGTTTGAAGACTAATTGAATCTGCTTTCAGCATTTTGTTGCAGAGTTTTGGAACCAGCTCCTTTAGAATGCTCTAATAGCTTGATGGCCTTGTCAGAGTTTTCAATATTTCTAAGCAGAGTCTCTAATCTTCTCTTAATTTTCTTCTGATCTTCAAGAGCACAGCCAATTACTATGGATTGAAACTTCTGATCAACTGGCCCATGTGGCACCTCAGATGAACATGCACTGTAGAGCGACATTAAATGACTCTTGGCATTTCCCAAATCATCCAGAAACTTATTGACCACCTCATCAATAATCCTTGTGGCATGCTTTAGGGATTCTTGCTGCTGGGGGTTTCTAATTGTTTCTACTGACACTTCAACGGTGAGAGTTCTTCCCATCAAACGGTTTGCAGTCAGATTTAATTCTTCTCTTTCTCCTAAAAATCAATATGAGATGTAAACTTATCTGTGTCAAAAACATTAAGGCATTTGTTTGTGACTAAATTTATTATTTTCTTTACCTCTGCCATGAAATTTTTTTAGAGATAAAAGCTGAAACTATAGCATGTAAGATTAACTGATGAAATGTATTAGATTACAGAAAGAGGTTGTAGAATACCACTTCCTGACAATCTGCATATATGGGATACCAGATGACTTCTCAAATTGGCATGTCTGCAAAAGTTTGGGTAGGTATGCATTTGTAACTGGGATGGAGATCAAGTCTTAACACTGTGAGCAGTAAGCACATATAGGGTTTATGCTGGGTAGAGCTCCAGAGATCAGATGTCCCAGATCTCTCCAGAACGACATGTGCATTTATCAGAATACAATGCCCCAAATTTTGGTTGAGAAAATGTAGCCACGATAGAAGATAAGCTGTCTTCTGTCGTCAATACTAGGCACTGACTTCATCCTTCTCCAGATAGAAGCAGGACAGTGGTCTAAAGTCTTGGCCAGCACGAGGAGCTCTATCAACATTTCATTATTTATATGAGAAAGTCAGCAAGCTCCTGCTTCTGTAACTTCCTAATTCATTGATCTTTGGGCAGGATAGCGTAGAGACTAGATCATGGCCTACCTATAGATGTGTAACAGTTTTGATCTGGATTTAGGTTGCTTACTTACCTCACCAGCCACTTGGCCCAGTACCATGTGGCCTGTGTGGCACCAAAGGAGCCCAAGTAGGAAGTCCAGTGCCAATAAAAGAAAATCAGAAGTGACCTATTCCTATTTCATGTTCTTCACATGAAAATGACAGCACAGGTTAGGCAGATGTCACATGCCTGTAATCCCAGCACTTTGGGAGGCTGAGGCAGGCGGATCACCTGAGGTCAGGAGTTTGAGACCAGCTTGGCCAACATGGTGAAACCCTGTCTTTACTAAAAATATAAAAATTAGCCAGGCGTGGTGGCACGTGCCTGTAATCCCAGCTACTCGGGAGGCTGAGGCAGGAGAATCGCTTCAACCCAGGAGGCAGAGGTTGCAGTGAGCCAAGATCGCGCCATTGCACTCCAGCCTGGGTGACGAGTAAAACTCCATCTCAAAAAAAGAAAAAAGAAAATGACAGCACATTTTTACATTCATGCCTTTTATTGGTCCTACAAGTTTCCTCATTTTCTCTGCATTTTGTCCCTTCTCTTTATGTTGTACCTCAATTCATCTTTTTTTTTTTTTTTTTTTTGGTCTCTACTTCTCTGCTTCCACTCTCTCACCCTCTTCCTCTGCTTTTTTAATCTCTTGCAGTCCAGTAACTTGTGAGGAACTGAAGTTAGGACTGTGAACCTGGGATAAAACACATGGCCTTACTGCTTGGGGCCAGCTTTTCTGAGCTTGCAGGCTTTTTCCTATCTCTCCTAGCCAGGGGCTTGGGGTAGAGAGCATGCTGGAAGAAATCTCTGAGTAAGTGGCTGCTGTAATGAACTGACAGCTGCAGCTGCTCTCTGTGGCTCACATTAAATGCTGTGGCCTGGTGTACGCATACCAAAAGTCAAGCAAAAATTGACCCACACTTATCATAAACTCTTTAAAGGAGTGTAAAAGATGAGCCCCTTCTGTGGAGATGGCTCTCACCGTCACTGATCTGCCTCATGTCCTGGCTATTTTGGATACTGTGGATCATTTCCAGAAGGATTTCTTTCTCTTGCTCAACAGCAGTTGCTGCTTCTCTCAAAGCTTCAACCCTATAGAAATTGGGAAAACAAAACGGTTATTGTATGCAGGATGTTCTTCCTATTAATTTTCTTTATCTCTCATTCAACCCAAATCAAGTTTAAAGATCACCAAACTTTTCAAAAATTCTTCATTTCTGCTTTAAAATTCTTTCATTTTTCTATACACTTGCCTTTCTCCCATTTTCCTCCCAGCTCATAAGGCAATCATTCTTTCGTGTTTATCTAATTAATACTATTTGTTTTTTACAAGATCTGTATTATTTGTATATTTTGAATTTATATCTCATTCTGTTTTTATTTTTTCACTTAGCATCCAGGTTGCTAGATTTTTGTTTGTTTTTTGTTTTTGAGACAGTCTTGCTTTGTCACCCAGGTTGGAGCACAGTGGCACAATCTCACCGCAGCCTCCACCTCCCGCTTTCAAGTGATTCTCGTGCCTCAGCCTCCAGGCCCGGCTAATTTCTGTAGTTTTAGTAGAGACGGGGTTTCACCATGTTGGCCAGGCTGGTCTCAAACTCCTGGGGTTTCACCATGTTGGCCAGGCTGGTCTCAAACTGCTGGCCTCAAGTGATCTGCCCACCGCAGCCTCCCAAAGTGCTGGGATTACAGGTGTGAGCCACCACACCCAGCCCCCTATGTGTACTTCTAATCAGTTGCTGCTAATTGCTGTATAATACTCCATGTGTATACCTACCTGATTTTCCCTCTCCACTCTCCCAGAGATGGACACTTAGGTTGTCTACCAGCTTCTCATTACTACAAATAACACTTCTATGAATACATCTCCCCTTTGGACCTTGGTGAGGATTTCCTTAGGACATATACCAGGACAGAACTGCTAAGACAAAGGGTATGTGTACTCTGCTTTTGACTTAGTATTATGACTATTCTGCAGAACACCTGTACCTATCCACTCTCCACAGCAAAGCACAGGGGTCCCCATATCCCTACCAACATTCTGCATTTTCCAACTTTCTATTTGCTGCCAGTGTGACAGAAATACACTGATATGTCAGTGTTAACTTGTGTTTTCCTAATAATTTCAGACATCTCTTTGTATCCTTGTTAGCCTATTCATAGACTTTTCCTATTTTGCTTTTCTATTTTTAAACAGGAGTTACTGTTCCCTTGTTGATTTGTATACTCAAGAGATTCTTGTTGGTTACAGACATTGCAACCATCTCTCATCCTCTCATATATGAACCACGTCTGGGATGTCTTGCACTAAAGAGAGACTCTTATTTTGATGCGATCAATTTTTTTTTTTTTTTTGCCTTATGGCGTATGCTTTTGAAGTTTTGACCTAAGGTCTTCCCCCACCCTTTGGTCCTATTTTCCTATATTTTCTCTTATTAACTTTATAGTTCTACCTTCCTTATATTTATGTCTTTAATCCACCTAGCATCAACCCCTGCATGCAGTTAGGTAAGAATGTTTTGTTTTTTTCTTCCAAATAGCCATTTTCCCCAACATTATTTACCAAGCAATCCATCTTTCCCCTAGCGAATGTATATTCGCTATTTATCTCTAAAATCTCTATGCCATGCATTAGTGTATTTAACTGTTCTTATACCAGTGCCAAGTTTTGGGTTTTTTTTTTTAATAGCACTAGCCTTGTACTACACTTTAATATTTGATAGAGCAGGTCCCTCAATCTTCTTTAAAGATAACTTAGCTATTTATGGACTTTTACTTCTCCAACTTTTCCATATAAATTCTAGGGTAAGTTTATTGTGTTTCTCAAAAAACAAGAGAAATTAGACATCTTTATAACATCTCTCTGTTTAAAGGCATGATATATGTCTCTTCATTTATTCAGATCTATAGAGTTCCCATGTATTCTTCATAGTAGTCTTCGTGGATATTGCTGCTATTGTGAATTTGTATTTTCTACTTGATTTTTACTGGTTTGAGAAGTGCTGTTTTTGTAGGTTTATCTTGTCACTGGCAACCTTGATTTACATGTATTCATTTTAGTGTTCAGTCTGTTGATTCTGTTGGTTCTTCTAGGTTAATAATCATATCCATATCATCTGCAGTTTTTATTTCTTCCTTCCCAATCCTATTACTTTTTTTTTTTTAAGAAAAGGTCCTTCAGTACTGTATTAAACAGTGGCAATCATGGGGGTATCTTTGTCTTTTCCCAAATTTAAGGGAAAATCTCTGTGGCTTTTTTGTGTAAAGCCCTGATCAAACTATAGAAGCACTACTTTCCCACTTCACTCAATTGCACACACATGCACTCACACTATACACACACATGAATATACCCAGTCACTAAAAAACTAAGCTGTGGAATAAGGGCAAAATAAAGAAATATATATTGTATATTTAACATGTTCTATACTTCCAGGGAACGTTGTTATTATGAATTACAGTAACTAAGATGCCAACTTTTGCAAAATGAAAGTGACAGACCTATTCCCAGTATTTGGATGGTCTTAGAAATACAAGTTCATGAAAGATCTAATCCTAACTGCTGTCTTAAGTGTGCACAGAAAGAACAACTTCACCAATGTTTTAGCACGTTCAATTCCATAAAAGGATCCTCTCCCTGCCCTAAGCACACACATGCCTTTTCCCCTTCGGTTACCCACCTGTTATACCCCAAAATAGTACTGACAGGCTGTAAAATCACAGGATATCTTTATTCTTCAAGATATTAAATATATGTCAAAGTGTGTTTATAAGAGCCAGTAAAAGCAAAGAACTGGGAAGAATCGCATGTGACAAATTTGGCTAGAGAACACAATCAAAATACAAATATTCTACTAACTAATAGTAATGCAAGTATCAGGCCCTATTCCAGGACCATTCAGTATTTACTTAAACATTTTACATTAGCAATCTCTCAGAAAGATAAACTAGGGCCCAGAACATAGGAAAGAGACGGAGTTGGCACTAAATATTTATGCTAAAAGCACAAACCATGACTCCAATATTTAGACAAATGACACAGGTGAATCATGTGATTGATAAATGAGAAGATGCTGAAAGAAGAGATTAATTTTTCAACACCTTTTCGGTTTGTATTCAATTGTAAGATGATAAGAGAGAACAATGCTATTCTGAAAAGGAAGGTTTCATTTATGAGTTACAGCAGTAAGTTCATGTTCTTAACAAAATAGATAAAAAAGACATTCTAGAAAAAATATAATAAGCCTGTCATATGACGAAAATATTTTATCATTAAATGAGACCAAATAGTTAGGTGGAACTGCTAAAGTTTGTGTTTTAGGGACCCTCCCCCACCCCCATCCCACAAGGCTTTTTTTAATACATAATAGAAATTACCAGGGCATTATCCCTGTGAAAACCAGATTTCATCATTTATAGAACTTCTTATATACATTTTTATGTATACCTTTTTCATTTCATGCAAGGGTAAAATGTCATTCTTCAAAATGTAAAGATCTCAGGGTTTATTTGGCAACATGGGCTTTTCATGTCCTATTCCCTCTTCAGGTAGCATTCTTTCTCCCTGACCCTTGTCTACTGGGATCACCTTTTTCAAAACCCAATTGCTTCAGCAGGAATTGTTTCCTTAGCTTCCCCCTTCCTCTCCCTTAAGGCAATTCATGCTCCTTTTGGCCCTGGTACATCCATTTACTCTACAGTCTAAAATATGTCTACCTCATATTTTACATTTTTTCTTTTAAAAAGCTGAACCTAGATCTCTACTTAGTTTAAGTAACGTTTGTACTGTTTGTCAGCTATTGCTATCCTTAAACTCATATACACGTCTTTTGTCTACAATTTTTCCATTAGTTCTAGAAAATTCTTGGCTGTTGTATCTTTGAATATTCCCTGTCTCCCCTTCTGTTATTTTCGTCTGGAACTCTGGTTAGAGAAATGTTGGACCATCTCACTTTATCCTTCATGTTTCTTAATATCTCATCTGGCAACACTTCTGGCGGAGAAGGGCAGTTCTGTTTTTACTAACAGATCCCGGAAGCAGCTACACGTCCAAATTGGGAAAGAACTTTTCCTCACATCAAGGCTGGCCTGGGCTGTGCTCCTGGAAAACTCCCTGCATGAAATCACAACTAAGTAGGCTTTGACAAAAAGAAATTTTAGTCAGAGTACTCAGTAGGAAGACAAAACCGGAGCGCATGCATCCTCAGCTAGTACCCAGGTCTTGGGCACCTCACAAACCTCTGCAGTCTCAGTATCGAAACGGCAAACTGCTGGGAGACTTAGGAGGAGTACAACAGCAATTTTGCGCAAACTGTGGCTACTATTAATATGTCAGCTAATAGAGTATGCAGTGAAAACTGCGCCAGCACTGCCACTACTAGCTGTGCAAATGGGTCAGTCGCCTATGAAACAGGGATGATAAGGGAACAGTGCTTGTGACTAAATGAAGTAAAGCAGGTAGAGTTTAACAGTGACTGATAGCACTGACTAAAAAAATTACACACACACACAAGTTAATATGTATAATGTGTCTAGAATTGGCACTGGCATATATTTATAGTATTAATAGCTATTATATTCTTACCATTATGAATGTGGGCTTATTTATTAATGATGAAAATTTGTGCTTTCATAAAAAGGAGGGAAAATGGCAAATGCTCATACCATGATTTGAAAGAAATAATTTCTAAAACAGGTTTGTTTTTTTTGAGATGGAGTCTCACTCTGTCGTCCAGGCCGGAGTGCAGTGGTGTGATCTCAGCTCACTGCAACCTCCACCTCCAGGGTTCAAGTGATTCTCCTGCCTCAGCCTCCCGAGTGGCTAGGACTACAGACATGCGCCACCACGTCTGGCTAACTTTTGAATTTTTTATTAGAGATGGTTTTCACCATGTTGGACAGGCTGGTCTCAAACTCCTGACCTCAGGTGATCTGCCCACCTCAGCCTCCCAAAGTGCTGGGATTACAGGAGTGAGCCACCACGCCTGGCCTAAAACAGGTTCTTAAAACTCATAGTTCTGTCTCTTATTCCATACTCCTATATCAAAAGAATGCTATAATGATCACTTTTAGGCAATGTAAAATTCTGAAGTGTTTTCCTAATCACCAAAATGTTAAATTACATTTACTGTCAAGACATTTTGGTGTAAAAGAAGGGACTAGTGTTTTTAGTGTGAAGAGCCACTTTTCAGTAGCATGTCCTCAGGCAAGCCACTTCATCCTAATTGGACCTCACTTCCCTCATTTCTAGGAGAGAGAGTATGTGCCCTCCACCTAACTCGAAGGGTTCTTAAAGTTTCAAATAACATATATGAAGTGTTCTTTTAAATTACAGGCTGTCACACAGTATTAACTATGATGCCATCTTGTTTTGTGACTCCTAGAACACTGGCACACCCTAACATGAAACTTTAAGCCAGACGAATGATCCCTATCACCCCCAACCCCATCCCTTCACTACCTGGGTGCAGGTTAAGCCACAGTGAAAGGCTGACAGGAAGGCAGAAGGAGCCACTGTGTTATAAGTTTTGGGAAACATATGAAAAGCCAATCTCCCAGTCCTATCATTTTCCCCTCTGCCAGTCTCCAAAACCCATCCCCCAAACATCTTCATTACCATCTTGAGCTTTCTAGGAGCTACCCAATACCTAACACATAGTGGGTGTTCAATATCCACTGAATTAAAGGCCAATTTAGATTGAATTTTTATCTCTTAGAGGAAGCTCATCTATTCATCCATATATCATTTCTATATTTTGAAATGTGATATATTTAAGAAAATTCAGGCATAAAGTATTAGAGCCTGGAGAGCCAGTCTTCCTGGGTTCAAATTTGGAGTTTACTACTCTCTAGTTGTGTGACTTTGGACAAGTCATTTAAGCTTCTAAGCCTCAATTTCCCTATCTGTAGAATGGTGATAATAGTAACAACGACATGGGGCCTGGCACATAGTCCGTGTACATTAAATGAATAAACATTAGCCTGTGTTTTAGAAAAAACTCTCACACTGTGTTTTTCCTCTGCTCTCACACTGTAACAACACAGAAGGCTGTGACCAAATATGTGGGGGATTTGCAGCTAAGTATCCCCCAACTCAGTTCCAACACTCCCTACACCTGGAGACGGTATCAGATCCCACAAGTTGAAAGCTCAGTCCCCAAGACCCCACCCTCCACCGTTGCAAGTCTAGGCCTCCAGAACTTCTGACCAACTGGCTTCAAATTGGGGTTCCCATGTCCCCCTCTTTGGGTTTAACTTGCTGCAGCAGCTCACAAAATTCAGGGAAACACTTACTTATATTTACGGATTTATTATAAAGGGTATTACAAAGGACATGGATAAAGAGATGTGTAGGGTGAGGTACAGGGGGAAGGGGCACACCACCTTCCAGGAGCCTCCACATGTCCAGCTATCCAGAAGCTCTCCAAACCCTGTCCTTTTTGGGTTCTTATGGAGGCTTGCTTCTTTTATATAAGCATGAATGACAACCATGTAGAAAAGTGATTGGACAAAAAGAGTATGCCCTCACTCTAACAGACTGAATGGGGAAACCCAGCAAGGCCAGTCTATTCAGATTCTTCTTGGCCTCTGGGTGCTAAATGCCCTCCTCCAGGGCATAGGGCAGGACCCTCTCTGGAACGAGAGTCTTTTGACCCACAATCAGACTAGAGGTAAGGCAGGTGAAAGAAGGTCAGAGAGAGAGATTCTTTTTCCTGAGGCCTAAAGCACCCCAACATTATAACGTAAGACTGTAATAAGGGTTATGGGAGTTATGAGCCAGGAACTATAACATAAGACTGTAACAAGGGTTATGGGAGTTATGAGCCAGGAAAACGTTGTATATATACAGAGAGAGAGAATCGTAATATCATAGTATTTTTTACAAATTACAATAATTGTTAAAAAGTAACAATAGTAAGCAAGATGGTTTGAGCCACTGAAGAATGCAAAACTCAGAGTCCATTTAGAACTGATCGTCAAAACGGAGAAAAGGGAATCACCTCTGTAGAAGGAAGAAATACAGAAGACAAAATGCAGTCCAAAAAAAAGGGCTACTGTATTGATAAATTCCATTAGAGATAAATGGAAATCCTTTAACAGTTTGTAAAACTGCTGCCAAACATTTTAAACATCATGTAGATCAGTTCATACTCCAGGTCATAAAGTATGAAATTTCTTCCACAATTGACAGGATCAGTGTGGTTAGGGAACATTAAGTGCACACTTCTAAGTACAAACTATAAGGTTTTATTCTACACAGTTACACTACTTTATTAGTCAACAAAATCAAACTATTAGAGCAAAATTACATATGAGTTTCATGTTTTCTTTTAAAAATCGATCTTCTACGCATGATTCTAGTTTTTAATAGTGTTCAGTGCCATTGCCCATGTGGTTTCAAAAAAAACTTTAATAGGATCTACATTAGCATTTTTCTCTATTTTTGCTTACCTTCGGAAATCCTTCCTTTTCAGCTAGTATTACTTTTTTAAAAAGAAGAAAAAAGGCCTACAAAAGTCCAGAATTACTAAAAAAAAGTCCTTGAAATGAACAGCCACATATTAATCACTTTTCTCCTCAGCTCAAATGTTAATTAAGCAAGTTGTAATTTAATCACTGATGTGCAATCAGAATTCATTTTACATTAATCAAACAGTAGAATATAATAATATTCAAAACCTGAGGCTTTCTTTTAAAGAGGAGCACTTCAGAGTGCTTTTGTACCTACCACATGTGAGGCATTAATTCAAGTTGGAGGACAATGACTCAGCTTGAAGGAAGGCGGAGTGGAGTAACAACCTCCCCATTCCTTTAGGAAAACTTTTCTTTCTGGCTAAGGGAGAGGAGAATGAAGTGGTTGAGAACATGCCCTCAACGTTCTGAAGACATGGAGAGATGTGTGTTACTTGTTATGTGGCTCCCTAAAAAGAAACATTACCAGTTAGAGGGACTTCAAGTAACTGAGGCCACCAATTTCTACTTTCGCTCTACTTTTTCTGGGAGTGGAACGGTCAGGTTTGCCAGTATTGTGAAAATCCATGAGGAAGCATTACTTCTCTCTTCCACTTGCCTCATTCTGAGTGGAACCCCAGAACCTGGTGTAGGGCTTAATAATCCAAGAAATTATTTTGAGTGGAGAATCTCTCACTCTCTGGCTCTTTTCTCCCAATAGTAACAATAATAATGCCTCACTTGTTAAGAGATACCGTGGTTATTGAAGTATTTTCTCAGCAAACAGATACTTCATGTTTGGGTGTATTAATGTAGGAAGATAAAGACACACATGCAGTGTTTCCTAAACTTTTTGGCTCACATGCTTCTTTGCTCATGCACAACCTAGACAAAACTATGTAACCAACTCCTGTGTACAGTTTCACGGAATTGCAGGTGCCTAACAAGATTTTCTTTTAACTACACCTGCTCACAAAATTTACACAGTAACTTGAGACAAACGTTCACAGGAAGTAGATAAAACTTTTCAATACACCGTTAAAGTCTTTCCAAAAATCTATTAACATTAAATTGTTTAGAAATTCTATACAAGTCTACTACTGTATTACCAAATAAATTCTTAAGCAAGAAAAGGGGAAAACTATCTTTTCATGCTTTCAGGCCAGTAACTAGCACTTAGTCTTCTATGTAGGGAGGTGCCCAATAAATACCGAGAGACGAACGGAACCGCTGAATCCCGTCCGCGAGGTTAGGGGAGAAACAGAAGCGGCAACGTCTCTGCTGCACGAAGCACCCGGTAACTTACTGCCTACCCCTCACTCCTGTCTAATCTTTGCTCTCAATGGATTGCTGGGTTGGTTTTGTTTTATTCATTTTTGTTCTGAAGCAAGGAAACTTAACTTCACGTGGAGGGCCACTGTAAACTGCTGCCTCCCTTAAAAAATGCATAACGAGAAGAGTAAGTTAAAACGTTTGGGGCCACACAGAAGGTTCTAGAAGTTCTGCAGACCCAAGCTGCCACAGTCCTTAATCGCATGGAATCTCACTGTAACTTTTATCTCCTCTGATTTTTTTCCGCTCCCTAACACCTAGGTAAATTAATCAAAGTGTGGCCACCGATAACGCCCTCACAGGTTTAGCTTAAATCGAATGCGTTTTCTCTCGGACTAGGGGAGATAATCCAAGAAACAAACAAAACTACACCACGTCCATCCACAACAAATCTCAACAAGCAACTTCGGTTGCCGCAGCCTCACTGTGCCCCAGGCCCCGGCCCGCCACACGCGGCCTCCGTCCGCTAACCGCCCGCGAACCGCCCGCGCGGCGAGCAGAACGCCCGAGACCGCCCGCCCGGAGCTCACCTGAGCTCCAGCTGGTCCAGGCTCTCCAGCAGGCGGCTGGAGCGGTCAGCCATGGAGGAGGAGCGGCAGAAGCGCCCCTCGTTGGCTTTAGCGTTGATCTTCGCCTGAGCCATCTAAGCCTCCGACGCGGGGTAGCCAAGAGGTCACCGGCCCCTCCGGCGGCAGCGAGTGGAGCGCTCCTTGGGCTGCAGGCGTCGCCGTCACCACGCGGGCGCCCGCCCTCCCTCTGACGCCCGCGGGGGCAACCCGGGAGGACTCGCCGACACCGCGGCTGCAGCGTAGCCAAAGAAGGGCAGGCGCGGCGCCCGCGGGGCTCGGGGACGCCGGGCCTGGGAGGGGGCTGCAGCGGCTGGAGTTAGAGGTTCGCGAGCCACACGGGCTCGAGGATGGGCCGACAGGGGCTCGGGCCTGGGGAGCGCAAGTCTCTGAGGCACGGGAGGGGCGGACGCAGAGACCGAGCGCCTAATGTGGCTAGCGGATCGTCTGCTCCCCGGACCCAGGAACTACCCGAAGCCCGCGCGGACCCACAGACCACCCCCAGCTCCGCCCCGCGAGGCCCCGCCTCTTCATGCAACCTAAAAGTAACCAACTCCCCCCACGCGAAGGTTCCTATCGGTCGACGGGCTGTGGGTGTATTGCTCAGTGACGGCTTCGTTTAGTTTCTCCCAGCACCCATAATTCAAAGCAAGAACAACGACATTATGGGGAGAAAACGTCCTTTTGTGAAACAGAAGGCAGTAAGTACAGCTCGTAGGCAGCCCACACTCACCTGACCTTCCTGTTACCACTTTATACTGAGATGAGAGTAATGAAAGCCCGGACAACACTGAAGCTATGAAGTAAAAAAGAAAAAGCTACTCCATCTTTCCCTGTCTAGCTAGATGTGGGAAGCAAAGTGAATTTACTTCATTTTTACCATTCTAATTTTCTTTTGTTTTTGAGATGGGGTCTAACTGTCGCCCACGTTGGAGTGTAGTGGCGCGATCACGACTTACTGCAGCCTCGACCTCCCGGGTTCAAGCGGTCCTCCCACCTCAGCCTCCCAAAGTGCTGGGATTACAGATGTGAACCACCACGCCTGGCTTAATGAAGGGGTTTTAAATTTTTGCTATTAAAATTATTCCTGTTGAGCGAGCCGAGATCTCGCCACTGCACTCCAGCCTGGGCGATAGAGCGAGACCTTGTCTCAAAAAAATAAATAAATAAATAAATATTCTGAGTGAAATAATTGGCATTAAAAAGTCCTCAACTTTTAAAAATCCTGTTAACAAAAAAGATGCAGTAGGCCTCTAGGTCAGGCACCAGCTGTCGGTAAAAGACGGAATAGAGCTGAGGATACAAAGATTAGTCTACTTAAAAAGTTAGGCTTTAGTCCCCTCTCCTGATAGCTCTATGCCTCTCATTGCAAGGATGACAATGTACAGGGCACAGAAAATGATAGATAATAATAGTTTAAAGCTGAGCCACCACCTTTAATCAGAGATCAAAGCCATTTAAATACTTGAACAGAGTTGAAGCCCTTAAGGCTGGATCCCAATTCCCTCTGAACTCATTTTAAATCCTAATTAACTCTTGGGGTAGGGGATTATTTGACCTTATTAAAAATAACTTTATCATGACACAAACGAAAACAAAACACATTTTGTGAGTGGTTTGAAAGTCTATCAAGTGACTTTAGAATCATCCTGAACTCTTTTTCTCTCTTATCCTAGATCCACACCATTAGTAAACCCCATCAATTTTGCCTTCAGAATATATCCAGATTCTTCCCAATTCTACCGCCACCATTCTGGTTCAAGCTACCTGGTGAGTTTGCACCTGGAATACTACAATACCTTCCTCTCTGGTCTCCCTGCTTCTACTCTTGCCTCTCATGTACATGTTATCTCAGTGCAGCAACTACAGCAATCCTAAATAAGGCAGATCATACCATTTATTCTCAGAAACCTTCACTGGCTCCTTACCTCAAAGTAAAAGCCCAGGTCATTAGAAAAACCTCAGTAAGTTCATTTCCTATTACTCTCCTAGCTCATCCTGTCAGCCATACTAGTCTTCTTGCTTTTCCTTGAATATACTAAGCTCCTGTCTGGACCTTAACCTCCTCCACCTGGAACTCTCTTCCCGATATGTATTTTCATCCTCATTCCCTCACCTTCTTCAGGTCTTTGCTCAAGTTTACCTATCAGTGAGATCTTTTCTGACAACCCTATTAAAAATAGCAAGCCTCCCCCCAACTCCCTGTCCCTGCACTATTTATTCCCTTCCCTTCTTTATTTTCCGTCGTTACACGTATCACCATCAGATATGCAGTTTTATTGCCTTGCTTACTAACATTGTACAATCCCCTCCTCTCCACCAATATGTGCTCCACAGAGGGGTAAGGGCTTTGTTTTGCTTACTGGTATATTCCAAGTGCTTAGAACAGTTGCTGGCACATGGTGGGTACTCAATATTTTGTGATTGAATGAATTAATGAGTGAATGATGTAATGAAAAGATAAGCATCTTTGTCAATGTTAGAAACATTTACTTCTGACGATAATCCATATAGCTTTCTCTGATGTTACACAGCGATTACATCTCCTTGTGTCTAAATTAAAGTCAAAGTATGAATTTTAAGATGATTTTTAATTATTTAACAAGTAGAAATACGATCAGTGACAATTATCAATTAAAACATTAAACAACCCAGTTACCTTTTCTTAACAGTCATGATGAAATATCCCTTTCCTGTCTTATCAGAAGCCTTAATTATTCTCTACCACACACACCACAAAAGCTTCTTAATAGAGCATCAGTGTCCATCACACCTTTGTGTAGAATCTCTGGCAACAAGGTGCTGTCTCCTCTTGCCCTGCCCCCACATCTGCTTAACTACTCTTCTTTCTGGAATGCCTCTTTTGCTCCCATTTTGTGAGCTCCTGCAGATGTGTTTAAGGTCCAGCTCAGTGACTACCTCCTAGAGCCTTGCTTGACCACTTAAACATACAAACTAAAAGCACAATGTGGTCATTTCGGAAAGATGATTGATAAATTCTCAAGCCACAATGTCTAGTTTTTAAAAAATGCAAGCAGGGAGGAACAGAAGTGACATATCAAGAAATTAAAAACACAAATTATAGATTGAAAAGACTATAGTAATAAAAAAATTCAATTTCACACTAAAATATTTAGTGTTACAGAGAAGGAACCAAATTCTAGCCTTTATATTTTGTCTTAAATATAAAGAAAAGCTTTATATTTATAGAAATGTTTTTAAGTTTGGTAAATAATTACTACTAAAAATTTTTAGAGATAAGACATTTCTGGTTAAATAACATGAAGCATATACACAAAGATAATATGACAAGCCCTTCTTAGTCTTCTACTTATGTCGTATTTTTTATTACTCACAATGGGGCCTCAATATTTAAGAATTAAATATGTAATACCAAATGAAGGAAACTGACAATTCAGTGAATAACTAAACTGAAAACACTTCACATGAAATAAAAATTTAAAGAGTTAAGGAAGATTATTCCTGAGTAGGCTTTCAACATTATTTCTTGAAGAATATTATGTTTACACCAATATATAAAAAAGGACTGTTATGAAAAATAATTTTATGCAAATATTCTGACACCATTCCCTTTAACCAGGAGACCATACAAGTCACATAAAAGTCTAAGCAGGTAAAAGGAATGGAAATTGTTTCATTTAAATTATTTCTTAAAAATTAAGGTGTATTTTTTATTTTAGCAATGTGCTGCTCTAATTAAAGCAATAATTTACATATGCATGGCACCCACAAAGAACATTGCTGATAAAATTTTAAATGTTTCCATGATCAGTTTCCATTACCCTCTTCTAATAAACATAAACAAAGATCTCAAAGGTATTATATAATAGTGCCACATGAGAAGTAGAATTTATGGAAAACTTGACCTATGTCACCTTTTTTATATTCATTTTCACTGCTAAAAAAATAAACTAGCATCATTTGTACAGTACAAATAAAATTAAAGAACTAATGCTATTTGGGAAACAACTGTCAAGAGCTTTCCTTTTTTTTAATCCTTTAAATCTAAATATATAAATTCAAAGTTAACTGGGAAACTGTTACACCTATATTAGAATACATAATTTATATTTGCATGAACATGTATTCTATTTCTTCTGTACATGTTTGCACATTAGCACAAAAATACAAAACAAAGATCAGATTTTGAACATATGAAAGCAAAAACATGTTTTCAAATACATTTGTAATAGTGGATTTCTGGTCTCCTTTAGAAAACAAACTCAAGAATTCGTTATCTCAGTCTCTTCAAGGCCACTTGATGTTGTGTGGTAATATCTTTAATTACATTTCCTCAAGACTTCTTCTAATAGCTTCTTCTAATTCCACATCTGCATTAAAAAACATAGAATTTTAACACTTAGGGCAGAAAACTCAACATGTGCTGTATTTATTTAAGTTTCATCGACTGTATTCTTTTCAAGAAGGAAAGTAAAATCAAAATGGAAAAACACAGGATAACTTGGCAGTTTCTCTACTAAAAAATTGAGTATTTTGAAATATGAAAATCTAGACATGATCTTGAATTGAATTTTATATATGAACTTAGAACTTGCAAGTTAATTCCACTTAGGAATGTAGAAAGTCAACAAACTTTTAAAATCACTGACAGGTAATCATTTGTTTCAACATTTAAAAAAAAATCTGTATCACTTATTTGCTAAAAGACTTGAGGTGATACATATAAGACTTTAAACAGAAAGGCAACTCCATGAAATGACAAAATGTCACAGGCCATTAAAAATTTAGTTTAATTTTTAATTATACCTCAATAAAGCTGGGGAAAAATTAGCTTAAAGCATCCTAGCATCTAAGGTAGTGAAACTCATAGCCACATAAATGTCATCTGAGAAGCATATAATATATGCTGTATGCAGATGTATGTAAACTCATTTGACAAATATTTATTGAATGCCCATTATATACCAGGAACAGCAATGTAATAGTGAACAAGACAGACGTTATTGGGTTCACAATAGTTGAGTTCCATCTCCTCCTTGGGAATGATGCTAAAATCCAGGAGGGTGAAATTTGGTGTCAATTTCTTGGCCTTCACTAGCTTCTCACACCAGATTTATCTCATCCCATCTGGTCCACAGTCTCTCAGAGGCTACTTGGCTACAGGCACCAGTGATCTCCCTAAGATGCAACCGCATGTTCCTCTGATTGGGGGCACTAGTGTTATGTTGTCTAATTTAAAGTACAATAAACTAGCATGAACTGTGTATCAAGTTAAAGCTACACTCTAGGATCAGTTAGTTGCCCTTAAGATGAATTAAAAGGGATGAGGAAATGCAAAGAAAAGCCAAGACACTCTTACCAAAGAAAAACAAGGGGACAAGACTTGTCTAAGATATGAACACTTATTATAAAGTTACAGTAACTAATAATGTGCTACTAGTGCAAGAATAAATAGACCAAAGGAACAGCATAGACAGCTCAGAAACAGACCCATGCATATATGGACACTGGATTTATAACAAAGGTAGCACTGCAGAATGACAGGGAAAGGTCTTTTTAACAAATGATAGTAGGTTATATGTATATATGTGTGTGTGTGTGTGTGTGTGTATATATATACGAAATCACAACGTCTGTTTTACAATTAAAGTTATAAAAATCTTTGAACTAAAATTCAAAATTTGAAGTATGGTTTATACTAAATGCATATTGCTTTCACATCCTTATAAAGTAAAAAAATCATAAATCAAACCATCATTAAGTACAGCAACATCTATACAAAGATATCATACCTCCAGTGAGCTTATAGGGATTAAACTTGCCAGCTGAAAGACTATAAAAAACAAAAAGCAAGTATGGTCATGTGCTGCGTATCAACTTTTGGTAAACAGTGGATCACATATACAACAGTGGTCCCATAAGATTATAATAGACCTGAAAAATTCCTATTGCCTAATTATGTCATAGCCATCTTCATGTTGCAGTGCAACATATTACTCATGTGTTTGTGGTGATGCTGCTGTAAACAAATACACTATGTTGCCAGTTGTATAAAAGTACAGCACATACAATTATGTACAGTACATAACACTTGAAAATTATAATAAACTCTGGTACTGGTTTATGTATTTACTATACTTTTTATTATTATTTTAGAGGGTACTGCTACTTATAAAAGTGATATTGATGATCCTGACTCTGTGCAGGTCTAAGCTAATATATATGTGTTTGTGTCTTAGTTTTTAACAAAAAAGTTTTAAAAGTAATAAAACAATTTAAAAGTAGGGAAAAGCTTATAGAATAAGGATATAAAGAAAATATTTCTCTATAGCTGTACAAAGTGTTTGTGTTTTAAGTGTTATTACAATAGAGACAAAAAGTTAAAAATTTTAAAGTTTATACAAGTTACAGTAAGCTAAGGTGAACTGATTACTGAAGAAAAAAAAATTTTTTTAAATGTAGTATAGGCCAGGCACAGTGGCTCATGTCTTAATCCGAGTACTTTGGAAGGCCAAGGTGGGCGGATCACCTGAGGTCAGTAGTTCGAGACCAGCCTGGCCAACATGGAGAAACCCCATCTCTACCAAAAATACAAAAATTAGGCGGGCGTGGTGGCACATGCCTATAATCCCAGCTACTTGGGAGGCTGAGGTGGGAGAATCGCTTAAACCTGGGAGGCGGAGGTTGCAGTGAGCCAAGATCACACAACTGCACTCCAGCCTGGGCAACAGAGGAAGACTCCGTCTCAAAAAAAAAAAAAGTAGTATAGCCTAATCGTACAGTGTTTATAAAATCTACAGTAGAGTACAGTAACATCCTAGACCTTCACATTCACTCACCACTCACTCACTGACTCACCCAGAGCAACTTCCCCATCCTGCAAGCTCCATTCAGGGTAAGTACCTTATACAGGTATACCATTTTTTATGTATTTTTATGTCTCTATGTTTAGATACAAAAATATTTACCATTATGTTACAATGTCTACAGTATTCAGCACAATAACATGCTATACAGGTTTGTAGACTAGGAGCAACAGGCTACATGATATAGCATGGGTGACAAAGACTTTAAGCCAACTGTCTTATGTATGTTCAAAGAACTAAAGGAAACCAGGAAAAAAATGTATGAACAAAATTAAGAGTACCAATAATGAGGCAGAATTATTAAAAGCCCATCAAATAGAAACTCAGGAACTGAAAAGTACAATAACTAAAATGAAAAATCTTTAGAGGGGCTTAATGAATTTGAGTACAAAGAAGAGTCAGCAAATTTAAAGATAGTATAATTTAAATTATCCAGTGTGTGTCTTGGTTTGAGTTCAGTCTAAATCAATCAATCAATCAATCAATCATCCAGTATGAGGAACAGAAAGAAAAATGAAGAAAAGTAAACAGAGTCCAAGGGACCTGTGGGACATCATCAAGTGAACTAACATATGCATTACAGGAGTCTCAAGAGGGGAAGTGCAATAGGATCAGAAAGAATGTTTGAAGAAATAATGGTTGAAAAACTCCCAAATTTGATGAAAGAGGTGAATCTACATATCCAAGAAGCTCAATGAACTCTAAAGAGACCCACACTGAGACGTGTTATAGTCAAACTGTCAAAAGCCAAAGACAATGAAAACAACAAGAGAGAAACAACTCATCACATACAAGAGAGCCTTAATAAAATTACTAGCTGATTTCTTATAAAAAACCATGGAGACCAGAAAATAAGAATGTCGATCAAGAATTCTATATCTGACAAAACTATTCCTAAAGAAATTCTCAGATAAACAAAAGCTACAGAATTTACTAGTAGACCTGCCCTACAAGAAATGCTAAAGAGAATCTCTCAGATTGAAATTAAAGGACATCAGACAGTAACTTGAAGCCATATGAAAAAATAAAGAGCAATTGTGAAAAATCTGTCTTTGTTTTTCTATTCTGTGGCTAGCTCTGTGTTCCCCTTACCATTCTTTCTGCCTTAATTTCATTTACTTTGAGAGCAGTAATTATGGCAAACAAACAACAAAAACAACCAGTAGTAGGAGGTAGAAGACATATAGAAATGGTTCCCAATCATTTTAAAACTGTGGATGTAAGGCCAAATTACTTAATGTTTAGAAGCCTCAGTTTTCATATAAAATGAAGAGAATAGTCTGACTCTCACAAGTTGTTAAGATTAAGAGCAGTTTTGACTGCTATTAATTGAAGGAATTCTCAGAATAAGGCATATTGCTAACATTTACAGAAAGATGGTTTTGCAAAGAAAATTATCTATATAATGCTGTCCTCTGTCTCTTCCAGCAATTTGAGTCAGAATACCTCTAGTTAACAGACATACCTCTAGAGTAGACCTTAGATGAACATATAAGTAAATAATGGCATAATGATCATCATAATCCCAGTAACATTAGCAGCAACCAATATATACTATTTATCATATGTCATGTTATTCTAGTAAGGTAGGTATACTAATATTCCCATATTTAAGAGGAGGAAGCTGAAGCACAGTGAAGTTAAGTGACTTGTCCAATATTACACAACTTGTAAGCAGCAGAGTTTTAACTTAGGCAGTATGAATCCAAAGACTGTACTTTTCACCACCACATTATGCGGCATCTGTTTCCTCTGTCAAGTACAAGGAACTAGATTATATGGGATTGTTATGACTGGCCTGCGTGGTCAGAGTTTGATATTGGTCTATGAGGAACAACAAAGAATAACACAAATCATGGAAGGAGGGAATTACCCTAAGGCAAAAAGCCATAAGCAGATTTATCCTGTCTTCTGCCACTATTTCTCAGGCATTTACAGAGTTGTACTGGGAAAGGAAGGAATAAAAAGACACTTAAGAGGTTGCTTAAAATTTTTTTTGAGTTTTGTTATCAGGTCTAGACTAGAACATTATTTTGCTTCTGTGGTTCAGGGTCAACAAAATAACCCAATATTCTATAACAAAATAGCCTCTATCTTAATTTCCCTTATCCAGTTATAGGGAAATGGGTCCTGGTGGCTCTAACATGTTTTAAGTTTGTTAAAAGTTTATTCATTTAGGCCGGGCGCGGTGGCTCACGCCTGTAATCCCAGCACTTTGGGAGGCCGAGGCAGGCGGATCACGAGGTCAGGAGATCGAGACCATCCTGGCTAACACGGTGAAACCCCGTCTCTACTAAAAATACAAAAAATTAGCCGGGCGTGGTGGCGGGCGCCTGTAGTCCCAGCTACTCGGGAGGCTGAGGCAGGAGAATGGCGTGAACCCGGGAGGCGGAGCTTGCAGTGAGCTGAGATCGCGCCACTGCACTCCAGCCTGGGCGACAGAGCGAGACTCCGTCTCAAAAAAAAAAAAAAAAAAAAAAAAAAAAAAAAGTTTATTCATTTAACAAGCAACCATTTTGTGCCAAACACTGTGCTAGGTGCTGCTGAAGTAAAGATAAATAAAACATGATCCTACTCCCTAAGGAGCTTACAGTCAGCAGAGATGAAAGTTATAGACAGAAGTATTTTAAATCCACTTGGCCTGGTACAGAGGGAGCCCAGAATAGAGAGTGGTTGGCTGTGTCTAAAGATGGACAATCTAGGAAAGGCACTGACCATACAACAGTGCCTACAAAAATGGCAATTCTATATGGTTCAACCTAAGAGATAAAATTCGAGTTAGCTCTTTTGGGGTGATGAGGAGGGGAAAAGAAGAAGGGTGTTAGAGAAAAGTGCAAAGGAGCCCATATTCCTTAACTTAAGTGAACCACCATATGCTTCTCACATTTATTTTATATAAAGCATCAGGATACAAAACACAAACACATTCCTTTGGTTTTTCTTGGAATTAAAGGATTTTATCCCCACCTCTATTTTAACTATGACAACTAGTTATAGGTTTAAAGTGTCTTCTCTTGAATCCTATAAAAATAATTATTTTTCCAAACCAAATAATCACAAAAATGTAACATCTCCACCTCCAAACCATAAAATGCATTACATAGATAATATGTGGTACATATCCAGTTACACAAATCTCAGATTTCCTAGGTTAGCTAGGAGCCCACAAAACTGTGATAGCTTATAATTATTTAAAAGTTATAATTTTGCCTGGCATTTTCCATGGGATGAGTCACGAGGTGTCAAATACAAGTTGCAAAATCTGAACTCTTTAGATGTTCAGTACTGTTTATCTTTTAGTGGCCTTGATAAACAACTTAATTGGCAGTTTTTGTTCAAAACGCACAAAAGTTCTTTCATTTGTTTAATTCATCATTATGTGGCTGCTAAGCGTTGAGCTAGACCT